>NC_000002.12:123739618-124364618 GCF_000001405.40 Homo sapiens | reverse complement strand
CTGAGGGTTCCTTGAGTACCTAATCTGTGCCAGACATTCTTTGAGACACTTGGAAAACCTCAGTGTATACATTGGGAAAAGATTTATGCCCTCCTGGAGCTTATATGACTAGCAGAAGTTTAGGCAGAGACAAAATAAGTAAGATAATGATATCGTGTGATAGAAGGGTTTGGGTGATGTGGAAAAAATAAAAAGGTGAGCAGGGTTAGGAAAGCTCAATTGCTGAGGTGACAGAAGTGAGGCAGGTTGCAACGTTAAAGAGGTTCATTGCAAACGCATTTGCAGAGTGTGAGGTCTGGAAATAAAAGGGGGGTTAAAGGAGTAAAGAGTGAGCCATGTAGTTATCCCTGGAGCCATCCAGAATTAGGAAGTAGCTAGAGCAAAGACCCTAGTGTGTTAGAGAAAAAACAAGTCAGCCAATGTGGCTGGAGAGAGTGAAAGAGCAACAAGAAAGGAGAAGTGTGAGGTCTCAGGAAGTTTCATGCATCCTGTATAACTTTGTAGCCACAGTAAGGATTTTGCCTCTTACTACTCTGAGTTGAAATGGGAGCTACTCTTCAAGACTGAGTAGAGGAGAGCCATCATCTGATTCAAAATTTAAAAGCATGCCTCTGGCTTCTGAAGTGACAATAGTCTCCAAGGAGATACGTGGTAGAAGCAGGACATTGTCATGGGAAAGGCAACACTGGCTTGGAGCAGGGGACACAGTGGCAAAAATTAATGGGATTCTGTATATGCATATATCTTTATTAAGATATAATTGCTACACACAGAACTACACATATTTAATGTTTACAGTTTAATGAGTTTGGACATATGCGTACATCTAGAAAGTATCACCACAGTCAAGGTAATAGACATATCCACCTACTTCCGAAGGTTTTGTTCTTGCCCCTTTTGTGTGTATGTGGTAAGAATACTTAACATGAGATCTATCCTTTTAACAAAAATGTAAGTGCACAATACAGTATTATTAGATATAGGAACTATGCTGTACAACAGATCTATAAAACTCACTCATCTTGCATAAATAATTCTGTTTATATTTTTTGGAGATAGAGCTGATAAATTATTGTGAGATATGAGAAAAAGAGAAAAAAGTAATATTTCTAAGATTTGGGAACTATTGGAAGAATGGAAGTGCAATCCACTGGGATTTCAAAGGCAAGTATGGAGAAAAAGTGATGTTATTTTGGGTGTGTTGAGTTTGACACAGGGAGATGTTAAGAAGGAGGGCTGGTCTGCAGGTGTAGAGTTCAGGAGGGGAGTCTGTTTGGAGACTCACATTTGGGAACATGAGAATAGATGAAATCAAGTCAGGGAAAAGAATCTGGTCCTACAAACAAATTTGACAGCAGACTATCACCAAAGTGGAAGGAAAATCCAAACAATGAAGTGTCCAAGAAGTAACTGAAGAAGTGATCAAATAAGATTTTCAGTGGAATTGGGGTTGGATATGTGCTAATTAACAGCCAGCAACAGGGCAATTAATATGAGGCATTACAAACATCATAGTGCCTTCATATCACTCACCACAACTGTCACAAGTGAAACTTACTTGTGTGTTGCTTGCTTAATATGTTTTCTCCACCTTATTATAAGCCACATCCATTGATGCTTTTTTGCTGTATCTTGAGTTGCCAAAGGAGACTGACTCATAGTAGGTATGGTCAAAAATATTTAAAGAACAATGACTGCATATTTATTGAGCAGTAATTGAATATTTATTGAGCAGTGATAGAACACTGAACAAAAAAATAGAATGTAGTCGATTACTTATTGAGAGTGTGGTGTGTGCTCATGAGGCGTAAAATCCATTGTTAAGCAGTTGGGTGTACGTTGAGCTAAGGGAACTGAACTCTTCAAAGGTACAGATGGCAATCTCAAGAAGGTCAAATCTGAGGCTGAGCCTTGCAAACTGAGAATAATTAAAATTGACAGAAAGGTACAGGGAGAGTTATCCAGGCAGTACTACAATGATTATTCCTTCACAGCCCCATAAATAACAGTTTTCTTTTTCTAACTTTATGTACTGACATCCATGATAGAGAAGCTGAAAGACATGCTCGAAGTTACTGAGGTAAACAGTGATTTAAAAAATAAAGGTAGGAGTCTAGGTTTTAAAATGATAGTAATATAAAAATAAGTAGAACCATTTGTCTAATGTATGATAAGATGCTAGACAGTGAGATAGGATTCTGAAAGTCAACAATACTTAGTCGATATATCCTCTTTATCGCTTTCAGGACTATCTTGTTAATGATATTTAAGATGTTGAGATTCTGGGAGGAGCCAAGATGGTCGAATAGGAATAGCTCCGGTCTACAGCTCCCAGCGTGAGCGACGCAGAAGACGGGTGATTTCTGCATTTCCATGTGACGTACCGGGTTCATCTCACTAGGGAGTGCCAGACAGTGGGCGCAGGTCAGCGGGTTCGCGCACCATGCGCCAGCCGAAGCAGGGCGAGGCATTGCCTCACTTGGGAAGCGCAAGGGGTCAGGGAGTTCCCTTTCCGAGTCAAAGAAAGGGGTGACGGACAGCACCGGGAAAATCGGGTCACTCCCACCCGAATATTGCGCTTTTCGGACCGGCTTAAAAAACGGCGCACCACAAGATTATATCCCGCACCTGGCTCAGAGGGTCCTACGCCCACGAAGTCTCGCTGATTGCTAGCACAGCAGTCTGAGATCAAACTGCAAGGCGGCAGCGAGGCTGGGGGAGGGGCGCCCGCCATTGCCCAGGCTTGCTTAGGTAAACAAAGCAGCTGGGAAGCTCGAACTGGGTGGAGCTCACCACAGCTCAAGGAGGCCTGCCTGCCTCTGTAGGCTCCACCTCTGGGGGCAGGGCACAGACAAACAAAAAGACAGTAGTAACCTCTGCAGACTTAAATGTCCCTGTCTGACAGCTTTGAAGAGAGCAGTGGTTCTCCCAGCACGCAGCTGGAGATCTGAGAACCGGCAGACTGCCTCCTCAAGTGGGTCCCTGACCCCTGACCCCCGAGCAGCCTAACTGGGAGGCATCCCCCAGCAGGGGCACACTGACACCTCACAAGGCAGGGTATTCCAACAGACCTGCAGCTGAGGGTCCTGTCTGTTAGAAGGAAAACTAACAAACAGAAAGGACATCCACACCGAAAACCCATCTGTACATCACCATCATCAAAGACCAAAAGTAGATAAAACCACAAAGATGGGGAAAAAACAGAACAGAAAATCTGGAAACTCTAAAATGCAGAGCTCCTCTCCTCCTCCAAAGGAATGCAGTTCCTCACCAGCAACGGAACAAAGCTGGATGGAGAATGACTTTGATGAGCTGAGAGAAGGAGGCTTCAGATGATCAAATTACTCTGAGCTATGGGAGGACATTCAAACCAAAGGCAAAGAAGTTGAAAACTTTGAAAAAAATTTAGAAGAATGTATAACTAGAATAACCAATACAGAGAAGTGCTTAAAGGAGCTGATGGAGCTGAAACCCAAGGCTCGAGAACTACATGAAGAATGCAGAAGCCTCAGGAGCCGATGCGATCAACTGGAAGAAAGGGTATCAGCAATGGAAGATGAAACGAATGAAATGAAGCGAGAAGGGAAGTTTAGAGAAAAAAGAATAAAAAGAAATGAGCAAAGCCTCCAAGAAATATGGGACTATGTGAAAAGACCAAATCTACATCTGATTGGTGTACCTGAAAGTGATGGGGAGAAGGGAACCAAGTTGGAAAACACTCTGCAGGATATTATCCAGGAGAACTTCCCCAATCTAGCAAGGCAGGCCAACGTTCAGATTCAGGAAATACAGAGAACGCCACAAAGATACTCCTCGAGAAGAGCAACTCCAAGACACATAATTGTCAGATTCACCAAAGTTGAAATGAAGGAAAAAATGTTAAGGGCAGCCAGAGAGAAAGGTCGGGTTACCCTCAAAGGGAAGCCCATCAGACTAACAGCGGATCTCTCGGCAGAAACCCTACAAGCCAGAAGAGAGAGGGGGCCAATATTCAACATTCTTAAAGAAAAGAATTTTCAACCCAGAATTTCATATCCAGCCAAACTAAGCTTCATAAGTGAAGGAGAAATAAAATCCTTTACAGACAAGCAAATGCTGAGAGATTTTGTCACCACCAGGCCTGCCCTAAAAGAGCTCCTGAAGGAAGTGCTAAACATGGAAAGGAACAACCGGTACCAGCCGCTGCAAAATCAAGCCAAAATGTAAAGACCATCAAGACTAGGAAGAAACTGCATCAACTAACGAGCATAATAACCGGCTAACATCATAATGACAGGATCAAATTCACACATAACAATATTAACTTTAAATGTAAATGGACTAAATGCTCCAATTAAAAGACACAGACTGGCAAATTGGATAAAGAGTCAAGAGCTGTATTCAGTGTGCTGTATTCAGGAAACCCATCTCACGTACAGAGACACACATAGGCTCAAAATAAAAGGATGGAGGAAGATCTACCAAGCAAATGGAAAACAAAAAAAGGCAGGGGTTGCAATCCTAGTCTCTGATAAAACAGACTTTAAACCAACAAAGATCAAAAGAGACAAAGAAGGCCATTACATAATGGTAAAGGGATCAATTCAACAAGAAGAGCTAACTATCCTAAATATATATGAACCCAATACAGGAGCACCCAGATTCATAAAGCAAGTCCTGAGTGACCTACAAAGAGACTTAGACTCCCACACATTAATAATGGGAGACTTTAACACCCCACTGTCAACATTAGACAGATCAACGAGACAGAAAGTCAACAAGGATACCCAGGAATTGAACTCAGCTCTGCACCAAGCAGACCTAATAGACATCTACAGAACTCTCCACCCCAAATCAACAGAATATACATTTTTTTCAGCACCACACCACACCTATTCCAAAATTGACCACATACTTGGAAGTAAAGCTCTCCTCAGCAAATGTAAAAGAACAGAGATTATAACAAACTATCTCTCAGACCACAGTGCAATCAAACTAGAACTCAGGATTAAGAATCTCACTCAAAACCGCTCAACTACATGGAAACTGAACAACCTGCTCCTGAATGACTACTGGGTACATAACGAAATGAAGGCAGAAATAAAGATGTTCTTTGAAACCAACGAGAACAAAGACACAACATACCAGAATCTCTGTGACGCATTCAAAGCCGTGTGTAGAGGGAAATTTATAGCACTAAATGCCCACAAGAGAAAGCAGGAAAGATCCAAAATTGACACCCTAACATCACAATTAAAAGAACGAGAAAAGCAAGAGCAAACACATTCAAAAGCTAGCAGAAGGCAAGAAATAACTAAAATCAGGGCAGAACTGAAGGAAATAGAGACACAAAAAACCCTTCAAAAAATCAATGAATCCAGGAGCTGGTTTTTTGAAAGGATCAACAAAATTGATAGACCGCTAGCAAGACTAATAAAGAAAAAAAGAGAGAAGGATCAAATAGACACAATAAAAAATGATAAAGGGGATATCACCGCCGATCCCACAGAAATGCAAACTACCATCAGAGAATACTACAAACACCTCTATGCAAATAAACTAGAAAATCTAGAAGAAATGGATAAATTCCTGGACACATACACTCTCCCAAGACTAAACCAGGAAGAAGTTGAATCTCTGAATAGACCAATAACAGGAGCTGAAATTGTGGCAATAATCAATAGTTTACCAACCAAAAAGAGTCCAGGACCAGATGGATTCACAGCCGAATTCTACCAGAGGTACAAGGAGGAACTGGTACCATTCCTTCTGAAACTATTCCAATCAATAGAAAAAGAGGGAATCCTCCCTAACTCATTTTATGAGGCCAGCATCATTCTGATACCAAAGCCTGGCAGAGACACAACCAAAAAAGAGAATTTTAGACCAATATACTTGATGAACATTGATGCAAAAATCCTCAATAAAATACTGGGAAAATGAATCCAGCAGCACATCAAAAAGCTTATCCACCATGATCAAGTGGGCTTCATCCCTGGGATGCAAGGCTGGTTCAATATATGCAAATCAGTAAATGTAATCCATCATATAAACAGAGCCAAAGACAAAAACCACATGATTATCTCAATAGATGCAGAAAAAGCCTTTGACAAAATTCAACAACCCTTCATGCTAAAAACTCTCAATAAATTAGGTATTGATGGGACATATTACAAAATAATAAGAGCTATCTATGACACACCCACAGCCAACATCATACTGAATGGGCAAAAACTGGAAGCATTCCCTTTGAAAACTGGCACAAGACAGGGATGCCCTCTCTCACCACTCCTATTCAACGTAGTGTTGGAAGTTCTGGCCAGGGCAATTAGGCAGGAGAAGGAAATAAAGGGTATTCAATTAGGAAAAGAGGAAGTCAAATTGTCCCTGTTTGCAGATGACATGATTGTATATCTAGAAAACCCCATTGTCTCAGCCCAAAATCTCCTTAAGCTGATAAGTAACTTCAGCAGAGTCTCACGATACAAAATCAATGTACAAAAATCACAAGCATTCTTATACACCAACAACAGACAGAGAGCCAAACCATGAGTGAACTCCCATTCACAGTTGCTTCAAAGAGAATAAAATACCTAGGAATCCAACTTACAAGGGATGTGAAGGACCTCTTCAAGGAGAACTACAAACCACTGCTCAAGGAAATAAAAGAGGATACAAACAAATGGAAGAACATTCCATGCTCATGGGTAGGAAGAATCAATATCATGAAAATTGCCATACTGCCCAAGGTAATTTACAGATTCAATGCCATCCCCATCAAGCTACCAATGACTTTCTTCACAGAATTGGAAAAAACTACTTTAAAGTTCATATGGAACCAAAAAAGAGCCCGCATCGCCAAGGCAATCCTAAGCCAAAAGAACAAAGCTGGAGGCATCACACTACCTGACTTCAAACTATACTACAAGGCTACAGTAACCAAAACAGCATGGTACTGGTACCAAAACAGAGATATAGATCAATGGAACAGAACAGAGCCCTCAGAAATAATGCCGCATATCTACAACTATCTGATCTTTGACAAACCTGAGAAAAACAAGCAATGGGGAAAGGATTCCCTATTTAATAAACGGTGCTGGGAAAACTGGCTAGCCATATGTAGAAAGCTGAAACTGGATCCCTTCCGTACACCTTATACAAAAATCAATTCAAGATGGATTAAAGACTTAAATGTTAGACCTAAAACCATAAAAACCCTAGAAGAAAACCTAGGCATTACCATTCAGGACATAGGCATGGGCAAGGACTTCATGTCCACAACACCAAAAGCAATGGCAACAAAAGACAAAATTGACAAATGGGATCTAATTAAAGTAAAGAGCTTCTGCACAGCAAAATAAACTACCATCAGAGTGAACAGGCAACCTAAAAAGTGGGAGAAAATTTTCGTAACCTACTCGTCTGGCAAAGGGTTAATATCCAGAATCTACAATGAACTCAAACAAATTTACAAGAAAAAAACAAACAACCCCATCAAAAAGTGGGCGAAGGACATGAACAGACACTTCTCAAAAGAAGACATTTATGCAGCCAAAAGCACATGAAAAAATGCTCATCATCACTGGCCATCAGAGAAATGCAAAGCAAAACCACAATGAGATACCATCTCACACCAGTTAGAATGGCAATCATTAAAAAGTCAGGAAACAACAGGTGCTGGAGAGGATGTGAAGAAATAGGAACACTTTTACACTGTTGGTGGGACTGTAAACTAGTTCAACCATTGTGGAAGTCAGTGTGGCGATTCCTCAGGGATCTAGAACTAGAAATACCATTTGACCCAGCCATCCCATTACTGGGTATATACCCAAAGGACTATAAATCATGCTGCTATAAAGACACATGCACACGTATGTTTATTGTGGCATTATTCACAATAGCAAAGACTTGGAACCAACCCAAATGTCTAACAATGATAGGCTGGATTAAGAAAATGTGGCACATATACACCATGGAATACTATGCAGCCATAAAAAATGATGAGCTCATGTCCTTTGTAGGGACATGGATGAATTGGAAATCATGATTCTCAGTAAACTATCGCAAGAACAAAAAACCAAACACCGCATATTCTCACTCATAGGTGGGAATTGAACAATGAGATCACATGGACACAGGAAGGGGAATATCACACTCTGGGGACTGTGGTGGGGTGGGGGGAGGGGGGAGGGATAGCATTGGGAGATATACCTAATGCTAGATGACGATTTAGTGGGTGCAGCGCACCAGCATGGCACATGTATACATATGTAACTAACCTGCACAATGTGCACATGTACCCTAAAACCTAAAGTATAAAAAAAAAAAAAAAAGATGTTGAGGTTCTATGGATCCACATCTGTCAAAGCATATTTCTAAAGTAAAGTGTTAAGATAATTGAGTATGTCCATATTTTAGTAGAAGCAGGATATTATCTTTTATTTTTATACCTTCTAAAATATTTGTTATAATTTTATCATATTTTTATAAGATTTGTACTGAAGACAGTTTTCAAATCATGGGACAATCTTTATTCTGTCATTTGGTCAAACTATATGACTACCAAGGCTTAGAAAGAGGAAAATGTTTTTAACTATATTTTATCTGTAAGCATTGTTTTTCTTACCTACTCTTAACACTCACAGATTTATAAAATATATGAGAAAAGTAGAATCATTTCCATTTCATTTGCAGACGTGTTACAACATCTTAGCATTGCCTCTATTCTTTTAGACACTAGATATTCCAAAGGCTAAGCAGAGCTCACAGGGTCAGTCTTTCTAACCATAGAAATGGCCTCCTTCCTCTTCAATATCCATGACTTTTTATCATTTTCAGTAAATGCAAATTACAAATGTCCAACTTTCCTTTCTATGTTTAGATCCCTTAACTCAGAAAAAAATAATAATGGATCCTGGCTGTAAAACCCACACAATGTTGCAGGCTTTTTGCCTGCTGGGACTTTGAGCTCACTCCTGAAAGTAGAAGTAGGAGAATCTTACTTCCCAAAAAGGTGATGAAAGTTGAACCTCTGGGCTCACCTGCAAAATGAAGTAAAGGAAAGTCACTTGATTTTCCCAGGATTTCTACCAAAGACAAATCATGCAGCATACAGGGCTGACATGGAAAAGTTGGTTCAGTGGGAGGGTAGGGTGCCTGCTGCTTGGGAGGCTGTTTGCTAACACATTGACCAGCTCTGCTCCATTCCACAACACCATCCCTCACACACTGATCAAACCCTTGTGAAAGTTTAGGGTAAGAAAAGAGGATCTAAAAGCTAGTTTTATTGTATTTCTGTAAAATTAAAATGAGATTTCTACCAATGGCAAACATTATTTCTGTTCCTTAAAGAAATGTGAAAAATGAAAAAAGCAGACTTTTAAAATCCACCTACTTGGTCCATTTTGCAGAAAAATATACTTAATAAACACTGTGGAACATTTATCCCCTAATTATTTTTTGTAGACATCTACTTAAATATCTATATTTAATTTTTGAAAGTATCATTCATTTCTTATACAAAGCATATGTAATTAGAAATATTAAATATATTATATTATAAATAGAGTATTAGAAAATTTTTTTAAATGAAAAGGAAAAATATTATTGATATGGGACATGGAGACCATGGACCTGATTTAAGAATAGCTATTTCTACAGAAGACCAAGCTCATGGTTCAAGAGTCATCTCTGAGACTCAATGGGAGTGACCTCCTAAACTGAAGATTGATCTGATTATGCTTATCAAAAACCGGGCTATATACTTGCAAAATTATTGACGAAAACTCTACATATAAAAAATCTGGTCATATTTTTAAATTAGAAAAATAAAAAAATCTAGTCAGAAATGAAAACTAGATTACCTATTGAGAGCTGAAACTAAGATCATGTTTTGTCCCTGTGTTAAACAATACTCAGAATAAGCAAGAGTGGCTTAGACCTTGCCCCAGGAAATACGTGTTTCATAAGATAAAACTGAGAACTGGCTCAAATAGCTTTTGCTCAAGACTGGCAGCTTACTCATAGAGACTCACGTCAAGATTCCTGATTTTCTGTGGCCATCAATCCAAAGATCTTAGGTCAAAAACTCTGTCCAGTCCCAGCCAATTTCCCATCTGGCAAGATTAGCTTTAAAATAATACACTTTGGGCCCTAACTACTAAAAATATCTGCCCCTGCCTTCTAGACACTACCAGGACTGACAAAGTAAGGTTCTCTTTATTATGGCAGGTCCAATACATTTAATTTTCCTTTGGCAAAGTGTGTTTTTCGTTGTTTTTGGAGATTTGTCAGTAGACATTACTAAAGATCCCAAATCACTGTCTCTCTAGTTCTCTTGTGCTCTGAACTAGATTCTCAAAGATTTTTTTTGTTTGTTTTAATTCACCTTTTTAAAAACATCCGCAGTGTTATTTGTGTCTTTTACTGCCTCAAACAAAGCAGACAATAATTTTTACCTGGTCATTTTAATGTCTTTTCATTCATTTGGAATTTAATCCATGTTTTTTGTTTTTGTTCTTTAATTCTCAACAACATAGCGTCTCTTTCTCTTTATTTTCTTTTTATATACTTGTATCTGGTTTCATCATAGTCAAGTCTTCTGGAATCCTGTTAAGTTTTTATGGTTCATTATTTTTGCTCAGGAAGTAGATAATTTTCATCTGCCTGACAGGTGGCATACTGTCACTTATAACTCTTGGACAAATGTCCAGGCTACAGCACATTTATCAAATGCATGAACTCCCTTCAACTGAAATGTGATCTGACCTGTCCTCACTGACTCTCTCTGTGACACAATTAAAATGGAGCCCATGAAAAACTACAATACCCAGAAACCTTGTTATGCACCTTCTTGTCTCCAGTACTGTCTACACTTTTAACTGTTGTAGACTGTTAATTCCTGATGGAATGTTCCACTTCTGGATTCTTTCTCTTGTTTAAAGCTTGTACAGATATCACTGCTTCTGTTCTATAGTGCTCTAGAAGTGAGAAAATTCGTATAAGAATTTGAGGCACTGTATCATGGAGATGCACGGAGAGAGGATAATACAAATTCTCACTCCGCCTGCCTGAGAGCAGACCTGAAATGGGACAGGCTTATAGTTTTCTGTGTAAAATATGCATTGCCTGTCTGACCCAAGAGCATGCTACTTCCAGGCAGACAACCTTGCTGTTTGCAGAGCATGTGTGATTCTAGAATTTCACTTCATGCTTTAGCTCCTCCAGCCTAATAATCTGAAGAAAAAAAAACAAAGAAAAAAAATCTCCAGTTTTGGGCCATTAGATTAAATGTCACACTCTCTTCTTATGGTGCTGTAATGGCCTTCATCTTTTTTTTTTTTTTTTTTTTTTTGGTCTGTTTTTGTTGTTTTAGTGAGAAATTTGAAACAAGGGGATCAAAGACTGAAGCTGGATTTTCAGAAGTCCCTGAGAGCAAGGAGTTCTCGTTCAAGCTCATTGTATTGATTCATAGAAGAATTCGCTTACATTGAAAATGTGCTTCCTTTGTCTACTGTGATCTTTGTGTCATTCCACAAGATGTCAGCTGGGGCTCTCCTTTCCCTGGAGACCTCGCTCAATGTGGCTCACCCAGTTCTGTGGCCCTGTCAAGGGTCCAGAACTAATTGTTTTCTCTTTGAGATCTGAGCCTGTGCATCTTTCTCTAGTTCTGCTTCACCTTGACAGAGGCCCAAAGCATCACTACTTCATTGTGAAAACAAAACATCTTTATCCAAGCATTTTATGAGTTCAGTAACTTTACCACAGATGCATGGGATTGTAAGAAGGGGTCAATTCATGGATTTTCAGCTTCCAGTTATCTTGCTGTTTCTAGGCACAGTCTGAAGCAACACCAAATTATTTTTACCTGTCTCATGAGCAGAACAGTTTTGCCTGTGTTCAGGCCCTGGAAGCTAAACTTCTATTCAGAATTGTGCTTATTAAACCACAGGTTTTACTACAGATGCTAAAAAAAATGAGGCAAAACATTCTCTGGTCCTTTGTATTTACAGTACTTTTGGATGATGTTTTTTCTTTCCAAAGCAGACTTCAGAAGCTGAGAAATGTCATGTAACTTCCAGAAAATTGCACAGCTAGAAAGTGGCAGATGTTCAGACACCGAGGACTCTGAAAACTCTTCATCTAGACTTGGTATTTCTCTGCGTCCAGGCACTGTTTTGTCTTTCACAGGATGGCCCAACACTCACCTTCTTTATGTGCCCTCCATAAACTACTTAACTCACTTGAGGCTCTGTTCTATGTGTGTGAAATGGTTGTAATATTCACCTATAAAACGGTAGTGTGATTGAGACTTCCGACAGGTAAGGTGGAACTGGACATGTAATAAACACTTCATATTAATTTTCTTCTTATTCCCTTCAAAATTACTTGGTCAACATGATGACCAGTATACAACTTAATGTGTCATAGAAAAACGAATCTTCCAAATAATGTTTATTTTAGATGGATTTGATGAAATGAGGCAAGGTCATTGTAGCAGATAATTATCTTGTGTGCCTGTCCTGTTTGTGTACCCAAAAGCAAAAGTGCACTGGTCATTCGTGTTCCCCAGAAATTTTCTCTAAAGAAATAGCTTCACGCCACTATTATAGCTCAGCTGTCACCTATTCTTGGAATCCTTCCCCTACTGCCAATTAAGTTCAAGTCCTTCCTCTGTGTTTCTTCCAGCTCCATAATTTATGTTAATATGTTAAATTGTTTACCTTTTTACTCCTCCATGTAACTACCAGCTCTTAGTGTTGTGTATTCAGCATTTTTGCTTCAGTAATGTAATTACAGAAATTAAGTTATAAGTAATATGGTAGACATTTGATTAATGTGTGAATGAGTGGCGGCTGATCTCCTTTTATTCCCAAGTAAAATATTCTTCGACACTACCAATTGTTATACAATGCCCCAGGTCTTTTAACTAAACTTGGCCAGGTCACTCAATAGATGTAGGGAAACATTTCTTTCTTATTCTCCATGATTGCCCTTCTGCTTCTCTTTGTAGTCTTTCTGCTTCCTCGTTCCTTTTGTGCTACTATCTCCCTGTAACTCTTATTCCACAACTTCTTGTTTTGAAAACTATTCAGTTAAGCTTCTTCAATATGCCAACTGGAATCCACTCTTTCCAGCTTCCATTAGCTCTCCTTGTCCATGGCTACAGATGAACCCATGACAGTTCTATTATGCCAACAAGAACACTGCCAGGCTGGCTGGTCTTCCTGCCAGAGAAGGTGAACTGAACAAATGATAGACAGCCAGTGGAGCCAGGATGTATAGTCACAGAATGAGAAGCACTGCTCTAAGACTGGCCTTCTCTCCGTACTTTAACTCTGGCATTGGCATGAAAGAAAGTGGCTGCCCTGAAGGAAATCAACCCTGAAATCAGGTCACTCTCAGGGGTCTGCAAAGTGTTAAAGAATGCAAAGAATATCTTTGGTTTCTGGAAGCCTCTTTTCTACAACATTTCTGCAAACCCATCTCCCAGTTCCCCAAAAGAATGAGTTTCTTGGTTTGATGTTCAAAACTTGTTCTCTTCTCTAGAGAAATGTAACTATCAAAGACACTATCTGTCGTGTACAGATAAGGTGATATCAGAGAATGATACAGAAGAGTGTAAGCCAGTGTAAATCGAAGTTCTTTGGAAAAATAGAAAGTTTAAAGGGAAACATTTCTAATGATGTGCAGGGCAGGAGCCTCTTTGAGGAAACACACAAAAGCTTGGCTTGCCTGTATTTTTTAAATATGAGGCAACATGCCGAAAAAAAAGGCTTTAAAGAGAGGGCCATAAGGTAACTGAGTTACTATCTCAGGATGCACAAAGACTTCATGATATGTACATTCTGGGTCCAAGAATTTTAGTCTTAATCATTTATTTTTGGTTAGCAAAATATATAACCTTACATATACTATATCTCCAATAAATTTCTGTTAATTTGATTTAGAAATTATAGATAAAATAACCTAATAAAAATATTTTATACCTTCTATTCTTAAAAAAAAATCCTCAAGTCATTCTCCACATAAACTTCAGATATTGAAGCTTTTGCGGGGGTAGATTTTAAATTTTTCTGAAGTTATTTATATTTGAGTAAATTTATTGAAGAAGTGTAAAGAATTAATAGTACGAATGTGAAGGCGTAAGAACTGACCATGGAAAATGAAGGATTAAAAAAAAAAAACAAGCCACAAACCATCTGCATTTACACAAATTACTTTAAATTTATATACATATGTATTTAAATGCATCAGAAAATATAATGAATATTTTAGCATTCCAAGCAGTCATAGCTGGAAGGAGATCCAATTTTCCTAATAACACTAAGCTTGCTTAGAAGAGTCTCTCTTTCTAACAAATTTACTTTGGAACAAAGGTCTCATATTTTTCATACTATTACTGGCAGCAAATTTTCATCTTTCAAGAAGAATTTGAGTTTAGAAATAGCCAGAAGTCGGCCGGGAATGGTGGCTCACGCCTGTAATCCCAGTACTTTGGGAGGCAAAGGCGGGCGGATCACGAGGTTAAGAGATCAAGACCATCCTGGTCAAAATGGTGAAAACTGCCTCTACTAAAAATACAAAAATTAGCTGGGCATGGTTGTGGGTGCCTGTAATCCTAGCTACTTGGAAGGCTGAGGCAGGAGAATCGCTTGAACCCAGGAGGCAGAGGTTGAAGTGAGCCAAGATCGCGCCGTTGCACTCCAGCCTGGGCGACATAGTTAGACTCTGTCTCAAAAAAAAAAAAAAAAAAAAAAAAAAAAGAAATAGCCAGAAGTCATTTCAAAACCAAGTCTAGGGAATAGATGAATGAGCAAGATGGCTACACTGCATTAGGCTCCCAATGATTTAAAAAAGGGCTGAGCTGATCCTATGGTTTGCATGAGAGCTCTAAAGACTATTTCAGAGTAAAAATATCTTACAGTGTTTTAATAAGTGGGACCATCATTGAAGTAAGTGTAATTTCCCACTGTGACTATGTTGAAGGAAATGCCACTGAATTGGAAGTATAGTTTCTATTATGTTGAAAGAATCAGTCTTCTTATAGGTGTGTTAGACAAAGAGTTAGTGCTTTTACTATATACGGGACTCAAGCAATGTAAAAGAAAGCACTGGAAAACTAACAAACATGAGGGATGTGAACATCAGTTCACAAAGGAAGAAAATTAAATAACTTACACAAACGGGAAAATAAGAAGCTCAAACTAATACAGTCATGCACTACATAATGACGTTTTGGTCCAAGACAGATGGCATATGTGATGGTGGTCTCATAAAATTATAATACAACATTTTTTATTCTACCTTTCCTAGGTTTAGATATGCAAACACCATTATGTTGCAATTGTCTATAGTATTTAGCACTGTACCAGGCTGTACAGGTGTATAGTCTAGGAACAACAGGCTACATCGTACAGCCTAGGCGTGTAGTAGGCTGTGCTATCCAGGTTTTGTGAAAGTACACTCTATGATGTTCACGCAACAATGAAATTGCCTAATGACACATTTCTCAGAATGTATTTCCGTTGTGAGTGACATGACTATATTTTAAGCCAGACATGTCCAATCAAAGCAACACTTCTACACAATCTCTACTAGTTAAGTTCACAAACATTTTTTAAAGATGCCAAAAATTGGCAAGAACACACACCTCTGGGAAGGGCATCAATTTAACAAGAATTCTTGAAAATAAATATTAATGTTATATATGTATTTATATACATAGACATATAGAGAGAATTATACATAGATAATAGATAAGAAACAGCTTGACACACACATGCACACACACATATGCACTCATGTACACACAATGTTTATATCCTGTGATTCTATAACACTATTTCTAGAAATTTGGGGAGACATAAAATATAATATTGGAAAAATTACAAATACAAATATGTTAAATACAATATTATGTCCAAAATGAAAAATAGTAGATAAACCATGAACTCGGATATCTTCCTTCGGTTATGTGCCAAATTGGATGTTACTGATGGTTTTATTTTGGTAGTCTATTTAGGGTTGGTTAAAAATACTCTTCTTTCTACATGTCTGCATTTTCTAAATTTAATATAATAATTATACAGTTTTAGTAATTAGCAAACTAAGGTTTATTATTAGAACATTTCTTTAAAAGTTTCTCAACTTCCTCAAATTGATAAACAGCATCTACAAAATGCCCATAACTAACAACATACTTAATAGTGAGAGACAGAAAGTTTTTTCCCTAAGTTTAGAAACAAAACGAGGATGCCCTCGGTTGTCACTTTTATTCAACATTATACTGGAGGTTTAAGCCAGAGCAATTAAGCAAGAAATGAAATAAAATTAATCTAAATTAAAAGGAATAAGTAAAAATCTATTTGAAAATTCTGTTTTCTTATATGTATTAGCAATGACCAACCTGAAAAAATTAAGAAAATAATTTATAACATTATCAGAGGTAATTTAAAAAATTAAAATGCGTTTTAACAAAATAAAGATAAGACTTGTACACTGAAAAATTGTGGAGATAGTATGAGTACTATTGTGGGTAAAAATTATCAGGGAGGCCGACGCGGGCGGCTCACTAGGTCAGGAGATCGAGACCATCCTGGCTAACACAGTGAAACCCCGTCTCCACTAAAAAATACCAAAAAAATTAGCCGGGCGTGGTGGCAGGTGCCTGTAGTAGTCCCAGCTACTCGGGAGGCTGAGGCAGAAGAATGGCGTGAACCTGGGAGGCGGAGCTTGAAATGAGCGGAGTTCGTGCCACTGCACTCCAGCCTGGGTGACAGAGCAAGACTCCGTCTCAAAAAAAAAAAAAATTGTCAAGGAGACACACTACATGTGTATATGTCTACATTTGTGTGGGTGTATATGTAAACACATACACACTTACATATTCACCTTTTTAATCATCTAAGTTGACGGCCACAAAGAGCTATGTCTGCAATGCTTGTTGTGAATTAGCTGCTAAAGTGTCATATTAAATAGAAATATCAGTCAGGTAGGCAACCATAAGCACAAAACGTGTGTCAATAGACAGGGATCATAGGATCATAGGAGCGCACCCTGGAAAGCAACACAAATTTAATTTTGGAAATAAAACCTCAGGGGAATCACCCCATGTGGAGCAGTTTCCCAGCTTTCTTCTGCTCAATCTGCCCGCCTAGTGCTCTCAGACGTGTCCTTCTGCCCTGGTGGAGGAGGGGAAAGAGGTTTCCTGGTAAATTTGTTGTCTGCACTGAGCTGTTAGCCACTCAACAAAGAGGGCTTGTGCCCCCGCCCCCTCAGTCTCCCAGACTCTGTCACGCTCTGCAGTGAAGAAGAGGTAGGAAAGAAGATAAATAGTAAACACTACTGGAGAACGCCTTAGCTAGTCTTTCTCCAGATGCCCCGTCATGAGAGGGGGCTGCCTCAGGACCAGGCAGTTAATAAACCATTCAAGCTTTGGTGTCTCTATTAGTTTCCTATTGCCACTGTACTAAATTACCATAAACATAGTGGCTCAGAAAACACAAATTTATTATCTTACAGTACTGGATTTAATTAATTATTTATTTTTTGAGATGGAGTCTCCCTCTGTCACCCAGGCTGGAGTGCAGTGGCATGATCTTGGCTCACTGCAACCTCTCCCTCTGGGGTTCAAGGGTTCTCCTACCAGAGCATCCTGAGTAGCTGGGACTACAGGCACGCACCACCATGACCATGCCCAGCTATTTTTTTTTTTTTTTTTTGTATTTTTAATAGAGACGAGGTTTCACCATGTTGGCCAGGATGGTCTCGAACTCTTGACCTCAGGTGATCCTCCCACCTCAGCCTCACAAAGTGCTGGGATTACAGGTGTGAGCCACCATGCCTGGTCAGTACTGGATTTTAATAATACTGTATGCAAAGTTATCTATAAGCATCTGAGTAGTAAAATCGGTAATCAAACAACTTCAAAATTTGTTCTTTAATAAACATATTTTTAGCTACTAAAAACAGGTCTTGGTCTTTTCCCCTAGCTCTCCATTTTACCTAATGTTAATTAGGAGAGCAAGCAGGTGCCATTGAAAAAGAAGCATTGGTAGTTGATTTTTTAAATTGCAATCAATAGAATTTATATATTCTAACACGTTATGAATTAGATAGCACTATTAAAATTGTCATCTGCATCACCCTCTTGCATTTCATTTAGAAGTTCTAAGTGCTGGGCTGTTGCTAACTGGTATGTTCATTGTGTTCTTACTCATTTGAAAAAAGGTGCACTATTTTACTTTATCTATCTTGCTTTTCTTCAGACTAAATCTCTATCTATAGTTAAAATAAAAAATAAACCAGAGTAAGCCATAACAGTCACAACTCAATGTTGCTAATGACCTTGAACGAATACTAGTCTTATTTCATCACTGACAGTTACCTCTCCAGTGCTGCAGTGTTATGCAGTTACCCTTTTGCTCACTCTCAAATCATGCTTTTTTTCTGCTGCCCAGAAAACGTCTTGGAATTTAAGTAAGCAAGTGAGTGTGGTATTTTAGGAATACCACTGGGATCATCTTAAGTACACCTTAGTTTATTTTTTTAAAGTAAACCATTCACAAACTTCAACACTTTATTATGATAGCAAAATATCTGCAGCACATTTTAGAATCTCACCTCACTGGTCTTGCCAACTGTTGATTAAAAAACAGCATTAGATTCACATGTTTGTAACTTGTCTTATGGTAAGTAATTTTCAGAAAACTGCAAGTTCAAACAACTTGGAATTTTTCTTTTTGTTATTTCTCAGTTTTAGTAACTAGTTCAAGCTGATTGGTGCTTTGGGTAAATGTAAGCAAGAGGGAGGGAAAGAAGGGTGGGAATAATAGAGGAACGGATAATTTTGCTGAATATGGGAAGAAAATGAGATCATGAGAGATTTAGCAGCATTGTGGCAATGTCACTTCAACTCTGTCCTTATTTTCTCTTCTTCTCTATTCCAATTAGTTGTGATGAGCAAATTTGGCAGCCAAGATTAAAACTTTTTTGAAAAATAATGGATACTATGAAAATATAAAGACAGACATATGAAAGAGTTATATCTACCTCTTTAACCCACCCACAACATTATTTTATTTATGAAAGCTGAGATTTTCATAAGCACTTCTTTCCATTTCTATTTAATTCTAAACTGCTTCTCCAAGTTGCTGTGTAATTCCTCCCCCATACTAATGACAGCAGGTCTCCACCTCCACACAACTGATAATGAGCTTGCTGTGATGTTGGATTTGTTTCCACTGAGTTTTTATTTGGGTCACAGTAATAGAGGAAAATATGAGTGAGAGGAAACTAGGCCTCAGAAGCTCTAGGAAGCACTGCCTAGCCCATCACAGAGGTGATGAAAAATGAATATTCTGATATAGTTAGAATACCTTAGAAGAAAAGTGCATTCCAACACTACTCCATGGAACGTTCTACAAAATGTTCTATGGCTTAAAGTCTAAGGACTGGATTGCTTTCCATACAAAGGACTCTGTAACACTGAAATGTTTTTCACAATCATTGTCTACTTTCTTCTCCCACGTGTATTAAGCTAGTTCATGCCACTGGAGCTCAGAAACTAATACCCTAAACCTGGCACTTTCTCATGCTGAGCACTTAAGCAAAGAAAATTAAAAGGTCTTACAAGCAGTCACCGAACTGATAACTTTGTAACATTTTCCTGCTTCTCCCCACTTCCAAGTACAGAGACTGGTAGCCATGTAGGTTGCATCCAGAGAAGCCATGGATTCAGGGGTTTCCAAGGGCTTGGGAGCCCAACAGTCATGCCAGTTTGCCCAGCATGTGAGACATGAAATCAAAGAAGATTATTCTTGTGTTTTACCATTTACATCTGCTCTGCTGGATTTTAGACATTTTTGTTTGTTTGTTTGTTTTGAGGCAGGGTCTCACTCTGTCACCCGTGCTGCAGTGAAGTGGTGCTATCATGGCTCACTGTAACCTCCAACTTCTGGGCCCAAGAGATCCTCCTGCCTTAGCCTCCTGAGGAGCTGGAACTACAAGTGCACATCATCACATCCAGCTAACTTTTAAATAATGTTAATTATGTTGCCCAGGCTGGTCTTAAATTCCTGTCCTGAACTGATCCTCCTGCCTCGGCCTCCCACAGTGTTGGGATTACAAGGGTGAGCCACTGCACCTGACCTAGGTTTTGGACTTACATGGGGCCTATCATTCCTCTCTTTTGGCCTATTTCTCTTTTTTGGAAGGAGGATGTCTACCAAATGTCTGTTCCAGCAGTGTATCTTGGAAATAAATAACTTTTTTTTTTTAAATTTTACAGGCTCACAACTGGAAGAAACTTGCCTTCAGTCTCAGGTGAGACTTTAGACTTTGGACTTTTGAGTTGGTGCTGGACCAAGTTAAAACTTTTGGAAATATTGGGATGATATGATTGCATTTTTTGTTTGAGAAGGACATGAGTTTTGGGGGGCAGGGGTGAAATTGCTATGGTCTGCATATGGTTTATTTCTCTTAATCAAAACTCTTTTTGAAATTCGATCTTCAATGTGTTTGCATTGGGAGGTGGGGACTAATGGGTGGTGCTTGGACCATGAGGGCTCTGCCCTTGTGGTGGCTTGGAGCCATTCTGTCAATAATTTATGGGTTCTTGTTCTGGTACAACTGAATGAGTTCTCATGGGGATAGATTAGTTTCAACAAGAACCGGTTAGTATAAAGCCAGACTGCTCACAGGTTTGGCCTCTTCGCACATATCTGCTTTCCCTTTTACATTCTCTACCATGTTACGATGCAGCAGGAAAGCTTTCACCAGAAGCCAGGGCTAAACTTCCCAGCCTGCAGAAGTGCGAGTTAAATAAGCCTCTATTCTTTATAAATTATCTAGCCTTAGATATTTTGTGATATAGCAACACAAAATGGACTGAGAAAAACTCTCAAAAGAGAGAGGAGAGAGAGAAACACGTTCTTTGTATCTTATACTGTCATGTTAGGTCTTTTGATTACTTAGGAAAACTGAGTCTCCTCTTTACCAAAGAGTAAAAGTTTCTCTACAACTATGTAACTTCCTGTTTTTGCTTTTGAAATCTTTTTATTGTCACTCTGGCTACATGAATATCATATTATGGTGACCTGTGATTTTATTTTGATCAAATGTTTTAAACCTTTGATATTTGACAAACCCCCTAAGAATCAAAATAAAAGTACTTCGACCCCCAAACTAACTTTTGGACAATTAAGGAAAGTCTCTAAAATTCCCCCTAAAAAGATATTAAACCAATGAGGCTTATCCAATATGTTAAATTATATGAAAACATTGTCAAATAAGAAATAATATTTAACTTTCTTTAAGTTACATTCATATGGGTATGTTATTAATATGTGTCCAAAGATTGTATGCAATGTCTAGATCTCTGATATGTCTTAAGATAATGCTATCATTTATAACCTTCGGTTATTACATTTAATTATTGTATAAACACTGCAGAAATAATCAAATTTTCTTTTCAATTGCTTTTTTATTATAATGAACTCTCTCAGATCTTTAACCATTGCCATTTTAAGTCTTGTCTCGTTGTCCACAACTAACTGCTTTATGTTGATGCCTTTTCTGAAAGCTTTTTGTAGGCAATTATAATCCTAAGGTGTTGTTTCTTCAAGGAAGTATATAGGAAAAATAAAAAGAACTTTGACAAGTACAGGTTTCTGAAAACTTTGATAATTTCCAAGACTCAAATGAAAAAGAATACTAAACTGATACAATTGCCAACCCAACATTAAGCAGAACAAGAATTAATTATTTGGGACTGAACTCATGAAAAACCATGATTTTTTACAACTTTCTGTTTGAAACATTGCTGATTCTTTTTATATTTTGTCTTCCGTATTTAGCAAGACTTTGTTTTTCTTTTAAACTTTCTATAGCTTGCTTCAATTTCATAATGTGTACTTTTGTGAACAGAATTGAAACATTTACCTTTTTTCTCCCTGATTGATCCCTCCAAAATTTGTGAATTATTCCTGAGTATTCTCATTTTATGGCAATGTAGTTACCTAAGTTCAATACGAATTTATTCTTCTTCTAATAAGGCACAATTGGAAACACTGTTATATTACCAAAGCTTTGGCTGAATAGTCTAACTTTCAGATATAATCTGACCATTTTAAGGAAATGAATTTGACTTTATGAAGCCAATAAAAAGCCCCCTGGAAACTGGTCTAGTACTATGAATACACGGTTCACGGGGCTGCCATGCTGGTAAGTAAAGAATGTCACTCTCTGACAAACCCAAGAACTTGGAGATAGTTTGAGAACTTTACTGAGAAGAGCAGGATTAACCCAAATCTACAGGTATTATGGGCAGAATTTGAGGTTGTGTCTCTGGCTTGGCTGCACACCTGTAAGAGGCCTTTTAAAAGCCTAATTTGAGATTCTTCATACAAAGTTTCAGCAACACAGTCTTAAGAAGAACCTAGATGGTTAAACTCATTTTTGCAAACAAATTGGACTTCCTGTGATTATCTTTGGTAAAAATTAGAGTGACTGAAGAGAGAAAACACATGTTTCAGAAGAAAACTATAATATACCCATTTTTCGGTTCTAACCCTGCTTATCGTGTTTGAGATTTTATCCTTTGCTTGTAATTTGGACTGGATATTCATTCCTTGTGGTCTCCTCCGGTACCTGGTTATGAGTCTCCAAACTATTACAGCATTTCCAATTTTCTCCCAATTTTCTGACTTGAGATAACTAAAATTAAAATTATCAGTTTTCTGAAGCCCTACAAGACAAAACTGGTCAGCTTGATATAACCTTCAGGGAAATCACCACAACAGCTTATTTATAGACATTCTCTCATAACACGCAAACTACAATCCAGAAAAATCTGTCAGATCTCTACTGACTGCTTCTGCTCCAACTGAAGATGCTTCATACTCAAATCTAGAAATTATCTCAACTGACTGCCCTCCAGAATCCAGAGAAACTAGTGTATAGATTGCCGCAGACTTCAACCTTTGTTTTTCTTCTGATTTAGAAATGCCACATATTAAAGACTCGTTCACCTTAACTGTGATGGGAGCTCTGTAAACACCACTTCCTGAAATAAGACACAATTGTTTAATTGGACCAACCTAGTCCCAGAAATGGAAGGCTTGTTTAATGAGATTCTTTGCCATTCCATTACTAACATTTTTCTCTCCATAGCCACCAACTCAGCTCTTAATGTGTAAAACTTCTAAGGAAATTTCAGAGAGGCAAATGTTGGGGCTCAGAAAATCATACCCCAAAGTATGGTACTTTGGCTTGCCTATTGCTTTGAACTAAAGAAAATGAAAGAGACTTAGTAGCAGCTTCAGAACCAATGACTTTCTAACCATGTCTTGTTTCTGAGTACTCCACCCAACTCAGGGAGGGGTTGTCTCTGTAAGCTCCCCTGTCTGACTGGGCAAACTTCTTTTGGAAGAAATGCAAGTGTCTTAAAACTCCTCCATAGAAGTTTTATTTAAATAACCAGACAGACTTTTTATGGATTCTTTTTGTGTGTGTGTGAGACACACCAGACAGACTTTTTATGGATTCTTTTTGTGTGTGTGTGAGACAGGGTCTCACCGTGTCACCTAAACTGGAGTGCAGTGGCACAGTCATAGCTCACTGCAGCCTGGAACTGCAATGGACTGAAGCAGTCTTCCCATCTTAGCCTCCTGAGTAGGTGGGACTACAGGTGCACACCACCCTTCCCACCTAATATATATATATATATGTGTGTGTGTCTATATATATATATGTATATATATATGTGTATATACATATAGTGTGTGTGTACATATATACACACGCACACGCATATATATATATATATATACATGTATACATATATATATGTATGTGTATATATATAGTTGTTTGTTTGTTTTTGGTAGAGACAGATTATCACTATGTTGCCCTGGATGATCTTGAACTCTTGGTCTCAAGGGGTCGTCCCATCTCAGGCTCCCAAACAGCTTGGGATTATACCTGTGAGCCTGGACTTTATCTGTTCTTCTTAGGGTATTTCCAAGAGATTACTGGGACTTTGTTTGAATAATAGTACAATCTTTATTCACAGTGAAGTTCTACCCTTTACCTTCCCACAACTTGTTGCCACAACTCCAGAGCTCAGAGGTGCTTTGTTTCAGAGTATGGTATATTATTTGGGCACATTCAATTTCCCTGAAAATCACTGATTACTCCTCAAAACTGCCTACATATCCCATTTTCCTACCCCGCTCCCCAACCCATAAAGAGAATATTTGAGTCTCAGCTATCTGACACTTTCTTTTGAGTCTTATCCTTTGTATGTTTCCAGTGCACATGAAACCATCTTCACAAAATTATAACAGTAAGAGAAATCTGATAGAGTTGACTCCATCTTGCTTCTGACTTCTAAGCTGTCCTTAGTCATTCCTGGCATAGGCCAAGCTAAATTTGGGAGGAATTTAATTGACAGTTTAACCTTAAAACAAGGCTGATAATAGCCCTTCCCCAGACTAATCTCCCTTTGTAAAAATAATGAAAGGCTACAAGATTATGAATATGAGAGAGGACAGAACTCTGCTGAAATTGTGGACATACTTCCTATAATCCTTTACTGCTCAGGAGTAATGTGGACAGAGGTCATAAGATTTGTGACCTTCCCAATGTTCCTGTAGATAACATCTCTATTGCAAATTCTAAGTTTTTTTTTTAAGATGTTTTTCAGACTGACGCCAGCAAGACTTGTGACTCATAACTCAACTGATTCTATGGCCCCACACAGAGGCAGACTCAGGGGAAGAAAACCACTTTCCACACCCCTGTGATTTCATCTCCAACCAATCGGCATCACCCATTCCCTCACCCCTGCCCACCAAAATGTCTACAAAAACCTAACCTTCCAAGCCTTTGGGGAAACAGATTTGAGAGATGACTCCAGTTTCCCCATGTGGGTTGCCCGCACATCAATTAAACTCTTTAATACAATGTCATGGTCTCAGTGAATTGGTTTTGTCTGTACAGTGAGCACGAAAAACCCATCAGGCAATTACACATATTTGTATGTTAAAAATTTGTATTCCTTTTCTCCAGTTAATCTATTGTCTATTTCCTCCTGCAAACTCAAAACTTCAGAGGGGAAGGAAACAATTCCCTTTGCCCTTACAAGGCCCAGTTTACCATATCATTATTCTGTGATATTACACTCCACACTAGTCAGCTGTCTCTTTTTCTTTTCTCCAGCCTAGTCAACAAACTTGTAACACATTAATCCTCTTCATTCCTTTGTCTACAATTTTAATTATACTACACTCTTGATTATGCCAAGTGCACTGGAGACATATAAAATATGAGCCTTTCATTTGTCTCCCTGACAAGAGACCTACCTTGACTCGTTATTGAATAAAGTTAAAGAATGTGTTTTTACTGTTCAGGTTGGAATGGGAGAGAGAGGGTTCTAGAACTTTCTAGCTAAGCAATGCTTGTCAAAGTTTTTAAAAGTCCAAGAACTTTCTTTATGTAAAGGTGGGTATAAAATTTACCTCTCAAAGTTACAGTGTGATTGAATGAAACTGAGAAAACATAAGGCACTCAGCAAGAATAGTCCTCTTCCTTTTCTCTCTAAGCCCATCTAACTTTTTTCCTCCATGACTACCCCAAGTCTCAGATAGATTATGTTACAGCTCTTCTGTGAATATAATCCATAAGACCATCTGCTCTTCTTTTGACATTATTCATGACATTTCACCTCACTATTCACCATACCTGAATGTTTATTTTCAAATGAGCAACCATAACCTTTGGTTTTGTTGGACCTCAGTGAAAAATATCCCAAAGTATGGCACTTTGGTATTTGGAGCACTTTGAAATAAAGGGAACAGGAAGGTCTCAGAAGCTGCCTCAGAACTAAGGACTTTTTAACTTTTTCTTGTTTTTTCCGCAACCTCCAATGGCAGAGAAGGGCTCTCTCTGAAGTTCCCTTATCTGACTGAGGAAATTTTTTCTAAAGAAAATTGCAATTGTATTAAAACCCTCTCCCTAGGAATCTCACTAATCAGCAGAGATGAACCACCAGAGAGGAGAAAAGACTAAAAATTATCACCACACACATTCAGACTTTTTATCTATTTTTTGAGGCCAGCTCCTGGCATTAGACTTTCTCAACACTAACCAGGCAACTGAGGTTAAAATAACAAAAGGCCCTTATAGAAGAACTCCTTATAAGACAGGGATGCCCTCTCTCACCACTCCTATTCAACATAGTGTTGGAAGTTCTGGCCAGGGCAATCAGGCAGGAGAAAGAAATAAAGGGTATTCGATTAGGAAAAGAGGAAATCAAATTGTCCCTCTTTGCAGATGACATGATTGTTTATCTAGAAAATGCCATCGTCTCAGCCCAAAATCTCCTTAAGCTGATAAGCAACTTCAGCAAAGTCTCAGGATACAAAATCAATGTGCAAAAATCACAAGCATTCTTATACACCAACAACAGACAAACAGAGAGCCAAATCATGAGTGAACTCCCATTCACAATTGCTTCAAAGAGAATAAAATACCTAGGAATCCAACTTACAAGGGATGTGAAGGACCTCTTCAAGGAGAACTACAAACCACTGCTGAATGAAATAAAAGAGGATACAAACAAATGGAAGAACACTTCATGCTCATGGGTAGGAAGAATCAATATCATGAAAATGGCCACACTGCCCAAGGTAATTTGTAGATTCAGGGCCATTCCCACCAATGACTTTCTTCACAGAATTGGAAAAAACTACTTTAAAGTTCATATGGAACCAAAAAAGAGCCCGCATCACCAAGTCAATCCTAAGCCAAAAGAACAAAGCTGGAGGCATCACACTACCTGACTTCAAACTATACTACAAGGCTACAGTAACCAAAACAGCATGGTACTGGTACCAAAACAGAGATATAGACCAATGGAACAGAACAGAACCCTCAGAAATAATGCCGCATATCTACAACTATCTGATCTTTGACAAGCCTGACAAAAACAGGAAATGGGGAAATGATTCCCTATTTAATAAACGGTGATGGGAAAACTGGCTAGCCACATGTACAAAGCTGAAACTGGATCCCTTCCTTACACCTTATACAAAAATTAATTCAAGATGGATTAAAGACTTAAATGTTAGACCTAAAACCATAAAAACCCTAGAAGAAAACCTAGGGAATACCATTCTGGACATAGGTATGGGCAAGGACTTCATGTCTAAAACACCAAAAGCAATGGCAACAAAAGCCAAAATTGACAAATGGGATCTAATTAAACTAAAGAGCTTCTGCGCAGCAAAAGAAAGTACCATCAGAGTGAACAGGCAACCTACAAAAATGGGAGAAAATTTTTGCAATCTACTCATCTGACAAAGGGCTAATATCTAGAATCTACAAAGAACTCAAACAAATTTACAAGGAAAAAACAAACAACCCCATCAACAAGTGGGCGAAGGATATGAACAGACACTTCTCAAAAGACATTTATGCAGCCAAAAGACACATGAAAAAATGCTCATCATCACTGGCCATCAGAGAAATGCAAATCAAAACCACAATGAGATACCATCTCACACCAGTTAAAATGGCCATCATTAAAAAGTCAGGAAACAACAGGTGCTAGAGAGGATGTGGAGAAATAGGAACACTTTTACACTGTTGGTGGGACTGTAAACTACTTCAACCACTGTGGAAATCAGTGTGGCGATTCCTCAGGGAACTAGAACTAGAAATACCATTTGACCCAGCCATCCCATTACTGGGTATATACCCAAAGGATTATAAATCATGCTGCTGTAAAGACACACACACCAGTATGTTTATTGCGGCACTATTCACAATAGCAAAGACTTGGAACCAACCCAAATGTCTAACAATGATAGACTGGATTAAGAAAATGTGGCACATATATACCATGGAATACTATGCAGCCATAAAAAATGATGAGTTCATGTCCTTTGCAGGGACATGGATGAAGCTGGAAACCATCATTCTCAGCAAACTATCGCAAGGACAAAAAACCAAACACTGCGTGTTCTCACTCATAGGCGGGAACTGAGCAATGAGAGCACATGGACACAGGAAGGGGAACATCACACACCGGAGACTGTTGTGGGGTGGGGGGAGGGGGGAGGGATAGCATTAGGAGATATACCTAATGTTAAATGACGAGTCAATGGGTGCAGCACACCAACATGGCACATGTATATATATGTAACAAACCTGCACGTTATGCACATGTACCCTAAAACTTAAAGTATAATGAAAAAAAAAGAAAACCTCTGCTTTATACATTTGGACAAACAGAGTGCTACTGAATAACAATTTGTGTGTTCAGTTTCCAGTCTTTTCAGACTGGCCACTTGGCAGGACCCAAAAATTGGACCCCTTTAGGGAGGGAAGACTTTTTTTGTATAATATGGCAACCTTTGTTTATAGCAGAGTTCTGTACCTCACCTTCCTTGGTCCAAGCTATTATCTGTACTATGGTCCCATTTCATTTCCAAAGAATATCATTTAAAATCTGTTATCTGCTCTTTGCCCATTCATTTCTCATAAAAAACATTTACTACGCTTCAGAATTGCCTAGGTTTTTTTTTTATCTCCCTCATCCCTATAAGGAGGGAGTTATTTAAGCTTCAGCCACCTAGTCATTCATGAAGTCTCGTGTTTTGTACGGCTCCTAAGCTTGTCCACATAAATAAATATGTATGTCCTTTCTTGTATTAATCATTATGTTATCCGTTTATTTCAGCAAACTTCAGAGGGTGAGGTAGAAGGTGTTTTGTTTTGTTTTGTTTTTCACCCCTGCAAATCCGGCATAGTTGGCAGTATACCACAATCATCGTGATCCACTTGAAACTACAGTTGAGAAAACCTAGGACTGACAAGCTGGCAAAAAGGTAAGAGACCTTTACCAGTCAGCCTCCTTAATTTCTGTCTACAAAATCCAGTTGAGTGAGTGGTAAACATCACTTCCTGTCTTTCCTTCCTTTTCAAATTTAGATTAATAGGAGAAAAACATTTGTATGGACTGGTCTTTACAACTCTGGTTTATATCTAGTATGAATATTCATGTCGTCTCATCCTTTTCCTCCCAGAATTGGTCTTCATTTTGCTCTGTCCCTGTCTTTTTGTGTCATTCATCATAAAAAGAACTTTGGTGTATAAAGTTCTCTTTTCATCTTATATCCTGACAGCCTGGCTTTGTGACCAGGTGGGAATCTTCCTCCTTTGGTCTTTGCTAGCTGGGAGCCCAATTTTTGGGTCCTGCCAAGTGGCCAGTCTGAGAAGACTGGAAACCCAAGACACAAATTGTTATTCAGCAGCACTCTCTTTGTCTGAATGTACAAAGCTCTCAGGGGAGTTTCTCTTAATAAGAAGTCCCATCCCTAAGGGCCTTTTGTTATTTCAACTTCGGTTGCCTGGTTAGTGTTGAGAAAGTCTAATACCAGAAGTGCCTACCCAATGTCATAGATTGACAGGTCTGTGACTAGCAGCACCCCATATTTTGGGTGGAGACTAGAGACACTATTTGTAAGCACCATCTTTAACCACCTGTGGTAGCAGATATCTTTTTGCCGTCTTAGTCTGTTTCTGTGGATGAAAATTTGGGGGCAATGGCAACTGCATCTTCTGCACCCTTTTTGGAAACCTCCTGCTTAAAGAGTTTATTCTGAACTTGGAGATTTAGCATCTAGTCATTCCATAAAGGGGTTCATTGGATTGAGTCTCTGTTGGAATAAATGTACCATCGGAGATCCTAATTGTCGATAACCAGACAATATATTCTTTAAGTTGGAAAGTCTTCTATATTTGAAAAAAAAAATTAGACAACTCTCATATTATGCAATTACACAATTGGCATTTATGGGAAGATTGAATTGAAAGAAAAACACATAATAGTGTCACAACAAGCCTTAGAAATTCTTCTAATAAAATGAAAAGCAAAAATCTGACCTAAAACAAAAGTAAAATCCTTTTGACCAGAAGATCATTTGGATGTCTGGATTCCTGACTGAGACTTTTCCTTCCCCAATTCAGTTCAGTTTAAAGTAAAAAACTGTTTTATTAAAAACAGCCACATTTTTAGGTCTTTCTAATCTCTCTATAGGATCCTGTTTCTCCCATGAAAACTTCACAGTGGACTGAAACTTCCTCTTTCTGAATCCTTGTTAACCATATGCACTGTTTCCTCTGTCTTTCTTTCTTGTGGACATGATTTTTGCCAGGGATAGTGTAAAACTCCATAGGCCTTTCTGAAAAACTCCCAAGCTGACTCTTCTATGATTTGTTCTTTCATTTACTGATGCCTCCACTTCTTTCTGATGGCCTCAACCTTCCATCTGGTTCCCTTGATATATTTTTCTTAAAGCTTCTACCTCCTCCATTTGGTGGTCAGTGGATAAAAAATTACCAATAGAAAACATCACACTTCTGGTTATTACATAAAAACATCAAAAATAGGCCTTTAGCAATCCAGACACCCCTTAAGGAACACAGAAAAGGCACCACACAACGCATTTTTGGGCTCCTCAGCCTTCCTCATGGAGCCCCGAGAGTCCTGGACTACATCCACTGAGGTCTGAAGCTCTGCACTGTTTTACAGTCAGCTGTGTGATCTTTTGGGTTTTTAGGAGTACCAAGGGCTACTTTGTACTGTAAGAGGACACTCGACCTTTGGGTGTTTATTAACTCATGAGTCACCAGCAAGACCAGCAATTTTAAAGATAATTGGCAGCAATTACAGTACTGGTCATTATGCAGCGGGCAAATTCAGATTTGTTTTGTTTCTTTGCATGCTTAGGTCCTTAATTTTTAAAGATCTTAGTACTTTGCCTTCCAGTTACACCTGTCTTTTACATGTATAAGTATTAGGCCCCAGAAGCCACAAATTCTTTGTTGGTCCTATTTGTTACCGGGCTCTGCCTTGAAATCAAAATCCAGTTAAGAAACAAAAAATGAATTGAAAAACCATCTATCTAACAAAATTGGTCTTTGAACTACAACCTTCTTATATTCAATCAGTTATTTAAAACAGGCTTCTAAACTTTTCTTATAGGCTCTCATTTGTATACTTTCTTATAAAATCCTGTAATGGATTGCTATTATTTTATATTACATTGACATATATTTTAAATCTTCCTCTTTGTTCCACCTGACAAACCCAAACACCTTCTTGGAAAAACTTATGTTCTTTCTCTGTGCTGATGATATGTAAATTTCCTACCTTGTCTTTTCTAAAATTCAATAAGGGCTTTGTCCATGTGAGATAGACAGTCTTTAACTTGCTCCATTTACAAAGACACAGTTTGTATCCAATTGTCCTTTTATTTTGTTTTTTTGTTTGTGTGTGTGTTTTCATTTTTTTGTTTGGTTTTCAAGACAGGGTCTTGCTTTGTTGCCGAGGTTGGAGTGCCATGGTGCGATCACGGCTCACTATAGCTTCAACTTCCCAAGGCTCAAGCATTTCTCCCACCTCAGCCTCCCAAAGTGTTGGGATTACAGACATGAGCCAAAGCGCCAGGCTCCAATTATCCTTTTAAACTAGTGAGTTTTACTTGCCTCATGATTAAAATTATAAAATCAGAGCTATAAATTCTTTATTTTGGTCTGCCTATATTTTTATGTATGCGTGTGTATATCTTTGGGTTTGTATTCTGTCTACATGGTACTGAATTGACTTAGTGATAAATGAGCATTTATAAATAAAAAAATAAGCTCAAATGCTTCTAAAGTTTATGTGGATTTATAATCTTTGGTAAATAAAAATAACATTACTTGATTTAAAAATAGGATGTCTGTCAACATTAAATCTAATACAGACACACAACTTTTATCACTATTAGATGTTTAAAATCATAACAGTATGAATTTGACCTAAATGCAAGTTAATTAAATACATGTAACTGGAATAAAAGTTTAGAAATGAACTTTTTAAAATAATAATTATGCTTTATATTACGTTTACTTAAAGTTTTTCTAAATCTCTTTGGTAACTACATCATTAGAGTTTTACTAAATTAAATTAAATGAGTGTTCATTGAATATCTAGGTCATTTCCAAGTAAGATGAAATATTAAAACATTACTTATTAAACATATGTTTATTTGTTTTTGGTTTCTTAAGTTTATAAAAAGACAAAATATATTTGGGCCAGTTAGTAAATATGTACTATTCCACATTGAAATGTTATTCTATGAGGTAACACATATTTATAGAAAGTATAAAATTGTGTTAGTCTACAGAATGCTGGTTTACAATTGCTAATAATTAAAATTTTAATTAATATATGTAATTAAAATTACTAAAATTAATGGAAACAATTCTGTGTGCAAGATATACAAGAGAAGTAAGAAGTGTGTTTTGGTGAGAAAAATTATTTTAAATAGACATGAAAATGTATTTTTGTTAAAGAAAAAGTAATTTTTGTCCAATGTAGAGGTTTTTAAAAGGTTCTTTAAAAATATGGATTTAGTACAGAAATAAACAAGGTAGAAAGAAATCAGTAAGTAGAAGAGAGAGATTTATAGAAAGTTACATGAGTAAAACATATATATCTGTTTAAAAAAGTTGTAAAATGTCTTAAAAAGTTATAAAAATTTTATAAAGGATGAATCATAAAAATTTTATGTGTAATCAATTGACAAAGATTAAAAGGAAATTATTTATGAACTTTTCTTAAGATGAGCTTTAATATCAAAAGTACACTGATACAAAAGTAAACATTAATGTTTTCTTTGAATTAAGATTTTCATGTAATATTGATAAAAGATTAAAATTAAAAAAATTGTTAATCTTTTGAGTGAATTACAAAAAGAGGATGAGTGAGAGAGACACATTCTGTGAGCTTGTGCTCTCTTTTCTAAGTCTTCTGATTAGCTGTAAAAATGGAGTCTACTTTCTATGAAAGAGTAAATAATTTTTTTTAACATCTATTTAACATCTTGTATTTTCTTTTGAGCCTTTTAATTCTAATTCTGGTTAGTGGAATGAATGACTATTATTTTGTAATAATCTGTGATCCTATTTTTAATGAAGTGTTTTAAACCTTTATTTAAAAAAAAAAAATTCCAAAATACAAATGAAGTCTTTTTGACCTCAAACTGAGTTTTGGAAGTTCCAGAATAGCACCTAAAGGTACAAAACAGAGATAACAAACCAATTAAGGTTATTTGATATGTTTAATACATAGAGAGCACTGCCAAATAAAAAATTAGGTTTGACCTCTTTTGAGTTACACTTGCATAGATATACTATTCATATGTGTTCCAAATTTTATGAGTTTCCTAAATATCTGATATGTCATGGTATATGTTATCAGTCATAATTTTGGCTATTAAATTATTGTCGGCTACAAATATAAGCAAACTTCCTTGTCATTTGCGACATTATTATAATGAACTACCATCAGATATTCAACCATGGTCATTTTAATTCTTGTTGCTTAAAGCTAATTGTTTTATTCTGATGTTTTGTCTGAAGCTTTTTTATAGGGAATTATAAAGTGTTGTCATTAAGGACATATGGGAAAAATTAATTATAAACTGTTGTCTTTAAAGATATATGGAAAAAAAAGGACTCCGACAAGTATGAGTTTCTGGTAATTTCTGATATTATTGGACCTGGTAAGAATTTCCAAAACTAATGCAAAAACTGGACTCATGAAATTGCTAACTCAACATCAAGTAGAACAAAATTAATTATAAGGAACTAAACTAATGAGAGGTTATAATTTTTATGAATTTTGTTTGAAACGTTGCTGATTCTTTTTATGTTTTGTTTTCCAGATGCAAAAAGACATTTTTTAAGCATTCTATGACTTCCAGCAATTTGGTAATATATACTTTTGTAAACATAATTGAAGCATTTTTTTTTGCATGATTTCTCTAAAATTTGGAAATTATTTGTATTGGTCTGTTCTCATGCTACTATGATGAAATATCTAAGACTAGGTAATTTATAAAGAGAAGAGGTTTAATTGACTCACAGTTTTGCATTACTCAGGAGGCCTCAGGAAACTTACAATCATGGTGGAAGGTGAAGAGGAAGCAAGGCACCTTTTTTACAAGGCAGCAGGAAGGAGAAGTGCTAAGTGAAGCAGGAAGAGCCATTTATAAAACCATCAGATCTCGTGAGAACTCACACACTATCACAAGAACAGCATGGGGAAACCACCCCCATGACTCCATTACTTCCCACCATTCCCTTCCAGGACATGTGGGGATTATGGGGATTACAATTCAAGATGAGATTTGAGTGGGGACCAACCATATCACTATTTGTGAGTATGCTTTTATTATGGCAATATAGTTATTTGCATAAGTTCATTAAGTATCTGCTCTTTTTGTAACAGGACAATTGGAAGCACTGATTATATTACCAAGGCTTTGACTGGAATATTATATCTTCCAATATGAGTAGACAGCTTTGAGGAACTGAGGTTGATATTATAAAGCTATAGAAGCCCCTGGAAACCTGGCCTCATACCTTGAATAAAGGATTTCCTCACAGAGTTTCTAGTCTTATAAGTAAAAAATGTCACTTCCTGACAGGTCCCAGAGCCTCATGCTATTTCGAGCCTCAAGAAGAGAAGAATCCACCCAAATCTTACAGGTACAATTTTGGGGCGAGTTCACAGGAACATCTGATATAAACTACAATTCAGAAAAATCTGTGAGATTGCCACTGCCTGGTTCATTTCCAAGTGAAGATACTTCAAACCCAAATCTAGGAATCTTCTCAACTGACTGCCTTCTAAACTGTAAACAAACAAAAAACTAGCTTGTAGACTACACCAAACATTAACCATTGTTTTTCCTCTGTGCCCACAAAAATGCCTCTTGCTAAAGACCTGTTTGCTTGAGCCATATAGAGGCTTAACTTTAATGGGAAGCCTCCAAACACTACCTTCTGAAATACAAACCAACTGTTTAATTGGACTGACAAATACCCGGAGATAGGAGAGTGGTTTAATGGTATCCTTTGCCACCGAGCTACTAAAATATATGTTTTTTTTCTTCACGGCCACCAACTTAGTTTTTGATGTATGAAACTTTTAGAAATATTTGAGCAGGGAAATGTTAGGGCTCAGAGCACAATATACCAAGGTATGGAGCTTTGGCATGCTGAGCACCTTTGAATTAAAGGCAGTTGGAAGACTGTAGAAGCAGCCTCAGAACCAAGGACTTTCTAACCTTCTCTTATTTCTCAACCCCCACCTTCACCTGTTTCTCTGAGGGGCTATCTCTGGAAGTTCCCCTATCTGACTGAGGAAAGGTCTTTCAAAAGAAATGCAAGTCTTAAAATTGCTTCGTAAGAGTCTTATCAAATAACCTGGAAAGATTAACCACCTGAGAAAAGAAAGAACTAAAAGTTGTCACCACACCACACATTTTTTTTTCCATAAATTACCTGGGAGACTTTATCTATGTAATAAAATAATCTTTGTTCACAATGAAGTTTCACTTCCCACTTCCTCCAGAGCTCAGACGAACTTTATCCCAAGCTACTGTCTTGTCTTTGGTTCTATTCAGTTTTCAGAGAACCAGTTACAAAATGTTGCTCTTTGGGCCGATTTACTTCCCCTAGCAATCATTTATTACCCTTCAAAGTTGCCTACATTCCCTGTCTCCTTCTTGCCTACGAAGTCCTATTTAAGCTTCAGCCATCTGGCCCTTCTTTCAGTCTCCTATTTCATATGGCTCCCATGGTTATGCAGGTTCATAAGCATGGATGCCTTTTCTCCTTTTAACCTGTCTATTGTCAGTTTATTTCAGTGAACCTTCTGGCGGTAAAGAGGAAGCTTACCCTTTTCCCCAGCAGTTTCTACAACCATCTTCTTTCTAAAGATTTTAATTTTCACCTGATCAGGATAAAAAACTACCCCCTTTAGACCTCCCAAGCCTTTCTTTTGTATATCTGTTAAAGAACTACTTATCTCACCCCATCCTATTAGAACTGTTCAGAAAAAAACTTATTCTCCCAGAGACATCGCATACTTCACTCTTCTTTTTATCCTCTGCAGGAACAAACAGGCGCCTTTATCATTTGCATTTCTTTGAGGAGAAGCCTTGCTAAAAGACAACGCTTATAAGCACTTAAATAGAGTGATAAAAAGAAGGAAACTTTAATCCATCTCCTGGGGTGTGAGAAGGGAGAAGGAACTAATTTAGGGGACAAAAAATGGAGATTTTGGATTGAGCTCTGGGATGAGTTCAAGAATTGAATGAGCTTAAATAATTCTGAGTAAGAAGCAAGATACTTTAAATCATGCCTATAATGTGAGCAAGGTTAGCTACGAACCCACTGCCTCATGCATGGAAGCTAAGGATAAAAACAAAACTACTGGTTTGAAGAACAGAGAACATCAATGTAAAATCTGCAATGTAGAAACCATCTTTTCCCCTGTGGAATTTTTACTCTAAAGTACCAACTTGCTAGAACTCATTTATCTTATATATGATAAATGAAAAATGGGAACAATACATTGTCCTTCAAAAAAAAAAATGTGTTGTAGGACCTGAATTAAACATAACTTTTTTAAAAAACTTTTCTTCTTTCTGTAGCTCTGCTTTTTTTTATTTTTTCTTAAAACATTCTTTTCAGAAAAGCCTTCAATTTTGAGCACATTCTATATGGCAATCCCTGCTCTATTTCTTTTGTAACGTAAAAATACTCATTTAATTTTCACGACAATCTTATGACATAAAAGTATCTGAGACAGTTCTCAACCAATTTGGAAAGTTTATTTTGCCAAGGTTAAGGATAGGTCCTTAACACAGTCTGAAGAGTTCCTGAAGACATGGGCCCAAGTGGTTGGGGTACAGCTTGCTTTTGTACAGCTGAGGGAGACATGAGACATCAATAAATACATGTAAAATTTACATTGGTTTGATCTGGAAGGGCAGGACAACTCAAAGGGGAAGGGGCCTTCCAGTTCTTAGATAGATTTTAAAATTTTCTGATTGGCAATTGGTTGAAAGAGTTATCATCAATAGAAAGGAATGTCTGGGTTACAATAAGGAGTTGTGGAGACCAAGGTTTTATTATGCAGATGAAGCCTCCAGCTAGCAGACTTCAGAGAGAATAGATAGTAAATGCTTTTCATCAGATTTAAGGTCTGTGTTGATGTTAATGCTGGTTGGCTTTTCCTGAATTACAAAACTGAGGAGGGTATAATGTCAAAACCCCACTTCCATCATGGCCTGAACTAGTTTTTCAGGTTGACCTTGGAATGCACTCAGCTGAAAAGAGGGGTCCTTTCAGATGGCTGTAGGGGGAGAGGGTTAGAATTTTGTTTACAAGTATTTGTATAATGCTTGTTTCTTTTCAGTTTTTTAGTTTTAGTTTTTGTTTTTAAAACAGGATCTGCCGGGCGCAGTGGCTCATGCCTGTAATCCCAGCACTTTGGGAGGCCGAGGCAGGCAGATCACAAGGTCAGGAGATCGAGACCATCCTGGCTAACACAGTGAAACCCTGTCTCTACTAAAAATACAAAAAATTAGCCAGGTGTGGTGGCAGGCTCCTGTAGTCCCCGCTACTTGGGAGGCTGAGGCAGGAGAATCGCTTGAACCCAGGAGGCGGAGCTTGCAGTGAGCTGAGATCGCACCACTGCACTGCAGCCTGGGCGACAGAGTGAGACTCTATCTCAAAAAAAAAAAAAAAAAAAAAAAAAAGTCAGGATCTAACCTCGTCGCCCAGGCTGTAGTGCAGTGGTACAATCTCAATCTTGGCTCACTGTAACCTCTACTTCCCAGGATCAAGTGATCTCCTCACCTCAGCCTCTCAAGTAGCTGGGACTATGGGTGTGCATCCATCCCCAACTAATATTTGTATGTATGTATGTATTTATTTATTTATTTTTATAGTTGTATATTTATTTATTTTGTCAAGATGGGGGTTCGCCATGTTGCCCAGGCTAGTCTTGAACACGTGGGCTCAAGTGATCAGGCTGCCTCGGCCTCCCAAAGTGCTGAGATTACAGGCATAGGCCATCATGCCTGGCCTATAATGCTCATTTTAAGAATGAAGAAACTGAAGTAGGCCTTAGGTCACACATCTACTAATAAATTTGACAGCAGAGATTTCCTCTCTGAAGGAATCTGCCTCCAGAGCCCATGTTCTTAGCTGCTTTAATAAACTTACTTTCTAATAAAATATTATTTTGTTTTTTTCTCTGTCAAGCACAGGCTTTTTAATCATAGTTGGGGGTACATATGAGAAAAGCTTTATGCTTTACTTTTGGAGTTTCTGCCCACGACTATCACATGTTGGCACAGGCACACACACAAATGCACACCAGAAGATCTTGGCTGAAAAACAAGTTTAGTGCTTTAAAAATCATGCTGAAATCCTCATAATTACAGCACAACTTTGTGGAGGCTTATTTTGCACAGGCCATGCACATGGCTTATGAGTAATGGTAATCCCCATGCACAGGCTCCCTGGGGATACAGTCTTGATGATGAGCCTTCCACAAAGAAACATCATCCTCACCTTCCCTCCTCTGTCTCCACTTAATGTACTTTGGCTGTCTCCCGTGGCTGCACTCCACTCTGGCACATTTTGCAAACATTTAATCCTATGTATTACTTATTTGTTATCTTCATTTATCCTCCTTATACTCATTTCATGTCTTCATTGTTGCAGCCAGCATGGCTGAGCTGAAATCTTAAGCCTTTAGCTGGTGTGGTTCATGCTCATACTCCCTGTACAAAGCCCTGAGCCATCTCACTCATTTTAGAGGGCTGCAAGTAGAATGGGGCCCAGCAAGCATGGCTCATCCCCCTAGTGGAGGTCTATAGTCATAATTTCTTCAATTTCTTTAAATGAATATGAGTTAAGGCAAACAGATTCCTATTTATCAATCCTCACTCTCATTTGCAATATATAGTTAAATGTACAGTATTCTACTGGGAAGGAAGCTTCGAAATGGCCTCACCTCCCTTTCATATTTGAGAGGTAGAGAAATAGAGGCTCAGGGAGCCAAAGTGACTTGATCAATGTCTTAAATTATGTTAATGAGTTCCAGAGTTGGAGCTCACAGCCAAAGTTTTTTTACCCCAAGATGAATGCCTTTCTACCAGTTTATCTTATGCCAAAAATGAAATAAAAAAACAAATCACTTCATGGAGACACTCTGTATTAGAGAAACATCATTGATGAGATAAAGCTTTTACAGAATTCCGTGATGTGATTGTGAATTGTCTTCTCCCTTTCACATTAGTGGTAATGATACCAGTTTAATTCCTCACTACCTCATCATGAAAACGCTGTGTCTTAGTCTGTTCAAGTTTATATAATAAAATATTGTAAAGTAGTTGGCTTATAAACAAAACACATGTATTTCTCACAATTTTGGAGGCTGGAAACTCCGAGATTAAGACACCAGCAGGTTTGATATCTAGTGAGAACTGTCTTCCCTGTTCATGGTTGGTGCCTTCTGACTATGTTCTTTCATGGCTGAAAACGTTAGGCAGCTCTCCGAGGTTTCTTTCATAAGGGCACTAATCCCATTCATGAAGGCTTCACCCTCACCTTCCAAAGGCCCTACCTCTTAAAACCATCACATTATGGGTTAGAATTTCAACATATGAATGTTGTGGTAACACAAATATTCAAGCCATAGCATCCTGTTCCTGAATGAATAACTCTGTCTCCTTTATTTTCATTAAGTGTGAAACTCTTCTACTTAGAGCTAGAATAAAAGAGCATTTCACAAACCGTGTGCTTATGTCTTTCCTACTCATAATACTTCAATCAAGATTGCCTTGAAACTCATAGAACTACAAAAACCTTAGATTCATGAAAGCTTGTCTTATAAAATGCCCCTTTTCCATTGTCGAAAAGCTAACTTCCTCTTTCTCTTCCCTGAGTTCTCCTCCAGAAAGTCCTACAGAAAGTCCTCCTGCTTGCCTTCTCTGTCTGATCAGTAATACAGCATGCAGGCTGTCTCCTCCTCCTTGCACTAACCACATTGTTTCAGCATTGTCAGTTTACAAGGCTATCAAAGTCCTTAAGGAAAGAAACCCATTCACCTTTGAACTTCCTTTGGTTGGCACATCTAATTTGGCTTCCCACTTTTTACCCGTCCCTCCAAACTCAAGGGACCCAATTAGCTGGCTGTTAGGCTCAAGCACTCCAGGCATTCTTCTTGAGTCCCATATTCCATTTACCGCAAATCTCACTCCCTTTCGTTATCATTCTCCAAGTTCCACTTTCTTTGATGTCTCTCAGACCTATTTAAATCTGACATATACATCTATGGCCTAGACATTTCATTACAAGGGCTCTGTGCCCAACAGTCAATGTCAGTACAACCTCATATTCACTCTGGCTCTGGGAACTCCTTCTGTGTCTGTGTCCTGGACTCCCAGGCTGCCTAGAAAGTTGGTTCAGGTCTTCAGGGTGAAATAGAACTGCCACCAGAATTCCAAGAATACATGAACTTTTTACCAATTCAGTGGTTCCCTAGGAACTAAAGGTGTGATGGAATTGGGCTATTTCTGTCTGGTTCACGCTACATCCTCACTGTCCATCATAGTACTTAACCCATAATAGATAGTCAAGTCTTTAAAAAGACAAGCAAATTAATGAATATTAATGAATGTATTTTTGGCTCTTTTTTTCGTAATGCTCTCTACTTTTCCCAAATTGCACTCCCAGAACCTAACACAAATACTTTCTCCTTCTTTTCTCTCTGTCTCTAAAACCTCAAATCTCTATTGCTCTCTTTCTCTATTTCTCCTTTCACACACAAAAACACATCCACACACACCCACATACACACACACAAAGGCCATAACTTTTTATTTTTATTTCAACTTTCAGTTGGAGTAATTGAAGGTGGAATATCAAATGAGCCAGTGCAAAGATGAGGTAATGCTTTCTTTCCTTAGCTGTCTAGTTAGCTGCCAACATGGTCTAGTTAATTCTGAAAGCCTCCTCAGGAGGCAGGGGTTGGCAGGCCTGATTTAGCAGGCTAAATGGAAGACACACCTGTCCTTTGCATGTGATATGAGGGTGCTGTGGAAGCTGTGTCAGGGCTATACATAGATGAGGCTTGAATCTCCACCTCAGGCTAGGTGCTTCTGCCTCCCAGAGTCGGGTCCACAGGTGTCGTCCTCTCCTGTAGATGGAACCTCTGCCCCTGACTTATTTGCTGCACTTGATTCCCTTGCACAGCTTCAGTGATGCAAGAGACACATTGCTGAAGGGTATGACTCATAGGGCACACAAGATTCTCTCACTTGTACTAAGCTTTATTTCCATTTGTTTATAAGAGTAGGTCTTGACTTGAGTCTATGGGATTCTGTTTTGGTGCTCCCCTATTACAGCCTTAGGATCAAGTCAGGCAACTGGAGATGCTATGAGATAAGGATCTGAGATCTCTGTTTTGTAAGTTTCTGAGTTGCATGAGAACTTCTGTCACCTGATCAAATTCCTCCTCTGGGAAAGTGTTCCTGACCCGCTTGGGCACACATGGGTCTCCTGTATGCCTTGCACATTAACTTCTATAACATCATAAACTTACCAAATTACTTATAAGATTATAATATGCCATATCTGTTATCAAACCTGCTGGTGCCTTAATCTCGGAGTTTCCAGCCTCCAAAACTGTGAGAAATAAATGTTTTTTGTTTATAAGCCAACTACTTTAGAAGACTATGCACTGAAGAAGCATAGTCTAATCCTTCTTAATATTTCTATATTACAGAACAGAGCACATTGCTAGTTACATGTTAGATGCTCAGCTAATGTTTATTGAAAAGATAATTTTGAATTCTTTGAATTTTAGAGAGGCAGCATGAGGACTGCAAGTAGACAGTAGTTCTGCCTGGTGAGGTTGTGGGATCCAGAAGGAAGTGATGGTTTCATCACCTGAGGACCTGCTCCATGGACAAGTATTCCTCAGAAAACTCTAACTGCCCAAGGAGTCATTGCAAAGCAGCTAATAATATGCCATATCTGTTAGTCAATTTTCAGCTGAGACTATACGAACAAGGACAGAACAGCTCTACTAAATAATTACTTTGCACACATACCGATGACCCTGATTTATTATCATGATTTTCATTATTCATTTTGCTGCAATATAGATTCTCAAATACCATTTTTACCCTTTTACTCATTTATCCTCTTACCCCCTTTATATTACATGCCTGTCCTACCTGGTATTTGACTGTAGTAAAATTTCTTAGGTTAACTTGAGTATCTACAGATGATAAGCCCTCTCAAACATGTAACAAACTAACACTTGGTGGTAAATGACTTGCCTGGTTTCTGGCAGAGCTGGGAATGAATGCAATCTCTAACCTGTGCTGCAGGTGCCAAGCCCTGACAAATTTTGTTTGTCATCTGTCGAATGAGAATAATATATTTTCTTTACAGATTTGTTTTGAAAACTAAGTCTATAAGAAAATGGTTTATAAAAGCAATATAAGCATTTTATTTTATTTTATTTTATTTTATTTTATTTTATTTTATTATTATTATTTTGGAGATGGAGTCTCACTCTGTCACCCAGGCTGGAGTGCAGTGGTGCAATCTTGGCTCACTGCAACCTCCGCCTCCCAAGTTCAAGCGATTCTCCTGCCTCAGTCTCCCAAGTAGCTGGGATTATAGGCGGGTGCCAATATGCTCTGCTAATTTTTGCCTTTTTAGTAGAGACAGGGTTTCACCATGTTGGTCAGGCTGGTCTCGAACTCCTGACCTCAGGTGATCCACCCACCTTGGCTTCCCAAAGTGTTGGGATTACAGGCGTGAGCCACCTCACCTGGCCGATATAAGCATTTTAAATTTAAATTTAGAGCCTTAAAATTAGAATCCTCTTAACAGAACCTGCCTTAACTTCCTAATTTTTTTATATTTTAAAAGATCCAGAGTACATAAAAACTCAGAATGGAAATTGGGACTATCAACCCAATACTACAACCTTGGAGACATTCTATTAATTTCTAACCACACTTCCTTGAAAAATACATTTTCTAGACCACCACTGCAAGATGTCTATTAAAACATTTTTGTTTTTGCTTTTGTTTTGAATTTACTCTAATGAGCAGGTACTCCTTTATGCTGAAATTTATTTTTCAAAAAAATTCATAGTGGAATTTATACTTTTCCCCTTTTTTAGATGATGAAAACACAAGGCAAAAGAAATTCTAATCCTTTTCTTTTTTTCTTTTTCTTTTTCTTTTTTTTTTTTTGAGATAGAGTTTCGCTCTTGTTGCCCAGGCTGGAATGCAATGGCACAATCTTGGCTCACTGCAACCTCTGCCTCCCAGGTTCAAGTGATTCTCCTACCTCAGCCTCCCTAGTAGGTGGGATTACAGATATGTGCCACCACACCCGACTAATTTTGTATTTTTAGTAGAGACGGGGGCTTTCTCCACCTTGGTCAGGCTGGTCTTGAACTCCCAACCTCAGGCGATCCGCCTGCCTCGGCCTCTCAAAGTGCTGGGATTACAGGCCACCGCGCCCAGCCATTCTAATCCTTTTCTTTATTTTTAGCTCCAGCACTGAATTTCCTCTGCATCCTTACAATGGGGTAAGCTTGTTTCCTTCAGCTCATCCTCTGTGGAGCTATGCTGCAGTTGCTGCTTGAAAGACTTTACAAGATCTCCAGAATGACTGCTTATCATAGCCCTGGAACATAGCGACTCCATTCTCCCTCACAGAGCATTCCATCTTCCCTTAAACTCAACCCAGCAGCTATTCATTTTACAATTGATCTCTTTTCCCATTGTGACGCATTCCTAAAAACAGAGAATACTTAATTTGGCATCAGAAATGCACGGTCCACCAGTGAACATGTCTCACATTTTCTGTTTGGAGGGGTCACACACACACACACAGGCTCAACACACAAATACCCACACACATAAAATGTGAGAAATACTTCACATAAAATGTGAAAATACTTTAAATAATTAAATACAGACAATTTAATTATGAGGAAAGTATTTTTTTTTTCCTTGAATGCTGCCAAATAAGGTTCTTGAATCTTTATGCTTTTTTCCTTCTTTTGGTGCACAGAAAGCTTGTTTGATGAAGGGGTTAAAGGTTTACAACATACAGCGTAATTTTAGAGCATGTGAGGTCAGGTGAGTCTGAGCTTGCATGTCAGTGGCTGTGGCAGCTGCTCCAGAAATCAGAAGTGGGCAGTAAATGCGGGACTTGGGGCCTTGCAGATGTCTGAGGTCACACTATTTCAGTTAGACACTTTATTCAACAAGTTCTTCAATATTACTATTAGTCAGGGAAATGCAAATTACAGTGACAATGGGATATCACTCCAGATCTATTAAAAAGTAGAACCTTGACAATGAGTGCTGGTGGGCAGGTGCTCTCATACATTGCTGGAGAAAATTTCTATTGTGACAGCCTTTGAGGAAAGCAATCTATCAACATCTGTTTCCATTAAATATCCACATGCTTAACAGTGTAGAAATCTCACTGCAGGGAAGGTAGGCTATAGAAATAAATGAGGCAGCATAAATGGATATAACTGTAAAGGTGCTTGTTGTGGAATTGTATGTTACGACGTAAATGGAATCAGAGTGGGTGTTCACACAGGGAGCGTTGGCTAAAAAGACTGTAACATACCTGTACCGTGGAAGATTTTGTGGACATTAAAACAGAATCAGTTGGTATCATATCTATTGACTTGGAGGAAGTAGAGAAGGGATACAATCTTAATTTATAAACAAAGAATAACAAAAAATTCTATGCATGCCTTTTAATATATAGTTATAAAGCTGTGGAAGGAGTTATAAAAACATAGCCATCACGTTGCACTGGCCACCTAGAGCAGTGGTTTTCACTTGAGGCAATTTTGCCACCTTCCCAACCCCCTTCCTTTCTGAATATTTTTGATTGTCACAGTATAGGGGAAAGGTGCTACTGGCATCTAGTGGGTAGAGGCTAGTGATGCTGTGAAATGTCCTGCAATATACCAGCTTGCCCCCACGAAGAATTATCTGGCTCAAAATGTCAACCATGCTGAGGCTGAGAAACCCTGACCTCGAGAATGGAGATGAGTAATGTGGAAAATAAAAATGACTGCATAATTTCTAAAAGGAGTCTATGACAACACAAACACACACCAAACACATGATCAAAATCAATAACATTAGTCTGGAAAAGAGTCAAATATACCCCAGTCTACACTGAAATACAAAATCAGGTACTTATTTTCAACTGTGCCAGTTTGAGGTTTAGCTTTTCTTCATGTGACCAGAAGGCAGAATCCTGATACAAAATAGTCTTTGATACCTTTAACAGGGAATGAGAGACCCTTCATTAATATCATGGAGAATGAGTTGTTTACATACATTTTTTTTTTGCCACTTATCATATCAATGTGCTGAAAATCCCAAAAGTGAAGAACTGCCATCTGCTTTGGACTTATGTATTAATGAGCATGTTAATTAATAGGAAAAGCCACTTACAGAAATGAAGGAATGAAATAACTGGGCAAGAGAACCTTTATAGGTATCTTGTCATTCACTCAACAAGTGAATGTGTTGGCAGCATGCCAAGTGCAGAGAGGAAAACGGAGTGTAGCACCATCCTTCCTCTCAACAGGTAGGGTAGGCCAGAGCTAGAGCAGGAAGGGAGACAGATACCCAGTGGAAAAGGCTAAAAACTATCCCAGGAGGTTTGGGTATTTCGCAAAAGAGGGGAGTTACCAGTTCTACCCAACTAGAGGAGAGGATGTAGGAAGACTGCCTGGAGAGTTGAGCTTTGATGACAACACAAGGACCCAGTAGGTGCTGTAATGATGGTGTGGGCAGGGGGACTGGAGAGAAATAGAGGGAGGCATATTTAGGAGATAGAGATGGAAGACTGATTGGAAGTGGGAGGTAGGAGAGGAGGGGGAAGGAGATTTTGGGGTTTCTGGCTTAGGGAACAGAGAGGCTGTGTAGCCAGGATTAACATTGGATTGAGCTAAAATATTGCAAAATATTCTGCCCCAGGATTTTATACAGATTCTTTTTCTATTCTCAGACATGATCTGAAACTAAAGGGAAACTCTAAGTGCTGTTTTTCAAACTCTTCCCTTGGTTTATTAATAGCTTCAACAATTACACTTAATAGAATTTTAGACATTCCTTAAAAATGATAAAGCCTGACTGTGGAGCAAAAAGTAATATAATTATCTCATTATTTCCTGATCACAAGTCTCTGCACTGTACCTGAAATGTGAGACAGATTCATCCATACTTTGAAGAATTACTGATTATTCAAGCCATAATTTAACACTAGGCCTTATAAAAATGAGTGGTTAAAATATATATTCTGTTTGAATTGAAGGTATATTTTAACAGCAGTTTCTAGCTTAACACTACTTAAGGTTTAGATGTTAATGTTTTTAAAAAATTCAGCTCTTCTACATAGCAAAAGAGGCCTGCGTGACTTGCCCCTGTTTGCTTCGCCCTGTGATCTCATCCCTGTCAAATGCTCTGCCTGTAGTTTTGGGGCCAAGCAATACTGAACCAGGACCCACTGGTGTGTGCTGTGGCCGCTGACTGCAACTCCTTTCCTCTCCTCCACTGCCTCCAGTGCAGTCTCAGCTCATCGTCCCAGTCTTGCTGCACTTTTGCATCTTTTGGGAAGCACTTACTTCCTTTACATTTCCCCTATGAAGCCTCACAAACACTTCAACCCCAGATCTTATCACTCACACTGCAATTTTTAAAGAAACAAAAAAGGAGTGTGTGCTGTCTCTGCTTATCTGTGTCTAGCATACTGCTGGCTTCACATCTCTAGCAAAAGTTCTGGAATATAATAATGTGTATCACACACACACACACATGTTCCATTACTTTAAGGGTGCACCTACGTGTGTATGGTGTGTGTCTGTTTGTGAATTTGAATATATGTGTATGTGTATTTTAAATCAGTGTCCTCAGTGATCTGCAATTGGGCAACTGTACTTGGATATCTCAACTGGCTCTTAGACTTTAATAATTGCCTATTAGTAACTTCTCTTTAGACCAAATAATATGTTATACAGAATTATTAAAGCAGAAAAAGTGTATTTGTTTTCCCTCCAGAAAAAAAAAAATTCTGAGATTTGGAATACATGGTTTGATGTTCTAAATGCCCTTTGAGAAAGATAATGTAGATGGCTCCATTAACTGTTGGGTTGGACAGGGCCTAGATGGGCAGGCAGCCTTTGTGAGCACTGGCGAGCAAAGTGGCAAGCAAAGTGGTCTGTCTCAGGCTCCTGAGACAGCTTGCATTCAGTCTTAGCTTTTCTACTTAAAAGCTGAGTGACGTGAAAATTTGCTTAAACTTTGCATGCTTTAGTTTTTGTATTGGTAACATTGGATAAAACAGCACAGTTTATAGTTCCAATTTTCAAAAATGTTTGAAAATTATTACTGTTATCATCATTACTATTAGTATTATTATTAATTCATTGGGTTGTCAAATCTGACCTGAACTTAATCTAAAGGTAAGTCTGCCCTGAAGTCATGTGAGGTTTTTATGGTCTTAGTTGAAGCCACCCGGTGTAAATAGCCACATATTCTTCAGCAGAAATATTTATGTGTGAATAATGGCGTGCTGCCCAGACTAAGCAGATGTTGCTGCATAGCACCCACTGCATGCTCAACATAACCTTTCTAAAACCCAGATCATTCGGGATTCTAAAGAACATCTGAGTTTCAGATATAAAATTGAGTAGCTGTACCTACCTCATACAGTTTTTTTTGTGTGTGACCATGAAAGTCAAGTTTTTAGTGTAGACCTTGGCATACAGGAAGGTTCACTATGAGATCCATTCTTTCTTTTCTTTTCTTTTTTTTCTTTTTCTTTTTTTTTTTTTTTTTTTTTTTTGAGATGGAGTCTCGCTCTGTCACCCAGGCTGGAGTGCAGTGGCATGATCTGGGCTCACTGCAAGCTCTGCCTCCTGGGTTCCTGCCATTCTTCTGCCTCAGCGTCCAGAGTAGCTGGGACTACAGGCACCTGCCACCACTCCCGGCTAATTTTTTGTATTTTTAGTAGAGACGGGTTTTCACAGTGTTAGCCAGGATAGTCTCAATCTCCTGACCTCATGATCTGCCTGCCTTGGCCTCCCAAAGTGCTGGGATTACAGGAGTGAGCCACCGTGCCCGGCTGTGAGAGCCATTCTTAGCACACTGCAGATATCACAAATATGAGACAGCCTCCTTACATTTTGTATAATACATAACATGCTTCAGTGTGAACCTTTTAACAGTCCTGTGACTTATGTATTATAGATATTTATCACCAATTCACTCATGTGCTAATTGAGTTAAAGAGATATTAGGCAACTTCACAGGAAGAAAATTTATCTGGTTTCGCTTGGAATCATATTCAGGTCCTCCGACCCCAGGCTAGTTCTCTTTTGTAACACCCAGCAGGTTACTAACCCACTCCAGGGCTACTAACCCTTTCCAGGAAAGTGTGGTCTGCAGGCATGGTGAAGATCACATCTTACATTCATTAGTGGATGTACAGCAGAATCCCCAACTCCTGCTGGCCCAAATAATTATGGCAATAAAACCAACTCAGTTGAGAGTTGAAGGTGGGGTCAAGGGCGGTAAGTAGTTGAGGTTCTGTTGGAGTCTGCATCTATGTCTCTGTAGTTCTCTTAGCTCTGGCTTCCTCTGTATATGGTCCATCCTCAGGCTGGTATCGGGAGTTGCAGTAGTTATATCAGGACTTACATCAGCAGGTAGGAAGGAGAGCCATCTTTTCTGTTCAAGATGAGAATGAAGAACTTTCTTTCCCAGAAACTCCTAGAAATTTTTTTTCTCATGCTGCATATGCATTAGACCCAAAAGAGACTATATACCTAAATTCCTAAAGTGGTAATCACTGCCATGAGGGGTAGATTTTTTTCAAGCTATGCAGGATCCCCTTGCAGCTCAGGGTTTGTACTTTCATGCGGAGCCAAGAATCCCTGGGGGAGATAAAGTAGCTTCTCAGAGCCACCTGTCAGGCTTGCTGTAGGAGGGGCGACCACCTTGAGAAAGAAGTTGAACAAGATCAACAGCTTTCAAGTATTTTTTTAAAAGCAGCAAAACGTTTATACTAAACATTAAATTAAATTACATTAAAAATACATCATCTTATGAAACCTGACACTATTTATAAAACAGAGAAGTGGAGCAGCTCCAGTGATAGCCGAGCAGAAGCCTTGTTCTGCTTGCTTCTACCTTGGCCCAAAGCAAACCCTGAGGCACCTCCTTGGAACCCTTGAGATTTGAAAACCACAGGGCCAGATGGTCTCTGAGCTCCCTTTTAGCCTTCAAATTTTACATATTATATAATCAAGTTTTCCTCTGATGGAGGAAGGATAGCATAGGCTAAGTAGTATCCAAAACTGACTGACCAGACAGAAAGGCGTATTAGGGGCTCAGCGTGGTGGCTCATGCCCTGTAACCTCAGCACTTTGGAAGGCCTTGACAGGAGGACCACTTGAGGCTAGGAGTTCAGAACCAGTCTGAGTAACATAGAAAGACTGTCTCTACAACAGTTAAAAAGATTAGCCAGGCATGGTGGCATGTGCCTGGAGTCTCAGCTACTAGGGAGGCTTGAGCCCAGGACTTCAAGGGTGCAGTGAGCTGTGATTATACCACTGCACTCTAGCCTGAGCAACAGAGCAACACCCCATCAAAAAAAAAAAAGGCTTGTTTGTTTGATGTATGCATTATATACTTATGCATATACTATATACACATTCAGTTAAATTTCCCTTAATATTAAAAGAAATTTTGAAACAAAAATTGCAACCGACACTAAGACCATGTAATTAATGATATTTTATTAGATAAGAACATGCTCATAATATAAAATAAGCTGTCAAATACATTCGTAAAGTAGGATATGCAGGAGTGGATGGATGGATGAATAGATGAACTGATAGTTGGATAAATACATACATAGGTGGCTTTTGAAATGCCTGGGTAAAAATGATGAGATTATTAGAGATTTTTATTTTCTTTTTCATATATTTTGTATTGTATAAAATAAGCATGCATTATATTTCTAAACGAAAACAAACAAACTCATAAATATTATTAATTTAAAATAATCAAGATGGGAATCCTGAGCTTAGACTGGGAGAAGTCAGACATAATCAAGTGAAGGCCCTAAATCCATTATCCACATGAAAATAATTTAGTCAATTGGTGCCTCAATGTGTCCCCTCAGCTAAAATCATGAATCAACTCTGTGTTGCGCCTGCTCCCAAAGACAAAATATGGGTCTCTCAGGGCCCACTACGGAGATTCAAATGAGTCGCTGCAAATCAAGGAGAAATAGCTTTTCTTACTGGCTTTGGCAAGGCACTTTTGAATTTGAGCTATGTTTCCTTTACCCCTGAAGACTAGGAAACTGCAGGTTGTGAAACACGGAAATCAGTAATAGAATGCAGACAGAAGTCTCCCATTTCAGTAATTCAGATGAAGTAGTACGAGATTGCATGTTGCCAGCTCTAGGCCGGCACGTCTGAAAGCTTGAGAAAACAAGGCATCATTATCGCATTATTCCTTGTGAATCTGGTACTTGGAAAATATACAGCATCTCAGTTTTACTACAAATCATCCACGCACGGTATTTCTGAAAAGACCCGTTGGGCCAACACATCAAAAGCTACTTTGAAGGACAAGGAATATAATGCAGTATATTTTCAGTTATTAAGGGAAGCAACTGAAGTCTGAGATTTAGTTCTAAGTCTGAAGATGCCATTAGGAAGAAAAGTAGTAAGTTCATCTGCAAGTACAGTTTTGGGGTCCTAGGCAAACCACCACCAATTGAATGGAAAACAGGAATGATCTGGATTAAAGGTTTCTGGTATCCCTCGCACCATCACTCCCCCTGCCTGCCCTGTGGTTTTATTGGATTCCACATTACTCTCCATGGGCTGGCCTGCCTAGGGTGTATGCTGTATCCTCAATTAGCCACAAAGACATGATGGCATGATCCAGACAATGGCACAATCTAAATTCTAGACAGTTACCACGGGTGGAAGGGGTGTGAGGACACAGCCACAGCTAGATTTTTTTTCCTTTCTTGTTTTTAGGTCAAGAGACAAATAGAAATGTATGTTAAGACAGAAAAAGAAAGAGGTATGTGAGAGCAGAAGCTGAATTTTGAGTTTCTAGGCAATTCTGTGAACAAAAATAGTGCCTGCAGCTTGATTTTCTGTTGGCTACTGTTCACACCTTTCTTGGGTGGGTCTGATGTAACAGTTCAGTGTCAAATGATCCTAAAATTTAGGGACTATGCCTTGAACAAGTTCCTATTGCAGTAACAGAGATTCTAGAAGTTTTGCCTTTTCTGTTACAAATACATTTAATGATTGGATGCCTAAATGTAACAGAAAAAACAAAACAAAACGAAACAAAACAAAACAAATCTAACCACTCCTGACTGGTGATTAATCGTATAATAATCGAGAGTAGTTACCTCATAGACTATTTTTGGTACGAATTGAATGTGCAAGCCTGAGTGACTGTTACATATCGATGATGGCACAGGGTTAAGTGAGAAACATGATAAATGTTCTCGATACATTGTTAAAATGCACACACAGTAATTTCCAGTCTATTCAGAGCCCAGAGCTGAATCCTATTCATTCAATAGCCCCGATGAAAGAACTGATCACTGGCCAGGCGTGGTGGCTCACGCCTGTAATCCCAACATTTTGGGAAGCCAAGGCGGGCAGATTACCTGAGGTCAGGAGTTCGAGACCAGCCTGGCCAATATGGCAAAACCCCGTCTCTACTAAGAATACAAAAATTGGCCGAGCCTGGTGGCTCACGCCTGTAATCCCAGCACTTTGGGAGGCCGAGGTGGGTGGATCACGAGGTCAGGAGATGGAGACCATCCTGGCTAACATGGTGAAACCCCGTCTCTACTAAAAATACAAAAAATTAGCCGGGTGCTGTGGCGAGCGCCTGTAGTCCCAGCTACTCGGGAGGCTGAGGCAGGAGAATGGTGCGAACCCAGGAGGCGGAGCTTGCAGTGAGCCGAGGTAGTGCCACTGCAGTCCGGCCTGGGCGAAAGAGCGAGACTCCGTCTCAAAAACAAACAAACAAACAAACAAACAAATAAACAAACAAAAAAACCCCCACAAAAATTAGTTGGGTGTGGTGGCATGCACCTGTAATCCCAGCTACTCTAGAGGCTGAGGCAGGAGAATCACTTGAAGCCGGGGGGCGGGTGGGGAGTGGTGCGGAGGTTGCAGTGAGCCGAGATCACGCCATTGCACTCCAGCCTGGGCAACAAGAGTGAAACTCCATCTCAGAAAAATAAAAAATAAAAATAAAAAAAGAAATAACTCATCACTAAGAATTCTGCTAAAGACTTACTCACTTGCAAAACTCACTTTTGACTCAATCCCATATATCTCTAACCTAATATTTATTTCAAACACTTTACTTTATTGTTAAAATACACTTAATGCCTTGAAGGACAAAGAATTTGCTCTTCAGCAAGCTATCAGTTCTTCCACTAAGGAGCCCCCATATGAAATGCTGGTTTTATGGCTCACACTGGGTCACCTACTTCCATTCAGCTTCTAGAGCCTTTGAGTTGTCTGGAGTTTGTTTATTACCTTTGCTGTTCCAGGCTGTTTCTTGCCTTCTGTTTCCTTTCCACATCACATTCTACCATTATTTCACGATTCCCTGGAATCTTCATTTCCAGTCATAAGTGATGATCCCTTCCTTTGTACCCTGCAGTACCATGAGCCAGTTTGTATGATCATATCTGTAATATGCTATTGCTCTAATTTTTTTAAGTGTCTGCCTCTCCCAGTTAGATTCCAGAAGGGCAGAGATCATGTTTTACTAATTTGGGCAAACCAGAGCCTAGTATAGAGTTCATCATATAGACAGCTATTAGCAAAGTTTCACTGAGTGAATACACGTGACCGTCAGGTGACTTGTACAAATGATTTACTTCCTCCTATGGGAGCATTAGAAAATTAGAGAACCTAAGGACTGCAGTTAGGCAGTGCTATGGACTGAATCATGTGTACCCAAAATTCATAGGAAATTTGAGCTTCAAATTGAATGGAAACCTTAGCCCCCAATGTGAACATATTTGGAGAAAGGACTTTTAGGAAGTAATTAAGGGTGGAGACCTAGTAGGATTGGTGTCCTTGTAAAAAGACAAAAAATCTTTCTTTCCTTCTTTCTCGCTTTCTCCCCACACTCCTCTCTCCCTCTCTTTCCCCCTATTCTTTTCTTTCCTTCCTCCATCCAAGGACATGCACTGAGGAAAGGCTATGTGAGGACTCCATGAGAAGGCGGCCGTCTGCAAGCTAGAAAGAGAGGCCTCACTCGAAACCAAACCAGCCATCACCTTGATCTTGGACATTCCAGCTTCCAGAATTGTAAGAATATAAATTTCTATTGTTTAAGCCACCCAGTCTATGGTATTCTGTTATGGCAATCCTAGTGGATTAATACAGGCAGGGAAAAAAATGATAGGTTATTAGAAATAGTCTAGAAAAAAGATACAATCTAAGAAAAAAATGAAGCAAAGAAGCTCATCTGAAGGGATTCTTAGGAAGACGTGAGAAGACTTGAAGTTGTCTTGCAGTATCAGAGTAAGGAACCCAATAGTACTGGAGTGCTTCTCTCACTACCAGGAATATATACTGAGTTTTATTTACAGAGACTGTCTCATTTTCATCTAAATTTAAAGAAAAACAGTCATGAAAGTGTCGAGGACTGGCATTAAACTCAGCATGGTTAGGCACTTGCACAAGGCCCTGGGGCTGCTGAGCGCTGGGCTTAAACCTATGTGGGTCTCCCTCTGCCACCTGCCAGCCTCAAGCTCCCACTGCAAGTGCGGTTCATGAGGTAAGGAAGCTTCTTCTACTTATCCATAACTTTAAAAATAGCCATTTTTATGACATTAGACACTGTCCTTGAAATTATTCCCTATTTTTCTTAATGAAAATTTCCATAAATCCCACGGGGCCTTTGACAACCTTCTAATAGGAACATTGTTTGAAGAGATCTAAAAATACAAATTTAAAAAAAAAAAGGCTTTTCAAAAGAATCATTAGGGAAATTGAGGAGGCCTGTTTTCTTTTCTTGCTCTCTCCGAGGGTTTGTTAAGGGAGGGCTTGGGCACGGGAAAGGGGGCATTAGAGGAAGGAAGGAAATTAAACTGTAATGGGAAGTTACGATTCTAGCCAATCCCGACCTTTCCTTCAGAAGGGAGGTGGAGATAAAAGTTATTATTAATAGAGGGGAAAGAGTTTACCAACCCACTAAGTAGGAAGTTCCACTCATTCAAATCTTTTCTTTCTCACTTAACACCTTCCTCCTCCCTCCTTTTCCACTCACAAAAACACAGACACACAGCCCACACTTCCACCTACAATCTACATCAGGGACCGCAATGCATTGCCCCAATATGCCAGCATTAATGTCAACACAGGGTTCCAGGAACCACCTCAATCAGCTGACTTAGTTTCTGATGCTAGGAATAGAAATCTGCAGTTACAATAAACACCCTGGGAGATTCTTATGCATAAACTAACATTTGAGAACCACTCCATCTCCCTGAACTTAATGCTCATAAAAAAAAAAAAAAGGTAAGAGATTCAGGCCTCGTGAAGATGAAAATTGCCCAGAGCAGACAGACTGTGTAAGCTAGCCACCTTCCATTGCTATACGGAAGCACATGCTTGCTGATTAACCCAACAAATATTCCCGATGCCTAGTACAGGCAAGACACTGTTCCTGTTATGCCCTTAGGATAAATATGTATTTCAGATAAATCCGTGGAATAGAAAAGATCGCCTGCCTTGTGGAGACGATATTTTGTTGATTCTATGCAGAGCCCTTCTCTTTCATGTCTCAACTATCTTGATGGGAAACATGGTCATCAGCAGGGGCCTTGGGACACAGCTGCAAGGGACATCACATGCGTAGTAGCATATCCTCAGGGGAGGCACCGCTCTGGCTAAAGGCCCCAGACTTTTGTCATTGGGAAGCTGGGATTCAGCCCTAGCTCTGCCTCAGAATGGCTGGGGACCTTACATCATCATTGGACCCCATTGCTGTTTGTATTCCCTCCATATTTATTAAGTTGGGAAATTATCTACCTATCCTACTGTAACTGCTGGCTTTGAAGATCAAATATGAAAATAGAGAGGTGACTTTATTTTTTCAGTTTAAGTGGATTTGTCAAATAAATGTTCACTGGCATCAAACAATCTCACTCCTGACATGCCTCCTCTATCAATTTTACCCTCAATATTACTTATTCTCCTTTACTGAATATCTGTAGTATATGTCAGGCTCTGTAAATCAATACTCACATTTAATCTGTACAATGGTCCTTTAGAGTTGCTGTCACAGTCATCCCTCCCATCCAGTTTTCCTTTCCTAGGTTTTAGTTTGCCCCCAGTATCTGCAGTCCAAAGATAGGTTAGTACAGTACAGCAAGACGTTTTAAGAGAGAGAGAACACATTGCATAACTTTTATTACAGTATATTGTCATAACCGTCCTATTTTATTATTAGTTATTATTGTTAATATTTTGATGTGCTTAATTTAGAAGTTAAACATTATTATAGGTGTGTATGTCTAGGAAAAAAACATATATAGGGTTTGGTCTCATCTGAGTTTTCATGCATCCATGGGGGTCTTGGCACATATTCCCCTTGGATAAGTTGGGGCACTGGACTATTTCCATTCACAGGTAAGGAGCATAACTCAGGGTTGTGCAGCTTGACTGGTGAGTTGTAACACGCACAGGGTCTGTGGGAATTTGAAGCCAGTGCACTCTGGTTCACAGACACAGATTCTTTTACTACTTCCCAAAGCTTCTGTTTTCAATTTTACAAATCTACCAGATAATTTTTCAGTGTAACATGCAAGAAGTTGGCCCAGTTAGTGCTTTTATATTTATTTATATATTTGTTCATTTTTAATTGCAAAAACATTAAAACACCTGATACTTCATTTAGAAGATAAATCTACAGTTCAAGAGGCAAGTTTTCTCTCCCCAATTCAGCTTAACTTCTTATTTTATCACTCAAACAAACTGATTATGTGCTTTTCCTTTGCTAACCTTTTAAGCCTGTTTAAATAGTGTCTGGCTTAAATCTTCTCTGCTTTAATTTTCAATTAATTTGGTTTGAGCCTTCTGGTCATTCAGCTTGTTACATAAAATAGTCAATAAAATTCTTAGCACATCTGGTTTGATTTTAGTTTGCAACATTGGGATTGGCTGATTGTGCCAAAGGAAAAGAAAATTGAATAAATTTAGTCTGCTAGCTGAGCAGGTAATAAAGAATCATGTTAGAAACCAGGGCAGGGGATGGATAAACGGTTTGTAAGCAGAGTTGGGGTGTGAATTAATGACCAAGACTGGCAGTTTAGGTATGTGAGGTCACAACTAACCTTGGTCTACAGGAAAGAAAATATAACTTTCTTACAAAAAAAAAGTCTTCCAATATTAGCAATGAAAAGTAACTTTCCATAAAGAGAAGAGACGTTCATGTAAGCCCAACATTTCTTCCTTGAAATTCACTTTGCTTGTGGGAGGAGCTTAGTAAATAATTATGTCCCATTAACATTATAGCCAAGTGTAGGATCTCAAATCTCTCCCCACACCCTGAACCACAGAGTACCTGGCACTCAGACTTTCAGAGCGGTGTTTCTCTAACTGTAAAGTTGTTGTGAATGACCCGCCAGCTTTGTCATATATTGTAGGTTCTGATCCAGCAGGCCTGGAGTGGCATTAGAAATTTGGCATTTCTAATCAGCTGCCAGCCAGGTTTAGGGAAGACTCTGGTAAAGCTATGGAGGGCCAGTGGGGGAAATAAAGCAGTGAGTATCAACAACTACATAATCTGGTTGCTACATCATCACTTGCTTCCCCACCTGTATCTCTTCTTCTTTGCTTGAAACCTAAGAAATGCCAACTGAGCATTCATTGTCCTTCCTTCACCTTCAGTTTGCATTTCAGCCCCCAAAGCAAGAACTTGTCTTCCTACTTTCTGAATCTGGGGTCACATTATATCAGAATACAACCAATAGAAAAATAATGGCTGAGGCTAAAGCCAAAAACCCTTGAGTTCACAGATTTCAGGTCCTGGATACAGTGCTCCAGTTTGGTAACAAAAATTGAAGGTGGAAGCAATGCCCAGCAAGATGAGTTCTAGGAGAAGCAAATGTAGGTGATTTCAGTGAGTAGAGCTTTGTTGTAGACAGTAGGTTAGCGTCCTTCCCCAAATCGTATGTTGAAGCTCTAATCCCCAGTGTAATGGTACTTGGAGATGGGACCTTGGGAGCTAATTAGGATCAGATTAGGTCATGAGAATGGAGCACCATGATAGGATTGTGTCCTTATGAAAGAGGAAGAGACACAAGATCTCTCTCTCTCTCTTTCTCTCTGTCTCACCAAGGAAGGGCCATGTGACAATATAGCTAGTAAGAAGGCAGTAAGCAAAAACCCAATCATTCTGGCACCCTGATTTTGGACTTCCAGGCTCCAGAGTCATGAAAGGCAAATGTTTGTTATTCAAGCCATCCAGGCTAATAGCATCCTGGACTAAGATAATCTTCTTCATCCCTGCCTCCACGGGAGAAAGAGAATTAGATGGGAAACCAGGCTGGCTGCAGTGGCTCATTCCTATAATCCCAGCACTTTGGAAGGCTGAGGCAAGAGGATCACCTGAGGTCAGGAGTTTGAGACCATCCTGGCCAACATGGTGAAACCCCGTCTCTACTAAAAATACAAAAATTAGCCAGGCGTGGTGGCAGGCACCTGTAATCCCAGCTACTCAGGAGGCTGAGGCAGGAGAATCATTGGAACCTGGGAGGCGGAGGTTGCAGTGAGCCAAGATTATGCCACTGAACTCCAGCCTGGGTGACAAAAGCAAAACTTCACCTCAAAAAAAAAAAAAAAAAAAAAAAAAGAAAGAGAGAGAGAGAAACCAAGTTTGCAAATACATGACCATGATGACCATGCAGGTGTGTTCTGGGGTAGAGATTGTTCCATAGCATTCTCGTTCTGGTGATAGCACCTCAACACTCTCTAGAGAACCTGTGCAGTGCACACTGTTAGCTCATGCCATCTGTGTGAAGCAGGTGCCACACTTCTTCTTTGTCAGGAGTGTGTGTGTGGGCTGATGTCTGGGCAACCAACATAGGTCATATTCCTGGCCAGAGTCATTAACTCTCTGACCATTTGGAGCTCAGTTCTGAATTTCCATAGACTTATTTGGGGGGGAAAGACTGCTTTCTTCTGTTTGGGACACACTGTTAGGCTGTCATCCTAAGACTGCTTGTGTCTAACTCACTTCCAGGTGGAAAGATCTGCCTGGGAGTGAAGCAGAAGTGAGAGGCAGAAAGGGTGGCTGAGACTGAGAGGGTGGGAGCGACTGGGAGCACTTTGGGGAGGAAGAGAGGAACAACATAGCTGGGATCTTATTTGATTCCTGTATCCAGAGGTGCCTTGAACTGGTGTAGTCTTCAATTACAAGCTAGATAAACTAACCATGTTCCTGTTTTTACTAAGCCATTTCAGTTGTGGTTCTGTCAAATGCAATCTCACGATCTCTGACTAATAAAAGATGCTAAGGAGACGGAATTATACACCAGAAGCAGGAAGAGTGCAAAGAACTGGAAATTAGTTTGAGTAGGAAAGATGAGACCTGATTAAAAACAATATTTGAGAACTGAGCAGAGACATATATAGGCAAATAATAAAATGTGCCATAAGGGACACAGGCAAAACAACATTGTCTTCTTCCATTGTGTATTGCTATAAAAGAATAAAAATATTAGGTAATTTATTTTTTAAAAGAAATTTATATCTCACAATTCTGGAGGCTGAGAAGTTCAATATAAAGATGTTGGCACATGGTGAGAGCCTTCATGCTGTGTCATCCCATAATGTAAAGCAGAAAGGCAAGAGAGAATGAAAGAGCAAAAGGGCAAGAAGTGGCCAAACTCACTTTTATAACAAGGTCACACTTGAAATAACAGTAATGGACAAAGTCCTAATGACCTAATCACCTCTTACTAGGAATTCTCTTTTCAACACTGTTGCACTGGGATTAAGTTTCCAACACTTGAACTTTAAGGACACAATCAAGCCATAGCAGACATGGTAACTATTTTTCTCCTAAAAAAAATGACATAACTAAGCAAAATAGTTTTTAGGGTCTTGCTTTCAACTTTCCTAAATGTCAAACTAATAACTTATAGGTAACAGCCAATACTCATGAGAAACACTTGGATAATTTTCATTCTTCCTTCGCTTATGTGCATTACCAGCATTACCTCTGTGAAACACTTCCTAACTCCCCAGCTTCTGGTTAGGTGCCATTTGCAGTGTCACCTTTTTTGTTTGTCTGTTTTTTTTTTTTAGACTGTCATCAAGGTTAGAGTGCAGTGGTGCAATCTCAGCTTACTACAGTCTCAAACTTTGGGCACAAGCAATCCTCCCACCTCAGCCTCCTGAGTAGCTGGAACTAGAAGTGTGTGCCACCACACCCCACTTTTTTTTTTTTTTTTTTTTTGTATTTTTTGTACAGATGGAGTTTCACCATATTGCCCAGGCTGGTCTTAAACTCCTGAGCTCAAGCAACTCACCTGCCTTGGCCTCTCAGAGTGCTGAGATTACAGGTGTGTGCCACCACATGTGGCCTGCAGTGTGACTATTCCTCTTTTGTTTACTCCTGGGATAACCCCCAATCTACCATAACTCAATTACCTGTCCCTAGAGGACTCCTTGGGGGCCAGGGCTGTGCATTCCCTCCGCGAACCCAAGTGCCTCGCATAGGGTCAGTGCACAAACAATGGAGGTTGAATGAATGAATGAGGTCATCTTCAAAGAAACACCTAGGTCCTGAGAATACTTTTGAAAATTAGGAAGCAAATTAGGAAGCCTCTGGCCATTTGTATATGGCATGAACTGAGAGATGCCACTGTTCCTTGTTGATGGCTACTAGTTTCCTCCTTCGTTTTCTCATCACTGTTCTTGTCTCTTTCCAATTGACTCTCAACATTGTAGCCAGAATGTTATTTTTTTAAAGGAGGTTCTGTTCATATTATTCCCTACTTAAGAATTCTTTACAGCTGTCTAGTGCTTTCAGAACTCTAAGTAACTAATTACTTATCATTGCCATCAGAAACCTGAAGGATCTGGCCCCTTCCTATCTGGCTCCTATAACCTTCTGCAATTCTAATGAACAATTCTTGGTTCAGTGTTTTTATATCATCTGTTTTCTTGCAGAGTCTACTTTGCCATTTCTCCCTGTGGTTATCCCCTCTCATATTTCATATCTTAGCACAAATGTTAGTGCTTCACAGAAGTGTTTCTTGGTCCCCAGCCCTAGGTCAAGGGCTCAATTTATAAATTCTCCCTTTGCAAAGTACTTCTCCTTAGCATAGAAATTATAATTACTTATGTTTCTAATGATTTGCCTAGTTATTTATTCAATTATCCTTGTTGCCAAAGTATACAACTTATAAAGTTGCTAAAGTATACAATATATACAGTTAGAGCCTTTGTCTTGAGCATCATATCTCCCTAGGACCTAGCATAGTTCCTGGCATTAATAAAATTTATGATTATTTGTATTTACTTTTTATCTTTTTGAGACAGGGTCTCACTCTGTTGCCCAGGCTGAAATGCAATGTCCCAAACATAGCTTGCTGTAACCTTGGACTCCTGGGCTCAAGTGATCCTCCCTCTCAGCCTTCTGAGTATCTGGAACTACTGGCATGCAAAATCATGCTGGGCTAATTCTTTAATGTTTTGTAATGACAGGGTCTTTCTATGTTGCTTAGGCTGGTCTTGAACTCCTGGCCTCAAGCGATGCCCCTCTGTGGCCTCCCAAAATGCAGAGATTACAGATGTGAGCCATGGTGCCCAGTCTGTTATTATTGTTATTATTATGATGATTATGATTCAGAAGGTGAGTTAGGTCATGCCTCATCATGTGGAAATAACTGATCCCAAATAAGTTGCTCTTTTAAACCTTTTTTACTCTTTTAGATAATCTATATATTTAATTCCATTAATAGCTGAAAACTACATTACACTTCAATGTGTCGATGTTTTAAAGAAACAGAGAGAAGTAGAAATTTTGACAACTGTTTGATTCTAACTTGAACACCTGTCTTGGTTGCTGTGAGCTCCATCAACAGCTGTTTCTAGCCTCAGAGGAAGTGTCAGACATTTTCTATGGCTGTTGACATGGACAGGCTGCTGCTTCTCTGTCTGTTATATACATTTGCACAAGTTTGCAAGGTGGAATCATCTATTTTTGAAACTCACCATTTAGAAATGTGTATCATGACTGAATACATAGTTTACAAGAATTTCTTCCATAACACTCTGGCTATGTGTCCAAACAGACACTGTCCTGTTTGAGTAGCTTCAGGGGAGTGATACTTGGTTTCTGCCTCCCTCCTCCCCATATGCTGGTAATGATTCAGCAGGGCTTAGAAAAAATGAAAAAAATAGACCTCCCAAATGTTCATGAGAAGGAGTGAGGGTGTTTCCACAACACAGTGGAAGCTGGTGGAAAACACAATTTAAGGGGGGACTGCAGTCAAATACAAAAAGCTAGATCAGCTAAGAAAGGAACAACAGGAAGGTGGGTTTGTCCCTTTATGTAGGCAAAGAGCAAATCTACGTAGTCAGAATACAAAAAACAAAGAGCAACAAAGGATTTAATTCCTAGGAAGAAGCTCTGAGCAGTAAACATGCAAGATCCAGGCCAGAATCTGGTGACAAGATTCATTTCACCAAAGGCAAAAAAGGAGTTTCACATTGGACTAGCTACTTTCTAAACTAAGTACTCTTTGCAACACACTCAGCTTACTCAAGCCCAGAAGTCTTTGGTCAGGGTAAAGAGCCAAATCTACAGATGACAAAAATGGGTACCACTGTGGCTTGCTGGTATCTCCCAAAGTTCACATGTTGGAAACCTAATCCCCAGTGCAAGAGTGTTGGGAGGTGGGGACTGATAAGAGGTGATTAAGGTCATCAAGGGCTGTGCCCTCATGAAGGGATCAATGCTGCTATTTTGCGGAGTGAGTTAGTTACTCCAGGAGTGGGTTCCTGGTAAAATGGTAGGTTTAGTACTTTTCCTCTCTCACTCTCTTGCCCTCACCCTCCGTGTCCCTTCACATTCTGCCATGGGATGATGCATCACAAAGACTCTCATAAGATGCCAGAGACATGCTCTTGGATTTCCCAGCCTCTAGACCCATAAGCCAAATGCATTTCTGTTTATTTAAAATTACCCAGTCTGTGTTATTCTGTTATAGCAGAATAAACTAAGCTAAGACCGGCACATAAATGTGAAACAGAGCAAAGGGATAGGGATAGCATGCTTTTACTTATTTATTTATTTATTTGTTTATTCTTAACAGTATATAGTCTGTGTAACAGTTGTCTAGAATTTCTATAACCAAATATAGACCATGTGGCTTAAACAATAGAAGTTTGTTTTCTCAGTTCTGGAGACTGGAAATCTCAGATCAAAGTTCTAGCTGTTTTAGTTTCTGTTGCAGCCTCACTACATGGCTTACAGACAGTTGCCTTCTCACTGCATTCTCACAAGGCCTTTCCTCTGTGTATGCCATCTTAGGGTCTTTTCCTCTTCTTACAAAGACATCAGTCCTATTGGATTAGAGCTTCACTTTATGACCTCATTTAATCTTAATTATGTCCTTAAAGGTCCTATCTCTAAATATAGTCACTTTGGAAGTTAGGAATTCAATCTATGAATTTGGGGATAATAAAATATAGTCCATAACAGTACTTCAGTGACATTTTCCCGTAAGGAGTCACCTGTGGTGAGTGTCCTCCAACAATAATCTGAAGTGGAGTTTTTAAGGTGGATCCAGAAATTAGTCACCCAAGAGATCAGAGGCAAAATGGCAACAGTTGCTGTTGCATCAGGAGTATCATCATAGGCCTGATACAGTGCCAAGATCTGGGAGAGGATGAAACATGGTTTGAATAGAAGCTTTTGGGAATGAGGTTTTAGGAAGTACACAGTGAATGGGATATGAGTGTGTCCTGCTTTCTTTTGTGGAGTATAATGTACATGAGTGTCACATAGCACTATAGGTAGTAAGCCAAGCTGAGCAGCATAATTTCACCTCATTATAAAGTCATTTTCCAAAACAGCATCAATGAAATTTAACTATATGAGGATAGCCAAGAATACCACATTATGCATAAATCCTTCACTAGTGATTGCCTTCTTATGTCCCTGCTTGGGGAGCAGAAATGCAGGCAAGAGTTAAGTGTGATGGATAAGAGCAAAACGAATAGTGCAATGTTAGTTCGCAAATTGTGAAAGGCATGATAGTTTAACACGTTGATCGATACTACACTTTATTTAGCAAGCACTGCTGTCCGGTTTTTGGAGATGACATGCTACTTTTGCAAAGAAAATAAAGATTCAGAGACTATCAATTGCAAATGGTATATAATCCATCATGAAAGCAAAAGAGTCAGTACTAGCAATTACAGATCAACATCTTTGTAAAGCACGTGATGCCTAATCCCAAAACTGCTAAATCACAAATTCAAGAAGAAACAAGTGTGAGCTTAGATACTGCAGCTTCTTCAGGGAGCTCATTTTGTTTAAAAGCATACCATGTTTTAAAACTTTTCACTGTGGTATTTTGTACTGAAGTATTTGAGGATATATTTTTCTCCAAAGCAGAAATACATTATATCTAGAATGCTTGGATTTCGTATTTCCTGTGGGCAAGTAGATTTCCCTTCAGTGTTTCAAGGTGAAAGCTGCAGCAGAGTCATGCCCTTTGGCCCTCTGGTTACCTTTGTTTAATCATCTGGAGAAACTGCCTGCTGAAAAGCTGCTGTTGTCCCTCAGGCCAAACCTGTTCTAAGTCCTTGCAGCCTGCAGAGCAATGGAGGAAGGCAAGGGAATGAAAAAGTTCCTGGCCCTACTTTGCTTAAATCTTCCATCTTCAGCATAAACTAACCTCTTCCATGTGGCCTGCCAGTGCTTCTATCCCTGCCACTCGCCTGTGGTCCAGCCCCACTGCTGTCCCCTCTACAGGAGGCATTGCAGACCTGATGACCTTCCTCCATCGTACCAAGGATTCTTACGCTCTTCTTCCTCCCAGCCTGCTCTATTCTCTGCTCCATGCCTAGAACTACACTCCTCTCCTATCTTCACGTGACTCATTCCTATCCATCCCAAATGCATCAGCTTAAACCACCCTTCCTCCAGCAGATCCTTCCTATAGACTCAGTGAGGTGACTCTGCACTTGTTATAGTTTATCAGACTTATTTGCCTTCCTTGTGATTATGTGTCTTTGTGATTACGGAAATGTTTGGGTTCAGTGATAGTGTTTGGAGAATAAGAAAACAGATTTCTGTGTGCAGTAAACCTAAGATAAGAGGAAATGCTACGGAAGTCAGTGTAATCAAAGACAGGTGGATACTCATAGATTTTCTCATCCACAGAGCTGGAATGAGTCATGACTTTGCTGTCTCACCTCTAAGAAACAGTTGAAATTAATATTAAATCATGGATGTGAAAGCAGTTTTACAAAGGAAAGCTGATTTGTAATAGTGTGAGAAAGAGATTTAATCCTCACCAAATATTACATGTGTTCTCCTAAACTTCCTAGCCATACTTGAATTGAGATTGGAGCCATCAGACTAGTTCCAGCAAGTAGACGCAAGCAAGAGTGGTGTGTATTAACTATGGGACAAGATGGTTAAAAGCTAGGGTAACACATCCATTAGTCCTTCCCTTCACCATGGTCTTTGTGACCTCAGACACCAGGCATTCCAGGTGGCTAAGCTTTAGATGAAGGAAGGATGCCTCATCCACATCCAATTATAATGTGAGAAATACATTGCTGCATTCAACATTGAGAGTTTGGAAGTTTGTCTTCCATGAACAGTTAGTATTAATTACTTAGACTAGTATGGAAATTGGTAGCTTGAAATCAAGTGCTTCTACACACACGCACGCACATGTTCATTGCAGCACTATTCACAACAGCAAAGACATGGAATCGACCTAAATGCTCATCAATGATAGACTCGATAAAGAAAATGTGGTATATATACACCATGGAATACAATGCAGCCATAAAAAAGAATGAGATCATGTCCTTTGCAGAGACATGGATGGAGCTGGAGGCCATTATCCTTAGCAAACTAACGCAGGAACAGAAAACCAAATACAGCATATTCTCACTTATAAGAGGGAGCTAAACAATGAGAACACATGGATACATAGAAGGGAAAAATGCACTGAGGCCTTTTGGAGGGTGGAGGGTGGGAGGAGGGAGAGGATCAGGAAAAATAACTAATGAGTACTGTTGAGACAGCCGGGTAAAAAGGGGTCCCCTGAGAAACTCCAACCAGCCTGTGCACTGGGAGGAATGCACACTGTGGGGGAGCCACAAAAATATGCACCAATTGCAGTGGGGAAGAGCCTGGCCCCTCCTCTTCCTGCGTGGAACCTGGGATTTAATCTGTGATGTGGGAAGCATATACTAGCAGGATTCTCTCTCTGGGTTTGTGACGTGTCCCTGTTTCCCTTTTCTTTCCTTTTTGTCCAATAAATTCCATTTTTCTTCCCCTTCAAATTGTCTGCGAGACTTATTTTTCATGGCTGTGTGACAAGGATCCCCCATGTTTAGCTAAACTAAGGAGATAGTCCTATGACACTGTGGCAGGCCAGGTCTTCCTAATGGCTGAACAGTCAGCAGTCAGGCCTCTAGAACAATTGTTTCAGCACTAAGTGGTTAAGTTAAACATTAAAAGCTGATAGAGCCAGTGTCCTTACAAAAAGGCTGGAAGGTAACAAAAGCCCACCAAGAGTTTTGCCTAGGCCATCCCTGGGTCTTGAAGTATGACAAGATAATGAAGGAATTCTTAACAGGACCCACTTAGGATTAAACAAGTTTTATTGGGGGGTCTGAAGGAACTCCCAAGGCCTCCACAACAAGTTTATTGGGGGTCTGAAAAAACTCCCCAAACCTTCATGATTTAGCAGGAGACAAGATAAGGTCAATCACCCCAGCTCTTGGACCCATTTAGATTAAGTAAATTTACTGAGGCTCCAGAGGAAGGTCTTCAGGACTCAGACCTTAGTTATAGTTTAGAGGAAGTTAATCACTTATGACTTTTGATGAATGAACACTTACACATAGATATATAGCTTAGAAGGTATATAAGCTCTGGAAAACTTCGTAATTTTGAGTTGGTCTGGTGATATTTTCCAAGCCTTCTCCCTGTACCCAGTTACAGACATAAACTCCCTTCTTTCCCAGCTCATCTTCATCTCATTTTTGGGCCATGAAAATAAGCAGCCCGACCCTCAGTTCGGTCTGGGAACAGTGCTAGGCTTAATAACTGGGTGATGAAATAATCTGTATAACAAACCTCCATGACACAAGTTTACCTATGTAACAAACAAGCATTTACATCCCTGAACTTAAAATAAAAGTTTTAAAAAAGAAACAAATAAGAAAAAAGGAAGAAGGGAGTGCCAGTAAATAATTGGATATGTGGGAGGCTGAGATGGGCAGATCACAAGGTCAGGAGTTAGAGATCAGCCTGACCAACATGGTAAAACCCCATCTCTACTAAAAGAACAAAAATTAGCCAGGCGTGGTGGTGAGCACCTGTAATCTCAGCTACTCAGGAGGCTGAGGCAGGAGAATCGCTTGAACCCGGGAGGCGGAGGTTGCAGTGAGCCAAGATTGCGCCACTGCACTCCAGCCTGGGCAACAGAGTGAGACTCCATTTCAAAATAATAATAATAATAATAATAATAATAATAATAATAATAATAATAATAAATAATTGGATGTGGATTGCCTGGCTTAGTAGTTCTCCGATGGGTGGCAAGGAGCCTGATAATGGAAGTTGGAAAGATGGAGACTACGTCTGGTGATGGTGAAACCTTTATTGAAATCATGACCTTTGAAGGCAGACTATATGCACAGAGGACTTAAGTCTTAAGGGAAGAAGCTGCAAATCAGAAGAGTATATCAGCTGTGTGTGGTAAGATTTAGAAAAAAGAGAAAAAAGATTGTATATATGAGGGAGCAGGAGACATTGGAAGATTGCAGAAATGTGGGAACTTTTTGATTGGAAAAAACGGTGCTTCTAGATAACCAAAAGAAATGATAGGATTTTATAAAGATTTTCAGCAGCAAAGACCCAGTACAATCTCTCAGTTAGATAAAGCAATTCAGTGTAAAGATCCAAAGGGTGTATCATTCCTGTGCATTTTCCCAGAAAGATTATTTGAAATCAAATTGAGAGAGACAGGCTCAGGGAGGGGGTGCTGCGACGGAAGTCAAAACTTCCGAAAGAACTGTGGGTGTGGTTACCGGCACGGAGAACCAGGCATATTGACCAGTAGTTCACTTAGTTTTTGAGGCAAATATTTTATCAAACATACCATGAGTTTGGACCAAAAGGACTTTTTAATATTTGGTGCTTAAAATATTCCTTGTGGCTCTAACTTTCTGTGGATAGGAAGTGAGAGGAGAAAGTATAACCCCAAAAGGCATATCCCCTAATTTCCATTTTTGCTGATGCCAGAGAAAGTAATAGGAAAAGAATAACCTTCCAGAGAGGAGTCTAACAGCCTGGATAGTGATAGACAAAGGAGCTGCCCCAGAGAGCAAATCAAGCTTCCATTTTCCAAGGCAGGAGGATGTTGCAACGTTTGCTGAACAGGATTGCAGAACGGCTGCAGGCTGGGGACTGTTGAGTGGCAGAGAGCCCTTCTCCAGTCTCACCCTCTGAATGAATAGCAGTGCCTACTGCAGCTATCCTTTTCCTGTTCTATTTTTGCACATTGGATATATATGTGTATACATTTATGGGGAGAGGGGGTATTGAGGAGAAGGGATGATATTCATTTTTTTAATTTTATTTCTTTTTTAAGTCAAGGTCTCTATACTAAGAGAGGCCACATGCCGACTTTATGAAAACACTACCACACACGTGGTCTTGGAAGTAGACAAGGTAATTGGATGGCACTTTGGAATGACTTTCAAAAGCATGAATGACAAAAGTGTGGTGTATCATGACCACCAATGAGTGGAGGGACAGGAAAAGATGGGAGTGTACATGTATAAGAGGGTAGCAGATATTTGGTGACAGAAAGGCTGGTGGTGACAAAGACAGTGTTCACCATCCATTTCATGTCCTCCATTACACTTAGCCATGAAACCAGATCTGCCCAGTACTCTGTAAGGGTGTGTGCTGTGGGCCATTTGCGGGCAGTTAAGAGCCGCTCTGCATCTTCTGTTTTGTTTCACTTGCCTTTGCAACTTTGCAGGGTGCTTGTTCTAAGCAGCATGCTACAAGATGGTGAATGGCCACCCAATCACAGACCTGAGAAATAAATCTTTGTGGCATTAAACCACTGGAATTTCAAGGGTGATTTTCTGTTGTGAGCAGCTAATATTAATTACCTTGACACATTGCATGAAAAAAAAGTGCACTATCACTATAATCAAGTGAATAGCAGCCTGCATGATATGAATGGATCTAGTAAGATATACATATAAAAAAGAATAGGCCAAAATATGAATAGAAGGGAAAGGTACTATATAAATGTACATAATAGGTTTTAGGACTTTCTTCATTGAATATGCAAACATAATATACTGCTCAGGGGAGGATTATCTAAAACTTTTTGTTATTATTAATTTCCTAAAGAATTCCTTTAATCACTTATTTCTTGCAGATGATTACCTCTTGGAAAAAGGTTGAGTGAAAATCAATCAAAGTCAGAATGATGGTAACTGCCATGGCAATGTCAGGAAGTTACCCTATATGGTCTAAAATTGGGAGGAACCCTCAGTTCTGGAATTGTCCACCTCATTCCTGGAAAACTCATGAATAATCCACCTTTTGTTTAGAAATAAACATAAAATAGGCAAACAGCAGGTCTTGGGGCTTCTTTGCCTATGGAGTAGCCGTTCTTTTGTTCCTTTACTTTCCTGACAAAATATTTGTTGTAAGCACTAATTATTTTTAAGTCAATTAATGAAAACTCATTTGTATCACACAGAAACAACATCTATAAATACACAGACAGAAGAAGATCCACACTCAATTTTGTCTCCCAGACCTATTCAATGGTCACCAGGTGATTTTCGCTGTCCTCAGTAACCACTGCCATAAGGACAATCAGAAGGAAAATTAACTCATTTCTCAAATAATATTGTACTGAAAGAAAAGTCAGAAAGTCTTCTCTATATATTCGAGCATACAAGGCTGAAACTGAGGTATCTACCTGGTAGGCCTCTGTACACCACATAATCCATTCCATATAAACGACTCTCCCACCTCTGCCAAACATGAGCCCAAATGATCAAAACTAGAGTTAGTAGCGATCCAAATTGATCTTCACAGTTATGCAAAAAAAGAAAAAAAAAAAAAAAGAAATCAACCTGAGAACCATGTGCAAGCTCTCCTCTTCTCTAGTTTGTCTGTTTGTTTGTTTGTTTGTTTGTTTGGTGGTGGTTGTTGTTTTGTTTTTGAGATGAAGTCTTGCTCTGTCTCCCAGGCTGGAGTGCAGTGGCAGGATCTCCGCTCACTACAACCTCCGCCTCCCAGGTTCAAGCAATTCCCATGCCTCAGCCTCCGGAGTAGCTGGGTGCCTGTAATCCCGCCACCACACCCAGCTAGTTTTTGTATTTTTAGTACAGATGGGGTTTCACCAAGTTGGTCAGGCTGTTTTCAAACTCCTGACCTTGTGATCCGCCCGCCTCGGCGCTCCCAGCCATCTCCTCTCTAGTTTTATACAAAGCTATATTTTTAAATATTATATAAAGCCATGGATGCATTATACTGAGTAATATATGTGGCATGTACTCACTTCCACATTAAAGTGAAAGTGCGAATTTTTTGTTGCCGGAAAATGTTACTTTAGTCTAAAAACTTCCAGTAGCTGCGCATAGCATTTAGCATCAAATTCGAGCTCCTCACAAAGACCTATAAGCCTCCAAATACCTCTACATTCCCTTCTTGTACCCATCTCATCCTTATTCTGTTCTGGAACTTCAGGTACTGGCCTTCCTCCAGTTCTTCAAACTGCCAAGCTTGATCCTGCCCCAGGGCTTTTGCACTTGTCATTTTGTGGTTTCCACTGCCTAGATTTCTTCTCCTCTGGTACTAAAGATGGCTGGACTCTATAGACCACATATCATCTTTTAAGAGAGACCCCTGCTGTGTTAATTCAGAATATGTTTACATTGAACTCCAGCCTGAGGATTAAAAAAAAAAAATTCCTGTTTTACTTATTTTATAATACTTCTCATTACTTAAAATATTACCTTATTTTTTTTCATGTATTGCTATTGCATTTATCTGTTGTGCCCAAGACTCTTTTCCTGGGATCAGAAGAGTGTCTAGTACGCAGAAAACAAGGTATCACTAAATATTTCTTGAATAAATATGCTATGTGGGATAGTAGCATAATTACCAGCCTCCAGAGAAAAGTGCAATTTAATGCAATCAGAGCTTCCATGTCGGGACAAATAAGACACATCCCAATTTAATACAAGACACCCAGCCTCCTTCCACCCTACCCTTTCTCCCAGCCCCATGCATCCTGGGATCAACTTCACAGTGGTCTCTGTTCCTCAAATACACCATGCTTTTCCCTATTTGAGGACTACATCCATGTTGTCCCTATATATCTACATTCTTTCTCATCTCTGCTATCAAACTTCTCAGCCCCCCAGACTCAGCTCCACTCTCACTGCTTCCTTTGAAATCTACCCCAAGCATGCTTGGTCCCAGTCCTACTTTCCTGCAGGTGAGATTGGTCAGTCTCTGTGTTTGCTGTCCTCGGGTGTTTTACTAGGACAATTGTAGAGGATTATGGTGATTATCTCGGTGTATGCATTTCAGTCACTACCAGAAGAATCTCTTAAGAACAAGATCTTTTCTTTCTTTTCCTTTCAGAGAGAAGTATGCATAATGCATAGAACACGGCCAATACCTAGTAAATGCCTTTGATTTAAAAATATAATTGATTGAAAATTATAACTATTTAAAAATAATTTTCACAAGTTCTATTCATATAATTTGCTGAACATTATGTTACTACAAAGTGCTATTGATATTCTTTTAGTTATTTAAAACCTATTTCAAAATATTTTTGTTTCAATTATGCATTGGATTGTTATTAACTACATTGGATTATGCATAGAATTAAATTATGCATTGGAATTTTAATATTTTTATTTCTTGATATTCAGAGAATACTATTCAATGCAATTCAGTTTTGAAATTTTTGTAAGATTTAGAAATTCCAGTACTTGGAATCTATCCTAACAAAATGATCAGAATTGCAAAGGGAGAGATACCCATTTCTGTTGAGTACAGTAGAGGAAGTAGAACTATCCTAAATGATCTACAGTAAGGAAAGGGTTAAATATCATATTAAACACCATATGAGAGATGATTTTCAAGTATAAAAAAATTTAAAAATTTTTAAAAATATTTATTTGCTGAATCACAAACTGACTTTATTATATTGGTGGGATTTTTAAACTTAAGAAATAAAACAATTTTCACCAATAAAATTATTTTTAAAAACTAAAATAACAATTATTCTTTTTGCTTATTCATATACTTTATACTTTAGCTCTGTCTCTACTACCTCATTATTGCATTTTTCTGAAAAACATATCTTTCAATATGGTAATTTTTATAGAAAACTGCTTACAGTTTTCTTCAGAATTATAGTTTAAAATTTATATGTTGGAAATTGTTGACATAACTACCTGCGGCTTCTTTGTAGACCACGATATTATTTATTCTGTCTTTAGATGCTGAGATCTCTGCAAAATTCAGAAAAACATTGATAAGTGGAGGATATTCTTAATTCTAATATTTTTGCATAAGGTTTTTAACATATTTCAGTCAAATATTTTATATGCGAAGTGTTTTCTCCTCCTTTTATAATATCTTTCTTTAATAAAAATATTATACAATAAAACTTGTCAAATAAGCCTCTATGCTTCTCTTCAATCTATGATCAGATTGAGGTTTATGTGAAATCATAGACTTTCTCAATTTTATTTCTTTCTGATATAAGATATGAATTTATCTATTTAAAAATAGGAGCTCTATCAAAATATTCTTCCCAGAAGTCAAGAGATTCCAACATGTAATTATGGGTTTTTAAAATTAAATTTTGTACATATCTGAGTGTCCATCATTTAATTTGCTCCGTTCCTCCTTTGCTTTTGTAGGAATAATCTTCAATATATTCCTGTTTGTAAGGTTTGTTTTCAATAATCGTAATTTTCTAAAAGCCTCAAAAGCTGAAGGCTTTTGGTGCTACATTAATTGAAGAGCATTTGAAATCTCTTTGAAAGAGATTTTTTCTAAGGGTCTTAAAGATACTGGGAAATGTTCTCAATATTGAATGGGAATAAAAAAAAGAGAGATAAAACTAAATAAAGCACCCTAAAGGAAAAAATATGTAATTTTTCAAGTTGTTCTAGCTGTGTATATTTTTTGCACTGTAGCATGCCTAAAACTGGGGTGCACCCTCCTGTCAATAGGTCACTGTTGGTCCTCATATGATTGTGCTTGGCCACATGAAAACTGTGTAGACTTGGGCAAAGCTGGGCACAGCTTCATTATTTTATGAGTCAATTTTAAGTTTAATTGCTATTTAAAATGGCTTTAAAATATTATGCTGTGATTCAACATTGAAAAAAGATTGTTTACTTGGGAGAAACAGCAGCACAGAAGACCACACCATGTTGGACACAGATGTGAATAAGCCAAACAGGAGTCAAGAGAGACAGACTGTGAATGTGGTTTTGTCCGAGGAATATGTTACCCAATTAATTTTGCATCTATTTTTAATGTATGACCGAGACTGATACTACAATAAATACCTCTGCCTATATAATTTGAAGGCCATTTCAAGGCATACAAAACAGAAGTTCTAAGAGGTACAAAGCAGTGTGTCAGTGTTTATTTGGCAGCATTTTTTTCTCCTTAGGAAATAATTGTAGGTCTGACAATCACTGGCAACTTAGATTAAATCATAGGTCTACGCATATAAAAAAAAAAACAGAAGAAAATATCTTAAAATGTGGCTCTCTCTGGTGTACAGAATTACAAATACTGATTTTTTCTTAATTTACTATCTATAGTTTCTAAATAGATAAAAATAATTACATACAGACTGAAAATATTAATTAATAGTTGCCAGTATTTGTAATAGCAATATTAAGTGTTTATCTTTCATTATAGAATGAAGAAGGTATCATAAAACTTGTATAAGTATATATAATTATATCAGTGAAAATATTGATTGTGTTAATAAAAATGAAAGCAAAAAACACCAAAATTTTAACAGTAATTTAAAATGGTTGTAGGTAGCAGTGATAGAATCTATCTGTGGAGATATCTCTGCCTCCGTTTTCTCTTTGCCAATTTTTCAACAATGACTATATACGCAAATCAAATTATATGAATCAACAAAAAACAAACAATAATTACTACAAGATTATTAATTACAAAATAAATACAAGATTATCACATTCAAAATGATTGGCATTTATATCTCTGCTCAGTTGCATCTACTGCCCATGAGGATCTCACTCTGTGACTGTCACTGTGGCAAGTTTTCACACATACTATTTCATTTCCTATTCACAACAACTCTATGAGGAACATCTACAATTATCCCTGCTTAAAATAAATAAATAAATAAATAAATAAATAAATAAATAAATAAAGGAAGGAAGATGAGACTTGGCATGGCTCAGGGCCTCTGCAATGCCTGTGGTGAGTAAGAGTTGAAATCAGAAGGAGGGCCCATTCTGTAACTTCAATAAAGTTCAGGACCATGAAACACTCATGGGTTCCTCATAGGACCACCATGACAAACAGCATCACAAAATGCCTACTGAGTGAATTGCAGATGGAACAGTTCCCAATTTACACGAAAACAAACTATAGTAGAGAGAGGTCAAGTAACCTGTGGATGACAGCAGAACTATTCTGTTCGGTGAGAGCATTAGTCTAGGACTTGCCTAAACAAAGGTGAAGACTTGTGACCTGTGAGTAATGGAAATTGAAATAGAGGTCCCCAAATCATGTTTTAAATAGTACTGCGGCCAGCCTGGCAGTTGAAGATGACTTTTCTAAAATTTATGTTGCATCAGTAGGTTCAATTTTAAAGATCCATGTTCAGAGTAGGTAGAGGATCTTTTACAACAGCGTTGCAGTCAAGATGTGGATGAATTGATTTCACTTTCTTTGGCAGATGAAGGTGGAAAATAATTGTAGTAATAACTTATATCATGATTTCCAAACTCAAAGCACTGGGGAAAACAGTGCTCAATGCCTTTTGAATATGGCATTCTATTAGCTATCGAGTTTCAGGAACGGCTATAAGACTGGAAGGCACATTCAATATGACTTAGTGAATAGTTCATCTTCAGATATGCCATGCTGAGTCAGACCAGCGATCTACCCGGCCTAATAGCTTGTTTCTCACAGCAGTTCCAAGGGGAAGTCGAGGGAAGCACAGATAGTACCCTTTGCAATGTCTTCAAAGATTTATAAACACCCTCCCCAAAACCCAATGAATATTTTTAGATGCACATTTTAAAATGTGACATATTTCTTGAATAAATTTGGAATAATAAATATAAACTAGAAAATTTAAAAAGTACTCATAATCCCACAAGTAGAGTTTCTCAAAAGCCACACTACTGGGTAAAAGTGTACACACACCTAAGCATCTTCAAATATCAAGTTTATACTGTGTGTAATTTCAGCCAGACCCACAAGAGGCAATGCTGTAGAGGCAAAGAGCATGGCACAGGAAGGATACCTGGTTCAAATCCCAGATTTAGCTTCACATTAATTCTTTAATCTGTCCAGCTCTCGGTTTCTTCAGCTGTAAAATGATGGCAATATATCTATTTCACAGGATTACAGTAACATTTAAAAAATATACATTGAAGGCCTGGTCCTCTGTCTGGCTATGCAATGAATGTTCGTAAGTGGTAATTGGTTATAAATGTATAGATTTCATTTTATTACGTTTCTTCTAATGCTGAAACAATTTTCTTATGCTTCAAGAAATAGACTTTTATTTTAATATTATGGAGACTGATGACAAATTTGTATTCACAACCTTATACATTTTCATATCCCTTAAACATTCTTCTGTAATTGTCTACACTTTTAAGCCATGTGAAACAAATTTTATATCTATATCACTTAACTCTTTCTTTAGACAGCTGAAAATCCTCCATACATTTATTACTCTAGATTGTTAACAATAGCTTAGTCACCTATTTCATTAAAAACAATCTTTATTAGAGCAATACAGTGAAGGTTAACTTTGGCTCTTTGCCAAAAATGATAGGTGTCTAATTAGTGAAACGGTCTTTAGAAGATTAAAAAGTAAAATATATATACCAGACACCTTTGAAGACTGAAACACAGCACAATACAACAGAGAAAATGTCAATACTGAGTGCTGTTTTGATGACTAGCATCTTTGGGTCACTGGCCACCTAACCCCTCTGATTATATATTGGTCTGCTCAAGTAGTGGTTATCATTGTTAATTAGAAAACTGAATTGTAAAATTCTAAAGTCTTATGGTTTGACAGAGGACTTAAAAAGGCATCTTTGTTTAACTTGTCATCTAGGGCTAGAATTCACTTCTACTACATTCATAGCCAATTTTCATTTATTCACACAATCATTCAAGGAAAGTTGGTTGAGTTTCTCTGACTTTCCAGTCACTGTTCTTGGCTTTGAACACCAAACCAGGAAGAAACTTTTAGCAGCATAGAACTTAAACATTCATTGCAGGAAAAACGGGCAGTGTATCTAAAGGAATAAATAAATGACTTTCAAGAGTAATAAAGTGCCTATTAGGAAATAAACCCATAGAAGGGAGTGGAAAATCACTTGAGAGACGGGGGTTTCAAGGGTTTAATTTAATTAAAATAGCAAGAATCATGAGTTCCATTTTTTATTATTATCCAAAGCATGCTGAAGGAAGTTAACTCAAAATAAAAGTATTTATCAGAATTTATAGATCTTCCATGACACCAAGAGAAAATAATTTATAGAGGAAGCAAACAATTAAATTTTTAAAATTCTATTTACAAGAAAGGGTCACATCTCCTTGTGAGGAGGCCTTAGATTGGGCTCTTTCAATTCCTGGGTCTCAACACAGTGCCCCATGTATAGAGTTTTCAATAAAAATCTGTTGACTAATTGATTGACTTGATTTACAGTGAGAGTATAATTGGTGAATTGAGCAGAGAAAGCTAATGGTGAATACTTCTAAAAAGTTTTGCTATCTGGTACTTAATTTTTAGCAGTTTGTCTTTAGTACTAAAAGATACTGTCCTGGCCAGGTGCAGTGGCTCATGTCTGTAATCTCAGCATTTTGGGAGACCAAGGCTAGAGGATCACTTGAGCCTAGGCATGCAAGACTAGTCTGGGAAACATGGTGAGTCCTTGTCTATATGAAAAAAGAATAAATTAGCCAGGCATGGTGACAGAAGCCTGTAGTTCCAGCTACTTGAGAGGCTGAGGTGGGAGCATCACTTGAGCCAGGGAGGTCATGGCTGCAGTGAGCCAAGGTTGCGTTATTGCACTCCAGCCTGGGCAACAGAGCAAGCAAGGCCCTGTCTCAAATAAACAAACTAACATCAAACATCAAAATTATACAATCCGTAGTCTTTATTAGTCAGTATTCATTATAAATATCAAAAATTTGTGTTTCTGAACACTAAAGCAAAAAAGATGTAGCTTTCCTTGAATTTTTCACTTAAAAATAAAACATTAGTGTTTCTTTAACCTATAGAAATATTGCAGACTCCACTAGTCAGGTACATTAGAATAAAACAAAGTTGACTGGGGAAATCTCTAGGCTCTTAGATGAGAATTATGACCTTGTACACTGATGACAAATCAAAAGAGGGGTAGATTGGAAGGACCAGACTCATATTATGGTAGGTAAATCTGTGGATACATTTGCTGCACAGATTCGATGAAGCTAAAATGCTCCCAATATTACGCAGTTCTTCAATTTTTCTTTTTAAACATACGGATGGTCTAATTTGAGCTTCTCTAAAAACACAATAAATAAACAAGGCAGTCATCATCAGTATAAATTGAGAGAGGGGACAATGCCGAGATTAACGAAGCTTGACAGGGACATGGTAGAAAAACATATTTTGAAGTTTCCAACGCCAAAGAGCTGCAAATCCTTTATCAACCCTAATTTACATTGGTTAGCACCCGGCATACTGGCCTAAGTCCTTGGATTTTGGGTTATCTACAGGTTGCATGCTGTCAGAAGGTGAAAACCATGAACCCCATTTCCTCATTTATCCAATGGAGATAATGAGACCACCTACCTCAAAGAATGTTGCAAGGATTCTAAAATGTTTACCGCAGTGCCTGGCACAGGTAAGCACCCGATTGTAGCTAACATTGCTGTGTCTTTATTTCCTATCAAGATATGCTATTGACCTTTGAGCGAGTGGGAGTCAGACTGTGGCTGCTGTTCTGGTAAGTATTGCATGTGTGATGGACATGAAGCATTCATCTCTCAGGGACAATCCCATACATCTGAGCCATGGCTGGCCTGGAGACTTGGGTTCAGGGCACAGAAAAGCTAACTGGTCCCTGTGGGTATTAAACTTGGGTATTGATCTTGTGACCTCGACTTCTTTACATGCCACCCCCTATTCTACTCAGCTAACAGAGAGTTTTAGTTGAGATGGAACTTTCCAATGATTAACGGGAGCTGCTGAAAGAGAACAGCTACATTGAAAACACAGTGCAAACCCTGAACTGGAGAATTTCTCCCAGGAGAAGGGTGACCTGGAAAAGAGGAGATGGGCGGGCTATGCAGAGAAAATGGGGAGATTCTGGGGCCTTGCCAGCAATGTCTTGGTCTGTAGGCCAACAGAATAGCATCACTGGGGGCTTTTTGGAAATTCAGTATCTCAGGTCCAACCTCAATTCTGCTGAATCAGGATTTTCTGTAACACATCCCCAGGAGGTTTGTGTTCACATTCTACTTGAGGGCCACTGCTCTAAAACAATTGTTGTAACTTTGCTGCATATCCACATTGACAGAAAACTTTCATAAATCCAGATGCTCAGTCCCAGTCCAGAACAACGAAATTAGGATAGCTAGAAGTGGGACCTAGAGCTCCCCAGGTAATTCTAAGGTGCCACCAAATTTGAGCATTGCTGCTCTGGAATGTAACTGTAAAGAAGTTATGCCTGCTTCCAAGGGGCAGTTCATGCTGGGCAGAAGAAGTAGGCCGTCGCCGAGAAGGCATGAGTCAGCAGGGAATGAGAGAGATGGCATTCCCAAGGGAAAGGCCTTTGTGAGCCAGAGCCAGGCAGATTCGAATTGAGTCCCAGAACCACCAATCAGTAGCTCTATGGCCTGCTGGAGATCATTTTACCTTTCCGGCTTTTGGTTTCTTCATAGTTAAAAATCAGGATTCAAATACCTAGTTTAGTGTTCTGTTATCAAAATAAAATGTGATTTATTTAAAACACATGCTGTATAATGAGAGATCAGTAAATAATAAGTATTGACTCAATGAAAATATTATTAATAACAAAATATTTTATCACCTGAATAAAAGGGTACCCAAATGAGATCTTAATAGAGACTAAACTCACATCATCCAATAATGTCCTTGAAAAGAATGAATGTTTGAGACAGTGTCAACAAGATTTACATACCCAGGGTTTTCTCTCTTCTCTTTTCTTCTTCTTGTTTTTCGTTTGTTTGTTTGTTTGTTTTTCAAGACAAGGTCTCATTCTGTCACCCACATTGGAGTGCAGTGGCACAATCCTAGCCCACTGCACCTCTACCTCCTGGGCTCAAGTGATCCTCCCACCTCAGCCTCTCAAGTAACTCTGACTACAGGTACACGCCACCAAACCTGGCTAATTTTTTTTTTTTTCTTGCAGAGGATGGGGTTTTTCCATGTTGCCCAGGCTGGTCTTGAACCCTTAGCCTCAAGCTAGCCAACCTCTTCGGCTTCCCAAATTGTTGAGATTACGGGCGTGAGCCACCACACCAGGCCACATCCAGGGTTTTCTTTATGAGCACGTAGAAAGACAGAAAGTCTAAAACTGTAGATGAGATGAGAGCCAACACATAAAATTGGCTAGCAATTTAAATGACTCCATATAATCTAGTTTCCTCCTGTTTAATGTATGCATTACATAGTATATAGTTAATCTCGCTTCTTAAGATAACTCTATGAAAAGGGAGCTCAGCCTATGTCCCAGATATTCCCAAGAGTAGAAAGGGAGGGAAAGCTATCAAAGTGGTGTTAGCTCATGAAAGTTATTCTCCAGGGAACTCATGCAAAACTGCACTGACTCAGGCATTACAAAGGTATTCGGATAATAACTATCAGTGAAGAGAACGCTATCTGGGATCTTACAAACTAAAGCTACTCAAGTTGCCCGGTGGAAAACAGAAACACATCCAAACTATTGAATGCATATTCACACTCCAAGAACTAACCTGTTTCAAATTCACAAACTGTACTGAGAAGGCTGAGGTGGGAGGACTGCTTGAGCCGAGGAGATTGAGGCTGCAGTGAGCTATGATCATGCCATTGCACTCCAGCCTGGGTGACAAAGCAAGACCCTGTCTCAGAATACCCTGGGTGAACTCCCTGGTTCACACAGGCCTTTCCCTTGGGAGTGTCATTTCTCTCATTCCCCACTGACTCATGTGTTCTTGGGGATAGCCTACTGCTTCTGCCCAGCACACACTCCACCTTAGAAGCAGGCATAACAATTTTATAGGTGTGTAAAGCTTGATGACACTGTTTCAAACATTCATTCTTTTCCAGTACATCACTGAATGCTGTGAGTTTAGTCTCTATTAAGACCTGCCCGGGCCTTTTAGTTTCTTGAGAACACAAGATGCTCTCTTTTTGGTTCTTTTTTCTTTTTTAAAATTTTAATTTAATCTTAAGTTCCAGGATACATGTGCAGGATGTGCAGGTTTGTTACATAGGTAAATGTGAGCCATGGTGGTTTGCTGTACCTATCAACCCATCGCCTAGGAATTAAGCCCCACACGCATTAGCTATTTATCCTGATGCTCTCCCTTCCCCCATCCTCCTGAGAGGTGTCAGTGTGTGTTGTTCCCTTCCTGGGAACAAATAGCTTCCAAATAGCTTCTGGCCAACCTAGCCCCTCCCTAGGAAACCCCAACTCTTCTCATGATTGAGCATCTAAAAAGTACATCTGGGGGCCTCCCTGACCCATCTAGAAATGGTTCCCCAGGCAGTAGCCTTGTGGAAAAAGACTTGTTTTATATTTGAAAAACCACCATTCCTCCTTTTGGAACTATTAACAAAACTTATACATTGTTTTGATTTATCTGGTTCCTCTGCTAAACTATAAGCTTCTGAAGGGCAAGAGCTCTGCTTGGCTTACTCTTGTAGGCCTCACCCTCAGCATGGCATTTAGAACATCCTGTGTTCCAGTAACAGAAAACCAAACACCGCATATTCTCACTTATAAGTGGGAGCTGAACAATGAGAACATAGGTAAAGTACAAGTACTGGGCTAAGAGGAAAAGCCCCTGCTATGGTCTCAATAATTGTGTCTTCCCTACCCCAGTACTGACATGTTGAAACATAATCAACAATGCAGTAACACTGGGAGGTGCACAATTTGGAATGTGACTAGTTCATGAGGGTGAGGCTCTCATAAATGAGATTAGTGCCCTTATAAAAAATCTCCAGAGACCATGTGAAGACACAGCTAGGAGGTGCCATCTATGAAACAGAAAGCCCGCACCAGATATAAACTGTGCCAGCACCTTGATCTTAGACTTCCAGATCTCTAGAACTGTGAGAAGCAAATAAATATATTGCTTATAAGTCACCTCGTATGTAGTATTTTATTACAGCAGCCCAAACAGACTAATAGTCCCTCTTTCATTCTCCATGATCAAGGCAAGTCTTCTCAGCAAAAATTTAATATTGCCAAGACAGAGTAGGTTTCCATTGTCTCCTGAATTTATTCCTATGTGCTTGATTGAAGCCAGCCTCTCTGCAACCAGAGTTGGCTTACAAGAGTCCACAACTCACAGAGCCCACACCTGAGTCCCAAAGACACATGTGCCAGGATGTCTCCAACTGTGGCACTCACAGCAGTGCTGCAGCAGATGCTAGGGTCAGATAGCTCACCTCTTTGCCCCTGAGCTGGCAAGACTTGTGACCTCTTTTACTTAACCTCCCAACAGCATCACACTCTGACATTCCATTGTGGTGTGTCCTGAGGAGCAGTTCCACATAATAAAAAGGCCTGGCTGCCTGCCAAAAATGTTGAGGGGAAAATGCTCTCCAGCAAAACTAGAACAAGCAAGCAGGTGATAGCTGAAAGCTACCTCCTCAACCAAGACCAAACCAAGACTCTGGCAGGACTACTGACTCCACAAATTCATACAGTGGAAAAAAGATTTGCTCCTGCCTAGGCAAGCAAATCCTGGACAGCCAGCCAAGAGCAAAGTTAAGGTAGGAATATCCTGAGAATGGTTTTCATGGTGACCCGAAAGTAGGTCAAAAAAAAAAAAAAAAGAGCAATGGACATCTAATTGGAGGCCTGGGTTTGAGCCCCAACTCTGCAAACATCTGTTTAACATTCTCTGGACTTCTGTTTATTCACTGATTGAAAAATGACAGTAATGATATATTATCTATTTCATATATAATAGAAACTAATATTGACTCTAGAGAATCACTTCTTGGTCTGAATCTCAGACCCTCTGTACTACCTATGCTACTTTAGAAAAACTGTTCTTTCAGAGCCCCAGCTTTCTCACCTGTGAAATGGGAAAACCATTTTTGAAGGCTCATTTTAAAATTTGATTTAATGTATTTATCTGTTGTGTGCTAATTTTGCACTAGGAATCTTTGTATGCCTTGGAAACATTCATGCAAAAAAAAAAAAAGTCCTTCACCTGAAGAAGTTTACAGTCTATTAGAAAACACATTTTAAACTACATACATTAATAAATAGAAACTTTCAGCTGTTGTCAATTACAGAGAGGTGCTTGGTGCTGTGAGCATATTCTGGAGAGATCTGCATCAGTCAGAACAGACTGGCTGTGAACACTCTCTGGCATGTAGGGCATAAATTATCTGTTACAACCAATTCCAAAGATGAATAAAGGGAAAATAAATCCACGTAGGTTTATCATTTTCATTTCAAAGACATGACATTTGCTTATTGAACACCTAGTTCTTTATACTGATCAGTTCTAAACCTCAAAACTCACTATGATTCCCATTTCAGAAATAAGTATACCGAGGTTTGTTGTAGCTAAACATTAGACACAAGGTGCACCGTTAGTATACTAATAATCTGGCATTCAAACACAAGTGTGTCAGATTTCAAAGCCCTTTGTTTTACCATCAGTAATGCTTTGCCCTTTTTGGGTGCCTATGCTTGTTGGGATCTCTACCTATGTCTAAACTTTTTAGCAGCTCTAGTCTTGAGACCCTGAAAACCTCATTGCCTTGGATCTTTGCATCTAACATATGGGGGACTGGGGATTCATCCCAGGCAAAGAGGAAAGGACAGGGAGGGTGGTTTCTGAAAAAGAGTGAAGATGTAACGTGCCTGCAGACAAATGCCGCCGGGAATCCTGGGAGAAATTATGTGCTCCTGGGAGAAATTACGTGAGGGAAGAGCTTGGGTTAGTTACAGAAAGAGATTGCTGTTCGGCCTGAGCCTGAGGAAGTAGAGCTCTAAAAGATGCCTCTCGCTTTCTGGCTTAAAAGGTCCCATCCGGCTTCCGTAGTCGGTCAGCAACAACCCTGAAGCCCGCTTGTGAAACCACTGCAGAAAAAAGCAAGCAAAAGCTCATTTCTCCTGTTCTTACCTAATTGGTCCCAGGAGAACCACATTTGCCAAGTTTCCTCAAGTTGTTGGCTTCTTCTTGTCGCTTAACTGTAGGATGACACTAGCTTTATAAAGATGGTAATCTTTTAAATATCTTCATGTGTAAAAACATAACAAGACAATATCTTTTTTGAGAAAAGAATTACTCACCTGAAACTTTCCATGGTAAAATGTTTTTCATAAGTCTATGTTTTCTACTTTGACCATGCTCAATGAGATATTTTACTGAACAGCAATTTAGAATACTCTTTTTGCAAAATCTCCGAGTGCCATCACTTTCTCAAGGGATAGGAGTTTGGGAAATAAATAAGCACTGAATTAATTTCAATTAATTTACTTAAAGTTTAAAGAATATGTTTATTTTCGTAGACTTCTTTTAATCTTCATACCAATTTTCTCTAATGAGGCAGGAGAAGGGGGTGTAAAAGAAAAGCATAGCCTTTTTATCCTCTTTTTCCTTTGTATTTATTCTTCAAAAATTTTCTCTCTTAAACTGACTTGACAATTCTTTGAGGATTCATATACTATGCTGCTTTATAGCCCCATAATCTTCTTCCCCTCATTGCTGGAGTGTTACAGGAGTTCAATAAATACATTTTTCATGCTTAATTAAATATATTTTATTTACATCATTAGGACAAAATTTTTGGTTTAAAAGCTAATTTCAGTATTTCTTTGTTCTAGAGTGGCAGTAGAAGAAATATCTTGGTATCCTATTTAGAGAAACAGCTTAATGAATATTTTGGTTATGGGAAGGTCTAAACCAAAGTAGTTAAAGCAAGGTACAATAACAGAAATGGTGGCTTCCTTTCTCAGGGGAAATGATTATTCTGCTGCATGGGGACTTTTTGTTATTTTTAGAATTGTTTAATAACTAGACAAAATAAATGTATTTTTTTTTTAGAGAACTGGGGTCATGTAACAAGATGGGATAAGAGAAGTGTCTTGATTTGAAGACATAATAGTTGCAAGGGACTGGGGCCTCCAAAGCTAGAGGCCACTTAATTATCTAGAGCTAAATAATAGCTGATGGCCATAGGTAGAATGACACCCAATGCTCAACGTTTTGCTGTCTCCCTTTGGTGCTGAAATCACTCGCCATTGTCACCAAAATGTCAGCAAAATCTCACTCTATACAACGAACAGCCTTGTGCCACTGGTGGTGTAGAAAACTTGTGGCAAAAAAAATAATCACAGTGACTGGGTGTGGTAGCTCATGACTGTAATCCCAGCACTTTGGGAGGCCAAGGCGGGTGGATTTCCTGAGGTCAGGAGTTCGAGACCAGTCTGGCCTACATGGTGAAACCCTGTTTCTACTAAAAATACAAAAAAATTATCTGGGCATGGTGATGGGCGCCTGTAATCTCAGCTACTCAGGAGGCTGAGACAGAGGAATTGCTTGAACCAGGGAGGTAGAGGTTTCAGTGAGCTGAGATCGTGCTACTGCACTCCAGAGCAAGACTCTGTCTCAAAAATAAAAAAAAATGTATATATATACGTATATATATGTATATATATAAAATAATCACAGAGAAGGTGGCTGAGATGTTTAAACAGAAATAAGAGGTTAAGGATGACAATCAGGTCTTGAAACACATGCAGTAGGAATTTTCTGATATAGTTGAGAGAACACTAAATTTCTAGAAGCAAATGCTGGATGGATATTTAAGTTACATGTTTAAGTATAAAGTAAAGAAAAATATTAGGAGGACGAAAGGCATGGAACAGAGGTTAAATGTACATTTTTTATTTTTTTTAGGTGACAAAGGTATAATATGTATATGTAGGGACTGGGGAGGGTGAAGGTAAGGAGATTGGAGTATGGGTGGTAAGGGATGAATCCCTGAATCCAACAGGTTTCACCAGAAAGTGGGAAACCACACAAGCTCATCAAATGCAATGGTTGTGACTCCTCTCACATCCTTTCTCTCTACCCTATTTACAGCCGGGTGAGAAGAGATTCTGTGTAATTGGTAGCACTTTTTAGATGCAGTGAGTCAATATGCATCATTCCCTAGTTAGGTTCCAGAGAGGTTATGGTTGGATCCCCTGATAAGTAAAACTAACTTTACTTATCAGAATCTGTGTCTTCAATAAGAAAATAGAAATAAATGTCCTTCCCTACCATATGGATATTGGTGAGGTTTGAATGAAGTTTGAGGGCCTTTAGCACAGAGTCTGGTACATATAGTGTAGAGTCAGTGAATGTTACCTATCATTACCTCTGTTATATGAGCTCATACTACACAGAATTCTGGGTGGTTCCTCTGTTTTCTGGTAGGTGTCAGAGCTTCATTCCATATGCAAATTATGTCACTCCCTTGTCAATCATATGACTTGAGGTTTCTTAACCTAGTGGAAACTACACATAGGAAGACAGGCTGCCAAGCTCACCAATTTAAAACACACACACACACAGACACACACACACACACACACACACTTCCTACAGTTTTAACTAAGAATATAGATAAATCACAGACTTTGTCCTCCAAACTAGAACACTTGAAGATGAAAAAGTCAGTATAGTCATGCTCAGACAGCGGCGTCAATCAGAGCTGTCCCAGGAAATACTTGGCTATTAGGTCACCCTAGTGTTAGCTCTGTCTAGGATATGTGGCAGCCCATGGTCCTCTAGAACCTGTCTTGTTCAGGTCTCCTGTTGACACTTGGCAAGTGTTCAGTAAATATCGAACAGAAAATTAAATGAGTGAATAGAAACAAATTCTACATACATCCTAAACTGATGTATAAACAAGATCAATACTAAATTATGTTAGAAATGTTCTTTAAGAAGGTATGTGTTTACTCATACTGAACTTAGGACACAAATAAGAAAATATGAGAAAAGAATAAGGATTGGAAAAGGAGGAAAGAAGAGGAGATTAATTTAAAACACTGGTAAAATCAAAGGCTAGAAACCAATGTAACTCAATATGTATGCATATCTTTCCACCTTAGTTCAAGCTATTTGCTAAAGGTCACCTGTTTTTCAGTCAGAAATCACAGCTTGGAATGAGCAGATTGGGTTTGATGACAGCATTCCACATCATCTTAAGCTCTTGATCATTCAGTTGAAGTACTGCATCATCCACATGAGGCTTGTTTGCTCAAAATGTCTACTAATTTGCAGAAAATGTTGAACTCACTGACTGTCTAGGGCTTTGTTTTGATTGTGGATAGAAAGTGAACCCATGATGGGCCATCTGGGATATTAAGATTTGGTCATTTCCATATAAAGCTGAGCGTAATGAATAATTAGGCAAAGGTAAATGTTTTCAAAAATCTGTTTATGTTATTTCTCTATAGGAGCAAATGCCTTACTTTTTAATCGAATTATCACTTCTTTCCCATTATTTTTTTATCTTCAAGTTAATTTGTTATTCTTTTGGTAGAAATTAATTAAATGAGTAGAATCTGCTTATATCTTATTATGAACTTATTTTTAATGTCTCTCCTTAAATATAGCATTGGGTCCATTGCCTTGATGATCTTGGATTTTTTGTGCAACTCCAATGAGCTTATTATCCCATATAACTTAAGAATGGGCTTCATCTGTATTTGTGAAATCTGCCATCTCTGTCTTAAAATTTCTTTCAGCGTTTTTAACAGTAATCTCCCCCAGTGAAGATGTTGCAGATACCCACTGGAGGAGGAACTGGCACTGATAGCTTAACACAATGACGTGGCTGTTTCCTCTGCTGGGAGAACAGGGGCACTTGATGGGAAGGTAACAAGGGCAGTTATGGAATGACCTGTTTCCTGAGGCTGGCCCCTTCTGCATATCCGCATGGTGGTGATTGCTAATGCATGGACCCTGACTGCAAATGAATCTAGATTAAAATCATAGCTCCTGCACTTACTAGTTTCTTGATGTTTGCCCTATCAGCCTTGAATTGCCTGGATTTCTGATGGCAAAAGACAAATCCATGCCCTGCCTCCATTAGAGCTGTTCTTGCTAGCAGATCAACCTATTCACAAATGATGTGCTAAGGTAATTGACAGATGGTTGAAATGGCAATTATAAAAATAATGAAAAAGAATTATTGGCCCAATATTTATTTTAATGTAAAATGGTAGTATTTAGTAAACCTCTTGGAAATGAAAGTTAATAAAGACTAATTTTACCCCATCACTTTTTAAAGAAATACATGTTGGGGTTTCATGGAGACAGGAATAAACCTATAGACTGTTTAGCTTTCTGCATCACTCCTGTATATCATATCCATTTTGAAAATATGGCAAATGCAATACCAGGACTTGCTGTTTATAGGACTCATATGGTTTCTCTCCTTTGGCTGCAGATTACTCATGACAAGTGCAATCAATAAAAGCTCTCTTGCCCAAGGCCAAAAAGGGCCTGAGCTTTCTACCCTTCAGGTATAAGGAAAATGAGACCAGGAGGATATGCTGAGGCCAAGCCCATCTTGCATGGCGATGTGCATTGCTGGTTATTTATAGAGAAACAAACCCCAGGTCAAAGTATAAAGTCCTCACTAGCAGGCATTCTCTTTTCTCACTTATTTAAAAGCAGCCTGTTCTTGGTTGGGTTTCAGGGAGCAACATTTATATTTTACATGTGGTGTGGGAAAGGAATATTTTATGATAGAATCTCAGGGCTGGAGAGGCCTGTCAAGGTCATTAAATTCACCTCCCCCATCTAATATCTGCACCACTTCAGGTAGGAGGTGGTCCCACCCACTGATGTTTGCTGAGCCCCATTTTTCTGTGGCTTCTTGTTCTTGTCATGGAATCCATGTCTCCTCTCTTAATCCTGCCAAAATAACAGCCTTCAGACTGAGCATCTGTAATGTTTTCCAACCTTTTACATGTTACTGGGTTTTAATATGTTTACTCTGCTGGTGTTTGTCCCCTGGGTGCACACTCATTTGTCTATAATAGTCTTTAAATGTGTAATACTTAAAAATAACGCCCAAATGAAGATTTTCCCTGACCAGCCCAGAGAATGATAGTGTTAAAGGATTTATAGATGAATCGTGGGGGAAAGGCCCTGTCACATGTTTAGCTAATATCAGCTTTAGACTTGGGAAGTCATTTTCATCTAGACTCTGAACTTGGAAGTTTGAAAGGTTGGGCCCAAATATGTCCACTCCTTGGATTGGGCTCATCATCCAAACATGTACAGATTTTGATGAATTAATATTTTGAAATCTACTAGGTGCATGTATCATTTAAATAAATCAAGGGACATAGTTGTAAAAATGCCAACTAGGAGAAGCTGTTCCACTCAGTTGTTTTCTTGATTCAGTCTTTAATTAGATAAGTCAATACTTCCTTTATGTTAAAAGCAGGGATATAATCTTGCCTATTAAGGTATTTTGTTTTTACATCATTTCATATTTGAAGTGTGCCTGATATGCCCTTAGGCATGGGATATTAGTTTTCTTTCCTCTTTATTTCTTATTTCCTCTGAAATTGTTAACTTTAGACTTGTATTATATCACACAAGGTAAATCTAAGTTCATGGGGAAAATCTTATTTAAGAAGCTGTTCCATATACTTTTGGCTTTTGTGGCTCTTAAAATATTTCCCAGGAGTACAGAGTGTTTCAGTGTGAAGTTTGCTGAATAAGGATGCTAGGTTTATTTCTGAGAAATCTCATAGTACTTGAAATTAAGGGAAAAAAACAAACAAATAAAGAAAACAACAACAAAAAACCCTTTCACTTGGCAGACATTAGACAGTTCCATTGGCAGCAAACTTGGCAGGGCAACTAAAAGTCACATGAGGAATCCAAGTCAGGAGAAAGTCTGATGACCAGGTACAAGTCTGTTGTTCTCATTGGGTCACTTGGGAGGCATCTAATGAAATTCAGATCATGTAGTTTGTGGAAGTCTGAAATTGAGTAAGCATGCAGTAAATGCCAAGAATACTGGAGATTGTAGACAAAACTAAAAAGTCATCCTACTCAAGCAAGTCTTATGCCATGTGAGAAAAACCATGGTAAAGAGGTACTCTTGGCAGAATGTAAGAAAAACCATGGGTCAAGAAGCAAGGCAGCCATTGGAAGGGGGATTAGAGATTAGGATAAAACATTGGGTCAGAAATTGAAATAGACACAGAGATGTCAATATGAGGCATCAACAGCCAGAAGATGGTGCAGACACATAGATAATGAGGTAATGTGTCAGGACCTGGGCCCATGCAGTAGATTTTTTTTGTGCTGGATTTGAAAATATGGATTTAGGCAATGAGGTGATCATCCTGGGATTTGTGGTTCATAAGCAGGCACGTGACTGTAGCTGATTGGACAGAGTGGTTTAGGTTTAGGGTAATGGAATTAGAATGAATGGTCTGATACTGAGATTTAGAAACTCAACCTCATTACCAGGACAGCCCTGATTAAACAACTGGAAAAGTTCTTTTTCTTACTGTTTTTCTTTATTCCCTGATATGGTCTGTCCATGTCTCCCCTCAAATCTCATCTTGAATTGTAACTCTCACAATTGACACATGTCATGGGAGGGACCCAGTGTCAGGTAATTGAATCATGGGGGTGGGTCTTTCTCATGCTGTTCTCATGATAGTGAATATGTCTCATGAGATCTAATGGTTTTATAAAGAGGAGTTTCCCTGCACAAGTTCTCTCTCTTTGCCTGACACTGTCCATGTAAAATGTGACTTGCTCCTCCTTGCCTTCCACCATGATTGTGAGGCCACCCCAGCCATATGGAACTGTAGGTCCATTAAACCTCTTTTTCTTCCCAGTCTCTGGTATGTCTTTATCAGTAGCATGAAAATGGGTTAATACAGTCCCTTTATTTATGGGCACAGCTGCTTAAAGAAGTCAGATGGCCTGGGATGGTGCCAGAGCTTCTTGACCTCTGTCCAGATTACCAGAGGGAGATAAGAACCCCAAACCAGCAACACTGGAGCAGACAATCCCTAGTGGCCTTTAGATCATTAACATATTATTATAATGCAAAAATTCCACCTCTAAAAGAAAACTTCTGCTATTTTGTTTACGTGGGTTGTATGAAGACATACTTATGAATTAAGTCTGCACGTCTGGAGTCCCACTCTGCACATGCAAACATTCCTCTCTGGCCATGTACCCAGTCCTTAAAAACCCTATGCTTTCTAATGTTTGGGGAGAGGTGCATTTAGAGCAAGAGAGTGCCTTCTCCATTCCCTGGCCAGCGGAAAAAAAAACCTGATTGTCTTTTCCAGCTGGAGGTTCTTCTGTGCAATCCACACAAAATGGGAAAAGATCTCAGTTTACCAGTGACAATATTGAGGGAGGGAAAAAGCGGTGAAAATAAACATAGGACTTTTTGTTCTTTCACTGTTGGTCACTTTCAAGCCTCCACAAGTGTTAGAAAATTAAAGTGTACCTTATAACTTAGATGCTGTCTGTGAAAGATGTTAAAAATGGGAGGTGGCTAGTGAGGTGGCTGTCCAGTATGTGGCTATTCAGCACCTGACCTATGGCTAGTGCAAATTAAGGTGTGCTCTTGGTATAACATACACACTGAGTTTTAAAGATCTTAATACAAAAACAAAGCAAAACAAAAACAGCAAGCTAACTGATAATTTTGAATTATCATATATTGAAATAATAATATCTGGGGTACATTTGCTTAAATATATTGCTAAGTTGATGTCAACTCTTTGAGCTTTTTTAATGAGGTGATTTGAACATTTAATGCTGAATATGCAGCTTGCTAGATATTTCTCCAGGCCAATGCCAGCCTACAAATGTGGACTCACACAAATTTGTACCTCTTCTCCAGCAATTTTGCTAACTGGACATATGTAGTTGGTCAAGTTATTTAAAGTTTTTGAGCTTCAAGGTCAACATTAAAAATATTGTTATAAATAAAGTTATAGGGAAGAGAATTACTGCAAAGAGAAGTCATTTATAAAGAACACACATTTTCATTATGAAGGAAATTTTACAAGTTGTGCCCCCACTTGACTCCTTCTGGACTTTGTTGGGGAGACCACAATACCATGCTCCAATCACATTCAGGTGAACCAGGGTTTACAGCTTAGCAGGTCGGGGTTAAGGGGGACACTCCCTTTGTTCCTTTCCAGGGTTGGTAGGTCAACATGGCATCCATCCTGAAAGCACACCGTGTATATGTTCTGTCTTTGGGAAATGGAAATTGTAGGGATTCTGGTCTGAAACTCTAATTGTAAGGGGAAGATGGAGAAGGAAACAATGACAGCAGCTGAGAAAAACTCATTAAGTCAGCTCCAGAAGCTGACAAATTAAATGAGGACGAGAGCAGATACTCAATAAGGGGAACCTGGATGTCCATCTTTCTCTTCAAGCTATCAGGATTTCCATTTCTCATCTATTGTTCCATATCAGAACACTGATCTTGGATAATTGCTTTTAATTTTAGCTTGCATATGTATAATGTCTCTCACTATATCACCCACTATATCTTTTGAACTCAAAATAACCTGAGAAATAGGCAAGTCTGGTAGCATTCTAGCACTACAGATGAGGTGCTAAGAATACAGGACCAATGCTTATTGAGCATTTAATATGTGACAGGCATTATACTGGGTATGTTGCACACTTTATCTTATTTAATACTCCTAGATCTCTTAGCCAGAAAATCTGAATGGCTTTCTTAAGGCTGCACAGCTAGTGAGTATCAGAATCAAGTCCGTCACCGTGCCTTCTATATTTTAGCACTATCCTTTGGAGAAGAGGGTCAAGAACTAAGCAGAATTCTTGAGGAAATGACCTACAGGGTCATGCATTTGTTCATCCAATAGTTAGACATAGTTTTTAGAAGATTCATGCATTGAATTCTTTACTTTACCAAACAGAACCTAATAATCTTTTCTACGATGTTTTGAATTATTTTTCATAAAAATATTAATGAAATAATATTGTATAGATATGATTTAATGAACTTTTACCTCATTACTGGTGTTGCACATTTAATCATTTCAACAGTGCTGTCAGGCAGATACTGTTATCTAATTTTATAGGAAACAGGCTCAGAGCACTGAAGCAATCTGATCAGCATATAGCTAATGAATGGTGAGGAAGCTGTATTCAAATTTATTTAATTCACCCACTCCTTCTTCCTCTTCTGTGCAATGACAAAGCCAGAATTACATTATCTTGACTTTAAAATTCTAGGGTTTAACATGTTGTCTCTCTGTTTCTTTTCTGCCCTCCTCTGAAGAGGTGGGGGAGAGAGCAGATGGTTTCTGCAAAGTTCTCAGGCTTCAGATTCCCTTTCTGTAAGCACATTCTGTATAAAAATGTCTGGTATATATATGCCACAGCTAGTTTCTATTAAAGAGCATTTCAATCCACTTTCATAACATATTTAAAAGTAAAGTTTATTGCCAGAAAAAGTACCTACTTCATAAGCCAAAGCAATCCATCTTATCAGAACTTAAGAAAATAAATGAAAACTGGAAGTCCAGATCAGGAATTGGGAAAACTAAAAATATCTCAGAAATAAGCTTCTTTGCTGCTTAATTTTTGATGTTAGCTATCTATAGCAAAGTCTCAAATGTGGAGGACAAGAAAAATAAGTTTATGTCACAAGCATACACAATTAAAGCTTAAAAACCATACCAAGAGGAATTTCTCAAGCAGAAAACTGTATTTATTTGTTTTAGAAATATATAAAGTAAATTTAAAATGAAGGAAATTAGGCCAGGCACAGTGGCTCCCGCCTGTAATCCCAGCACTTTGGGAGGCTGAAGCAGGCATATCACTTGAGGTCAGGTATTGGAGACCAGCCTGACCAACATAGTGAAACCCTATCTCTACTAAAAACACAAAAATTAGCTGGGAATGGTGGCGAGCTCCTGTAATCCCAGGTACTCAAGAGGCTGAGGCAGGAGAATCACTTGAACCTGGGAGGTGGAGGTTGCGGTGAGCCGAGATCGTGCCAATGCACTACAGCCTGGGCAACAGAGCAAGACTCTGTCTCAATAAATAGATAGATAGATAGATAGATAGATGATAGATAGATAGATAGATAGATAGATAGATAGATAGATAGATTAAAAAAAAACTAAATGAAGGAAATTAAAGCTGTATCTTTTCCAAGCCAAAGTTTTTCTGATGAAAACCTAAGAAGTATAACTTCAGAGAGACCCTGATCAGATTTTGTTGACTCCATTACCTTTTCCTTCCATCAGTCCTGCATGCAGTTAATAGTGCATTTTCCCAAACCACACATTCATCCTGTTACATCGTTACCCAGAGGCCACCTTTTTCTCTTGCCTTCTAGCCAACCCCCATCTCCAGGCCTCTCTGACCATGAAATGGGCTTCGGTTGCAGTCTCCTGGCCCAGACATGCCCCTCCAGAATGTCAGCCACACTACTGTTTCCTTCACACCTTCTAATCCTGCACTCCTAATTTTGTCTCTTGCTGTTCTCCTCTTATGGAATTTATTTTCCTTTTTTTTTTAAATTCTGTGCTTCTCTCAAGACTGTGCATTTAAAAATCTACCTATTCATACATTTTTTTCTGACTTATTCAAACCATTTTCATCTTTTCCCTTTCTAGAGTTGCCTGGCCATGGTTTCCAACCTTTTTCACATCGAAACATTCATTGATTATATAGGTATAGCACAGTAGGAGATTGCTCACGACCACAGGGACAGGGGTTCTACACGGGCCCAGACCAGCAGCTCCAAGGGCTGAAAGAATCGACATCTCTCTATAAAAAAATCCTATTCCTTGCCACAGTCCAGCAGTCAGAAAACTTCGCTTGATGGGATTGAAGACCATAACTTAGGAACCCAACATGGGGGCACGTAGTGTGATAAGCATACATATTCTAACAGTGGGAGGATTGAGGTGGAAGAGAAAGAGATCTGACATTTTGACTCTGTCATTTTGATATGGCCATTTACATGTATTTTGGAATGTGATTATTTGACATGACTTTTTTGGATAAGGAATTTTGATGTGGTAACATTTTGTCTTGGCCTAAAACACACACACACACACATGCACGCAAGCACGCGCACATGTGGCATTTAATTTACAAACTTAAAATGACCAAATTACATACTCAGTAGTCATTCTCACTCTCCTCCTTAAAAACTTACAGAACCTTAAAAACTTAGAGAACTCAAATATTCTGCTTGTCAAACAGACGTGACCCTGGCCCGTCTCCAAACATGCATGAAATGAAGTTGGACTGTCCTACACACTCACCTCCTGCCAGCCCCTGACCTAGGAGCTTTATTTTTGTCATTTCATCCTCACTGTGATCTCTGAAATGAGGTGTGTGGCTGGGACCTGGGCCTATGGCCTTTATGCAGAATCACTGCTAAGCTCCCTATGAGAGATTTGACATCTGATTATTTAAAAATTATTTCATAAAGTCCTTTTTTTTTTTGAGATGGAGTCTTGCTCAGCCATCCAGGCTGGAGTGTAGTGGTGCAATCTCGGCTCCCTGCAACCACCGTCTCCCAGGTTCAAGCGATTCTCCAATCTCAGCCTCCTGAGTAGCTGGGATTACAGGCCATCGTGCCCGGGTAATTTTTGTATTTTAGTAGAGACGGGGTTTCACCATGTTGGCCAGGCTGGTCTGGAACTCTTGACCTCAGGTGATCCACCCGCCTCGGCCTCCCAAAGTGCTGGGATTACAGGCATGAGCCACCACACCCGGTCCCCATGATAGCTTATTTATACTTGTATATTTTTTAAAAAATATAAGAACTGTTATGCTTTCGCTACTCTAGCACTAGTTTGTCCTCATTAACATCCGCAGACATGATTTGAGTAAGTGGGATATCGATCTGACCAAACAATGCCCAGCTTTCCAGTTGACTCAAATTTTTACATTGCTTTCTTTCAATTTGACTGGATGTTTTGACCTATTTTACTACAGAAAATCTTGAGACTTCTTTTTTAAAACATACATTTTTTACTTCTTTGCTCCATCACATGCTGTAGGATAAGGTCGTGACTTGAATGGATGGAGATCCTGCAGCCAGCTACCAATTGTGCAGCTGCCTTATCTTCTTATAGTCAGGGCTGCCTTTTGTTCCACCTGCATTTGCTTTTCGGGTCAGTCTGCAGAGGCCTTCCTCTCTTATCACTTTCCGTGTTCAGACTACAGGCGAAAAAAATCCCTCTCCCTGGTGCTTATCATGGCTGTTCTCTCCCAGCGATTGCAGGCACAAAGTGTCCCAAAACTCCTGTCGCTCACTGGAAGCACAGCTGGGAAATCAACAGAGCCCTGAATATCTTATCGCAGGCATTACTAGCAGATAAGCAGTCCTGGGGTGCTCCTAAGGCTCAATTCAACAAGACCCCAAAGAAAGAAACCTAGCTCAGCTTAATGGGGGCCCTGGTTTGGGACCTGTGGCCACTTCTCAAGGGCACAAGGTACTCAAAGGTTCTGCACTGGGATGTGACTCTTAAAATATTTTATTTTGTTACTATGAAAAGGATTCCTGAAATAGATGACCAGATTCACATTTTTATTTTTTCTTAGGTTTTCATTTAAAATACTAGGAAGTCAGCAAAGTAGAGTGGATAAAATATCAGCTTGGAGTCCCATGATCTTGATTTGAATTTAATTCCTTTCAATCACAATGCCCAGGTGGTAGTATTTCCCTTAGATGGGTGGTGGGGAGCAGGGGGTACTCTCCTGGGCTTCCTGCTTTAAAGGGCCCCTGCTTTGGTCCTCCTTTGGGTGTTGCTGTTGTTTTCCCATGCCACGAGCACTTAGGGGTCCTGGCAGGCTATGAGCGAACTTGGAAGCCTTCCCTCCCCCTGCCTTTCCACCCAACCCTCTCATTCTGGTCTACACCATGTTTCATGCATCCAAACTTCAGAATTTCCTGACCAAAGGGCTCTAAGCTCACTTGTGGGCCTGTGAAGGACTCTCCCAGTGAAAATAGGCCAGGCCACAAGACCAGTGTGGGCACCTATGGGACCAAGGTGTAGACACTGGGGCAGTGTGGGCAACCCGGAAATGTAAGCTTGGCCCCCAGTGACTTGAAGGATGGAGTCAGATATTGAATGGGCAGGGGTGATGTGTATCATGTATTGCTCTGATTTCACCCTAGACTTCCACATTGCTGTGAAAGTATACTTGTTAACAAAGGAGTAGAGAACACAAATTATTTAAGTTTGGTAGCATCATTTATAACATTTACCTAAGTAAGCATATGGTAGGTAGGCCTCTATTTACGATTTGGCCCCAGGACCCATCTTGGTCAGAAGAGCACTACATCACTGTAGGGTTGGGGTAGATTTCTTAATGTCTATGAACACGATCCTTCCATCTGTAAAAGGGGGATATTCTTACCTATCTTTTGCTTGAATTTAAATTTATAATATCTGTACAACACAGAGCTTATACAAAGTGGTCAGTACATCAATTTACAAATCGACACTCAAAGGGAAGGGAAAACACAACAAAACAACACAACAACAAACTCACACTTGGATTTTACTAATGTCCAATTACAATGCTCACACATTTCTTGCTACTCTTTTAAATGGCAGTTCTCTTCTTTGACTGTTTCAAAGCAAAACCAGTGCAGACAGTCACAAACCACTGACTCATTCCTAGCTTGGCCGGTATCTATTGGTCGAAAGATAGCCCTGAGTTCACACAGTAAAGGCCAATCCCCTTGCAAATGTGCTTCGCTTGTACAGAAAGCATTGCTTTGAAATATTGAGCTGGATCCTGACATTACCATAAGTGTTCTCACTCCATCTGCACCCCTCCCTCTGCATACTCAGACTCTTCTGACAGAGGTCTCACTTGGATTGTGAGTCAGCCTCGGAAGCTGCATATTTTAAAGTTCGAGAAAATAGAAGTTGCATTATGTTTTCCCTCTGCTCCTGGTTTTCAACTTTCCCTTCTTAAAAACAGTTTGCTTGCCAGGAGCATTTTCCCCAAATTCTCCCAAGCTGTGAACATAATCTTGTATACAGAACATTTTATATTATCCAAAGCTGCATATTAGAAAAATATATATTTCTCCCCAGATGCTTATGCTGTATAAACAATGCAAGTCATTCTCCTAGAAAGCTACATAAATTTTATACATTTTTGTATCAAAATGTTCTCCCCTAATTTAATCAAAATTGATAAATGAGTACAGAAACAGGAGCTGAAGCCCTAAAGACTAATATATTTAGTCTTCCTGATGGGCCATATGCATATTTACACTTCACAATTAAATGACATACAGGGAGACGTGCAATATCCCAAAGAAATCCTGACAGCTTTATTAATTCTGCCAACAGCTCACGGGGTTGTTGGTCACAGGGGAATATTTACTGGATTTCTTGCCTATAAGAAGAGTTACATTTGGAATGGAAATTAATCACCATGACCCCAAAGGTGAGGATTTGAATTTTTACTTTAAATGTTCACACTACATAAATTCAGCAGTCATTCCTTCGCAAATATTCTTCTGAGCAGTATCCACTCCGTTCAAGACTCAGTTTTCACATCCTGTTAGAAAATGTTTTCTCAACTTTTCAAGTATGCTTTTGAGATGGCAGTGGGACACCCCATCAGGTATCACTCCTCCCCGTGCAGCCTGCATATTCCATTCAGGGGCAGGCAGTCTTTAAAAATTATGAATCTTAAAATAGAGTTTTACCATAAAAAACTGGAGAGATAGATCAGATAATGTCTGCTTCCTAATGATAATGAGGACAGTAAATAATTTTAAAGCCTTCCCAGCATTGTAAAAAAAAAAAAAATCTCTCATCTATCTTTCCCACATAATAAATCTATATTATGCTTAAGCCAGCAAAAGCGTACGTAATTTCTATTCTATGGGGGTGTATTTTTGAAAAGGCAAACAAGATGCTGTCTTTTTGCCATTCCCAGGCTAGCACACAAAAGACAAAGTGTCGCTTGTCAGATGAATCCTAATTGGCTGACGGGGCTGAGTTTTAGGGCTTCACTCCATCTGCACTGAAGACCAGAGCATTAATATGCTGGGAAGTAAAACATGATATAAAGTTCATAGTGCACGAGTTAAAGTAAGAACACTAACACATCAGTCAAATATGATCATCCCAAGACCTATCAAGAGAAAGCATCAGGAAAAATACTCCTCCTGCATGGGAGGCTGAGAGGGTTACAACAACCAAGTCCTGCACAAGACACACATGGGGAAATCTTTTGACAAATGCACTAAAGAAAATGAGATTTTATGCATCAAAGACCTATTCATAAATCATTCTGAGGGCTGTTCAGCTTTTTTTTGGAAGGCGAAATTTAGCTCTCTCCCAGAGACAAGTAGAGTCAAATCGGTTTCTAAAGTCTGTAAAGAAATTGATACTATATTCATAAATGCCATGTGGTTGATTTCATCCACTCAGTTTAATATAATATGTTGATTTAGTTCTTAAAAATGGTCATGTGTAGTCCTGTAGACTAGAAAATTCTGACTGGTTAGCATACATGGTGATGCTGGGATATCATAGTGCAAGATGCCTCAAACTTAGATCCAAGTCTGTAGATAAAAGTAATATCAATGGCCATTGGATGGGCCCTTACCATGTATAAGGTTTGGGAATAGGGCTTAACATATCATCAGTCTTATGGGCCCAATAATTTAATTTTTCTTTTTATAGATGAGGAGACTAAGCTTTGGCAAGATTAAGCAACTTGCTCAAAGCCACGGAGCTAATAAGGATGGGAGCCTGGTGGTGGGAACATGGAGGCTGAATTCATAAGCTTTGGTTATGTAGTGCGAGCTGAGAGAAGGTTGTCAACACTAGACACATTTGGGACTTTGCAGTTTGTCCCCTTGTGGCTACTGAATTATCCGCTTGGAGGTTTGACTTTGCACTGACCCGTAACCTGACTGACTCTGTTTTTTTTTACCATTCTCATGCTGCAAATGGAAACGTGAAGGCCCATTAATTTTGTGTAGTCCAACCAGAGCTGCTGGAGCAGAAGACAGGTCCCTAGCTCCCAGGCCGGCCCTCGGTCACCTAGATAAGCCAGAGTGTGCACCTCCAATTTCATGTCAGAATCCTTTACCCATGAATTAGTTTCATTCCCTGCATCTCAAAACCTTGCCAGAGGGCCTTCTCTCTTCCGTAACTTGCTGTAATCTCTGCCAGGCATGTTGCCCTCAGTCCCCCATGCTTTCATCTCTGAATGCTTCCTGGAAGCACAGGCACAAAGCATCCTTTTTAGGGAGAGTTTTTTGGGTTCTAAGAATGGCTAGTGTGAAGGATAGTGATGGATTAGGACAGGAATGATGATGTTAAAGTGGCGATTTGCACCCCATGGTCATGAGGGGCGATAATGACCCCATTAGTGCAGTCAGCGAGCCGTTATTAGCATAATTAGAGTGTGCAGAGGTGCCCTGCCGCCCATTTGGACCTTAATGGCGGCAGAAGGTGAAATTGACACCAAGGAATGAGGCGAATGAGCAGGGATGAGCTGCGCTGGAAAAGATACAGTTCTCGCTTAAGGGATTCCAGATGGCAAAGCAGTGCACAGTGGGAGCTTTATTCACATCCTTGTGCACCTAGGTGGGGAAGTGACAGTGTGAGAGAGGCTGGACATTATTTTACCAGTCCCTGTCTGAAACTTACATTTCAAAAACAGTGAATTTACATGTTCCTAACCAAAGCACCTTAAGTGAGAAGTCTCCCCACATCCTCTAGCAACACCATTTATGGGTGAGAACAGCCACTCTGTCATCTCTTAGGAGGTCTGTGTTACTGACGCTTCATGTGGCTTTCAGCACAAAGCACACTAACTTGGGAAAAGGAAATGTCGCATGCCCAAAGACACACCCAGTCACACAGACACAGACTCAGATACACGTGCCCATGCACACACTTCACAGACACAAGTAGACACGCATAGTAGCAGAGCATTCCAGTCCAATGAAGAACACAAATAAAATATCAGGAATGACCAGAGCTGCTGTCGGCTGTCTGTCTGTTCTGCCTCTGGCATGCGAGCAAAGCCACAAAACCACTGCAGATGGTTGAGGGGAATCAGCCAGGACCCTCCTACCTTGGCCAGAGTTGGTCTCATTCCATCCCACCCCACATGAGCCTGAGCTCTCCACTGACAACCTAATTTCAGTCTTGCTCCTAACCTTTTGCCCTGTGTTAGTACATCCCTCAGACATGATTCTGGAGTTTTCCCAGGAACCTTGACTGGACTGACTCTCAGGCTGACCATATTTATGTTGCCTCAAAAGGATCAACTGTCCGAGTTCTGGTGTCTTTGAACCTAATCTTGATATTAGCCATGGCGATTGGTGTGTGTGTGTGTGTGTGTGTGTGTGTGTGTGTGTGTGTGTGTATGTGTGTGTGTGTGCCTGTGTGTGTGGGGGAAGGGTATAGATTTGGGTACTGCATTGTTTACTCGAACACTCTCAACCGGAATATTATTTCTATGTTATGTTACAGGAAGTGGCCATTTGTTCTTGTTACTTATAAAAATAGTATCAAACATTTACAAGGTTAAAATGAACTCACTTTGTGAATCAACTCAGAAGTTTCTTATGAACACCCACGGTTTGAGCATCCAGACAGTTTTTAAGGGGAGTCTGGTTTCCATTTCTCTGACATGTAGGGATTGAAAACATTCTCTTCCTACATATAGCAAAAATAACCAGTAGCTAATAATGTAAACCATTATTACAGTAACCAAAAACAGCATGGTACTGGTACTAAAACAGAGATATAGACCAATGGAACAGAACAGAACCCTCAGAAATAATACCACACATCTACAACCATCAGATCTTTGACAAACCTGACAAAAACAAGAAATGGGGAAAGGATTCCCTATTTAATAAATGGTGCTGGGAAAACTGGCTGCCATATGTAGAAGGCTGAAACTGGATCCCTTCCTTACACCTTACACAAAAATTAATTCAAGATGGATTAAAGACTTAAATGTTAGACCTAAAACCATAAAATCCCTAGAAGAAAACCTGGGCAATACCATTCAGGACATAGGCATAGGCAAGGGCTTCATGTCTAAAACACCAAAAGCAATGGCAACAAAAGCCAAAATTGACAAATGGGATCTAATTAAACTAAAGAGCTTCTGCACAGCAAAAGAAACTACCATCAGCGTGAACAGGCAACCTACAGAAGGGGAGAAAATTTTTGCAGTCTACTCATCTGACAAAGGGCTAACATCCAGAATCTACAAAGAACTCAAACAAATTTACAAGAAAAAAAACAATCCCATCAAAAAGTGGGCAAAGGATATGAACGGACACTTCTCAAAAGAAGACGTCTTTATGCAGCCAAAAGACACATGAAAAAATGCTCATCATCACTGGCCATCAGAGAAATGCAAATCAAAACCACAATGAGCTACCATCTCACACCAGTTAGAATGGCCATCATTAAAAAGTCAGGAAACAACAGGTGCTGGAGAGGATGTGGAGAAATAGGAACACTTTTACACTGTTGGTGGGACTGTAAACTAGTTCAACCATTGTGGAAGACAGTGTGGCGATTCCTCAAGGATCTAGACTAGAAATACCGTTTGACCCAGCCATCTCATTACTGGGTATATACCCAAAGGATTATAAATCATGCTGTTATAAAGGCACACACACACGTATGTTTATTGTGGCACTATTCACAATAGCAAAGACTTGGAACCAATCCAGATGTCCATCAATGATAGACTGGATTAAGAAAATGTGGCACATATACACCATGGAATACTATGTAGCCATAAAAAATGATGAGTTCATGTCCTTTGTAGGGACATGGATGAAGCTGGAAACCATCATTCTCAGCAAACTATCACAAGGACAAAAAACCAAACACCACATGTGCTCACTCATAGGTGGGAATTGAACAATGAGAACACTTGGACCCAGGAAGGGGAACATCACACACTGGGGCCTGTTGTGGGGTGGGGGGAGGGGAGAGGGAAAGCATTAGGAGATATACCCAATGTAAATGACAAGTTAATCGGTGCAGCACACCAACATGGCACATATATACATATGTAACAAACCTGCATGTTGTGCACATGTACCCTAGAACTTAAAGTATTAAAAAAAAAAAAACAGAATGCTGTTGGAAAAATTCTATTTTGTCCTCCACCCAAAAACTCTAGTGTCTTTTCAATGACCTGCAAAATATCTAGGCAGTTTTGTAATCTGACTAGCATTTAGAAGTAAAAGGTGAACCGGGGATAAATTGCTAATATTTCTCTCTGAATTTATTAAGTTTACAGAATGATGCTGGTATTTCTTAAGCAATAGCAATGTTAGCAAAGATGACGCTTGTCATAGAAAACTCTACTATGTATGTAATCTAATTTGAGGTATTAGCCTCACACTGGATTTATTGTGTGTACAATCATTTCTTCTTTTCCACTATTCACTAATTGATTCATATCATACTTTTCTATTATATATCTTTCATCATAGTCCTGCTTAGAATGGGGTGGGTTATTCATTTATTATTTTTTGAGACAGGGTCCCAGTCTGTGGCCCAAATTGAAGTACAGTGGTGTGATTTTGACTGGTGGCAACCTCCACCTCCTGGGCTTAAGCCATTCTCCCACCTCAGCCTCCAGAGTAGCTCAGACTACAGGTGCATGCCACCATGCCTGGATAATTAAAAAAAAAAGAAACGTAGAGACAAGATCTCACTATGTTGCCCATAGGTTTCCAACTCGTGGGCTTAACTGATCCTCCTGCCTCAGCCTCTCAAAGTGCTGAGATTAAAGGCATGAGCCACCGAACCAGCTGTGGTGGGTTATAAATAACTAATAAGTAGCTACAATCATCATATAAATATAATGAAACTAAAAATTGTGCTTGTTTAATCTGCACATGTTTCCTTGACCCCTTCAATTGGAAAATCCTGCTAGCGTTGAACCAGCACCCTTTTCACTACAAATACAGCATTTTCTTCTCTTACTCAAGAGCAGGAGGACTGGTACCTGAACAGCCTCTGTTTTTGACAGCCAAGAAATAAGGAAATGTCACTGCAGAAATAGTAACTTGCCTGTAGCTCCTGAGTACAGAATGGCCTGGTTACAAGGCAAACACTGCGGCAGGTAGCAGGCAGGTGGAACATCTCCTGAGGAGGAGGGCTCCCACTGCCACCCACCTGGACGCTGGGAATTCAGGACATAATGAGGCAGATTTGTGCTTGGGGCAGGAGTAGGGGTATTGGGAAATGCTATCGATGCTACTGCTGCTGCTGCTTCTTATCATCAATCGTTATTGATATTTTTATGTAAGTTACAGTTTCTGCCTTCTCTCAAATCTCACTCTCTTTTGGGGAGCAAGACAAATAAAAAGCTTATAAAATAAAGTGCGACGTGTTCTCTTCATGGGACAGTTGGGGAAAACTCCTGAGACAATGAATTCTGCTGAGAGGGAAGATTGTTGGGAGTTTGGGCAGCGAGGCTTTTGTTGAAGAGTTTTATGTAGGGAGGATATTTATATTTTTAGATATCTCTATATTTAAATGAGTCCCAACACAGAATAGCCACTACCTCTTTAGTAATAAGATTCACTGAATTAGCAGATGAACATGGCCTTCATTTATGTGGGCTATCATTGATATTGATATGTATCGCTTTTCAGAATGACAATTTTATTTCTTAAATTGCCATAAAGAAATTTCTGATACATAGAACTCCTTGCCATTTCTAATTTTATTATAAAATTTGAGGTGTATTTCCACCCACAAAAAATAAAAATATAAAATTATCTCTCAAGATGCTTTTAAAATGACATATTAAAAGGGAATAATTATTTGGTAAATACAGTCATTTTTCAAAATTAAGATGTGACAATTGCACTCCATTTGTGTACGTGTGTCTATAAGTATGACATGTATTATATCTAACTAGAGTCAGAGCTGTGGGGAAGGGATTCCACATATTTTGCATTGGATGGTATTTTCATTTCAGTGTACAGCTCTTACTCTGTGAATGAATGAATGTTTCCTTTTAAAGCTAAAAAATGTACCTCTCTCATCCAAAACCATTTGTTTTATGATGCATATTAAGCTATGCTGGTTGAAAGTATTACCGGATATTTGAGTTCATTGTAGATGCTGGATATTAGCCCTTTGTCAAATGAGTAGATTGCAAAAATTTTCTCCCCTTCTGTAGGTTGCCTATTCACTCTGATGGCAGTTTCTTTGGCTGTGCAGAAGCTCTTTAGTTTAATTAGATCCCATTTGTCAATTTTGGCTTTTGTTGCCATTGCTTTTTGTGTTTTAGACATGAAGTCCTTGCCCATTCCTATGTCCTGAATGGTATTGCCCAGGTTTTCTTCTAGGGATTTTATGGTTTTAGGTCTAACATTTAAGTCTTTAATCCATCTTGAATTAATTTTTGTGTAAGGTGTAAGGAAGGGATCCAGTTTCAGCTTTCTACATATGGTTAGTCAGTTTTCCCAGCACCATTTATTAAACAGGGAATCCTTTCCCCATTTCTAGTTCTTGTCCGGTTTGTCAAAGTGAGAGATTTGTAGATATGTGGCATTATTTCTGAGGGTTCTGTTCTGTTCCATTTGTCTATATCTCTGTTTTGGTACCAGTACCATGCTGTTTTGGTTACTGTAGCCTTGTAATATAGTTTGAAGTCAGGTAGTGTGATGCCTCCAGCTTTGTTCTTTTGGCTTAGGATTGACTTGGCAATGCGGGCTCTTTTTTGGTTCCATATGAATTTTAAAGTAGTTTTTTTCCAATTCCGTGAAGAAAGTCATTGGTAGCTTGATGGGGATGGCATTGAATCTATAAATTACCTTGGGCAGTATGGCCATTTTCACGATATTGATTCTTCCTACACATGAGCATGGAATGTGCTTCCATTTGTTTGTATCTTCTTTTATTTCATTGAGCAGTGGTTTGTAGTTCTCCTTGAAGAGGTCCTTCACATCCCTTGCAAGTTGGATTCCTAGGTATTTTATTCTCTTTGAAGCAATTGTGAATGGGAGTTCACTGATGATTTGGCTCTCTGCTTGTCTGTTATCGGTGTAAACAAACAACCCCATCAAAAAGTGGGCAAGGGATATGAACAGACACTTTTCAAAAGAAGATATTTATGCAGCCAAAAGACACATGAAAAAATGCTCATCATCACTGGCCATCAGAGAAATGCAAATCAAAACCACAATGAGATACCATCTCACACCAGTTAGAATGGCCATCATTAAAAAGTCAGGAAACAACAGGTGCTGGAGAGGATGTGGAGAAATAGGAACACTTTTACACTGTTGGTGGGACTGTAAACTACTTCAACCATTGTGGAAGTCAGTGTGGCAATTCCCCAGGGATCTAGAACTAGAAATACCATTTGACACAGCCATCCCATTACTGGGTATATACCCAATGGATTATAAATCATGCTGCCATAAAGACACATGCACATGTATGTTTATTGCGGCACTACTCACAATAGCAAAGACTTGGAACCAATCCAGATGTCCATCAATGATAGCCTGGATTAAGAAAATGTGGCACATATACACCATGGAATACTATGCAGCGGTAAAAAAGGATGAGTTCATGTCCTTTGTAGGGACATGGATGAAGCTGGAAACTATCATTCTCAGCACACTATCGCAAGGACAAAAAACCAAACATCACATGTTCTCACTCATAGGTGGGAATTCAACAATGAGAACACTTGGACACAGGGTGGGGAACATCACACACCGGGGCCTGTTGTAGGGTGGGGGGAGGGGGGAGGGATAGCATTGGGAGATACACCTAATGTTAATTGAGGAGTTAATGGGAGCAGCACACCAACATGGTACATGTATACATATGTAACAAACCTGCACGTTGTGCACATGTACCCTAAAACTTAAAGTAAAAAAAAAAAGTATTACTGGATATTAATACATGCTTTTAAAATTATTCGAGATTGTTTAATGTCAAAGGTCCAATGATGCATACATGTCCTATTGTAGGAAGGCATGTGAGTCATAGAAGGCAGTCATCATAAAATCTTCTTTGCTGAAATGTTTTTTGTCCAGTGGATTCTTTTTAAGTGAGGCACAGGATAGCACAGTCACAACTGCCTATGTCCCTAGAGGATTGCATATGCACTAGAGAACCACTTCATTCCCTTACCATAGCGTACATCTGGCCACAATTTGAACTTGTACTTTCTTAAACATGCAGTATTGTTCCCCAGTCTTCAAATAATGAAGGGTGAGAGAATGTACTGTATGTCTGAGACACCCATTGGGGTACTGTAATGTCATCATGCATTTGTCCAGCTCTTTTACCCAAATGCATCCTCATAACCCATTTATACGACATATTCACAATCTTCCAAATTGGGTATAATGAGTCCTCTTTCCTCAGCAGCGTCATCAATCCAACAATTACTGTTTTGAAATGCCTGTCAGATCATCTTTGGTCATGTACAAAGAGCATATTCTAGGGGCATTATTATGTGGCTAATCTTTGAAAACTGTTGGCTGGGAACAAATTAATGAGGTACTGCACCCTCTTCTTTCCCCTGACGACTCTAGGCTGCCTTCTCCAAGTTAGCTCATCCATCGCCCATACCCCAGAACTGTAGCCACCCAGCAGAGTCATCACACAATCTGCATTGCTGTGGGTATTTATGTCATGCCAGGGCATTTGCATGGGTCATTTTCTCACTTGGGGGCTAACGTCTAGCTGTTCCTATAAATATTGTTGCTATATGAGGACAGATTTAATGAGTGACGGGCGAAAGATAATCCCCAGCAAATGCATCAATTGCATGGCTTTCAAGTCAAATTTATAATGATGGAAAAGTAATTTTAGAGAACATTTCGGTTTTATCACTGTGGAATGAGACAGCCAGGGCAAATAGTCAGCAAGTTACTATTGAATGTTTACTCCATACCAGACCAAGTAGAGAGATGAAGGTAAAAATCAGACGAGACTTTGTTTTCCAAAATCACTCTATCCAGTTTCATGGACAAGACTAACTCGCATGGAGCAACATGTTGGGTGGGGGCGGAGGGGGGTGGATTATAACCAAATCTAGAGAAGAATTGTTCCAAGTCCGAAGAGATGACCCAGAAAGGAGAAAGGGAGTGCAGATGTGCAAAGGATCACTTTTACTTGAAGTAATTGAATCAGGAGAAGTGTTGTTGTAGACCTGGGATTAGAGCTGAACTAGATCTTGAAAGATGAGGAAGAATTTACAGAAGGTGGAGACGTATGTGTCAAGAGAGTATGGGGAATTTGAAGGAGAATTCCAGGTGAAGATGGTAGTATGAGCAAAGGCTTAATGATCCAGAAGATTGGCAATGCATAACCAGTCATGGACGTATTGAACCAGCAGTGGCATTGTGCTAGGTGCCCTGGAGGAATACAAATTATTGTGTGCAGGCTGCTGTGTTCAGTGCATGGTGGCCACACCCTAGCAGAGGAGCTCAGAGTTAAGTGAGGAGTAATAGCAGAGGTTGCAAAATAATGAATATTTAAAGAGTACTGTTTTCCTATGGTTGCCATAACAAATTACCACAAACTGGGGGATTTGCAAAAGAAAATTATTCTTTCATATTTCTGGAGGCCAGAAGTCCAGAAGCATAATTCCAACAGGGACACATGATCTCTGAAAACCCCAGGGAAGAATCTTCCCTTTTCTTCTCCTAGCTTCTAGAGGCTCTTGGTAGTCTTTGGGACTGCGTGGGTTGTATATGCATTGCTCTAGTATCTGCCTTTTTCTTTAAATGACCTGTCTTAGGTGTCCCCTCTGTTTTTCATAAAGATATCAGTCATTAGATTTATCTGGCCCTAATTTCAGAATGATTTTGCCTTTAGATCCTTAAGTACTTAATCAGCAAACACCTTATTCCTACATAACATCACATCTGGGTTCCAGGTGCACAGGAATTTTGTGGGAGCACTCTTCAACCTACCACATCAAGTCTATTTGTGCACAAGTTTAAAACTAACCCAAAGAAGTGAGTTTAATCTTATAGCTCTTACATACACTTCCATAGAATAGAAGAGTGACTTTGTTCTTCTGAAACTTAGTAAAACTAAGTATATCCTTCTTTAATTTGCTAATCCATGTTCTATTGGGCATCTTTTCTCCAAATAAACTCATTTTGCTTTTAATAAAAATCGACAGAGGCAGGTAAGCTCCTTCCTTGATTATTTTCACGAGCCAGCTGCAGGAACTTCCTTAGCAGTTAGGGTTTCTACAGTACTGCCTTATTGTACACTCTAATTTCATGTATGTTCCTAAAGATGGTGAACTTATAAAACCATTGGAGACTCACAACCAAAGTTTTATCTATCGATAGGCCTTTCCTCATGCTTAAACTTTAAACTTAAAAAAAAAATGCCAGCCCTCTCCTGAATTTACACTGGTATAAGCACCATGTAATAGCAACTAATACTATCATCCAGCTTCTTGTCACACATACTTCAAAGGTACGGCATATCCTTAGTTTGCTTTATTTCTGAGTTAAGTATAAGTTGCTCACTCTGAATTGATGGCAGCTAGAAAGACATTGACAATATAATATATTATCCGAACGAAGGTTTTTTTTATATTGACAAGTGGCTCAATTAATAATTACTCTAGAACAACAGATGTAAGCAATGTACCATATTTTCCTGAGCAAACGCATAAGATACATCAGCCAATATATCTATCAAGCCTTATCTCTTAGGACCCCAGCACAAGCCCTGTGTTTCAGCCAAACTGATGACATTTCTGTTATTTTCTACACAGTTAAAAGATGTTATATGTATTTTTTTCAAACAATCTTGTGACTTGTCACAATACCTACCTAGCTAATGTTTCTTGAAAATGACATCACATTTAATTATTTAAAGCCAGCATTTATTGAGTACCTACTATGTGCCTGGGCTGCATACGTGCATCTGGATAAGATACAGCCTTGGAAGCTCAGAGGGATTAAGTGGCTATGAAAATGCACACAATAATAAGGGACACAGCCAGGAATGGGGCATGGATTCCTTACTTCAAATCCTGTGATAATTGTACTTGGCACCTCTCTTAAAAGATTTTTTAAGTTTCCCCAAATAGGGATGATTCTGAATTTGGTGCCTTAAAGACTCCTACATTTTTCTTGATCCCTTATTCCCATTGCTTTTATTTACTTTTTAAAAAAAAATTATTATTTTATTTTATTTTATTTTATTTTATTTTATTTTATTTTATTTTATTTTATTTTATTTTTGAGACAGAGTCTCGCTCTGTTGCCCAGGCTAGAGTGCCGTGGCGTGATCTCGGCTAACTGCAGCCTCTGCCTACCTGGTTCAAGCGATTCTCCTGCCTCAGCCTCCTGAGTAGCTGGGACTACAGGTGAACACCACCACACCCGGCTAAATTTTTGTATTTTTAGTAAAGATGGAGTTTCACCATGTTGGCCAGGATTGTCTCGATTTCCTGACCTTGTGATCCACCTGCCTTGGCCTCCCAAAGTGCTGGGATTACAGGTGTGAGCTACTGTGCCCAGCCTAAATATTTTATTTTTTAATTGAGATGGAGTCTCATTATGTTGCACAGGTTGATTGTAAACTCCTGGGCTTAAGCAATCCTTCTGCCTCAGCCTTCAGAGTAGCTGAGATTACAGGTGCATGCCACCACACCTGGCTGCTTATTCCTATTCTCTTCTAGTACAAAATCTGTTACTTTCCTGACCTCTCCTTGCTAACCTGCATTCTTTCTTTAGGACTTTCTTCCACAGCTTTGTACAAACTCTGCTGCTATTTGAGCTTTCGCGTAACAAAATGTTCGCTTATATGGGAATCCTTGTTAGATAATATCTTATCTAGTGGAAGGAGGTTAAGGAATCTGTGTCTGCGGTAGGACAAGTTGCAAAACAACTGCATGCTTCTAGAAATTAGTCAAAAGTCAGTATTCTGACTCACTCATTTTGAATGGCTAGGCAGCCCATTCTGAAATGAATGTACGATGGCTCTGCTATTACTTAGTGTTGCAAGAAGAGATGTTGACAAATGGTTCCTGAGATTCTGGGCCTCCATCAAGTTACTCCATACAGCATCCCATCATCAACCAAGTCCCCAGCTTTTATTCTAAAGCCATGCTCAAATGATTTTACTGGGAACTGACTTAAACAAAATGCCAGTGGCTTAAAATCTGGTCATTGTTAAATTTCTGGCTCTCCTGGTGGTTTACCTTGTTTCCAGATCCACTTACATTTTCTGTCATGTTACTTAGTAACCCATGTCTACCCACAAGCATGGCAGATGCTTCCTCTATCCTGGGAGCATGCTTAGCAGCATCACCCAACAGGAGAAAGGCTGGACTGCGCAGGAGCCACGAAAGGGAGACTGCCCCCCTTACCAGCAGAGCCAACAGACACTGGCATGCCATGGCCTCTGGAATTTGCAAATGCCTCAGGCCTAGGAAAATACATCTGGGGGCAGGAGCTGGGATATTTTGAAGATACATTTACATTTGAGGGAATATTTTCTTACATTTGAGGGAAGAAATGTGTCTTTTGGGATTCTGCTAAAGTCTTGGTCAGCATTCAAGTTTTCTTTAGATAAGGATTTAAATATTTCTAACTTGAGTACTTTTTATATGTCAGGGACATTGGGAGTCTATGTAGATTGCCTCAGTGAATTCTTATACTGCTCTAATGTAGGTTTTATAAAAATTTTACAGATGTGAACTCTAAGGCTTAGGATATAAAATGCTGCCCAGGGTGAAACCATCAGTAAGTAGCAGGGATTCAAACTCAGATTTGCCTAAATCCAAAGTTCATGCTCCAAATCCGTTCATAAAGGAGAATGTTATTAAATACACTTGAATTAAAAGAGACTCAAATGAAACAATATAATCCTGATCTAGTGTGACTTAAAAATCCCCCTTCCCCATCATCTTCTTATCTAAATCCATGGAGTACAGTTACAGGTTGCTGCCAGCACTGTGTCTACTGTTGAATAAACAAAGGTACTTGTAACTGGAAAAAAAATAATTTGGAGTCTACTATCCTGATTAGTATCCAGTCCACCAACCACTCTGATAAGTAGTGCCCAATTATTTTTAAAATACATTATTTTCTTTGGCTTCTTTGTTCTTGTTTAAATAAGGAAATCACACAAGTCATTGAACCACAGAACAATACTCTCAACAAATCTTCATATGTCCATTTATCTGAGGTCCTGCTGATTAGGGAAAGCAATGAATTATAATTGTCTCGAAGAATTGCAATTGTTGCTTTTTAAAGTAAGGCAGCTGGCATACCTGCCAAGGAGGTAGTGGAACAAAAATCTTCTAAATCCTCTATTTACTATAGGAAGGTAAAAAGTTTGAATAACCAAAATTTATAGATAAGAAGAAATCAAGATGAAACAAGCTGAGAATTAAAGATATGTATGTATAGACACATATATTTATACCACACATATATTTATTTAAACTTATTTAAATATATATACAAAAGTATATACGGTAATTCCTTAGTGTCTTTTACAAGTTCTTGGAAATTCAGACTTTAAACAAAACAATGTACAATGAGTCCTCAAATAACATTGTTTTCTTCAATATCTTTTCATTATAACATTAATGAGAAAAAAATTGATTTTGTTACCCACCATTTTGCTTAAAGTCACAGTTTCCAGGAACCCATGGATGATGTTAAGTGAGAACTTACTGTATTTAAATCTACAAATATAAAAACATATAATTTAAGTATGTAAATAAATATATATTTTATGTACTATTATATATGTGTATATATACACATACAGATGTATATGTTTAAAGTTTCAACTTTGTCTTAAATAATAAGATCGCCTTCTACAAATATTGGTCTTTATTCACATCTTTACATTTACATTTAAATAAGTCCATGTGTATGGTTTCAATTTCCAAAAATAAATAGGTTTATGAGATATTCTTATTGATTTTGCAAACTTTAATACCTCAAATTTTTTTATAATTATGCAGTTACTTTTGAAGTCTTTTAGCAATGTTATAAAAAGAAAGATTTTGCTTTTCCTACATGATAATTTGACTTTCCATTACACAAAATTGACAAAGCCATTCATTGAGTTGTCATTTAATTGTTTCAGAAATTATTCAATAAATGACAAATGTATTTCAAGAAGAGAACTCAAACACATTACGTGGAATGAGGGGGGAGTGTATGAAGGAATCATTAGCAACAGATTAGAGTCCCCACCAAAGAAAAAGAAACAAGACTCAAGGGCTTTTTGAGCTGCCACCTCTCCCCAGAGAGGGCTCAGAAAAAAGATGGCCTGGACTCTGCTGGGCAGGGTGGTGGGTCATCACCCATGAATCAAGGACATGAACTAACCTATATACACCTATGCCAGCATTGCAGCTTTGGCATTTCTGGGTTTGAGGGATGCAGGAGCAGCAAGCTTGATGCAAGGGGACTTAGGAACGGGCCTCTAAACAAAGCTTCTCTGGTAAGCACAGGATCTTTCCTTAAATTACGTGCCTATTAAGGGGTTTAGGATGCCCCGCCCAAGCTGTGGCTTGGTTCTTCTTCTATACACACACATACATTCTTAAATTCTCACATATTTATAGCCCTCACATATAAACACAGTGTCTGAAACACAACATAAGCCTTTGCAAAAATATGCACTAGATAGGGAAGGCCTGGAGGATGCCCAGGCATGAAAGTGTCTACTTCTCAGAGGAACATGGCTTTGGGTCACTGTCATTTGCACCTGCACTGCATTTTCCTTTCTCTCATCTACATGCAGAATGCTTCATATTCAAGGGAGGTGCCACACCCAGTCAGCTGAGCTGTTTACACGTAGTGGGCTAGCTTGCTCATGCTTACCTGCTGTGTCTTCTGTTCATCAGTTCTTTCTACTCTGTTTTACAGTCCATTCGTGGAACTCTAGCTCTCAATTATTGTTTCATAAATACAGGCAGGTAGGACAAAAATGTGGCTGAATCATTGCAAAATCAAAATATTTTCTGGGAGAAAAAAATCATAGCACTTCTTCTACTGACAAGTCAGAAACTTCATGCTCTCATCTATGTGCCCATCTGTGCATATTCCTCCATTTTGTACCTGTCCATGCATTCTTCTTACCTCTGACAGGAAATTTCCACATTCTACTCTTGAATCCTCCTTAATTTAGTACCTGCAGAATGTGCCTAACAGATGCTTGATACCCTAAATTACAGTCAGATAAGGCAGGATGTTAGGGGTCCATGATTCTTTGGGGAGATTTTTTGCAAGTACATCTTCCTTCCTACAAAAGGTAAAAAAAAAAAAAAAGCACCCACAGCGTTCAAGTTGAAATAACTCCAGCCCAATTTTTATGACTCCTTCTCTGTACTTCCAATACTCCCTTCCTACAAAAGGAAAAAAAAATCACCCACAGTATTCAAGGTTAAATAACTCCAGCCCAATTTTTATGAGTCCTTCTCTGTACTTCCAATACTTGGGGGGGTGGGGGAAAACTGTTTCTTTTTCCTATGAGCTCCTGAATTAACTTCCGAAAAATTCTTGAGTCACTAAATTAGAGAATTATTTTCAAGACAAGTCTAGGGTGTTAGACAAACTTAGGGGCATCATTCAGCTTCTCTCTCTGATTCCAAGAGCAGCCACAGCAGCAGAACGGTCCTTTGGTTACAAGGCAGTAGGAAATGTGCCTCTCATATGGACAATTGCAATTGGTCAGAGACGTGAAACACAAGAGCAACGCCTGCTCACACTTATTTTGTTTGCACTCTCTACTTTTATTAGCCTCACATAATCAGTGACTAAAATTAGTTACCTTTATCTGCAATTAACATTAAGGCCCACAAAACTGGAAACCGTACTTAAGAGTAGTAGAAACTTGTGGTTACTGTATTATGCTTTCCTTCTTAATGTTGATTGTTACCATTGCAATAATAACTTCAATGAAGCCTGCTTTTTTTTTTTCAACTTAAAAAAAAAATACTTGAGAGATTCTTGGTTTTGTTGATGTTCCTGCCAGGCCTGGAATATTTCCATTTGGCTAGAGCCAGGTAGACACCTGGGGCCTCGAAATTTGACCTAGAGTCCTTTTCTTTGGGCATCAGTAACTCCCCCAGGCTCCTCCTCCAGCTCCCCTGTATGCTGCCAGGACTCTATGCGAATGGTCCCTAATGAGCCTGCTTGGGTAAACTGTCTTCATCTGCAACCACAAGATCTTATTGTTTCCACTGAGTATTTAGTTTATCAAGTGAGAGAAAGACTGACTTACTGTTTGCTTTTCCTTTTGTATACAAAGCTCAAAAGAAAGCAGACCCTGAGAGCCAGTGTCCTCTGGGCCTCTCCCCCAGGCACATCACATACACCTACCTTTCATGGCAATGACATCCCTTATTATTGATAATGCTATGTAAAGATCCTTGTATGGTTCAGTCCATTTAAAGTTTACGCACTGTTGCTCAAAGTGAGGTCCCCAACCAGGAGCACCAGCAGCACCTGAGATTTCATTACAAAAGCAAATTCTCAGTCCCACCCTAGGTCTACTGAATGCTTTCTGCAGGCGGAGCCCAGTAGGCCTTGCCTTGACATGTTCTGTGGGACATTTTGAAGCATGCTCGTTTTTGAGAAATCTCTCCTTTACAGATCATATGAGGTGACTACCCTCATTACATCCACTTTACAGAGGAAAAACAGTGCTTTAGGGTTTTAGTCATTTATCATGGTCACAGAATCCATGTCACACTTCAAAGCTGAGATAATCTATATAAGAAAACAACAACAAAGAAACACATACACACACACACACACACACACACACACACAAAAGAATTCATCCTTGTTAGCTAAACATTAAATAAATAAGGATTAGTTTAAAAATCTCTTCAACTCAGTCATTACACCTAGCTAGCATCATTGACTATATTTACATTTTAAAAATCCGAATACTTTGCTGGATGTTAAAGTTGAGATATTAACTCTTGTCGATGAAAAGAGTCAAACTCTGTAAAAGATTTTAACAGGTTGATTCTGAGCCAAATATGAGTGATTGTGGCCAATGACACAGCCCTCCAGAGGTCCTGAGAACATGTGCCCAAGGTGGTCAGGTGCAGATTGGTTTTATATATTCTAGGAAGGCATGAGACATCAATCAAATACATTTAAGAAACACATTGGTTTGGTTCATAAAGGCGGGACAACCCAAAGCGGATGGGGGCTTCTAGGCTATAGATAAATTTAAACACTTTCTGGTTAACAATTGGTTGAGTTTATCTGAAGTCCTGGGATTAATGGAAAGGAATGTTCAGGTTAAGCTAAAGGATTGTGGAGACCAAGTTGTGCAGAGGAAGTTCTCAGATAGCAGACTTCAGAGAGTGCAGGTTGTAAAATGTTTCTTATCAGACTTAAAAGGGTGCCTGGCTCTTAGTTGATTAAATCCTGGATCTGAGAAGGAAGGAAAACAAAGGGGAAAGGAGATTTTTTATAGAATGTGGATTTTCCCCACAAGAGACGGCAGAGTAATTCCCAGGTATGGCAAGGAAATATATTTTGGGGTAAAACATTTTTATTTTCTTCCTTGTTATGCCAGAGTCAGATTGGAAAGTAAGTCATGATATACAGGGTCAAATAAAACCCATCTGAGGAGAATTGATGGTTTGTAGGGCATGACTCCACAGACCCCTTAGGTAGGAATTTGGGCAAGATAAAAAATCAGAGCTTAGGTTTTGGAGACATTCACTTTAGATTAAGAGGAATCAGAGTGAGGACTAACAGGTTTATACATATTGAAAATACAATTACAAGTTGAGATTGCTGGGAATCATTAAGCACCTTAACAATAAGATTAATTTAATAGCAGTGGATTTAGGAGAATTAATTTTAAGCAGATCATCCTCCTTATTTTGATATCAGCTGTTGGATCCTATCCCACTACACATGCAACCAGTTTGTAGGGGACTGCAAACATCTGGTCTCCCCTAGAACGTGTCCATATGAATATTAATCCTGAAGACTACACATTGACTCCCTGTCCTTGTGATGTGTTTAAATGCCACATGTGTAAATGTGTGAGTGCATTTACTCCTTAAAGAGGTTAGGCCCCATGTTGGGAAATTCTCTGAAACATTTCAGCAAATTCTAGTGTTAAGAAGAGAAAACAGATGGGCATCAGTGAGGAGCTTTCATGGGCTAAATGTGGAGCCAGAGGGCTGGAGGGAGCCTGCTGAAGCTGGGGTGAAGACCAGCTGTTGCTTTCACAATGCTGATTGGCCAGTTTTTCCCTGTTTCCTTTTCTGCAGAGCTCTATCCAGTTATAAGATCATCTAAAATCAGCAAAAGAGCTTAGGACAGAACCACTGGGATTATTCAAGTTGAATGATGAGCTTTGAGATCCTTTAGTTGACTATTCTAAGCTGGCTTCATAGTGAAGTCCAGGCTTTATCTCCATGTATTTCACATTGCAACCCACAGGGTAAGCCAAGAACCAGTGTCTGAGCAAGGAAATGTGGAGGAATGGATGCAATGGGCCTGGAAGATTCTAGATATATCCCTGCCCTGGGTAGGGAGAAAGACCTGCTATAGAGGTGTTAAGGGACATTTTCAAGGTCATGCAAGCAACCAGTGGTGCAACTGTAATCAGATCGTAATCAAAAGCCTCTGCATTTCCCTCTATACTTTATTTCTGTTAGTCTGTGACATTGTAATAACTTGCTTTTGCATTGGTGGTCTCCATTAAATCAGCAGCAAGATTCTGGGCATGCTAAGTTCTTAATTGAGCTTTTAATAATTGCCAAAACTGAAATTAATATCTGTATTAAAAGCTTATTAGTATATGTGCGTGAGAGAACAAAGGAGAGAACCATTTAAAAAATCCTGACAAATATATTTGAGACCATGTTCCTACATGTAGTCTTTATTATTTAACAAAAAATTAAAACAGAGAAGTGTTAACAAACTTTGTTACAATGGCTAATAAATAATAATGTATTAGCTTAAAAAGATACGAGTGTGCTCTTAGTCTACAATATCTATCCAGTCTCTCTCTTCAAATTCATTTTCTATCACTAACCAGCTATATCTTATATCTAATTTATTATTTTTTTGTGTCCTTAATACATCTTCCTTTAAGATTTTGCTTATAGCATTTCTCCTGCTGTGAATGCACCTCACTTTCACCATTTTCTCTTCCCATTTTTTTGTATATTTATTGAATTTTTGTTACACATACAGTACTCTGTAGTTGCTGACAAGCCAACATAACTTAAATATGGTCTCTTCTGGTTCAAGTAGTCTAAGCCCCTCACATTCATATATTGCCAGGAACACCCTCTCTGACAAGCTTCGTGCATGTGAACTGCTGCCGTGCTACCATATACACATATACTGTGTTGCATGCCATTGATTTGTCTCCTTAATGGTTCTGCACACCCAGAAATGGGAAAAACCATTGCTTAAGCCCCTTTGTAAGCCTAGCACCTTGCACAGTGCTTGGCATATAATGAGAGCTTAAAAGATATATATTGATGGTGATGAGATTCTCACTCTCAAATTGTTTTCTGAAATTGGTAGGGTTAAAATACTATATCAAACAGTGATCAATACTCAGGATGTTCTAGGCCCAACGTGGCAGAATAAATGTGTATAAATCATGAAGATCAGAGAGCATCTCCCAGAGAATTTGGAAGTCACTCAAGGATGAAATCGGGGAACTGATGACCAAAATGTATAATCCATTGCTTGAATTGACCTCTGTGTGAGAAAACTGCCAGGTAACAAATGCAAGTCCTTCATGTTAAGACAGATTCCAGAAAGTTACAGGAAATCACAGACCATCAGAGTGCACAGGCCAAAAGCGTCTATAATAAAGGACTATATGGCTGTCTGTTTGGGGAGAGGCAACATAATTTTAATAAGAGAAAACTGCAAGTTTAATATTAATAAAATATAGAATATTCACAGGAGATGATAGGGTAGAGAAGGGGACTGACATGAGCTATGTGATGAATAGCTGAGGATGTGGGGACATTGAATTAGGGCAGAAGACCCTCACTGACAGTGTGGGAATTGTGCTCATGAAGGAAAGGGCTCAACATTGTGGTTATTCATGGATATAACATGAACAGTACATGTTTCTTCTGGCATATCTTTCAAAAGGACTGTTAACAGGACCTGGTCTGAGTGGACTTAGTTAAGAGGTTCCTTTGTTCCAAACAAGTTTACCCACTTTACCAAGCATTGGCTCATGTTGCTGCCCAGAGTCGGAATTTTAATATTTGTAATGATTTGGCATGTCTACACACCAATCAGGAAGAGGTTTTGGAGCTGCTAAGATTCTGAACATTGTTGCAGGGTTTGTCCCTGACACACCTTCATGCCTGATTATTTAGTGAAGCGAGGGACTCTGGCTTGTGCATAAATCATGGTGCATCACTAAGTGGCTGTTTGGTGACCTCATTCATGAGCATTCCACTCAGTGCCAGATCAGAAACTCTCCAAATTGGATTTTTAGGGCATGAAAAATTGCTACCGTACATTGCAAAGGTATCCTTTTAGGATTATTTTTCTGAAGCGAACCTTGTGAAATGTAATAAATCTCTTCAGTACTGGTGAATGGATTGTCCCATCCTCAGGATGTGCTATGTATTGTTTGGTAAATCAATTTTAAAGAGCACTACAAACTATATATTATCTAAAATTTGAGGGTCCGCAGAAGACCAGGTGAACATAAGCATTCAAGAGCTTCTCTGCTTCATTGGCCAGGTGCGGTGGCTCAAGCCTGTAAACCTGAGGTCATGGTGGGAGGATCACTTGGGCCTACGAGTTGGAGACCAGCCTGGGCAACATAGTGAGAACCCATCTCTAAGAAGAAAGTTTTAAAAATTTCAAAAGAATTAGCCAGATGTGGTGGTGCATGCCTGTAGTCCCAGCTACTTTGAAGGCTGAAGTGGGAGGATTACTTGAGCCCAGGACATCAAAACTACAGTCAGCTATGATAAGTGCCACCGCACTCCAGCCTGAGTGACAGAGTAAGACCCTTTCTCCAAATATATATATATGTATATATTTGTGTATATAAATATATATTTGTGTGTATATATATATTTGTGTGTATATATATATTTGTGTGTATATATATACATACACACAAACACACACATATATATACACACACATGCATATATATATTTACACACACACACACACACAGATATATATGTATATATTCTCTATTTTCTTGATAAACCACCTTTAAGCCAGTACTTGATGTTTTAGACATTGACTTTTTCTGAAAAGTTAAACAAAACAATTTAGACAGTTTTGCAAAACCTTTTGTTTGACTATTGTTCTTGTCTTAGTTATAAGGCTTAGTTTTGGTGGACCCAGAGTCTTAATTCTAATTTAAAATTAAAAATAAAAAGTAAAAAGAAAAGCTCTCAAGATAATCTCTTTAATCCAGCAGCGTAATCTGATGAAATCACCAATAAATATTAGTTAGCCACAAGGCAAATTTCACAGATTTCTGTGAAGTGTTTGTAAAACACCCTGAAAGCCTAGAGGGTTTTAGAGAGTCCAAGCACTATTTACAACATACACAAATACAAATAGGTATTATTGGTATCTTCACACTTTTATATTTAGCAACATGTGAATTAAACAATAGGGCTTCATATTATTCTTAAAGAGTTGGCTTGACAAAGTTGACATTTGAGGTGAGAAAAGTAAATCAATTCTGTGAAAATCAAAAAATAAAAATAAAAAATAAATCAGTGTACTAAAAGAGAAACAGAAACTACAGTTTTGCAACCAACTATATTTAGGAATAAATCTTAGTTGTGAAATATTTTGCCACCAGTTTCTGGTTGTGTGAGCTTGGATTGGGCTCTGTGAGCCTCAAGCCTCTTGTTCCTGGAGATGTTAACATTGAATCACCAGTTTATAGAATGACAATTTAATATACATAAAGAATTACATTTGCTTACATATCTTGTGTAATAGGTGTTTAGTAACTGTTAGTTATCCCAGTATTAATTAAGGGGACACCTATTTTTCCAGGGTTGAGCCTAGTTACTGTACATGACCGGTCATGGTATTCCTGCCTAACGCCACTCTATTTTACTCTTTAAATTGGAAGTTGTAATGGTCCCTCCTCAAATCACTTCTCCCTGTACTTACTTAGTAAAAGGCTGCTCCTGAAGCTGCCTCTCTCCCAATTGCCCTGCAGCCACTGCAAGCATCTCTGGGGAGCTGTTGCTGGAATTTCCTGCCTCACTGTAGACGGAGGGCCCTGCCTTTCCTTCTCTGCCCATCCAGCAACTTCTACCTGCCCTACCATGTCAAGGCTGTTTGGGATGCAAGGTAGGGAATGGGGAAAGTCTCCTGCCCCCACCCTTCAATTCAGGGAGCCCTAGTAATTCTGCAGTTCTCTTAATAATCACCCCAAAATAAGTTCCTGCCATGTGTCTAGTGATACCGGGCACAGGGGCTAAATGGACATATAAAGAGATCCCTGCCTTTGAGGAGCTTGGAATCATTTAGAAACACAGGGAAAGTGACAAGGGTGAGGAAGTGAAAGAGGCTTTGTGCCCCCTGCTCATGAGCCCAGAGGAATTGTCATCCCTCGAAATACATCCCAACCCAGGGGCTAAGCTGAAAGTAGATTATTTGGTTCTAAAGAAGATGAAACTCATGATTAAAAACAAAAAAATTAGGCACAATAACTCAAAGCTACAACTCAATCTAAAGACAACCAGTCCCAATGACAAGTACCAGAGAAAACAAAAAATCCCACATCGATTTGTCCCTCTAAAGTCAACATAAAAACCTTAAAATTGTTCCTCAAAATGGAAGGTGTGCTTATTTCTTATCTCAAACTAAAAGTGAAACAAAATGAAAACCTGTAATAATTTATGGGGACCTCAAAATTGAGAAAAAATAAAATAGTCCCCAAAATACAATTTTTTTTCTTTTTCAACTTTTATTTTAGGTTCAAGGGGTACATGGGCAGGTTTGTTACATGGGTAAATTGCTTGTCCCTGGGGCTTAGTGTACAAATGATTTCATCACCCAGGTTTTGAACACAGTACCCAATAGGTAGATTTTGGACTCTCGCCGTCCTCCCAACCTCTCCCTTCAAGTAGGCTGTGGTGTCTATTTTCCCCTCTTTGTTTCCATGTATACTCACTGTTTAGACTATTTTTGAAAATGAAGAAAACTTACGCCCTTTATAAATATTATAACCTAATATTACAAGTGACCCAGAATAAAGATGACATTAATACTATTCTCAGGATTCAGTCTGCCATAACTAATTTTAATCCTCAATTTATGACTGTTTTCAATTACAACCCCAAGTGATGGGTAGGCAATTAACAAATAACAATGAGTATATAAAACAGAAGTTATTTCATTTTTATCAGGGAGATGGGGCCAACATGGGAATGTGAATGTGAAGACAACACTAATGTAAAGTATAAATTGGCATTGATTTAAGAGGACAGAATCTGAAAAGGAAAGAATATGCTATTAATTTCCGTATCTTCACATTTTACACACATTTGGATTAAAAAATGGTGACTTATTTTCTCAATGAAAAATAATATAAACTTACAACTTATTTTATTCAGTGCCTGAGGTTCTGAAGCTACCTCCAGGTGACTTTTGCTATCTGCTTCACCTCCACCTTTTCCTCCATTAATAATTTGCTGACAGCCTTTCACCCACACAGTGAGGTCAAGAGTGTGGGGCTGGGACTGGGGAGGAAAGTTCTGTTTTGTAACTTGGAGCAAACTGTCCTTCACTCTGAAGCTGAAGATTGTTTCCAATGACAGAATAATTCTAAATTTTCTACTTGTTTTGTAGTTTTAGTTTTCAATTATTTGTAAATCTACAATAGAAGCTGCTTCGTGGCTTTAAAGTCAGGCCAGATTTTAAAGATTACCAAGTCACAATTCATACATTGGGCAATGTTGATCAAATGATGTAATTGAGCTAGCTGTGTTGTTACAAAATATGTGAAGTGCCTGGCATATAATAAACTAATAAGTCAATAAACACTCAGTAAATTAGTATAATCACATTAATAATCGTACTTTTTGGTACATTTATCTGTTTTTTAATTAATTTTTATAGATGAAGAAAGTGAGGCTCAGTCAGTGAATTACCCAGTTTACTACAAAAAGGGGAACATACTAAACTATTTGCGACAGACATCCTAATTTTCCTAGGAAGTAGAACCATGCCGGGCATGGGCCTTAAAAATTGTCTAATTATTTCTAATGGGCACTCACCAGTTATTAAACTACCAACAATCTGGATATTGGAAAATGACGGAAATATACTCTGGTTACCATTAGCACATCTCAGTTTTATTCATTGGAAGGAAAAAGATGTCCTACCCAGATGCTGTCTTCTTGTTTGTACTGTTTCCAGTTGCGTCCTGTGTCACTGAACATCAGGCTGTAACTCGTCACCCAGTCAGAGCTTCCGTATCTTCCCTGCGTGGCCACTGCTGTAATCTCTACTCTGTTTCCCAGGTCCATCTGGAGCCACTGTTGAGCATTGGAATCTGCTGGGGACCAACCGCCAGTTCCTGGAACAGGATCAGAGAGAGTGAGAGAGAGTTGTAGTAATGTCTCACATAGCTACAATTTTCAACTATCAAAGGGAAATGAAACAGTGTTCAACTAAGATGACTCTACCCCCAAATGGGCCCTACTCTTCCCTGCCTCTGTACTTAACCCCCTGGTACTTTCCATTCTCCACCTCCATCAAAATCTCTCTCATGGTTTAAGACTCATGCCAGAAGCTGTATCTTCCATGCTTCCATCCCTATTTCCTTAGTCATTATGACTTCTATCTTACAAACTCCTAGTGACATTTGTTTTATTTATTTCTCTTCTTACAACTTCAGCCTTTGATTGCAGATATATATGAACTAGGCTTACATGTGCTCTCTCTCTCTCTCTCTGACTAATATATCGTTCCTTCTTTTCTTCCTTCTCTTCCTTGTTTTAGTGTTCTTTCATTACCTTCTCTCTCCTCGGTCTCTGAATATTTACTATGAACCTATCATGGTCAAGATATTGTGCTGCAGATACAAAGATGAAAGGACACCGACTATGCCTTTGAAGAGTATCATTCATTTATTCGGCAGATGTTTGTTGAGCACCAGGAGTATGCTGGGTGCTGAAGAGAGAGAGAGAGGCTGACAAAAACATGTGATGTGAAAGAAACCATCACAAGAGGTAAACAGCAGGTACACAGAGCACAGAATGCCTCAGGAGCTGATCAGAGAGGCCTTCTAGAGATAGCAATAGTAGAGGTGAAACCTGAGGCAAGTGCAGCCATATCCTAGGAAAAAAGGTGGAAAGTTCGATGGAGATTAGCCAGGGAAGAGGGAACAACATACACAAAATCTCAGAGGCATGACAGAGTCTCTAACATTCTTGGATCTCGTGTGATTCAGTATACCTGACATGTAGGGGCATTCTGACACACATACAAAAACTGTTTTGGCCCGAGAATTTTGTATGTATCACACCTGAGGTTTGCAGAAGATCAATGTGAGTTCTCTCTTAGTTGAAAGACTTGTAGCCTAAATTTTCTGTTTTTATTTCACATAGGAGTAAAAAAGACAATATTCACTTCTACTGTTCCCAAGTTTCACAAATCTTCTGAAGCCCATGTGGGAGCTATCGCAGACTGTATTATGCCATGGGTAGAGATAGCATAGAAGCAACTCAGGACATCAAGTAGGGAGAGGTAATTGAAGTTTTCATTTAGAGGAGTTAATCAATAACCTTTTTCTTTCAATCTATGTCATTGAAAATCATTTTAGCGATGTTTCAGTCTACTTTCTCGCCACCTTGGAAGAAGTCATTTGGACATCTCCTTGGTAACTGAGAGTTTTCTAGAGCCCCAGCTCCTCCTGCAGAGTCTCTCATAGTACAGGACTGCAATGCAGACAGAGTGATAGAGGGCATAAAGCCAATCCTATTCTGTCTTTAAGGATGGAAAAATAGAGGACTTAAAGGCACATCTTGCAAATTGTGGTTGATTTTCTTCAGTAAGCAGCTAGCCCTTAGCAGATTTTGTTTGAGAAAAGTTTTGATTTTTTTCTTTTTTTTTTTCTCACCATTCCTGAGAAGATTCAAATGCAGGAAAGAAGGGGAAGGGAATGTGCTCAGCATCTATTGTGGAATGTGATTTTTAAGTGTTTTTTATGAATACAGTGGCAGTTATGGCAGATAGTCACTAATATCCATTCTCTCTTCCTTCTTTGGTAGTAGAATTGCAGTGAGTGCATGGCTTAATGGCAGTTTTCAGCTTTCCATACTTTCATGGTTATGGCCATGTGGTCAAGTTCTCTCCAATAAGAATGTGAGTGGGAATAATTTGTGCCACTTCCAGGCTAGCGTGCTCCTTCTCCACTTGCTTTCCTTTTCCACCACTGATGGATGCAGCTGACAACAAGATCTAGATGATGGCAGAATCACAGTATGGAAAGATCACATGAAGGAAAGTACTTGCCTACTTGAACACGTTCACCTAGTAGATGAATGAGAGCTAAACACTTATTGTGTTTAAGTCATTGTGCATTGGACTCTATTTGACACTGCAATTTTGTCTACTTGAATAAATATACAATATCCTTTTAAGTAAATAGCATTATCTCCATCATAAAGTTGAGGAAACTGAAGTCCAGCAAGTTTGGAAAATTTGGCACCCAGGATTAAAACATAGGGTAAATCCAGCTATTTGCAATTATTCTTCAACAGGAAAAAAAACAGTTTATAAAACTCCAGAAAATTAGTAAGGAGGAAAATCACTGGAAGTAGGTATTTGAGCAGAGATTCTGAGATGCCAGATCTAGGAGTACATTTTTGTCATTCAACTCTGTCTTCCTCAACATATTCACAATTCCCATTCCCCTCTGCCTTTCTCTAGCTTCTCAAAATTGACAGAGAGGCTTATAGAGAGGGAGGTTTTATATTTCAAAAAATCCAAAATAATTCTAAACATATTCTTTATTTTATTCAATGTCTTCTGCTGCCCAGTTCATGAGGCTGCATTCTTTCTCAGTAAAAAAAAAAAATGTTGTTGAAATGGTCCCCTCTCAGCAATATTAAAACATGATAGAAAATAAATGTATATGGCGATTTTGTCTGTGGTGAATGTATGAGTGATTTTATACTCTTCTGATTTTTGCATATAACATAGTTTCCCTTATCAACATTTTCTTCTTTTATAAGCTGAGAATTTTATTACTCATATGTGATTTATTGCGTAAAGAATATGTACAGCAATTTGGGAGCTGATGCTATAATATAGGACTTTTGCTGTTTCTGTGACCATCATTATTTTTAAAATGAAAATTCTTAAGCCTTAACTGTTTCTCTTTTACCCTCAATAGTTCACAACTAGACTTCCTCATCATGCTTTAAAGTTTTTCCTTCATCTATTCTAATTAGCATATGATAAGAACTTACATGAAGAATGGAAACAAGGAAATAAATTGACAAGAAATTTAGCTTGCAAAGAATAAAATAACAAAAGACTGATCAAAGCTAAACCAAACCAAGACAAACCAAAACAAAAAAATAGAGAATGATTTAGCATTAAAGTTTCTGCAAATTTGTCTAAAGAAAATCATAGCTCCCTTTTTCCCACAGTAAAAAAACTTAGCTTATTAATCTCCCCCAAATTAACCAAAATGGAATAGCTGTTGTTACCATTCATCAACACATCATGTTAAAAATTTTCTGAGCCCAAGAGTTTCAGCCAAAGCTTTTAAAATGGAGGGATGCTATCTGGGTGATAATTGCCGAGGACTCTTTCCTGCTGTTGAAGATGCTCCCCGCATTACAGCTAATAGGGAAGACACCCAGGGTTGCCATGGTTGCTATGGCAAACATTTCATTCTTTCCACCAAACAATAAATGTGCTTTCACAAATGATGAAAGTAGCCTGAAGAAACTATTTGTAGTCACTATAAAAACGCACTGCACCTACACTAGCTTCTTGTTTCTGAATTATTCTCTAAATTGGGGGTATAACATACATACAAATAAGTGCATTTGGCAAGTTGAAGGTGTTGACTGAGGCAATGCTGTCTGTAATTTTGGCTGATGTATCAATGGCTATTAACTACAAAAATTCCTATAAACTCTGCAGTTTAAATTTAAAGGATATTTAAAGAAGTTTACACTTAAAGGGAACACTTGCATTTAAAGAGAAAATAATCTCACCTTAGAGAACATCTGGAATTGTTTAAATGTTTGACAAACAAAAGATCCAAAATGATTTGGAGGCTATGTCTTAGTTATTTCTAGCATACTCCAAGCCTCATACTCTGCAAACTATATTATTTGACTTTGGAGGAATAGATGGAATAGAGATGCTGTACCAAAAGTCAGGCAATCTGGTTCAAGACCCAGCTCTGTTCCTGATGTCACACTAGATGAGAGATTCTCAAATGATCTCCATCATGCAAACAGGATAGTGGGTAGCATTTCCAAGATCATAAACTAGGAAGTAGCAATGCAGGAGCTCCAGACCCAGGAAACCTGCATCCAGCACCCAGGTCTTCCCTGGGCTACAAGCGGCCTCTCAAGTGCACCAACAAATCCCTCAGGTCCTTGTCCTCCTGCTTCCTCATAAGAGCAATTCTCACTAGAAACATAATTCACCTTGACATTGTTTCCAGTATCTCAGTTGATTCTCATGGAAATCAGCAGTAGCCCTTTTTAAATTTTTTCAAAGCAGCCTCAATGGGCCAGGCAGCTAACCCAGATGTATGGCTAAAGACTGCACTCCAACCCAGTTCTAATTTCAAGTCCCTGCCTGAGGTTTCAATAGGAACCAACATCTTAAGAAAGCAAGAATAGACTTGTATGGAGAATTCTAAGCAATTGTGTTTTGTTGTTGTTGTTGCTGTTGTTGTTTTTTCTTTTGAGACAGAGTCTTGCTCTGTCGCCCAGGCTGGAGTGCAATGGTGTGATCTCGGCTCACTTCAACCTCTGCCTCATGGGTTGACGCGATTCTCCCAACTTAGCCTCCCGAGTAGCTGGGATTACAGGCGTGTGCCACCACATCCAGCTAATTTTTGTATTTTTAGTAGAAACAGGGTTTCACCATGTTGGCCAGACTGCTCTCGAACTCCTGATCTCAGGTGATCCACCCCCCATCTCAGCCTCCCTGAGTGCTGGGATTACAGGTGTGAGCCACCATGCCCAGCTGCAGTTTTAAGTAAGAAAAACAAAACAAAACAAAACCAGATCTCCTGCCTCCCAGTCACTCCATGCTCACTTCTATATACCAAGACACTTATTGCTAATCCTGCATTCCAAACTGCACACACTAGGGTAGGCTGTAAGCATGAAGCAGAATAACCAGTAGAAAATGCAGAAATTCCTCAGTTTCTACACTTATTTCCACTTCTAACTCAAAAAGGGAAATGAGAAGTGATTGATGCCACACACTGGAAATGGGCACAAAATGGATTATATACTAGTCTCTGCAAAACGATATTTCACAACCGTCTTTCAAAAAAAGAGAGTACATTTAGTCCAAGACCAACTGGAGTTGAAAGCGTCATACACACACATAGCAGCATAGCATTTTCATGCCTAATGTGTTTTTGTTTTCTTTCTTTTTTCTTTTGACAGAGTCTCGCTCCTGTCACCCAGGCTGGAGTGCAATGGCGTGATTTCGGCTCACTGCAACTTCTGCCTCCTGGGTTCAAGGGATTCTCCTGCCTCAGCCTCCTGAGAAGCTGGGATTACAGATGCCCGCCACTACACCCAGCTAATTTTTTGTACTTTTAGTAGAGACGGGGTTTCATCATGTTGGCCAGGCTGATCTTGAACTCCTGACCTCCAGGTGATCCACCCGCCTCGTCCTCCCAAAATGCTGGGATTATAGGCATGAGCCACCATGCCTGGCCACACCTAATCTGTTTTAAAAATACAGCCTGACCATTTTTTTTTTTAAAGCCTAAAATAAACCCTATAGGAAACAAGTTTCCCAGGCAGTTACTTCTGCTGTCTTCCAGAAGGCCCTATGAAACTACAAGCATATTCTCACAAATTACTGTGAGGCTAACTTGAATCACTAGCCACATCTTTAATTATTAAATGGTCGATGCCTCTGTAAGTAAAAGTTCTAGATGTTTTAGGGACACAGCTACCTGGTAATGGTAATGAATAACAGAAAGAGGCTCTCCCATAAATATCGAACATTATGCAGTATGTGTAAGAGTAATAACAACATTCACAGACATGCTTGTAGCACTCAGAAGGGCTTCCTGCTCCTCCCTGTAGAACGGGATCACCCATGTGTAATAGGACCTGTGGCTGGGCAAGAATCTTTGAGGAGGAAAGCTGTTGGCAAGAACCCTGGGCGTAATCTTTCTGCTCCTGGGCAGGTGCAGGAAGGCTAAGGTGTTGCAGCCTGGTCCAGGCCACGCCTCCTGCACTTCCAGTTCCACATTAATTAGGGACTAAGGAGTTAACCAGGGGAAAATAAAGTGGGAACTTGGCTCACGCCTGTAATCCTAGCACTTTGGGAGGCCAAGGCGGGCGGATCATCTGAGGTCAGGAATTCAAGACCAGTGTGGCCAACATGGTGAAACCCCGTCTCTACTCAAAATACAAAAATTAACAGGGCATGGTGATGTGTGCCTGTAATCCCAGCTACTCGGGAGGCTGAGGCAGGAGAATCACTTGAACCCGGGAAGCAGAGGTTTCAATGAGCCAAGATCATGACACTGCAATCCAGCCTGGGCAACAGAGTGGGACTTCATCACTAAATAAATAAATAAATAAATAAATAAATAAATAAATAAATAAGTGGGAACTTGCCAACACACCATGCACCATGTGGGTTGCAAAAATGATAAACACCTGTAAGAAAATCTGGAATGACCCTGATTGAGACCAGTCTGCAGAAAACAACAAAGGAGCTTTTAAGAGGAGGTTCACCTAAGGGAGTGGTGATTTTGGATAATAATCAGACCCGGTTATTATAGTTGATGGCTGCCAAAAGAGTAATGTCTAGGGAGAGTGATTCTGTGTATGACTTAGTTTGGCTTTCCTGGAAGTCAGTTACAAAACAAGGATTTGAATGCAAGTAGTTCATTTGGGAAGTGATCCCAGGAAGATGAGGCAGAGCAGAAAGGAAAGCCCATCTATGGGACATCATCAGGACATCATCCCTGTGAGTGAGTTTCATCCCAGTGGGATAGGAAGCACCTTAGGGTTATCTCATTTGAGTGGGAGGGAGCTGGGGTTTTTATACACCAACTTGGTCAGGTATTAATTGAGAGCTTCTGAAGAGCAGGGTGGCATCTAAAGCACAGAGAGAAACACCGAGAGGAGAAGCTTAGCTCTTAGGGTTGAAAGTGGTCTTGTTGAGGATGTTCTCAGGTCTCTATCCAGATCCTCTCTAGCAGGTGAACTCATCCTTCAGCTGTGAGTGCTAGATGACAACTAGAACTATCCCCTTTTCCAGAGATTTGTCCTTGGCCAAAGAGAAGCCTTCTTGCCTGGGAGCTATCACTTCCCATGTCCTCAACTCAGCGAGTGTCAGATTGATACAAAGTTCAAAAGGCTGGTCCCAGTGTCTCAAGGCATGACAGACTTTACAGTGTAGTCTGAGGTCTAGAACATCTTTGTGGCATCTGAAGGAACCTTGACTTCAGTGGAGACTATACTCTTGCTAGCTTTCCCCTCTGTCTTACCCTGCTTCCCTCAGGCCCTATCTCCAGAGACCACCGCCTCAATAATTACTTCCACAAAAAGTCCTGTCTCTGCTCAGCTTCCAAGATGCTGGCTTTTGGCTGAAATGGTGAAGTCTGAGGCATATGAGCACGAACAGCCTCTGAGACAGTGTGTGAACCTGGCTTCACACTGGTGTGTCTGTCAGTGTCTATAGTGAGAAAGCTGTGTTATTATTTTGAAAGACGCTCAGTACTCAAGACAGTTTTGCTGATGTCCTCCAATAAATATCTTCCCTTTGGAAAAATGGAGCAATCAAGGCCCTGATGGAGCAGGAAAGGAGGTCTGTCTGCCTGTTTCATAGTTCAGAAGTTATAAAAGAAGTGAGGGGGTTTGGCAGGAGGGCAGTCTGGGCTGGGAAGAATTGGAGTTCAGACCCAAGATGGATATTCCATATTCATGACCCCTACAGACCAAGGGCTGATTCATGTGTGCATAAAAACACCCAGGCATTTTAAAAAACTTGGATGGGAGTGTCATGTATATAAAACTTACAGGCTTTAAAACTAATTGTTCAATATGGTAGTGAATATTTAAATTTAAATTTCACTTAAAATAAATTAAAAATTGAATTTCTTAGTCACAGTAGCCACGTTTAAATACTTAGTAGCCGTGTTGCTAGTGAATACCTTGCATAGCACACTTACACATATTTCCATCCTTGCAGAATTTTCTATCGGCCAGTGCTGTTGTAAAATTTCTCTTATAAAATGAGTAGAGGCTCAGTTCAATTTTAACTTGGCAAATCAATACACTCTAACTCTGCCCATCTGCTGCTCAGGACTAAGAGATTGTTAGTGGATTCTAGTGGATTATGTATACCTGATTTTATATATATATAGAAGATTCAGCAGCAAGGTAAAACACTGTTCCTGTTTTTAGGCATATGGAAAAAAATTACTCTCCCAAGATTATCAAAGGGAAAAGGGAGAACTGGAATTGGAAGTGATTTGAAACTGCAGATCTCATATTGATGACATTACCACTTACATTTTTTTTCTCATGAGCAGTATATACTTTATGCACAGTTGAGCATATTACATTTAACTTGGATTCTTGGAGCAATTTTCTTTTAAAAGACAGTGCCTGGTCGAATTCTGGTGTTTTTGAGTTTAAAAGGTCACTTTCTACCTTGTGACTTTGGATAAGTGATTTCCCTACTTCTATAAAAATAGTATGGTTAGTGTCTACCATACCATGGATAAAATAATATATATATATATATATAAACTCACAGGCATCACAACTATGGACACAAAATGATTAAATATGAGTGTATTGAATTGTATTACTGTGAAAGAGAGAGAGAGAAAGGAGAGAAAGAGGAAAGAGAGAAGGAGAGGAGAGAGAGAAGGAGAGAAAGGGAGAGAGAAAGGGATAGAATGAAGATTTATAGACATGGTTGATTATTCTCTATCAGATAATGAATGTAAATTCAGCGATGGTAATTCCATCCTCCTTGACTGTGATTGTTTCAGGACTGGGCAGATGACCAAATTGTGGAAGCTGGTGAAATAGGAAAGGGTGATTCTGGGTCTTGGATCCTTGAAGAGTTTCAGTGCTCTAAGAAGTGCTTCCCAAAGTTTTGTGAGCATCAGAATCACTTAAGGAACTTGGGAAAACATAGGTTTCTACTGCCAGAATTTCTAATTTAGTAGGTTGGTGTGAGTCTAGATAATCTACATTTTTATCAAGTTCCTAGGAGATGTTCATTATGCTGCTATTCCAGGGCTCACACTCTGATAGCTTAAAAAACAAGCCACAGGAGGTCATGGTCTCATTGATTCCCAGAATGTTGTAAAGCTGGCTGAGATGTTGGGCAGGCTTATCAGTTCCAGGACAATGCTGCCACTGAGGATGGTATTGTTGAATTAAATCTGGCAGCCCTGGAGCCTGCCCTTTTTGAGAATTTCCTTTTGTTTTTAATAATTAATTTTTACCTTTAATCCTTTTGTAATGAAAAAAAAAAAAACCCACAGATACAAAAAGTCTCACAAAATGAATGTTCAGCTTAATAAAGTATTATAGGGTAAAGGATCTTGTAACCACCCTGTTCTGGAAATAGAAATATGAACACCTTTCAATCTTTATGTGCCTAATCTGAATAATTTAATATTTTTCAACCAGTGTGAGCTGGATTTTCTGTTATTTACACACAGAAGCACACCAATAAAGATACCCCAGAACGCTTTCTGATTGCCATGGATATTTTTTGTAGAAAAGATTCATTAGAAGCCAGTCCTTAGCAAAACAAATGATAAAAGTTCTTTGATCAAATCTGGATTTTTAATGAAACATTTTCATTGGCTAGAAAATTAAAGTCCAGACATGATCAACCAATTGCGTAGATGAATATAACTGAAATAAGCAAGGAGTGAGATACTCAAAAGGAGAAATGAGGAGGGGGTCACCATGAAAGAAGGAGTCTTCAAATTGAAAATCTGGAGAAAGATGAACTAAAGGATTATATTAACTCCCATTTTCTGTTTCTTTGGCGTTTGTTATATGTTGCCATTTTCACTTCTCATGGAGAATTCAGTAAACCTAAACTCATGTTTTTAAGGACATGTCCACAATGTTTAAATGAAAGGCTTCTCGAGAAGAAGACTCCAGTATCCAACAACATATCCAGTAGACTCCTTCTAACTATTCCCAGTTAGACGAAGGAAAAACATCTACCACACAATGTTCCAGCTGAACATAGCTTATTTCCTCCTAAATGTGACACACATTGAAAACATTGTAAACTGACATTGTAAATTGCTGTTATAAACTGCCAATCACTAGACAAATATGTCACTAATAATCATGCTCTTAATTCTATTCTTACAGTTTTGTTGCAATGCTTTAAGTTAAATTCAATGAACTAATGAATTAAAGAAGCTCTTGTCTCTTTGCAAAGTGTTAGAAACATCAAAGTGATGGTTTACTGCATTTCATGGAGTGCTGCTTAGAAGTCATCGCAACCTGGCCTTTCAAAGGAAGTGACTTACAATCAGGAAAAAAAAAAGTAAAGGATGAAGTACATGAAATTCGCTTCTTTCTTGGAACTTTTTTTTTGTGCCAAATGGTGATGTTCAAATCTTTTGATTAGTAGCCAGTAACAAATTTTCTATAATCCCTTTCCTTCTCCTCCTCCTCATCATGTGGTTTTGCAATTAGCCAGCCTGAATAGAGGGCTATCACATTGAATTTGTCTCAATTTGAGACAGGGTCCCAAGGCTCCTGTTAAATAGCAGAAGGTTTCTGTCCTGTATCTTTCAATGATCTATAGCTGTCCTAGTAAAAGAAGAGGCCTAAGGCATTGTTTAAATATCCAGGTCAAGGTTAGTTTTTCCCTCAGGCATATTAGGCCACACAGTATGATTTTAGGGGCATTCAAAAGGCAAGATATATAGGTTTCTCTTTCTTCCTTGATGTCTGAAAATCTATTATTTTAGTTAAAATACTGAGAACCCTAAGGGAATACCAAAATTACCTGAAAGCTAATTATGTCAAGAGCATCTTTATTCAGACTAAGATCTTACATCAACATCAATAAAGATATTGATTAATGTGAAGTAGACAGACCTAGATTCAAATTCAAGCCCTACCAAAATTAGCTGTGTAGTTTTGGGCCACTGACTTAACCTCTCTGACTCTGTTTCTCCATCTTAAAAAATGAGAAAAATGAGTACCAGAGTACTGAAGTGATGACAGAAATGAAGAACAAAAGTTTTCAACACAATTCCTTCTTTTTAATAACTTAGCCAACTTTGATTCTTTCTACTCTCTCCTACCCCTAAGATCCACAGTAAATAAGTCATAGAGGTGAGAACTGAAATAACAAAAGGTTCAGTGATCCTCTAGAATGCTGCATCTCAAATTTCAATTTGCAGAAGCACCAGCTGTTAATGCACGGGTTCTGATCCAGGAGTTCTGGGTAGAAGCCAAGATTCTGCATTTGTAACAAGCTCCTGGTGGATGTCCCAGCTTCTACCCACCATACACAATTCGACTGGGAAGGGAGAGTGTGATGAAACAGAGGAAAGCATAGATTTGGATGCTTACCATGCCTGGGACAGCTAGGACAGGACACAAGAAAGGAAAGGTGCTGAAAAGAGAGAAGGGTGGTTCACAGGGAGAGGGGGTAATCCACTGACCCATTTCTGTATAGCTTACTGTCTTTTAAAACACATTAGAGGCTGGGCGCAGTGGCTCACGCCTGTAATATCAGCACTTTGGGAGGCCAGGGCAGGTGGATCACCTAAGGTCAGGAGTTCAACACCAGTCTGACCAATATGGTGAAACCCTGTCTCTACTAAAAATATGAAAATTAGCTGGGCACAGTGGCATGCACCTGTAGTCCCAGCTACTCAGGAGGCTGAGACAGGAGAATTGCTTGAACCTGGGAGGCAGAGGTTGCAGTGAGCCGAGATCATGCCACAGCACCCCAGCCTGGGTGACAGAGTGAGACTCTGTCTCAAGAAAAAAAAAATAATAATTTATATATATATATATACACACACACACACACACACAAAAGAAATAAATAAAAAATAAAACAGAGTAGATTAGATATATATTCTATGGGGCTTAATAAATCCAGAGAGAAGACTCATGTTGCCTCCAGAGAGCAGACGTTGTAGTGTTGTTTATGAAATTGGGTTCCCAGGATTTTCCCTTGTAATCTGGAAAAAGTCCCTAGACAGCTGAAATGCTAATTGTGCAAATGAACCCTGATTTTTGCTTGCTTCCAACCCTCATCTCCTCATGGATGGCCTGATGACATCAAGATGAAAACCAACTTCAGAACACCTTTAGGGTCCTTAGCAATTTGTAACAAGTACTGCCCAAGGAAGTGGTATGGGGGGTGGTAAGTGTGCATGGAATCTGTGCCAAAGCGGGAGGTAAGGATTTTAAATCTTTTTATCCATCCATGAGCCCAGGGAGCTGAAAATGCCTTGACATAAGAAATCAAATTCTCCATGGCAACAAAACTGTCATGCTAGAAACACACAATCTCAACTTACACAGGCAAGCATCTCAAAAAATACATTGAGTGAGGAAGACGGATTAAAATTTCAAGGAACAAATGATAAACATAATGGTTTCCAAACTCTATTTGGAAAAAAAAAACATGCAATAGAAAAATACAAACCTCTCCTCTCATGGGGCCAAAGATGTCTATTTCTATTTTCCTTTTAATCATCTAAAGTAACTTAAATCCTTCCCCTTCATTTTCAAGAAGGCCTAACCCACAACTCCGTGGCTTCATGCTATATACCACCAACCCCTGCACTTCCTGCGGACAGTAAGTCTTTCTCTGAAGCCCAGCTGACTCTAATGCCGAGATCAAAAGCTTTCTTGCCACAAAACAAATCATATTTGACAAAGACTGATCCGTCCTAAGCCACAATTATATAGATTGAGTTGGCAACCTAAGTTAATGGTGATCTGACCTCCAATTTAATGTATTTTGTTGTGTTTGTTTTTTCTTTTTTCCAAAAGTAATTAGTTCTCTTCCTTGCTTTTCATTTTTTTTGTGTGTGATGAGATGAAGGCTGAAGTGTTTGTGGAAGTGAGAGAACAAAAATTCTATTTGGCAAATCCCTTCTATCGATGAGATAGCAGCATGGAGACTATTATAGTTGAGCTTTAACTATTAATCCCCTCCTCGTGTGCCGGATTGCCCAGACCTTGATGGGCACAGCAATACCTACAGCCCAACAGCTGTTTCCAAGTGTGTGTTTTCTCTCAGAAAAATTAGTTTGTTATTGATGGAACTCATTAAACTTGGTTTACCTAGGGTTGGGGGAGCTCATAGGTTAACATTTGCCCAGCACATTTTTCCTTTAGTCTTTATTTCAATGTTTGAGTTGGTCTTTTCTGCTATGGCAAACTGATCAGTTACGCACACTTTCTTCCTGGGTATAGGGCAGACATGAGTCTACCTGAGTTCTGAGCACACGTAGGGGTAAAGTGTTCCCTAGTCCTTTATGTTCAATGTTTGCCAAGGTTTTATATAATCATCAAGGGACTCAGCAATTTTCAGTGATGCCCAAAAACTTGCAGGGGAGCTCATCAGTGTGAAATAGTTCAGCAGTGATGAGGTACAAGGATATTATTGAGGACATTCTATCCTTTTGAGGGGGATTTGATGCTCTGAAGGTCATGGGTTTTACAATTTAAATTTCATCTTGAGTGGGATACCCAGTGGGATACCAGGATGTTCCTTGACAAGAGTGTTGGAAGGCTGAATGGTGTAGAGTAGAAGAAATTCACTAATTACTGTAATAAATGAACCAATGAATAAATGTGTTAAGAAAACACTATCTAAAGCTTTGAAATCATAAGAAAATATAGTATGATCTTTCAGTATCCTCCTGGAACAATTTGAAGCAAATCCATTTAACAATTATTTAATTTTCCAGAAAAATGCACATGTCATTTGGTTTGGCTAGTTCCTGGGTGATCAGAGCTTAGATACTGTGAAGTTGTCACATGCTAACTTATAAATGTGTGTCCAATAGAGAAGGTATAACCCCCAAGTTTTATAACCCTGTAAGACATTGTGATGGTTTCTATTAGGTGTCAAGTTGACTGGGTTAAGGGATATCCAGGCAGCTGGTAAAGTGTTATTTTTGGTTATATCTGTGAGGGTGTTTATGGAAAATATTGGCATTTGAATCAGTAGAAATATTCACCCTCACCAATGTGAGCAGGCACCATCCAATCCATTGAGGGACCAGATAGAACAAAAAGGCAGAGGAAAGCTGAATTTTCTCTCTCTCTCCTGGGGCTGGAATATTCATCTTCTTTTCTTCCTGGACATCAGAATTCCAGGTTCTTGGGTCCTTGGGCTCTGGGACTGATACCAGTGGTTCGTTAATTTCTCAGACCTTGGGCCTCAGATGGAGGGTCACACCACTGGTTCCCCCAGTTCTCAGATCTTTGGACTCAGACTGAATTACACCACCAGCCTCCCTCTTCTCCAGCTTACAGACAGCATATCCTGGGACTTCTTGGCCTCCATAATCATGTGAGCCCATTTTCATAATAAATGATTTCATATATATGTGTATATGTGTGTGTGTGCGTGTATATATGTATTTGTGTGTGCGTGTGTGTGTATGTGTATGTGTATATATATATCCCGTTGGTTCTGTTTCTCTGGAGAATCTTGACTAATACATACATTAACTAATTTTGTATCTACCTAGCAATTTTATTCCAATATTATTTTCTTCCGCCTCCCCCCACCCTCACCAAATGTCTCTGAATACACAGTTCCCAAAAAATACTCTTTGAATTAGCTTTACCATTTTACTGGTTCCTGCCTTAATAAGTTTAATACACACACACACACACACACACACACACACACACACACATACACACGATGTGCTGAGTTTATATTTGTATAAGACCTATGAGTTTATATTTGCATGAGAGCTATGTTTTTAACTTATTGAAAATTATACTTTGACAAGTATTTATTACTTACTTATTTTAAACTATTCCCTGGGAATTAAAATAATGCATGTGTATCTTAGTACCTACTCTTTTTCCGAACACATGTTTGTGTTTGTGAGTGTGTATGTGAGGGAGAGAGGGAGTGTGTGTGTAAAATCTGGTGTTTGGACATTTAGAAGGGGCAGGGATTTGGTGTTGAGTAGTAGATCTGAAGGAGGCAGGTTCACCATACCCTCTTGGAAGAGAGAATAGAATGAGGCTATATAAAGCAGACCATTGTGACTGCATTTATTAGCAAATCTGTTAGGGAGGAGAACATGCTGGAAGTTGAAGTGTTGAGGCAGAATATTATAAAATATGGCTCAGTGTATTGAACAAGGCAGAGTGGAGAAATGCCCAGCACACTCAGAGTGATTGCTCATTGCTTTCCAAAGTAAATGATACTTTTTTGGATATGACACTGCTATAACTTGAACGTTTGTCCTGTGAAACTCATGTGGAAACTTAATCCCCAATGTGGCAGTATTGAGAGGTGCAGCCCGTAACAGATGATTGATTAGCTCATGAGTATTCTGACCTCATGAATAGATTAATCCATTTACTAATTAATGGATTAATGGTTTAATGGATTGATGGGTTGTCATGGGAATGGGACTGGTGGCTTTATAAGATGAAGGAGAGGGACCTGAGCTACCATGTTAGAGCACTCAGGCACCTTGCTATGTGATGCCCTGGGCTGTCTCGAGACTCTGCAGAGTCCCCATAAGCAAGAGGACCCTGACCAAATCTGCCCCCCTTGACCTTGGACTTCTCAACTTCTATCACTGTAAGAAATAAATTTCTTTTCTTTGTAAATTACCCAGTTTTAGCTATTCTTGTATAAGAAACTGAAATGGGCTAAGATATCTAAAGCACAGACAACAAAGACAAAAATGAGCAAGTGGGACTATATCAAACTAAAAACCTTCTGTACAAAAAAGAAAAAGAATTAAAAAAATTAAAAGGCAAACTATCAAATTGGAGAAAATATTTGCAAGCCGAATATCTCATAAGGGGTTAATACCCAAACATTTAAAGAACAAGTACAACTCAGTAGCAAAAAAACAAATAACCCAATTTAAAAATGAGCAAAAGACTAAATTGACGTTTTTCCAAACAAGGCATACAAATGGCCAACAGGCACACAGAAAGATGCTCAACACTGCTAATCATCAGGAAAATAGAAATCAAAACCACAATGAGACGTCACCTCACACCCGTTAGGATGGCTCTTTATAAAGAAGGAGATAGGTGTTGGTGAGGAGGTGGAGAAAACAGAACTCTTTTACACTGTTGTTGGGAATGTAAATTAGCATAGTTATAAGAAACGGTATGGAGGTTTCTAAAAAAAAAAAAGAAACTACCATAAAATCCAGTAATACAACTACTTTGTATATATCTGAAGGAAATGAAATCAGTATCTGAAAGAGATATCTGCAATCCAATGTTCATTGCAGCATTAGTCATAGCAGCCAAGATACGGAAGCGACCTAAGTGTTTCTTGATCAATAAAGGGATAAAAAATTGTGGCATTTATACAATGGAATATTATTCATCCATAAAAAAGAAAACCTGCCACTTGCAACATCATAGATGAGCCTAGTGGGCATTGTACTAAGTGAAATATCCAGGCACAGAAAGACAAATACTGCATTATCTCACTTATATGAGGAATCTGAAAAATGTTGAACTCAGAGAAGCAGAGAGTGGAACAGTGGTTGCGAGGGACTGGGGTGTGAAGAAAATGGAGAGATGTTGATCAAGGTACAAACTTGCACTTCTAATATGAATACATTCTCTGAATATAATTGTACAGCATGGTGACTATAGTTAATAATACTCTATTGTATGCTTGACTTTTGCTGAGAGTAGGTCTTGTGTTCTCACTACAAAACAAAGAAAAGGATAACTACATGAGGTGATGGATGTGTTAGCTAATTTGATTGTGGTAATTATTTCAAAATGCATACCTATCAAATCATCATTTCATACACTGTAAATGTATACAGTTTTATTTGTCAATTATACTTCAATCACATAAGAGGGAGGGAAGTAAGTGAACTAATAAAAATGACACACAGCTTTCCCTGTCTAAAACACTGAAGTTATTCTGGCTCTCTGGGCAGGATAGTGTTGTGGTGCTTTGGCCAATAGCACTACACAGATTCAGATCACTTGGGTGAAAGCCGGGCATGGCCATTGCTTTCCTCTCTGTGTCACCTATGAATCAGAGATCACAATGACATCTACATAAAGGGTAGTTGTGAGTATAGAATTGGTGTACCTTAAGGGCTCAGAACATTGAGGGCTCATGGGAAGTTCTCAATATAGTGGTGTTATAATTTTTAGTTGTGCGCTGCCAGGCATCAGCTTACAACCAGGGGAAGAGGGAGGGTGTAATTCTTAGGCACACAATCTCACCATCCGGAGAGATGCTCCTTTACATCTGCATGTATATTCGAGAGCATCTGAGATTTCAAACCATGTGGTACAATTTGCTCTTTTGGATATATTGCATGTTTTTTCTTTGTAAAACAAAAGATAAGTTTTAAAGGAAGACACATTAAAAAGGAGTGTTCATTGAGACAGTGTTATAATTGCTTCTAAGCCATGTCAGTGCATAGACAGGACATAAGTTTGGTCTTAAAAGGAAGCAAATAAATCAGTATTTTATACTGATACTTCCAATATAAACAAAAATTATAAGTTTTCTTCTTAACTTTCTAAATGTTATATTTTTCCACTCATGAAACAAAATCTGTTCTTAATAGCATTAATATAATGACTTTCAAGTTTTATCTTAATATATCTGTATACCACATATGTATATATTTGTACATGACTGTATATGCATGTATATGTTACTATGTCCAACTATATAAACATATATATTCATCCTACTATGTATGAATATATTTATATAACCAAACCTGTATATATCCACCTCTTTGTATATGACAGACTCTGACTGTATATATTCAACTACATATGTGTGTGTATATATATATACATTTTACTCTATATATTATATACACATATATATCACATATACATGGTTTATTATAGTAGAAATACATATCTGGACATACTTAACAAAATAATTATGTTGATATTATTACTAATGACAAATGTTAGCTGTTGATCAGTATCACAGTTTGTAATTGTATGGTAATGGTATTATCCATGTCAGCTCTTTATGAATACTGTTTGTGCCTATTTGTGCCAACTGTGTGTCAAGGATCTAGAACAATGCCTGACAAATACTGGGACTCAATAATTATTAATAGAAGGATTTTTTACTCATGAATTCCTCCAATGTAGCAATTTGCAACTCTTGTTCCATTTTAGAATGACCTGGAAGCTTTTGTTTCTTCACTTTATCAATATCCTTGCTTGGGTCCCATCCAAGACAATTAATTCAGAACATAGGAAAAATGGGCTCAGGCAATGCTCCTTGCAAAGCTCTCCAGGTGATTCAAATGCACAGCCCTGGGATGAGAACCACTGATACCGTATCTCCCTGAGCCAGTGTTTAATTCCCACTGAGGGCCGTGGTTGGGCCTCGGTGAGTAAAGGAGAGGCTGTCCCCCTTGGGAGTCTTGGAATATGCACTAGAGGATGAGTTCTAGGTCAGTGCATCCCAACTGTATCACTATGTCTTCTGCTTGGCCTTTCTGATTTAGACTCTTGTTGGGAAACGGAAGAAAAGTGAACCTCTCTGTACATTTATGCTAGCCTTGGATTCAGGCACTCAAATTCCCCGGTGAGCCGAAAAATTATAATAAGTTGGAGCAAAGACACTTGTCCTCACTCAATATCTGTCTGTCAGGGAGAGAGCCGGCCTGTGATCAGACCCACAGCTTCCCCCAGAAACTGCTCAGGAGCTATTAGGCAGTAGTAATTGCTTTCTGCTGCTGCACAATTTGGGTGGGATCGAGACAACTCCTTTCTCTGGAAGCTCTGTTGGAAACCGTGTTAAATTCTGCCAACCTGTGTTTCTTCCTGAAATGGAAAGTGGGCTTCCTGCTCCAGTTCAGTTCTCTACCCTGCTGTAAGAAAGATATTTTGGATATGCAAGTCTGATCTTAATCTGCACATAATGTTGCAAGGCAGACATTCCTGGGCCACTTTACAGATAAAAAACTGAGGTTGGCAGAGGTAAGTGACTTGTGCACAGTCAGAGAGTTTTTAAGTGGCATAGCTCGCATTTGAACTGTGGTTGATTGATTAGTTTTTATTTTCTTGCTGCTACACCCCTTTTCAATCTGTACTAGTGAAGCGATTTGTTAACGGGATGAATATAAACACGAACTTTGAATTCAGATAACCTAGGTTTGAATGCAAGCATTTCCCCAGACTAGTTTTTCTGTCTTGGGAAACTGATGCCTCAGGAACCCTACCTGAAGGTAAAAGGTAATAATGTTTGCAACAACTTTGTGAGGACTAAATATCATAATAAAACTAAAATGCTTAATCAAATTTTTGGCACAGAATATTCAGCAAAGGACATTAGTACAAAATTTTAATTGAAATTTTCCTGTTGAATCTTTGGCCATTCTTTTGTTTTTAGAATATTATTCTTAAACAGCTTTCTCAACAAACCAGTGACACTTGCTAACTTTTAAATTATGAATCCCATTTTAATAGAAAACTGGTGAAATGAAGTACAAGACAAACAGGAAACAAACATACAAGCAAAAACTATAAATCAATCTCACTAATAATGGAGATTAAAATTATAAATTCAAGTGTTAACAAATTAAATTAGTTAGCGTGTAAAAAAAAAAAAAACACAACGACCAATTAGAACTTATTCCAGAATGCAAAGATGGTTCAATATTGCAAAAACCTGCTAATGTAACCTACTTAAGATATCAATGGAAAATATACTCAAAATTAAATAATATAAACTCTAATAGACCCGTAGCTCTCTTTAAATTGCATACACGCTTTTCTTGACCTAGGAAAAGTTTATAATATTTAGTAGATATTAAGATACTATCAGATACCTAAAAGTCCTTAAAAATTGAAATAATTCAAATCTCTTTTGCAGTATTTATCTACCTATGTATCTATGCATTAGAAAAGTCAACATCCAAATCTGACTAAAACGTATCTGCCTAGATATCCAACATCATATTTGTTAACAACATTTCATATGAGAGATTAGTTAAGGAGGTGCTCTTACTTCACACAGATGTTAAAGATAAACACCATATACTTAACTACAGTTATTTCTAGCTGGTAGAATAACAGATTATTTATATTTTCTTACTTTCAATTAATAGTATTTTTGTATTTTAAAAATCAGCAATATTAATTTTCAAGTAAAATTAAACTTATTGAAAGAAAATTTAATAAACATTCATTATAAATATTTTATTATAAAACATGTTTTATATCTATTTATGTTAGCTATGGAAATATAAAAATAAAGCAAGTGCTTTTTATAAAGTAATTTTCACAAAGACCTCTCGTGATAATCAAAAAAGGATACTGTGATTTGGGTGAACACAAGTCAGCATACTTTGAATGACTATTATGCTATGGAAGTATGCTTACATTAGATTTTCACTCCTCTCCTCGTAAATATTTTCCTGAAGACGGCCATTGGACATGATTTCAGTGTCTGAGAGTGCTCACTCTCCTTCACCTACCCACCACGTAATTATTTAGTGCTTGGCATTAGGATTTCAGTCAGCCTACTTACCAACTCTCCAGTTGAGTTGAGCTGGGCTGTGAGTGCCAGTGAGGTCTGAGGAACTGGAAAAAGCCATTGGAGAGAGCAGGGATGCTAGTGGATCATCACAGTTGTCTATAATGATAGGAGGACAGAGGGAGAGAGACCAGATTCTATTAGCAAGAAACATTCCATAAGAAGAGAAGTTGAGAAATTAACTACCATCATTTATTAACCACCTGCTCTGAACAAGGTCAGGTACTCCCGGTTTCCATGTGTTACTGCATCTACTCCTCACAGCACCCCTGAAGGACAGGTCCAGCTTTCTTTCACAGATGAGGAAAATTAAGTTCAAAAATGTCAAGCAGATTGTCCAAGGTCTCAATGCTAGAAAATAGCGCAGCCAGAATTGTCACCTAGATTTGTCTGACTCAAAAACCCAACTAGCTACATTTCTTCAATAAGCCACTTGAGCAAACCCTCAAATTATTGCCATCAAGATTATTCTATAAGAAGCGAGATGATTAAAAGGGGGAAACATTGTTTGACTACTCTCCCATCTTCAGTTCCTAAGAGCTCCCGTAATAATTGTGTCTAGAGGAGTAGGATAACTTAAAATATCTTATTCCCAGTTGTGTGAAAGTCTTCAGAAAACAATTTACTTATTCTGAGAACTTATTTCTATTCCGTGAAGCAGTAGTGAATAGTCCTAGATCTTGTATATTCTGAATCTGGTATTTACTTCAACAGCTATCCTTCCAACCTATCCTAAATGTGGAAAGTATTCTTTCTAAGGATTCTTTGATGAGGCCCAAATGTGGGACAGGGTGGGGCCATGAGCAAAGATGCTTGTCTTGAGAAGGTAGATATACCCCTCCGGGTTGACACTGATATCCTGACCATCCAATCTCATGGAAAGGAACTGCTCTTCACTCTTAGTATATTGTTGCCATGGTTGGAATTTTTGTCATTTCCCAAACTCATGATGAGATCTAATGTCATTGTAACAATATTAAGTGTTGGGGCCTTTCAGAGATGATTAGGCTGTGAGGGCTCCACCCTCACTGGCTTAGGTTTACAGCTTTAATAAAAAAGCTTTCAGGAGTGGGTTCTCTCTCTCATTCTCGTCTTCTGCCATATGATGATGCAACAAGAGAGCTCTCACCAGATACCAGAACCTTGATATTCAACTTCCCAGCCTTTAGAACTGTAAACCAATAAATTTCTGTTCCTTATAAATTGCTCAGTCTCAGGCATTCTGTTATAGCAATACAAAATGGTCTAAGACAATTGGTCATCTAAATTTTTTGTAATAATTCACTTATCTGTTTGTATTTTCCATTGGGTGACACACATTTTGTGGGACCCTAGCAGAGAATCTGGTACATAACAAGCCTTTGATAAAGGTTTGTTGAAAGAATGGGATCGTGAGCTAATGAAATAAGAAAGGAAAGAATGGGAGGCAGGATCGATCAGTCAATCTACCAGCCAATTAGTCAGTATACTATTACCAATATTCTTTTCCTATTTTTTGTCTTGTACACATTTAATTTCATAGGACATTGAACAATGACTTCATGAAATCTAGACATACCTCACTCAAAACAAATTTAAAATGTGCCGTTTAGTTTGAAGGTAAACTTCATGGTAGTAAAGGCTCTCAGGAAGAATTGGTTTGATTTATTTTTTTTTTTAAAGAACATTTACATAGTATTAAGCTTATTTATTCAGCAAATTCTTAGCAGTATTTTAACTAACTGCAGGAAAATTAATTAGAAACACAAGGATTAAATTATTGTTCATTAAGTGTATTAAAAAATCAACTGGCAAAGTGTATTTTGAGTTTTTCCCAAATACAAATGTTGAAAAATATTTTGAGGTATTTGACAAATACAAAACCGAGCCAGATCCTCACTGAAGAAGAATAACATAAAAATCGCAGATATGGTTTCTCGGCAGTTATGGTCATTTGGTGAACAGAAAGCAGATCACTACCATTTTACCTCTGGCAGAAGATACAGGTGACAGAAGGTGCATACATACCTCAAAGCACTTGTTTAAAGTCACATATTTGTTGCATTATTTATATATTAGAAAAAAACATATAATAATCACTTATTAAATTATATTCAACGTAATGCAGATCTTGCATGTACGTATGCCTGTTTTGTCATCAAGAAGCATCAGATGAATGTGGAAAAAAAGTGAGCCCCATAGAAAAATACAAACCACACACACACAAACACATATATAGGTCTTAAGCATCAATACGGTATCTACATTCACAGAAGCCTTCTAAGCCTCATCCATCCAGATGTGTAGATATAACCATCCTCCTATTTCAGGTAACACTCTCTCCACTACTTAACAAGAAATCACAGCTTTTCTGACACCCACTTCCACTGGAAAGTTGTAGCTCTTTTTAACATAAAGTATTATAGCTATTGTATATAGTAGTTATGTATTTATTAGACACTGAGCATGTATACAACTCTGCTACTATTTTATTAGGTTTTTATAGTCTTATGTGTGACTGATGAAATTTTTGAGTATTGTACTCCTAACCCTACTTCTCCCCTAAATCTTTTCTTATAAAATTTTTATTGTACAATTAGCAAGCCATTTTTACAAATGCATATATTGTGTTGTAGCAGAATTGACTGTACCCCTGTATATGTTTCAAGTCAACTCAACCATACATTGCTCAAGAAACAACTCTGGAATTTATTTTTCTCTTCTTTTTCTTTTTTGGTAATCTTCGCATTCATATATAAATTGTTAAAATGATCATGGAATAGTAGAAGTAACCTAATCATTTCAAATTAATTCAGTCCAACCAATATTTATAAAGTCTCATTTTGTGCATATTCTCAGAGAGGCAATCAGGATAGCTTTGGGTAAAATAAAGTCTAGACCTCAAGGAGCTCCGAGGCCATTGAGAAATATAGAGATGTAAACAAATAAATAAACTGATGAGGAAATTTAGGAGACTTTCACTATGATTACAGCGAACCAGTAAAATTGGTATCTATCAGTCCAGACTCTCAGGCAAGTGATAAGTTTTGTTCTTCCAGACCTGTGCAATCCCCTCCATCATGAGGTGCTGACCTCCAGGAGAACTAAGCTTCCAGAGCCCATTAACTTGTGGCAATAACTGCCATTCCCTACTGTCCGTTTTCTCCTCTGAAAGATGTCTGCCTTGTATCTCAGTTTCCAGGGACAGTTGTTCCACTTTGGAAATTAGTCAATCCATAGATTTATGCTAATGGAAAGATCCAAGGAAGATTTTTCAGCAGCCCTTTCCTCATAGACCCTATGCATTTGAACAGTGGCTTTTTGGGAAACATATCTGAACTTTTGATCTCCTGTCCCTAAAAGTAATAAGAATGGAAAAATCTCAAATCTAAAAGGAAGAAATCACTCCCTGCCCCCAAAAGCAGATAAATCTTTTCCTCTGTCACTTCTGTCTCACATGAACCACTTTGGCAACCTCGCTTACGTTGAAGAGAGAGCAAGTCTCTTATGAAATTAGCCTAGTAAACGGGAATGGAAGCCTATTTTTGCCTAATGTTCCATTATTGGAACGCTAAGCATGTGGGAGTTATCTATATCCTACTGCTCAAGGTTGTCGCCAAGGTCTGATTGCAAAAATTCAAAAAATTGCAACCTCAAGCATAAACAGGTTAAGGGTTTGATGATAGAACCATTCTAAATTCAAATGTCTATATTTTTTAAAATATGTATCAGATTCTTAAAGCAAAGGAAGAATGATCTAGCATAAATGAGAACAATAAACTTGTTTGTTTTGTTTTGTGATTTGTGATAGGCTGCATTAGTGGAAAGCATATTGAGGGTTAGAGCTTGGAGATTCCTTTTTCCTAGATTTGTTTCTTCTCTTGATTGGATGATTCCAGCTAATACATTCAGGTATACTAAGTTTTATTTTCACTGTCTGCAAAATAGTCATTTTCATCATATCCAGCCATAGAGTCATTTTAAAGATGGAATAAGAATAGATGGGAAAATGTCCCCTTTTAAGTATAAAGCCCGTAATGAGAATAGGAAGCAGTATATGAATTGCCCAGTAATATCTGCTACATTTGAGAGCAAATATTTTAATGATTTTATTTCTGGGATCTTTTTTCTCTTCCACAAAACTTGCCCACAAATTGGTATCATAAATAGCTCATTCACATTAAAGGTTTACAACTGGCCAGATGAACAGGATAAGGTGAAGTGGAGGGGTAATAAAATGGGTGAAGACACGAGCCTGCATAAAGATGACATTGCGCCTTCATTCTCTCCTCTGCAGGTCTGCAGCATTGTGGAGACTGGGTCAGTACTACCCCAAGCACATGGCTGGGGAGCAAGGAAAGAACATGTTATCTCCCTCAGTGCTCCTGCAGCCTTCAATAAGCAAACCTGTGCTCTCCTTCAATTTCAGGCTCCACATGCATCTCAGACTTCTAACAGTGTGTCTGAACAATGCTGAATCCATCACTCTGTTCCTCCAAAAGTGTATGTGAATATTCATTAGTGTTTAATGTAGAAAAGAAGAAGGGGTGAAGAAACTGGGGTCTGAAGATAGGTATTTGAATTTTAAGAAAAAAAATATAATGAGAGACTAAAAGGCTTCTCTCATACTCACTTCCAATGGGACACACAACTTGGGATAGACTATATTGATTTCCCAGGAATCACTTTCCAAGAATGAACCAAATTTCACAGATGCATTGGCCTAGTATTTTCAAAATGAGATCTTTAAAAGCTTTTTCATGGGTCTTTTCTCCAAAAGAGTTATAGCAAAACTCTGATAGGAACACTTTTACACTGTTGGTGGGACCGTAAACTAGTTTAACCATTGTGGAAGTTGGTGTGGCGATTCCTCAGGGATCTAGAACTAGAAATACCATTTGACCCAGCCATCCCATTACTGGGTATATACCCAAAGGATTATAAATCATGCTGCTATAAAGACACATGCACACGTATGTTTATTGAGGCACTATTCACAATAACAAAGACTTGGAACCAACTCAAATGTCCATCAATGATAGACTGGATTAAGAAAATGTGGCACATATACACCATGGAATACTATGCAGCCATAAAAAATGATGAGTTCATGTCCTTTGTAGGGACATGGATGAAGCTGGAAACTATCATTCTCAGCAAATTATCGCAAGGACAAAAAACCAAACACCGCATGTTCTCACTCATAGGTGGGAATTGAACAATGAGAACACATGGACAAAGGAAGGGGAATATCACACACCGGGGACTGTTGTGGGGTGGGAGGAGGTGGGAGGAATAGCATTAGGAGATATACCTAATGCTAAATGACGAGTTAATGGGTGCAGCACACCAACATGGCACATGTATACATATGTAACAAACCCGCACGTTGTGCACATGTACCCTGAAACTTAAAGTATAATAATAATTTTAAAAAAAAGAATTTTTTAAACTTAAAAAAAAACTCTGATGCAATAAAAGTCTATTTTTAAAATGCAAATCCTTTTTCATATATATTTTTGATTCCCCATTTTTCTTCAACAAATAACTTTGCTGTCATCTGTACTCCTTTTCTTTATAATGTAAAGGCCATCACTAGCTCCCATCATCCCCCCAGATAAAAATCTACTTCTGTGGGTATAACCAAAAGCACCTTAGCTCTTTCCATCCAGTAGCTGTTTAAATACTCCCAGTCCTGTTTGCGTAACTTTGCTTTACATTCACAGATTTAAGAGGATTTCTGAACCAGGAGGAACTTCAGAAATTACAGGTTCCAAGCCTTTCACTTTATATATAAGGGTTTGGGGGGAGCTTAGGGAGATGACAGGACTGCCCAAGATTATTCAGTTAATTATTTGACCAGCTGGAAGCAAAATTCAGGTTTCCTTACTGTTTGTAGGTGGCCCTAGTCCAGTTTTCTGGCACCTTTGCAGAAGGCAGGTAACCATTAGTAGTAGTATTATTTATAACAACTGTTATAATGGATGATCTTTTTTCTGCGAAGTGAAAGACATTATTTTATTTCCTGGACAACAGAAAAACATTGATGAAGAGTAGTTTATAACTTTCAGGATAATTTGAATTTCTCTTCTTTTTTTTTTTTTTTTTTTTTGCCTTTCTTCTATTCATCTTCAATACTCTCCCCTAGATAAACCCTACCCACCCAGGGGGCAGAAGTCAAACAAACAGAAAAAAGGCAAAAGAAAAAAGGTAAGAAGAGAAAAATAAAAGAAACATTCATTTCCTTATTAATATTTGCATGGACAAGCATTTTGTTTCATATTTCCAATTCAAAGAAGAGGGGATAATATGTTCTTCAGTATATGTATACAGTTAAATACTGAAGGTCTTCTTTCATATTAATTACAAGGTAAAGGCACAACAGAGAATTCCAAGTAAATATGATATCTACACAGCTATTGAGAAATTATCATTGACTCTTTAAAATGATTCTACTTCGAGTAACATTTTTTGTTGCCAACATATATTTTTATTCATTATTATTAAAATACCAATAGAGTTACAGATGGTACTGAAGTTCAATTGTGTGCATCGTCTTGATTACCACGGTAAATTGTCTGTATGTGGGGATTTGGAGCTTAAAAGATTCACTTGTATTTAGAGGTGAGATAAAATTCCTCTTAGCATTGCACACTTAATAGCCTACTTTGTCTAAAAGATATAAAACATACATTTTGTGGAGTGCCTACAACGGTGCTTAGACATGACAACTCATGCCTTTTGCTTCAATTATTTTTCCCCTTGTTACCTATAATTTCACTTAGAAAATAACAAAAATAAATACTATAATATTACTCTTGAATCTGACCCTGCCCCCATTCTTCACGATGAAACCCTAAAAGATACATTACTTCATAATTAGTAGACCAAAAATACAGCTTTCTAAAATCAGTCGTGAAAGGAAGGCCGAGTCTTCTCTATCCTGACACTCATTTCCAGATTGATGCAGAACTTGCTTTTTGATCAGCTGCTAAATACTCATGGTTGTGCTTCTTGCTGTGAGAAGACAGAATAAAGTCAAATACATAGACCCTGAGCTCAAGAAAGCAATCATTTACTTTGGACTGAAAGATAATCCATACATTTTTTGAAATAAGCTCCTTATGTTCATGAGCAATTACATGCAAAAGACCATTGGTCTGGGATCCAGGAGTCCTGAGCCTTCTGCCTGCACTAGTAATGTGCTCTCTTTTTCACTTCCCTGTATTTCAGATTCCTCAACTTTATAACGGCACGGGTTATTGTTCATTTGTTTCATCAACACAATTTAATTGAGCACATACTAGGTGTCAAAATTTCTGTCAGGCTTTGCAGAGAGTAAAAGTAATTATCGCAAATTCATCAAACGTGGTGGAGATAAACACAGCACCACTCCCTGCACTGCAATAGTGACTGGTGATGGGGCCAGAGCAGACTGCGGGAACACCCAGAAGAGGGGGTTAGTGCTGTCCAGGGCTAACAAGAGGGCTCTGGGATTCCTTCCAGGCTTTTAAAGCAATTCTATGTACGATTTTAGGACATATTTTATTTGGAGTTACTAATTTCCTGCTTGTAAGTGGCTTGGTGGGAGGACATCATCCTAAACCCCATAAGCATAACAAGGTAGCAGCAGCAGGCCTGACTCCTTGGGAGCCTCCTGGTGCAGCTTTCTGAGTTGCTCACAGTCACTGCAACAGCTGCAACGGGGAGACCATCACCTTATTCCATGGATGAGGACTCTATACATTTTTTGTCCATTTCAGAGTCTCTGCAATATCTAAACTGGGCTTTGAACCAAGGTCAAAGTGACTCTGCACAAAACCTGAGTTGAAACCTGCTTCTAAACTCTAATATGACGGCAGACCTCTCTCTATTTGACAATTTTGTAGGAATATAGCTCTTTCCTTCTTGAATTTCAAGAGCATCTGTACACGGATGCCCCACAATGAGCCCAAACTCAACAGCTCTGAAATACCCTTCCCTAAATTGATTTCTTCTCAGATTACACCTGAGAGGAAAGCAGTGTTTTTGTTATTTTTGATGTTGCCACTGATTTTTTTTTGTTATGTTTTGATTCTCAGGTTAGAAATATTTTTTTACAACAGACTGTTTTGCTTTATTCTTTTCACTTTCATGCTCTAAATCTAATTTACCAGTGACTTAATCTAATGCAACAAATGTTGGTAATTCTGTACCAAGAGCTATGTTGTTTACAACTGAGCCCCTCATATGTGACAAATATAATGAGCTAATGATGTGCAAATATAAAGGGTCAGGCTGGACAGATTTCTTTTTTTGCCCTGGTATTTAGTATTTCAGACTACATAAATTAGTCAATACTTCTTTGTTGAGTGAAAGGATGAAAGACACAAGTTCTATCCTGTTGAATTGTTGTTTTCTCTTGGGATGATCTCTCAGTTTTCCACTTATTTATTTTCTCTTTCTCACGATTTGATTCTAGTTCTGACTATCCAAATATTATGTTATGATTTTTGCAATGGTCTTTTCCATTAGTTTTCTCACTGAGAGAGCCAAGTAGTACCCAGCTCTAGTCCCATTAAGCCATCTTTTTAAAAACCCCATTTTTAATATGTTGCCTTCAAAAATACTTACAAGGTATGCCAGCCTTGAGCTTGGCTTCCAGGGGTGGCATCATGAGGATGAAAGAGCAGAATTATCTACACATAGGCCAGGCCCGGTGGCTCCCGCCTGTAATCCCAGCACTTTGGGAGGCCAAGGCAGGCGGATCACGAGGTTGGGAGATCGAGACCATCCTGGCTAACACGGTGAAACCCGGTCTCTACTAAAAATACAAAAAATTAGCCGGGCGTGGTGCCAGGCGCCTGTAGTCCCAGCTACTCGGGAGGCTGAGGCAGGAGAATGGCATGAATCCGGCAGGCGGAGCTTTCAGTGAGCAGAGATAGCGCCATTGCACGCTAGCCTGGGTGACAGAGCAAGACTCCATCTCAAAAAAAAAAAAAAAAAAAAAAAAAAAGATTTATCTACACATGGTAGGTCCCAGCCAAGCCTAAGTTAAGGAAATCATTGGTGGTACTGAAAGTTGGTCAAAGAATCAAAACGTAAGACCAAGTTCAGGAGTAAGTGACCTGTTGTTAGGATCGGCTTTATCAGAAGTCGAGGACTGTGCCTCCAAAGGCATCACTCTGACAGTGTTTAAAATCAAATACGGTAAAGCTATTAAACTTTTAAGGTTATGAATAATGTGTCATAGCTTAATTAGAAAGCTATTCAACCTTTTATATTATTGAGTGTAACAGGTAAAATTCATAAACCAAAAAAATTAGAAGTTTCTGGAATAGGAGAAGCTAAGAGTGGTGGCTGGAATAGTTTGGTGGGTTTTATAGGAGACTCATAAGAAAAAACACAAATCTTTGAAAAAATATAATGTTTCCTACTTGAAAAGTTTCCACAAATTTCACTCTGCTTCTATAAACCCCTTTTCCCTCCTCCCCATCTATTAACACTTCTCACAGCACACACACACACATCATTACAAAGTAGTGCCAAATTATGCTCAGAATTTATTGGTTCTGAAGAAAAGCTACATAAATGAATGAATTGGATGGTACTGAATGATAAGATTGGGAGAAAGAAAAAATATGGAAGGTAGAACTTTTTTAAAATTAAAAGTAGAGATGATGTCTTTATATTTTAAAAAGGTCATTGTCCAGATGATTATGCATTGAATATTAAAATGAGGGAAAGGAGGCAACTAAAGAATTTGTAAAGACAGTATTTCTGTTCATTGAGTAGTTATCAGAATTGAGAGTTTCTCTTCTAGAACGTTGTCTTTCTCACTAGATATCTACTCTTTTTTGAATACAATGGGGCTAAACTTCCAACAGCTAATCATGATCCTGCATTGAGTGTTTCTAAATTACACTGAAAATCCTCGTTTCTCAGGAAACCATGATCTTAAAGTGTAGCTCAATCAATCCATACACATTCATAAACCTTTTTCATCTTGCATGGGTCTAGGCATAATGATTCTAAAATAAAACGAACATCTCTGTATTCTCATTCTGCTCACTGGAACTTAGGAAAATGCCTGATTAGAAAGATAGGCTTGAGTTGAGTACTGGCCAGCTGGCTAATAGCACAACCAATGGGGTCAATGCCAAACATTTAGAAGTGGATGGGTTAAACGTGTACTGATAATTTGAACAAACATTGACCTTTACTGGTGTATGTAGATGAGAAAATAATGGCAGCCCAGAGACAGAAGGAGTGGTCCTACAAGATCATAATGTGGTTGCTTATGTGTGTGTGTGTGTGTGTGTTTGTGTGTGTGTTGGAGACTGTAGTATATTTGCAAAGAGACCAGACCAGTCTGAATTCAGATCCTGACTCTGCAACTTACTAATTATGTGTCCTTTGGGAAGTTAATTAATCTCAGTTTTCTCTACATGTAATGGGGATGATAACTATACACAGGCTTGTTGTGAGAACAAAAAGTGACAATTCATGTAAAATATCTAAATCGATGATAGGCAGATAAATAGATGAATTTAAGTTACCTTCATCTGCTACTGCTTTCTAAGTGGATCATCTCCAGTTCCAACTACTGTCCTTGAAAAATGATATTCCCAGGACTATCTACTACATATTTCCATCCACACGGTTTTTAGCACTTTCTTTATCATCTGTTCAGAATATGTAGGATAATTCTGTACCAAGAGCTGTGTTGTTTATGCATTACTTATGCTCCAAGACCAAACATAGTATACTTTTTAGGTTTTATCACATTTTTCTTATATTCAACAAATATTTTTTAAGTACAGTGTCCCAGGCATCATGTATCATGCTATCTGATACATAACCTGGTGACTCTTAAAGGGAACAGAAAGCATGGACCTCATATAACTTTTCAAGGGATGAGGCAGGTTGGGACAGCTGGCTGGAGAAAATGTTTGAATTTCATTCAAGTTCATATATATAATTTATTTTTAAAATGCGAATATGTTAAAATAGGGCCTCCCAAGCTCATGTTTTGAAGATTATAAACTTAAAAAGAAGGAAATTCTGCACTTATACAGGCAGTAGGAATCAAAATAGTTTAAAAACAAAATGAAATAAAAACAAGGAAATACTGTTTTGGGCAAGAGAGTCACAGCAATTAGTATTTTAGAAAGTTTGCTTCAATTTCTATATGGAAAAATGTCTTGGGTGGAGATGGGGATAGAGAATTGAGGGTAAGAGACTGTGCTAACAAGACCCAATCAGGGGATTTAGAATAGTAAAAGAATATATATATAATAATGGTAGCCTGAACTAAAACAATGACAATTGGAATGGACAGAGTTATGTAACTTTAGACATACCATATTGGAATCATCATGACCTGGTGCACAAAAAGGAAGGTAAGAATAAATAATTAGTTCAATATTTCTAGGTCTATTGACAATCTATTTTGTTATCCTGAAGAACTGGGAAGCTCACAAATCAATTTCTAAAATTAACATATCTTTATATCATGCAGAAAAGAGGTGATAAATGGTCCCACATTTAGATGACTTCCAAATCATATTTAAAGCTTCTCGTCTTTCTTTTAGATAAATATAATAAAAAGTGTCACAAGACTAAAAACCATATATTTATATTCAGATGGCAAGTCATAATATGTCATAAGGTGATGGTTTTTAATTACCCAAAGACAGGTGAGCAATGAATTCCATATTCAGGAAATAAGAAAGATGACTGACCTGAGTTCACTAGTCTCCCATGCCTTCAGAATAAAATTTTAGTTCCTTGCTTCTATATATCCCTTCATGATCAAACTCTGGATTATTTAATCTTCTGGCACCGCTTATTTCTCAATCTGTGCTTGGATTTGCCAATTTATTGGCTGTGTTTATATTTGACTCTGTCTTGAATGCCCGCACATCACCTTCCACTTGCTCACTCATCAACAATGCACTTACTGCACGGGATGTAAATACTCCATAGCCTTCCTTGATCTCTCCAGGCAAGAAATTCCTTTTCTCCTTTATGGGGTCTTTTGTGTATAATACTCCACCTCCACTAGGAGGACCAGCTCGGTGACAGGTGTTTATTTTGAAGATGTTGTAGCACACAGGTCCTTGAGCTCTTTGAGGCCCCATCTTACTCACTTTCCTACTTTCACTGCATTTCACAGTGATGACCACAGAGAATTGCTCAATTGCTTGTTGGTTAGGTAGAGGTTTAGATAAGGGGAGGACAGTCTTAAATGAAGACTAAGAAATCGGAATAGAAACTGGACAGGTCTCTAAAATGGAAAATGTGTGGGCAACAGTAAAGTGACTTATGTTTCCAAGTCACACAGGGAAGTGCGTTCAAGATTGTGAGCACTTAAAGAGAATATCGATGAGATTTGTCATTACCATTTGTCCTATGAGTGTGATTTCTAAATGCTTTCTTTATTTGAGCTTTGCAAAAATCATCTCAGCCAGGAAGGACAGCCAAGATGGTGACCATTTGACAGATGAGGAGGCACAGGTATGAAGGTCATAAGAGTATTAACTGGGTAGGCAACGCATCTTCTCTCTGACTTACTTGTTCCAGCCTCCAACACCCTCTCATTTTGCAAGTAAAGAAGTCAAAACTCCGAACAAGTTGGGGATATATCTAGTAATTTGGAGGAGAGCCTGGTTGTGTAGGGCCTTGAAGTCTGATGAGTGAGCAAGCTATGGCAGAAGTGAATGTGTGAGATAGAATGGAAACATCACAGCGGTGGGTCTCAGTACCTTGTGCATCCAGTTGTTCTGCTGACTGATTTGGTAAATTGGGGCCATCCATTTCTTTCTCTGTGATATAGTATTCCTCCATGGAAAATGAAGATGATGATGCCTGTTTCCCACGGGGAGGTCATGACAAATGAGGGTTGTCATGAACCACCAACAAAGACAAAAGTGGTTGGTACAAAGAAAATGCTTAATTAATGATAGCTACAGCTTTGCAATTATAACTATCCTGTGAACCTCTGTAAAGATTTTTGAGTAAGGAAATGATATTTAGAACATGAATAAATTGAAATCCTATTGTTGTAACACGAGAATGTTTTTAGTTTTCAGTAGCTACCACTCCCTCCCGATTTTATCACTAGGCCTCTTGGTCTGGATTTTTGTATTTTGGGGATGAGAGCTATTTATTTGTCAGGAATGGACAATAAACTGGCATGGTTTGTCCCCAGTCACCATCTAGTCTCTTTGATCCATGATGGATGTCTCTGCTTTCTATATTTATTCTCTTCTAGAAAGATATTTTCTCACTGGAAGGGAAGGGCATGGGCAGAGCTCAGGGCTAAATCTCAAGCCCAGGCCTCTGGTTTTTGACATTCTTTCACATGCTATTACTCTCACAAAATGTATCCAAGCTAAGGCATTGGAAAGAAGACCTGAATGTATTACATGGAGGTAAGTATAAATTATTGAGAGTTCCTTATATGAATTTTGGAAATACCACCTTTCATAATAACTCAATAAGAATCCTGGATATAACATGCTGGACCAAAGTGTGGTGTGCCATTTGTTAAAACTGTACACTGGAGAAAGTTTGCATGTCAGAAGTCAGAGGAAAAGAGTAGGTCCCAATAGACAATCATTCCTTCAATTGCTCTGTGGTCCAGATAACAAACCCACGTGATATTAAATAGGATTCTTCAGGACTCTATGAAATGACCTACCAGGTATTCAAATATAATGATTTTTTGAGACATTTCAGGCCTCTAGATAATGATTTTTTGGGGACAGGCTAAAAATAAAAGCTTGTTCCAGGCAAAATACTTCAGCATGCTCTACTTTTCCTTGTAAAATGCTCTTCTTGCTCATCCTGAATTACAATTGTGATTCTTAAGCAAATGTTGGCTGTAGCTATGAAGACATAAAATGCTATAAATGTTATATGGACATGTCCAGGTATTCAGTGCTGTAATTTAAAAGCATCGATAAAGTTTAAGTTGTATTTAGAGTTTGCAAATCTGTCACGGTCAGATGAGTTCAATTTCCATTTTTCCCTCACCAAACCCTTCAAATTATGCATGAACAGATTAAAAATAGCAGGAAAATACATTGTATTGTGTTCACTAAATATCTCCCATTTTGAAGAAAACCTTTAGCAATCAAATAACATGAGAAAAGACATACCGGAAAGCAATTACAACCCTGGGAAAATTTCGTTTCATTGCTGAAGACACAAAGTGGTGTATTTCAAAACTGTGAGCAAAGATTAATGGTGATGAAGGGAGTGGTAAGTGCCCGTGAACCAAGACATTTAACTTTAATGTCATTGCAAAACATGAGTAGTCATCATTTCAAGTCTCAATCTCAAACATCAGTGCATTCATTGCTATTTTTCCTTCCTTTTCTATCCCCCCAACATTGTACTTTGCAAATTGAATGGTCTGACAAGGAGTTGGTTTGAAAGTTGAGGGTTCTTTTCCTGAACAAGGTTAAGTTTAGCTTTGATGACAGCACAGCTTGGAAATCTCCTGCCAAGCATTTCCTCCAGGCAAGAAGGCAGAGGATTTTCACTTTCTCTGTCAGCTTTAGCTCCATCTCAAGTGGTTAGGAGTCAAGCCTTGGAAAAGACAGGAGGAAGAAAATAAAATCTTTAATGTGTAGCATTGGTCTGAGAGCTCCAGACAGAATTTTTCAAGTGCATTTTGATGAACTGGGTCACAGAGTCTAGTTCTTTAAAGTCTGTAACATGTGTTAGGAAGGGATTCTCGTTTCTTTAAATGGAATTTTAACTTGGGAATAAATTCAGCATACTAAGAAAATGTGAATGGCTACCATTTGATACTAAACATCATATTTGCCATACAGAGTTGAACAGAATATATGTGAAAAGTTAAAAAAATCAATTGTTTGCTTATGTTTCATATCTATTAATATTTGGGCTGTATAGTGCTTTTTTTCTGCCTGCAACCTGTGCCTTCAAAACAACTGGACCCTGATGGAATTCCTACCTTGGTCATCTCCCTGTAATTCCTGCATGTATCAGGCTTCTGTCCCCTATTACTCACCCAGGAAACAGCTTTTGATTTTCTAGGGTACTCCCTGGGACAGAGCTTCTCAAACTTTATTGTGAGCATGAATTACCTTTACAAAAATGTAGATTATAATTTAGGTTCAAGCTCCTAGGTGCCTCTGATGCCGCTGGCCCATGAACCACATGTAGATCATCAAGAGCCTGGAGCACTGGTGGTCTCTCTTCTCTAGCTATCCCTCATCTTACTACTTCATGCAACTGCCCCCACTGGCCCACTCAGACCTCCAGAATCAACCTAACCCTTGTGATAGCACACAAAGAGAGCTTGGCAAACATGCCCCAACACTGTGGTTGAGGGAAAGGAGATGGTAGGTTAGGAAAATAAGGGGTTATTCATACACGCATTATGTTGACAAGGGTTTCCCTTTGCATCACAAAATGTCCTGCAAGGTAAGCCATATCTGCACTGTTGCTGTCATCACCATCATTATAATACCATATACCAATTATTGAGTCCAGACAATAGGCCACTGGGACAGGCAATTCACATAAATTAACTCATAGGGTTAGGTGTTATTGACCTGGTTTTATAAAGAAACTGAGCCTCAGTGCATTTAAGTAACTTGCTCAAGGTCACAGTGCTGGGATTGGCACTAGCTCTGCCCAAGGCCCATTGGCATTAATCACTTAGTTACTATCCAGCAGAATGGGCCCAGAACACTTGGTTGATCCATTCTATTCATCTGTTCTCAATCTTGGGATCAATTTCAGAATGTTTAGGACAAATACAAGTGATTTCTACATATACTCTGCAAAGCAAGATGTGTATCAGAATATACTCAAACGAAACTTTAAATCACCGAGTAGGGACTAAAGGCCCACTTTTAGAACTTCCAAATGGAAACTTCATTTGAGCCCTTTTTGGAGATCTTAGATAAGAAGTTAAAAAATTATCATGTACATATGACTACATCTTCAGGATCTACCAGAGACACCAAAACACGCAGGCTGAGAAAAAAAGGAGGCAGCAAAACACACAGAGGAAAAAAGAGAATTCTCTCTGTATTAGTCCATTCTCATGCTACTCTGAAGAAATACTGGAGACTGGATCATTTATAAAGAAAAAAGGTTTGGCCGGGTATGGTGGCTTACGCCTATAATCCCAGCATTTTGGGAGGTGGAGGTGGGCGGATCACAAGACAAGCTGGCCAACATGGTGAAACCCCATCTCTACTAAAAATACAAAAATTAGCTGGGCATGGTGGTGCACACCTGTAGTCCCAGCTACTTGGGAGGCTGAGGCAGGAGAATCGCTTGAACCCAGGAGGCGGAGGTTGCAGTGAGCTGAGACGGCACCATTGCAGTCCAGCCTGGGAGACAGGGTGAGACTCCATTTCCAAAAAAAAAAAAAAGAAAAGAAAAGAAAACAACTTTAATTGACACAGTTCCACATTGCTGGGGAGGCCTCAGGAAACTGACAATTATGATAGAAGAGGAAGCAAACATGTCCTTCTTCACTTGGTGGCAGGAGAGAAAAGTGCAAGCAGGGGAAATGCCAGATGTTTATAAAACCATCAGATCTCATGAGAACTCACTCATTGTCATGAGAACAGCATGGGGGAAACCGCCCCCATGACCCAATCACTTCCTGCTGGGTGTCTTCCATGACACATGGGTATTATGGAAACTACAATTCAAAATGATATTTGGGTGGGGACACGGTCACACCGTACCAGTTTCCAACTTAGGATTGGGTGTACTCTACTGTCACTAGTTCTAGGGCTACAACTAATGGCTTTGACTTTCTTGAAAATTAAAATTTTCTTTCCTAGTCTGGACATATCACTAGGCCCTTACATTTTAGTGAACTTCCTGGCCTCAGTAGCAGTTTACTTTGGCTTTCAATGAATATCCTAGAAAATGGGGCTATAGACCTTCAGATTCTACCTGTCTTCTTGCCTCAGTAGATGCTTGATATGGTTTGGCTGTGTCCCCATAGCTCATCTTGATTTGTAGCTCCCCATAATCAGGAACCTGTGGGAGGTATTTGAATGGTGGGGGTGGGATTTTCCTGTGCTGCTCTCATGATAGTGAATAAGTCTCATGAGATTTGATGGTTTTATAAAGGGCAATTCCCCTGCACATGCTCTCTTGCCTTCCACCATGTAAGATGTACCTTTGCTCCTCCTTTGCCTCCTACCATGATTGTGAGGCCTTTCCAGCCATATGTAACTATGAGTGCATTAAACCTCTTTTTCTTTATAAATTACACAGTCTGGAGTATTTCTTCATAGCAGTATGAAAATGGACTAAAACAGTAAATTGGTACTGGGTAGTGGGCTCTGCTATAAAGATACCCCAGAATGATGTGAAAGCAACTGTGGAACTGGGTAACTGGCAGAGGTTGGAACAGTTCGGAGGGCTCAGAAGAAGATAGGAAAATGTGGGAAAGTTTGGAACTTCCTAGAGATGCATTGAATGGCTTTGACCAAAATGCTGATGGTGATATGGACATTAAAGTCCAGGCTGAGGTGGTCTCAGATGAAGATGAGGAACTTGTTGGAAACTGGAGAAAAGGTGAATCTTGTTATGCTTATCGAAGAGACTGGTAGCATTTTGCCCCTGTCCTAGATATCTGTGGAACTCTGAGTTTGAGAGAGATGATTTAGGGCATCTGGTGGGATAAATTTCTAAGCAGCAAAGCCTTCAAGACATGACTAGGGTGCTCTTAAAAACATTCCATTTTATTCATTTCCAAAGATATGATTTGGAATTGGAACCCATGTTTAAGAGGGAAGCAGAGCATAAAAGCTCAGAAAATTTCCTGCCTGACAATGCGATAGAAAACAAAAAAACATTTTTTGATGAGAAATTCAAGCCAGCTGCAGAAATTTGCATAAGTAACAAGGCGCCAAATGTTACTGGCCAAGACAATGGGGAAAATGTCTTCAGGGCATGTCAGAGGTCTTCATGGTAGCCCATTCCATCACAGGCCTGGAGGCCTGGAAGGAAAAAATAGTTTTGTGGTCTGGGCCCAGGGCCTTGCTGCTTTGTGCAGTCTCAGGACTTGGTGCTCCGCATCCCAACCATGGCTAAAAAGGGCCAACGTAAAGCTCATATCGTTGCTTCAGAGGGTGCAGTCACCAAGTCTTGGCAGCTCACATCTGGTGTTGTACCTGTGGGTGCACAGAGGTCAAGATTTGAGGTTTGGGAACCTCTGCCTAGATTTCAGAGGATGTATGGAAATGCCTGGATATCCAGGCAGAGGTGTGCTGCAGGGGCAGAACCCTCATGGAGAACTTCTGCTAGGGAAGTGAGGAAGGAAAATGTGGGGTTGGAGCTCCCACACAGAGTGCCCACTGGGGCACTTCCTAGTGGATCTGTGAGGAAAGGGCTACCTTCCTCCAGACCTCAGAATGGTAGATCCTCCAACAGCTTGCACCATGAGCCCAGAAAAGTCACAAACACTCAATGCCAGCCCATGAAAGCAGCCAGGAGGGGGTGCTGTACCCTGTAAAGTCACAAGGGGTGGAGCTGCCAAAGACCAAGGGAATCAGCCTCTTTCACTGGCATGACCTGGATGTGAGACATGGAGTCAAAGGAGATCATTTTGAAGTTTTACGATTTGATTCCCCTGCTGGATTTTGGACTTGCATGGGGCCTGTAACCCCTTCGTTTTGGCCAATGTCTTCCATTTGCAATGGGTGTATTTACACAATGCCTGTCCTCCCCTTGTATCTAGGAAGTAACTAAGTTGCTTCTGATTTTATAGGCAAAAGGGACTTGCCTTGTCTCAGATGAGACTTTGGACTGTGGACTTTTGAGATCATGCTGAAATTAGTTAAGACTTTGGGCGACTGTTGGGAAGGTATGATTGGCTTTAAAATGCGAGGATATGAGATTTGGAAGGGGCCAGGGGTGGAATGATGTGGTCTGGCTGTGTCCTCACTCAAATTTCGTCTTGAATTGTAGCTCCCATAATTCCCATGTGTTATAGGAGGGACCCAGTGGGAGGTAATTGAATCATGGGGGTGAATTTTTTCCATGCTCTTCTTGTGCTAGTGAATAAGTCTCACAAAATCTAATGGTCTAATAAAGGGCTGTTCCCCTGCAAACACTCTCTTGCCTGAGGCCATGTAAGACATGTCTTTACTCCTCTTTTGCATTTTGCCATGATCGTGATGGCTTCCCAGCCATGTGTAACTGTGAGTCCATTAAACCTCTTTTTCTTTATAAATTATGCAGTCGCAGGTATTTCTTCATAGCAGTATAAAAACGGACTACCACAATGCTCGTATGCAGACTTCACTCCTGAAGTTGGCCCCGTCCTGCTCTCCAACCTAACCTGACTGGTTGTTTACCACTCACAAACCTGCAGGATGGATTTATTCATTAACATTACACTACTAAAGACATCCCAAGATAAAGTTAACATTTTAAAAACCAAAGTTTTCCTTCAAAATTTCTCAGAATGGCCACTGAATCACATTTATTGGGGCTGCTATGACACTCCCACAATTCATTTTCCTTGTAGTTCTAACAGAAATTTTAAATGATCACTGAAGTAATAATATTGAGAATAGGAAATTGGGAGAAACTTACTTCAGAACTATAGGGGCCATAACAAAATGATAGAGTACATTCTTTCACCTTGATTTTAGACATAGTTTAAAATGCTTATACTAATATTTTTCATGTTTGCTTTCCAGAACTTAGGGCACAGCATAAATATCCTGATATTTAAATTAGCATCAGACTGATTTACATTGTAACAATAATCTTGAAACATGATTTATGAAGTATATGTATAAAATATACATATAATATGTATATGACTCAGATTTTGATTACGCAAACACTGTCTTAGGGGCCGAGGACAAAGCAAAAGCAAAACAATATTAATGGTGAGGCTAATGAACAGAGTCCATAACTTTTGCCAATGTTGATACTAAGATGAACCATTACTATGGAATGTGGAAAATGTATTGAAATATTGCTGCTCTAAGCTTGTATCATAGACTTTTGAGAACAAATTTATATATGCAAAATCCTCATCTTCTGAATCAATTTCAAATACTGCTTTCCTTCTTTAATCATTCCTGAGCTCCCTGATTGCATCTCCTCCAAATTCAGAACCAGACAACAGGGGCACCTGTCACTTACTGCTTAACATGATAGTTACTGTCTCTCCAACTATACTGTGATTCTCACAAGATAGTTTATACATTACTCTGTACACCAGAATGGTGAGCCCCATGGGGAGAGGTTAAGTGTTAAAAGAAGCAGGGTTTTAGATGTATACCCTTGAATACTCTATTTACCTTTCCTAAGCTTTGTTTTCTTTGACATAAGATGACAGAATTACCCTTTCTTAGCATGATTGTGTTGAGGAGGATTAAATGTGATCATACATAACGGATATGGCTTATTGTAAAGATTCTGTAACTGCTGCTTCTCCTTCTTTTTCGAATGTCAATGAAGATCAAATGTCTTCTGACTCACTGAGTGATTGATACAATTTCCATAATCATTAAACATTGTTACATCTCAATTTTATTCTCTCCCTTTTTGGCTAGGTTTAAAAGTAGTGCATGTACCTGAGAGTGGTCCAGGCTGAGAGAGAAGTCCTTCTCAGTTCCTATTAGGTGACCTGCAGGTCGAGCAGTGCTTCAGGGCTCCACGCCTGGTACCAGATGTTTGAGTGAATTGTAGAAATGAGGAGTAATTAAATTCTTATTTACAAGCCCTGCTCTTCAACTCTTAGCACTTGTGATGGGTGGCCCAGCAAAAAGAGAAAATGAAACGTAGCAGGATGCCTCCTTTTCCTTAGGGTGAAACAGATCCCCAGAGAAATATTGACATCACTTGGGCTGCCTCCAGAGGACATATGGGTCTTAGAGGTGATTTGGCCTGAAGATGGCTCTGCTACAGAAGACAAACAAGGGGGCTCTATAAGAGGGGATGGAAAACTGCAGGAAACCCAGGTTTCAGTCAGTATTTGGGTATTAGATGAGCAACCGGAGAAGCATCCAGAGTGTGGACAATTTGTGCCTCTGGACTGGGATTTCAGGATACAGGTAGGGAGTAAGAAATACGTGGCAGGACATAAGTGCCTGCAGCTTCGAAATCAGGTTACAGATTGAGAATTAGGAGTTATCATTTAACAGATATAAAGTTTTTCAGTGAAACAATATGAGTAAGTTTTAGAGATCTGTTTATATAACATTGTGACTTTAGTGAATACTGTATTGTGCATTTAAAAATTTGTTAAAAGAGTAAATCTCATGTTAAGTGTTTTTTTTTACCACAATTCAAAATAAAAGCATATTAGAAGAAGTAAAATAGGGTGTGACTTAAGATGAAGAGGAATTTAAGTTATTGAGGTTAGTCTAAACAAGATTATGTCAATAAATTTGAAAACCAAGATAAAAGGGAAATGTTTTGAGAAAACCATAACAATGAGTGGTGTCTCAAAAAGAAATATATATGAATAAGAGACCTCAGTAATTTAGAGTAAATTCTAAAGAGAATTCAGCAATATTCAATATGAAAAAACATGGCTTCGGATTAGAAAACTATTTAATATTATTTACCAAATTGAAAGCTAAAAGGAGATAACTAATATGATTAGTTCAATAGATGTAAAGTCAGTATCCAACAAAAATATCTTAACATCTGTTCTTGACAAAGACTTTTAGCAAATTAGGATTGGAAGGGTGTCTATGCCAATCTAGAGCAAACATTCCCCTTATTGATGAAATGCTGCAAAGATTGTTTTAGAATCACGAAAAAGACAGATATGCCCACCATGAACATTATTCACTTGACATTGCAAATGAGGTCCGAGCCAGCAAAGTATTCAAGAAAAAGAAAGAAAATTTCTGTTGATTGGAAAGCAGGAAGTGTAACTCTCATTATTCATGGGTGATGATTGTATATTTAGAAAACCCTAAACAATCTACATAGAGATTATGAGAATGAAGAAAAGTGTTTATCAAGTTACTATGCATAAAATCAATGTACAAAAATTAATTGTGTTTAGATACACCAGCTATAAATAATTGAAAAGGTGATTTTAAAAAGGGAAATTCATGGTAGCTTTAAGAACTTTAGAATACCAGCCAGGCGAGGTGGCTCATGCCTGTAATCCCAGCTCGTTGGAAGGATGAGGCAGGTGCATCACCTGAGGTCAGGAGTTCAAGACCAGCCTGACCAACATGGAGAAACCCCGTCTCTACTACAAATAAAAAATTAGCTGGGTGTGGTGGCACATGCCTGTAATCCCAGCTACTCGGGAGGCTGAGGCAGGAGAATCGCTTGAACCTGGGAAGCGGAAGTTGCAGTGAGCTGAGATCATGTTATTGCACTCCAGCCTGGGCAACAAGAGTGAAACTCCGTCTCAAAAAAAAAAAAAAAAAAAGAACCTTGGAATAAATGTAACAAAATACATGAAAAAATTATAAAATACTCTGGAAAGACCTTTTAGAAGATCTAAATAAATAGAAATAATTTTTTTCCTAGAAAGACTCAATACCATAAAGTTTGCAATTGTGATGTTCCCTAAATAGATCTATGAATTCATTGAAATTCAATCCACACCCCATCTCAGAATTCCTTTTCCTCTGTCCTTTCATTTTCTCCTTCCAGCTTTGCTTCCCTTTAACAATGACAAGCTAATAGTAAAGTTTATTTAGAAGAGGAAAGACCCAAGAATATGCAAGATATTCCTGAAAAAGAAGAAAATAATGAGAAGAAATACCTTGGTACATATAAGGAATTATAGAAATCTGTAGTAATTGCCGTGTGAATATTGGCATGGGATAGAATATTACCACTATAAAACAAAATAAGACTACCAGACACAGCCCCAGGATATATGGCAATTTGGTTTATGATAGACTTGGTCCTGCAAGGTTTTTTCCAGTAAGAAAGGAATAGAATTTACAGTTAATGGAAAAAAAAAAAAAAGAAATCATGTGGCAAGAAATCTGGCATACTTCTCATCCAGACACAAAATAATACATGCCAGATAGACTAAAGGTTTAATTGTAAAAGGGAAAACTGAAAAAAAAAACCTAAAAAATATGTAAGACAATGTCTTTATGACTTTAAGCTAAAAAACTATTTCTTAAGCAAAATACAGAGAATTTAAAATGTCAGAAAATAATGGACTAATTCCCCTATGTAAAAATTAACAACTTCTGGGTACACGTGGACAAAAAGATGGGAACAATAGACGCTGGGAACTCCTAGAGTGGGGAGAGAGGGAGGAGGGTAAGTGTTGAAAAACTACCTATTGGGTACTTTGCTCACTTCCAGGATGATAGGCTGAATCATGCCCTAAACCTCAGCATCACGCAGTATACTCATGAAAAAGCTGCACATGTACCGCTTGATTCTAAAATCAAAGTCGGAAAAGAAAAAAAAACTAAGCGCTTCTGTATATTGTAATATATAGGTACATGTATATACATAAGAAGGGAGTAAAAATCTAGGCCACAGATTGAAAGATAATTTTGGCAACCATATAACTGACAAAATATTAGCATCTAGAATATATAAATAATTTCTACAAATCGATTTGAAAGAAGGCAGATGGCCCAGTAGAAAAATATTCAAAATATCTGAAGACAAACTTAAAAAAAAGAAACTCAAATGGCTCACAATCTTTAAAAAGCCTGATTAGTACTTAGACAGATAAAAATTAAAGTGGAAATGAAATGCCATTTCACACCCCCCATATTGACAATAACCAAGGTTTCTTTCAATATGAAGTTTTGATGAGAGTCAATACAAATGGAATACCTACGTATTGTTTTATTATTATTATTATTTTTATTTTTATTATTTTTTTTTTGAGACAGAGTCTCTGTCACCCAGGCTGGAGTGCAGTGGCGCGATCTCAGCTCACTGCAAGCTCCGCTTCCCGGGTTCACGCCATTCTCCTGCCTCAGCCTCCTGAGTAGCTGGGACTACAGGCACCCGCCACCACTCCTGGCTAATTTTTTGTATTTTTAGTAGAGACGGGGTTTCACCACGTTAGCCAGGATGGTCTCGATCTCCTGACCTTGTGATCCGCCCGCCTCAGGCTCCCAAAGTGCTGGGATTACATGCGTGAGCCACTGCGCCGGGCCGTATTGTTTGTAAAATATGAATTGGTACAAATATTTGGACAATGATTTGATAATTTCAATAAAGTTAAAGATATACACACCTCATGTCCAAGAAATCCCATTGCTAGGTAAATACTCTAAACAAGTGTCCTCCCCATGTGTGCTAGGATATGTGTGAAAGTATTCATGATGGATCTGCTTGTTAGAGCAGAAAACTGAAAGCAACACAAATATCCAATAAAATAAATAAGCTGTTGTATGTTATTCCAAAGGAAAATCATTCAGCACTTAAAATAAACTATAGCTATATGCAATAGTATCAACAGAACTCAAGAAAATAATATTGCCTGAAAAGTCAACTCAATTTATTTATATGAAGTTTAAAATCACACAAAACTAAATATAGAAGTGTAGATGGTAAAACTTTCTTAAGAAAATCAAAGGATTAATAACACAAAATTCAACAGGATATGCGATCTGCAAAGGTGGAGGAAGGAGGGATCCATGGAATGATTCCCACATACTGGCAGTTATTTTCCCTAAATTGAGATCATAGGCATATAGATATGTATTTGTGATTATTCGTACCTTATACATAATTTATACATATTTATATATTCCTGCAATTTTCTGAAACAGGATAGTAGAATGAAGAAATAAAACATGTAACATGTGAAGGAAAGTATATGAAAGATTGAGGTATGATGTAGGAACCTTAGGAACCTGAGACACGAGATGCATGCTACTATATTTATCCAGACCACCTACTGTTTCACTTAGAGGTTTTGCAGAAGGTGTGTGCTCACTGCATGCCTTGCAGGCAGAAGACAAGGAAATGGGCTAAGCAGCATCTATGTAATGCCAACATGGTCCCCAGGGCTTGGGGACAGTGCAGATGAGAGACTGTTACGGGACTTTTGAGACAGGGATCCTGTGTGACCCTGTGTAAGCTTTGACTATCATGGTGTGTTTCTTTGGTATTTTACTAATTTGCTAATTAACAAATTCACTAAAAATGGCTCTTTTAAAAATGAACCTATTTTAAAATGCTTTGTGACTGTTTACAGTGGGAAGTGGGATGCTTTCTAGATGCCTTGGGGTTCAAGACAACACATGGTAGCATTCCATATGATACGTTATACTTTTGTAGCAACAGACATCTCTCTGTTAAGGAGTATGGGATAATGAGTGTACTATCTTTGCATGGAAATATGGAAAGCAACAATAATTAGGAATTGCTAATCGTACAAACTATACCATGTTATTCCTGAGTATCTCATGTAATCGCTGTGTACACGTCTTATTTTTGAAATTGGGCATTTAACCCTCAAAATATTTCTTCCAGGTAAATATCATGCTTACTGTAACATGAGATAACGGATGCTGCCAGAGTCCATCATGTAGCTGTGAAGTGAAGATCCAGGATGTGGATTGAAAATCCACTCCAGTCCCTTGCTTTTAACCACTGTAGTATGCTTATCCCTTAGCCCTTCTCACCTAGGGACAGACTTTCATTGCGTGACAGCTCCATTTCTTCTTCATCAGAGGTAATATCTTGAACAATTTAAGCCATTGTGCATGTAGCTTGACAATTGTCTTCTTCCCTTGGGCATTTTTTAAATCATTACATCCTGATCAAGAAAAAAAAAACTGCTATTTTTTACCTGGTATCATTTATTTTACAAAAAAGGGGCACTCAAAATGAGTCCAAAAAGTACTGTGATTCCCAGCCACAATTAGGTACATCATCAAATCAAATCAGAGGCCCGCGCTTCATACTAACTCACTGTGGGCAATTTGGCAGCACTCTGCACAGAATCTCAGTTCTTAAAAAACTAGGAGCAAATTATAGCTCCTCATCCGAAACCATAGCTTGTGTGCCTTTGCTTAGAAAAAATGAAATTGGCCCTGGGTACAGAATCTTGAGTTAGGACAATCCTTATTTCTAGGTTCATTTTCATCACTCCCCACCACACCATTGCTTAGTCTCTGTTTGATCACTCCATTCCCCTCTGCATCCTCCACAAGCCATCATTCTTATATGATTATGTGTATTTTATGTTTAATCTTGCTAGCTTTTTGAATTATGTGTGTGTGTGTGTATTTAATATGTGTGAAAGGAATTGGGATATACAGGAATGGACAAACTACAAACTACAGTAGGGGCCAAACCCAGCCTACTGCCTGATTTTGTAAATGACACCTTGTTAGATCACAGCCATGTCCACTCATTTGCATCATGTCTATGGGGCTTCTGTCGGTGCTGTGGGACAGTGTTGAGTATTGCAAGAGAGCCTCTGGCTCACGGCTCTTAGACCTTTTATAGATGAAGTTGGCAGCCCCCTGCGCAAGGGGGTTCACTGCATTTCTCAACACCTCTAAAAGCACAAAAGTGAGTATTCTCAGTAGTGTTCCTCTAGGATCCTGTGTGAGAATTTCTCCAGGATGCACGCTCTCTGCAGGAACTGTGGGGTCACGTCTGCTCTCCCTGCCACCTGGCTCTCCAGCTTGGCCACACCCGGCCATACCACTCCCAGTGGTGCCCAGCTTCTTGCTTTTGCCAGAGTAATAAATGTTCAGTGAATTCTCATCCTTGCTCAAACGTGCATTCTTGACTTTTAATACGATTGAGGTTCTCTTTAGATGTTTTTTATGCTTTTTGAGTTTTTTTTTTATTTAATTCTGAAAGCACTTGTGATCTATTTGGCCAGTTTTCTATTGGTGTAGTTTTCCATTTAGTTATGATTTTTGGTTTGCAGGATCCCTTATATAGTATAACAGCAATTACTTACTGAATTGGGACACTGCAAATAACTTCTAGTTTTCCCTTTTCCATCTATTAGTTTTTACCATTGTGTCCAATATTCAAAAGAAACGTTTTTTTAGAAGATAAATGTGTGATTAGTGAAGCTATTGGTATTGTATTTCTATATTACACATAGTTGTATTATATATTGTTACTACATTATGTGTAATGTTACCTATAATATATAAGGTTATATATAAAATATTATGTTATATGATTATAATTACATTATTATTATTTCATTGTTATAATGTGGCAACCTAAGGTAAGAAAATTATTCTAAGCAAAATTTTTTTGTGGATTCAGTTTTTCCAAATAATACAGATTAGTAACTAGTTTGATTGGAAGTAAACCATTTTCAAATATTTAGAATAATTTTCTGGCCTCTAAAGGAAGCACACAGATGACCAGTAAATGCATGTTTGTCAGTTTACCACATGTTCTAGAAAAGAGAAAACAGGCCTCATTGCATTACCTGAACATACAGCACACCTATTTATATTTATATATATATATATATATATATATATATATATATATATATATATGACCTAATTTATACCTGTGCTATGTGCAATTTGAGTTTTGTTAATAGCTATGGTGGGTGGTTGCTCCCACCTGTGGTCCTCCATAGCTGGCCTTTCTGGATATGAGATATAGCCAAGTCATTTGGGGAGGGGATGAGGAGGATGCTGGTATACCAAGTGTTGGAAATGTTCAGTAGCGCAGAGAAAATAAATGGGGGAGGGGTTGAGAGGTGATTTGGAATGAAGGGATATTGCAGCAGCTGTGTCCTGGATCCCATAAAGGGCTCTGGATATGCCCGCCAAGGCCTAGGATGAGTGAGAATCAGAGCTGTGTGCAGCGAACAGGCACAAAGCTATCGCAAGAAAGATGCAAGCTAAGGTTGATTAGGTCACTTATGACCTGGAGCTGGTGGACAGCAATAAAACCAGCTCACACCCGGTCCTGCTGGGTCTCACTTCTGTTTGTTTGCTGAAGTCTGTCCAGGGCTGAGGTTTGGCAGCCCCTCTTGTACTTCCTGTCTCTGTCTCCTCCCTCTCCACCCTCTCTTTCTCTCCAAGGTACATATCTACCATCTGCTAAAGAGTCAAACCTCAGGTCTGGAATTCAGAAGATTTAACAGGAGTTAGCTTAAAAATAAATGCTTCACATTTCATAAACTAATTGTAGAATAAAGAAAAGAAATACTAGGGTGAAATTTCGCTCCCTCCTTGTCCAGTGAGGTATTGTTTTCCAAGTGAAACGTTAGTGGTTTGGTATCTGTTTATATCATAACAAGGTGTTTGCTTTTCACAATCAGGAATGCCAACCTAGAGCTTCAGGGATATTTCTTCCCCATGCTGAGTAAAATTCCATTTTACGTTAATCTTAAAACAGCTTGCTGTTCAGACTTTCCCTCAATTTAACAGACATCTATTGAGCAACCACTGTTTTCCCACATAGCCCTGGATGCTTGGGATATATCAATGAACAAAAGATACAAAGATCTCTGCCCTGAAAAATACTAATTCTTAGCTAGTGGAGATAGACAATAAACAGTGGACATAATAAATAAGTCAACTATAGGTTATGGGTTGAATTATGTCCCGCTCAACAAATTAAATAAAAAGAGGCATTGAAGTCTGAAGTCCTAACTTCAAGTACCTGTAAATGTGACCTTGTTTGAAAATAGGGTCTTTGCAGATTTAATTAAGCTAAGCTAAGGCCATTAAGGAAGGTGGGCCTTTATCCAGTATGACTGGTGTCCTTATAAGAAGAGAGAAATTTGGACACATAGAGGCAGACACACAGGAAGAATGTTATGTGATGACCCAGAGACACACAAACACACGAAAACAGAGCCAGAAATTGGATTGGCTTCCACAAGCCAGAGAAGACCTGAAGCTACCAAGAAATGGAAGAGATAAGGAAGGGTCCTCTCTCAGAGGCTTCAGAGGAAGTAGAAACTCCTTCATTTTGAAATTCTAGCATTCAGAAATGAGATACATTTCTGTAGCTTTAAACCATCCAATTTTGATGGCAGTCCTATTGTAAATGATAAATGCTAAGAAACAAAGAAAAAAATACAGCAAGACCAGGAGAAGAAGGAGTTTTTGGGGAAGCAAGAGATGAGGTTTAATATTCAATAGGGTGGTCATGGTAGGACTCCTCGTGGCCATGACATTTTACGAAGATTTGAGGACAGTAGCCCAGGAGAAGGAGGGAAGTCAGAGAAGGATCTGAGATTTTCAGCGAGACAACTGGTTGGTTAGAGGTGCCACAGCTGAGAGGATGCAGAAGCTGAGAGGTGGAGAGTGTGTGGAGTTCAGTTTTGACACTCTGATTCTGATATGCCTATTAGATGTGAATGTCAGTTGTGGATATCAGCAGGAAGCCACTGGCACCATCAGACGCATGGTTTGGGGGGAATAGAGTTAAGATACTGTCCTCAGGGCATGGGGAGCATGGAAAGAAACCCCCACAGGACAGTGAATCACCCTAGACAGCCACAGTGGGCAGTACTTGATCGGGCAAAGAAGTGCCAGGGCTGCAGGGGGCAGCTGGTGTGAAGGTCAGGACAGGCAGGAGCTACAGCATTCTCCAGGGAGAAGAGGCCAACTGTGGTAGCAGAGAGCAAGAATGGAATGTACAACGAACATTCTGACCCACTCTTCCCAAGCCCTTGTCTGCCCTTGTGCATCCCATGGACGGAGCCCCACAGACACCAGAGAGAAAGAAAAACAACTGAGAAAGTCTAGGATCCCAGGGCCAGAGCAGGGGAAAAATGGAGCATGTGGATCTGCAAGTTTGACACAAAGCATCCTGCTCCACACTTAAGCAATAGAGTTAATTTTCATGGGAATGAAAGAACACAGGCTCCCCATCACCAGGTCCTCTGTAGGATTCCAGGAATGTCTCAAACTAAGGAGACACGAGACTGCAGCTCCTTAAAGCCTGCTAGGGAGAGTTTTGTATTTTTCTTTTTACTTTTTCTTTGCTTTTTTTTTTTTCAGAGATGGAGTCTCGCTCTGTTGCCCAGGCTGGAGTGCAGTGGCACGATCTCTGCCTCCAGGGTTAAAGAGATTCTCCTGCCTCAGCCTCCCGAGCAGCTGGGATTACAGGCGTGAGCCACCATGCCCAGCTAATTTTTGTATTTCTAGTAGAGATGAGGTTTCACCATGTTGGTCAGGCTGGTCTCAACTCCTGACCTCAGGTGATCCACCTGCCTGGGCCTCCCAAAGTACTGGGATTACAGGCATGAGCCACTGGGCCCAGCCAGGCCAGTCTGTTTTAGGTGTTCTTCCACTGTACTCTCCTAATATCGAATGATTGCCTCTGTCATCTAACCTAAGCACACTGCCATATTTGGCAACTGACTTGTCTCTTTCTCCAACTTGACTATACATATGATATATATATAATATATAATTTGGAAGTTTTTCAAGAATTTCAAGGAATGGAAGGCTTTCATTGCAAGAAATATTTTATGAAAGTCTGTTTGGCAAAAATACCAAACAAGCAAAACCTCTTAAAGAAGCATAGTGGGCAAGTGGAAGTTCAAAACTAAAAGGGGTTAGTACACCCTGAAATACACAACTAAGCGGTTCAGAGAATCCCCATCCTTTGAGATCTTCTCCAAACATCCCACACCAAAAAGTTTATGAACAACCAGATCTGTGTCATATGGATTTGTTGGCCTGATGAGATGGGTAAATAAAATGTGCACTCAATTTCATTTTCAGATCTTAGTCAGAAAACAAAGATACCTATTGGTGTTTGCATTTGAACATGCAAATTCCTTAAAGACACCAATAAAAATAAAACACAATCCATGAAAACATAGGTATATATTTACAGCTTTTGTTCCAATAAAATATGTCTCAAAAAAAGCCAGGCTTCTACTGTTATCATTCAGTAGATGAGAAGGATCTACTTTTGCAAGATAAACAATAGACACATGGAGTGGTATCCTCCCAGAGAATGAGAAGATAAAAACTCATGCCGGGGTAAATAACACATAGTCAGTAGTTTATATAAACAAAAGTTGAGAAAATACTTAGAACAAACTACCCACAGACATGGAATTTACATACGTAGGTATATGTATACACAACATATGTGCATATACATGTGTGTAATACTTGTATATTGTTTTTAATAACTGTATTATTTAATAGATCTATGATCTTATCAATGACATAGACATCTCTTATAACACCCTTATTCCTGTTTTAAGAAAGAAGCAGCAGCTTCAGAAAATTGGATAGCATGAGAGAAATTTCCATTTTCCTATCTTTTTTCTAGGATCATAGTAGTTTAATTGAGCTTTCGGTTTTCTTTTTCTACATAAATTTTTAATTAATTGAAATACCAGGAAGTGGTTGTTTGTAAAGCTGGGGTAGCTCTGATTTTTGGGTTGGGAGACTTGGTCTAATAAGCATCCTACAGGATCAGTGTGGTAAAATCTGCCAGTTGAGTCCTCAACTCACACAGGGAAAAAGTGTGTAAGTGGAAACTCACGCACTCATCTCCTCCTCCTCCCTAATGGAACCTTTAGCATTGGCTACGATCCATTATTGTGTTTAGCTCATAAAGCACACTCTGTTAGACTTCTCTAACTACCCTTGAAGTTTGCTCAAAAACATCATTGCTACCAATTGTTAGCCTAATAGTGGCTCTTATATCCCTATTCAGACCACCAAAGCAATAAATCTTTTGAATAACATACACATTATGGAATAAAAAGAGATGAAGCTCACCCTTAAGAGTACTTAGAAAAAGTGGTCTAGCAAAACATATGAAGGTTGTAATTTTTAATTCAAGCATGAAGGTTTTGTATCTTCTTTTCTCTTTGGAGAGAAAACTCAATTCTCAAGCTCTGCAAATAGGAAAGTTGGTAATTGTTTCCAATTTTACAGAAGCAAACATACTCAGTGAAGTTAAAAGACTTGTTCAAAGCCCACTTGGGAGGCAGAGAAAAGGCCAGGCATATGAAGGCACCTGCTCTGCTCCGCAGTACCATCTTTCCGAGGGGTTGATGTGCTAAGAGCAGCTTAGTCTCCTATACCTTCATCCCCTATGCCCTTTAGATGAACCCATTGTTACTTTATATTTAGAATACCAACCTGGAAGCCCTGCAAGGTGTGGAATCTATAGTAATAGATGCCAACAAAAGTCTTGCCAATTCTTAAGGTGTAGACCTCTGTCCAGTCTATTAAACAAAACAAAACAAAATCCCCATAAATAAAAGGGATTTTTCTCCTTGGTTAATTTGAGTTAGTGACATTGGTAAAATTATGTTAATGAAGATTATGCATGGCTGTCTTGATCAAGAGTTACATTCACACTCTTTCACACCTATTATCTCCTATAAAATGCTCAAAAACTTTCAGAGTTAATGTCAGAATCACAATTCAAAGTTGCGGCAACTGAGGCTCAGAGTAGTCTGGAACCTCTCCAGGGTCAAAAGATGAATAAAATGCATGGTAGGTGTGTGAGGACCAAGCCAAGCTGCAGGGCCTCCACACCTCCAAACCTCACAGGGTCTGCATTGACCCCGGGAGTCATTCTGGCTAGCAAGGCTTAGAAATGGACTTTATGAGGGCTTTCAATAATATTAAGTATTCAGAATATTACATATTTTACTGATTTACTTTGTTTATCTCCCTTTGTTAGAAAATAAGCTCCACAAGATCAGAAATTAATTGTTTTGTTTACTGCTGTATCTCCAACACCTAAAAAAATGCCTGACACAATTGCTTGACAAATATTTCTCTCCTGAAAAATAACTAAAATTAAAAATAACAATTCTTAATTATCTAGAGGCCACTCATGATTAGAATATGTGTTTCCTAAATATTTTGATTTATTTCAGTCTGTTTGGCAGGAGGAAACTTTGAAGAATTCATGAAAAACTTAATCTTCAAAATACTGAAATCCCATTATATGCGGTCTTGGATTCACTCATTTAGGCCAGGTTTAAGAAACCCAGATGTGAAACCCTTTAGGTTATGATTAATCCAATTTTTCATGATGGCAGAATGTCTGAAGCATGACAATGTCAGATGCCACTGCTGAATTCTACCTGGTGCTGAGATAACCCTCCGTCTCTAATTCTTTCTGTCCCATTGTCTCTCTCTCTTTCTCTCTCTCACTTTGTCACTGTTCCTGTCTTTTTTTTTTTTTTTTTTTTTTGAGACAGAGTCTCGCTGTCACCCAGGCTGGAGTGCAGTGGCGTGATCTCGGCTCACTGCAAGCTCTGCCTCCTGGGTTCACGCCATTCTCCTGCCTCAGCCTCCCAAGTAGCTGGGACTACAGGCGCCCGCCACCACGCCCGGCTAATTTTTTGTATTTTTAGTAGAGACGGGGTTTCTCCATGTTCACCAGGATGGTCTCCATCTCCTGACCTCATGATCCGCCCACCTTGGCCTCCCAAAGTCCTGGGATTACAGGCATGAGCCACTGCGCCCGGCCCCTTCTTTCTTTTTGTTCCTTCTTTTATAAATAGATGTTTCTGTTAACTTATATAATCTTAAGAATCACGTTTGGTTTTGTTAAAGGACTTGATTTCCAAACTTCTTAAAGGATCATCGTAAACAAATATATTTGGGGAAACACAAGTTTAGCTGATTCATAAACCTTGTTACTACTGTTTTTCCTACCTTCAGGATCTTTTGTTTTCTATGGTGAATCGTTGATACCTCTTCTTCTCATGTAAAACAAAGTCTAAGCACAATGACCCTGGAAAGAAAGGCTGCCAGGAAGGCTTTTGTGCACAGGGTCTCCCAGCTCCCAAAGCCATTTCTTGCCTTTCCTCTGTTGCAGTTCTGCTCAGAAGACCAGATGCCAGGAAACTAGTGAAATAAGCACACTTTGTCTGATACCACCAGATTCTCTCATTTTTGTGCTCATCCCTACTCCCTGATCAGATCTTCAGTGACCTTCTCCATCTCTCCAATAAACCATAATATCAGAAGATGATCTACCATTGATCATTTATACCCCCAGGTGCTGAGTCAATATGTTTCCTCTTTTTCTGCATTATTTGCATTTAACCTTATCTCGGATTTGAAATGAAATCTTATCCCCTGGTAAAATTGTTTTAGTCATCAGAGGACCAGGAAGGGAAGTTGAACTTGAAGCAGAATCAGCTCTAAAAAGGCAACTAATTTAATGAGAGTTTGCTGTGAACTTACCACAGGTCAAACATCCTGCTAAAAGCTGTGGATGTAAAAGTATATGAACCTCAGACTTTATACCAGTGAAGTTCCTATTTGGGCAACTCACCACCTTGTTTTTGAGAAATGCTGATGTTGACAGCTCACCATGTAAGTCTCCCCTCTTTCATATCCCAAAATTATTTTACTCGTTCAAAATTCAAGCCCACAAGGTCCTCTCCTGCTTCTCTTGTCCCCATTGCAACATGTATATTTAAATGAATTCCCAGGGATTTTTATTTATTATTTAACTCTTCCTTGCAGACCATTTTAGGAAAGCACTGATTTATGCTTCTGGATCTAACCACTGAAATCAGGCAGATCTTAGCTCAAATTCTAGCTCTTCCACTTTTAGTTGAGAGTTCTTAAATAGTTTACCCAAAGATTCTGGACCTCAGCCACCAGTTATGCATGATGGGTAATATTTATTGCAATGTGATGTCATGAGATATAACCAAAGCATAATCATGTCTTGGAAATGAAGTGACTAGTAATGCATATCCATCTCTTTTTGCTACCTTTTCTTTTTTTCCTTCCAGGTTGCTCTTTTTTTCTCTTCTATTGCATTTGAAGAACTGTGGAGTAGGGAAGAAAGAAGCTGTTATTGTACTGTATGTCACAGGAGATGTGGTCAATCTGATGCTTTCATTTCTTTTGTTTCTACCTTAGCCCTCCTAAGTGTCAGGCCCCAAACTCATGTCTCGCATTTCCTCCTCTTCCAAAGACAAAGTTTGCCTTTGAACAAAGCAGACCCTTTTAGCACAAGAAGGATGTAAGACCCAGGAGCACTCAACACACTGAGTTTGCACTGCATTTTTGTTAATTTAGTCAGTTAAATGCCAGAAGAATTGTACTATCTCTTTGGGAGGAAGGCAAAGAAGTGAAATGATTGAAATTTGACTTTATAGGAGGGCCCTGGTGGTTCTGAAAGACCATGAAGCTTATTTAATTTGGCACTTCCATATGTGAAATATAGCAAATATGTAAGAGGCTCTAGGGAAATTGAAAAGATCATCCTTCTAATAAAGCTTAACAGGGCCAGCATGGAGACATCTCCGCCCTCAGGTTGGAACACTTAAACACTGCTTTTGATGATGAGTTTAACTAAAATATTAAATTTGATGTTATACTTAATAAGGCCTTTGTTGTAAAAGGGAAAGATACGTTGATACTATACACATGTACATACACAAGTATCACCTAGAAATATAACTATATTTCTATGTACAAACATGCATATGTGTTTGTATACATAACATTATATAGGCTTATAACCTTTCATAAGCATTTATTTAGACTTAAAGTCATATACAAACAACTTTTGTGAGTAAACATTTTATTTGTATATTTTTATATATGTATGAGTAGCTATGCAGATAAGCATATTTACAGTAATTTTTGTCTAAACATAACACACAACTATAGAATAGATGTCTTCATATGTAAGCCAGTGTGTGCACAGCACGTACACAGACAAATATGAAACTGTATTTTCTACATCGATGGATCTCAATGTGTGGTTCTGGATAAACACAATCAGCATCACCTGGGGACCTTGTTAAAATTTCAAATTCTCATGCCCACTCAGGACCCTAAGGCCCAGCAAGCTGTGTTTTAGCAAATCCTCCGGGGGTTCTGATATACTTGTTGGCATGGTTACCATGAGAATAGCTGCTCTATACAATACATAGTAAACGTACTTTGCAATTATCTTATTTATAGGAGTATACACGTATGTCCTATGCTAACAAGTAAACAAATATTTGAATATATCCATTAACATAAAGCAACTGCTCATTAGTTAGGAGCGGATTATAACCAGTTAGTGGATTCAACTCTGATATGCAGAGGGACCTGCTCACAATCCCCCTCCCTGGGAAGCAAAGAAGCTGAGCAATGGTTGGGGAAGACTGAACTCACACCCTGAGGGTTCATAAAAGAGGAGCCAAGGATGGTGCAGTCAGCTGTCAGCTTCCTTAACTCCATCTCATTGGTAGACCCTATCCTGATGGTGCAGTTTAAACAGACGCTCTTCTTTAGTGTGGCTGGTGCTCATTCCTGCACCGAGTTTGGGAGATGAATAAAGCATCCTCTGAATAACTCTGGGCCTCCAGTGTTGTCTTCATTCTCCTTGAAATCACACCTCTGTATGGTTTGACAGGGGATGAAAATTTTTAAAAAGTATGAAGGTAACCCAAAAGAGCAGAAGGCTGCATATTGAGATACTAGATTTTTAATTTATTTCTGGCTCTTCCACTGCTAGTCTGATAATCAAACATTTATTAGGAGTCTTTTATACGCCTAATACTAAGATACTACAGAAGTGTCCTGGAAAATGCTAAAATTTGTCCTTGCCTTTTGGCAGCTTACAGTCCAGTGGGTGGCAATATGAGTTCACAAGCCAAAACCAAACAAGGTCTCAGAGAGGAACCTTGTGCAGGGCTCAGTAATGCTGACATAGTAAGTGGCAGGGAGAAGAAACTGTGGGCTGAACATTTTGGTAGAAAATGTGGAGTTTCAGCTTGGATTTGACATGCAAAAGGAATTTTAATAAGGAAACTAAGGCAGAATATGTGTATATGTGCAGATATCCTTATCTGTCAATTGGGTTAATGATAACTGTTTCCTGACTGCAAAGCCATTGTGATGTAGATAGAAGATACTGAGTATGGGAAGAAATTGAAAAGTTCAAATCATTATACAAACACGAATATGGGGCATGTTTGAATACTTCTCCTTGAGACCCAGGATAAATGCAGTGGGTCTTTGTTTCCTATGTTTTATTACAACAGTATCGATTTTACCCCACAGTCTTCAGAGGAAATGTGCACACATGCCATCTTCTTCCCAGTTTAAAGTATGGTTCCATCTTAGGTCCAGTGCTCCTGTAAAACCTGGAGCACTAAAATCTCCTATTTGTTCCAGAATATCCATTGTCTTTCTCTTCAGGCTGTGCCTCTCTGGGTCTCAGCCATGGTAACAAAGTTGTCCACATCCTGCACTTTAGCACAATGTAATAAATAGCAATGCCATTGTGACTCAAAGGGTGAATGCAGATTTTAATAGGTTGTCCCTTGAATCGGCCTTTCTGCCTTGTCCTTTCTTCTCCAATTCATTCTCCACACTGCTATCAGAGTAAGGTTGTCAGATTTAACACAGAGAAATACAGGATGTTCAGTGAAAGATTAATTTCAATTTGACAATGAATAACTTTTTTGTGTAAATATGTCCCATGCAAGATTTGCGACATGTTGATACTGAAAGAAAAGATTCATTCTTTATCTGAAATGTAACTATATTTTATCTGACAACCATACACCAGCGTGCTGCTTCACCATGCTAATATAATCACATTGCTTCTCCATGCAAAGCTCCGCCCACCCCAAAGCTGGGGAGGGGCATATATGGTCCCTTTTGAAGTAATTCTCACTTGTATTTCCAGCTTTGTCTCCTTCCATTCTTTCAGATATACGAATCCAATGTTCCTATAATATAATTCAGCCAATAAGCTTTCAGTCTTGTAGACACTTCCTCTGCCCATCTTGTGTATATGTCTTGGCACATGCTGTTCTCTCCCACTCAAAAACTCCTCGACCTCCCTCGAACTCCCCAATACTCTACCAGCAACTAGTTGCAACTTAGCAAATGTAGAACTCCCTCTGGAATCCTCTAAATGTCTTGGCCTGAGTGGTTTTCCCTTCTACTTTTTGTCATAAAATTCTGGGCATTTATCTGCTGAGACTTAATCACATAATCTATTAGGTTCGTGCAAAAGTAATCGCGGTTTTCGCTATTACTTTTGTGGCAAAAATCGCGATTATTTTTGCACCAACTGAATGTAATTACCTACTTATCTTCCTCCCCATCTTGATTGTGAAAACCTTGAGTGGGTGGACGTTATCTTTCTTCTCTCTACTCCCAGCCTTTGAGAGATTCCTGGCACATTACACTGAAAAATGGGTTTTGAATGAATGTATGAATAAAGTAAGTCAACTTCATTATAACCTTTTCTAAAGTAAACATTAGAAACAGAACACCTGAGGGTTGCAATGAAATATATTAACTGTGCTTTATCTGTTTGCCAAATAAGAAAGGACAGACTGTAGTTTACTGTTCGATTGGATTGATTAATGCCAGGTCTGACAGTTTTTGAAAGGAAGCTATTCAACCTTGTGCAATATAATACAAGCACAATAACATAAGTTCAATTCCACTGGATTGTGACACATTGAATATACATCTCATTCTCAACTTTTCACAAGACTTGAATGTATTTCAAAAGAAACTAGACATTTTTACTATTTATCAAAAATAGTTAAGATGGAAAACCATTAAAGGTTTTTAAGATTACCATAAAATAATTAGTAGAGAACATTCCCTTCTGGAGCTAACACTATAACATGAATCAGAGAAACAGAATTTTTTAAGCAACCTCATTTTTAGACACACATTTCATTCATCCATTAAATTGCTCCCGTATTCTACCACTAATGGAATGTTTATTAAATGCCAGTCACTATAGCCAAGTGGTAGGAATATAGCAATTAATGTCCATAGAGAAGAATCTAAATCATACCAATGTACCTAGTAGTCTTCCTGATAAAAGTGATATCTTCACCAAATATAAAGGGTTGGTACAAATTACAAAAATAAATAAGCAAAAGGTGGAGGGTCTTCCATGTTGAAGGATTTATTTGCTATTTACTTGCTACTTGTGAGAATGAAGAAGAAAAATGCTGTCATAAGCAGAGGCTCCTTGGTAAGGAAGGCAAACTGTAAGCATGAAAGATTCAGAAATGTAATAGTGAAATAACTTGGCTGGTATGGAACAAAATGGAACAAATCTTCTGATTAAAAGGAGAGAAACAGCAGAGCCAAGGTAGCTTCATGGGTACTAAAGACACAGGCAGAAGATGAATGGCAAGAAAACCTAATACCTTGGAGACAAAGAACGACCTAAATGCAAAAATATGAGTGAAATGTTATATGACAAATGCTTGGAACTTGTAAAAACATTGGAGAATTTTAGTGGACACAGTTAAGTAGCTGAAAAATACTTAAATAGAAACATACAGTCTCATAAGAAGATTAGGAAGAGGAAGGATGAGACTAAAAGATTAATTTTCACCGGATTTGTCAATGATGAACTAGATTTCAAAGCTTCCTTGTGCATAGGTCAACATGCTCGTCTTGATCGATACAAGGTTTTAGTATTCTAGACATACTGTGTGAGCTTTGGCAAGTTACTTCCGCTTCCTGAGTCTCAGTTTTGTCATCCGTAAAATTGGGACAATCAATCCCTTGTTAGAAATATTTTGATAATTCATTGAGATAACTGTTTGTAAATTCACCTAGCATTATATTTAAGGAGGAGTGCCTGTGTGTAGACTAATCATTTTTTCATATTTCATTTGAAGAGGATGTGAGGGTGAGATTTCCAGTGCTGATAAACAATATTCATATGAAGGATAAATAAGGAACGGACACATATATAGTTTTCTGTCACAAAGGAAAACTAGATTAATGTAATGGCTAAAAGTGCGCTCCCAATTCTGATTATTGTGAGAAGAAATTATATTTGTAAGTAGTTAGTATTAAAGCCACTTTTCTTAAATTACAGATAATTAAACTTGTATGAGTCAAAACAAAACTCTACATATTATAGCTGTTTGGATGACTTTATGTCTAATACATTTTGGAATCATGACATTCCCTCTGTCCCAGTGCCAGCTTTGAATCTCAACATATCTTAGATCCAGAAATAGCTATCAATTAAATCAGGATTGAAAGGGTAAAAGAGAAAATCCTGCTGTGTATATTAAAGATTAGTCTGTCACATAATTAATACCATCATCATCATTGTACAAATGATACCATCTTATAAATATATAGCATTTTCTACATCTCAGAGCGCATTTATAATCTTAGTTGATCTTCACCTTAGCCAGTGATGCAGGCAGGAGATACATGATTTCTATTTGTTAGTTAAGGAAGAAATAGCACACATAAAACGAAATGACTTGCTCAAGTACATACATACAGTGAAGATCAGAGCCAGGGCTGGAAGTAAGCCTTTCTCAGTTAGTGCAGAACAATTTTCATGTAATTCAATGGGACACTTTATCCACTTAACCTGTTAGCTAGATCAACTAGTTTCATTAGATATAGAATAAAAATATACCAGGAGATAGGCAGCTAGCTAGAAAGAAAGAAATAATTTTAAAAATGTAAAAAAAAAAGGAAAACCTGAATATAGGGTTATTTGCACATAGGTAATTTATATTCCTAGAATATCTTTATGATGCTTAATATACTATGTTGCTACAGCTTGATTATATACAAAAAAGAAACTCCTACTCAATATAATTTTGATGCAGAAACATAAAATCACTCTTACGAACACAAAAATTCTTACATACTTTAATTAATTCTACAATTATTTATTGAGTCTTCAAGGCAAAGTACTATCCTAATTACTATAGTTATTCAAATAAATATCTAACATTTTATAAAATATGCAATATAACTATAAAATTAATATTTAGATGGAATTAAATACAAAATTACATCGAAAATGTGAACACAGAAGAAACTTGGTTCCTTTTCTTGTTAATGTATTGGTCTAAATGAGTTGACTGGCTAGAATTTTTTTTTTTTAAATTCTGGCTTTTCTCAAACTCCCCTTCACATTCTCTTACAGAAGGGGACTTCATGGTGGCCTTGGGTATCTCTGACCTAGCTCTTTTCCTGTGGAAGCCCTTGGCTTTTACCAGGCTTGATACATCTGTAGGGAGAGGGAGGCATGAAAAGGTAGCTGAGGGCCCCATTCAAGGTGAACAATAAGAGGAAATGAGCTGGCAGGGGAGGGTATTTCCTATAACTTACACAGCAGAGCTTGAATTATTTGGGGGGAGATTGGGGGGGCTTTCATTTCCTGAAATCCAGACTGAGGAAGTGGAAAGATTTCCTAACTATGTTTCCACATAACATATTACCAAACAGTATTACAATTCTTTAAATGATTTCTATCAACTGTTGGAATTAGTTATAATGAGTCATAATAAAACTCATCTTGAATTTATATGCAATTTTAACCTTATCTAAATATTTCTAAACTTATCATTTTATTTTCAATTTATGTAGATTTAGGCTTTGGTTACTGAATCTTTATTTTCTTCATTTCTCACTAGCATTTATATGTATATTCAGATTGCAAACAGGAAACACTCAATATTTATTTTTTAACTGTATTGAATGTACTGTTGGAACAAAATGGGGTCTAAAATATTGATAAAATATTAACTTTGATATTTCTGATGATGATGAAAAAATAAGAAATTAATTGATGGGGCAAAATATCTATTTCAAATTTCCACCAAGCGCTTCCAGAAAACAAGCAGGAAATAGATTCTCGAGAATCATATCTGATGTTGGCCTAAAATCTTTGCTTCTTCACTATTTACAGGAAATTGATTTTCTGTGATGGAAGTCATCTCAGCCATGCAGGCTCTTTGACATCCTGTCAAAGACCATTGTGCATGTTCATGCATTGTTTGTAAGCCACCAGAAAACACTTTCATGAAATTAATTGTTGGAGAAGAGACAAGAAGCCAAATTTTTGTATATATTTACATCCTTAATGTGTCTTAAATCACATCTTTTCATCTCTTTCATTCACTGTGGAATTACCCAAATTACCTAGGTAGAAAAAAAAAATGGAAAAGAATCATGGGTTTATTTTTTAATGAAGCTCTCCCTGGTTTTGATGGAAATACAAAACGTGTCTCCTGAAATAGCTCTATCTTCGGGGAGCAGAAAGAAGCAGATGAGCAGCATCAAGCTTTGGCATGGGGGCCAAGAATTGAAATTTATAAGTCAAACTTACCAGGAATGCATCGAAATCCTGTTAATTTTGTTAAAGCTACAGGGTTAGGATTTTAATAGAAGTTGTAAATACATTTGTCTTTTGGTGATTTGGAATAACCCAACCCCTTCCATGCCGTGCAACTTGCAGACTGACATTTCATATAATTAAAGGAAGCATTTTCATCTTGAATGATGATTGCTCTGGTTTGGTAGAATGCAGCATCATACAATAATGTAATCACTCTAAGAAAAAGCTCTAACTTTGTTGTTTTGTGATTTTTTAAAAAAGGAAGGAGAATAAAATCAAAGAAAGCCTTCATACCTTTTCCTAAGCAAAATTGATGTGTTCAGTACCAATAACTGAAGTTAGGCCGGGCATGATGCTTCACGCCTGTAATCCCAGCACTTTAAGAGGTCAAGGCGGGCAGATCACCTAAGGTCAGGAGTTCGAGACCAGCCTGGCCAACATGGCAAAACCTCGTCTCTACAAAAAATACAAAAATTAGCCGGGCATGGTGGCACATGCCTGTAATCCCAGCTACTCAGGAGGCTAAGGCAGGAGAATTGCTTGAACCTGGGAGGCAGAAGTTGCAGGGAGCTGAGATCACGCTACTGCTGTACTCCAGCCTGGGCCACAGAGCAAGACTCCATATCAAAATTAAAAAAAATAATAATAATAAGCAGCTGAAGTTAGAGAATGAGTGCAGGTACATGAGAATGCAAAGCCAGGGTCACGGGCTGGGTGGGGTATGGAATGGGAGTGAGTGGGTGAAACACTAATATCAATACAGCCTTTCTTGAAAGAGCTCTAAAAATGCAATGCACTCCAGCCTGGGTGACAGAGCAAGACTCTGTCTCTCACACACACACAAAATAAATAAATAAATAAATAAATAAATAAATAAATAAATAAATAAATAACAAATAAAAATCAGAGAGCTTTTCACAAGTATTGTATTCATATTCAAACTATTGCTGTTGCTATCTATTTACAGGCTATATGAAGTCTGTGATAATGAGCACACTATCTAGAGTTCAAGCAGGATAAATGTGAAAATCTTAAAAGGTGAACTTAGAAGTTCTTTAAAAAAAGTCCAAAACCAAAAATTCAACTGCCACCATCACCATCACAACAAAAACACTTCAGTTCCAAGGTGGAGAATGAGCACTACCTCTGAGGAACTGAGATCAAAGTTGACTCGGTAGTCTTAATGGAACACAAGCTAAATAGTGGTTTCCAAAAGCAGACTAAAGCATTAAACAAAGCATTAAATAAAACATTAAACAAAAACATTGAAATTACTATGGGAGATCTCAGCATGTAGGAACTACCAATTAATTCCCAAATTTTGATCAGGTTGGTTAGACTATAATTAGAGTGCTCAGCCTAGCTTGTAGTCCTAGAAACTGAATGATAATATTAAGAACTTGGATAAGGTCTAGTGGAAAGCAACACTTCTATTCAAAAGATAGAGGAATTAGACAGCAAGGAATAATAAAGGAATTGATTTTATAGCCTAGCGGATGCCTGGGTAAATGAGGGTGTTAATTTCTACACGTACAGTGAGTTCAACTGAAAGAAATACATCACTGAGAAAAGATAGTTGCTTAGTATGTGCAATAACCCAGGAGTTGACAAGAAGGGATGCTGAAGAACACAAACAATAAAAAAGTAAACCATTGGCTGGGCATGGTGGCTCAGGTCTGTAATCCCAGCACTTTGGGAGGCCGAGGCGGGTGGATCACGTAAGGTCAGGAGTTCGAGACCAGCCTGGCCAACATAGTAAAACTCTGTCTCTACTAAAAATACAAAAATTAGCTAGGCGTGGTTGTGGGTGCCTGTAATCCCAGCTACTTGAGAGACTGAGGCAGGAGAATTGCTTGAACCCAGGAGGCAGAGGTTGCAGTGAGACGAGACCATGCCACTGCACTCCAGCCTAGGCAACAGAGCGAAACTCTGTTTCAAAAAAAAAAAAAAGTAAACCATAAACAAAACAAACAAAAAATAACCAACCAAACAAACAAAAACCTGATATAGAAAGCAGGAAGAGCTGTTAAAACTATCTCTGTAGGTACATTACAGCATTTACCCCAAATATCTCCTTGCTATGAGGTTCTGCGAGAAGTGTGTTTGTGTGTGCTTTGTGTGCGTGCGCACACACAGAATGAGCATTGATTAAAAATATCTAAAACATGCCCAGCATTGCTCATACATTCATGTATCTGTTTCTCCAAGCCACCAACATAAATAGGGGATTTTTGCCACTTTTTAGATTAGGACAGATTAGGACACATGGAAAGGGAAGAAATGGCATATCTAGATATATAACGTTTCAGATACAAGAGTCAGGATTTGAGTCCAGACCTGTTCTACCTAATAGCTTCTGTTTTCTCATCACACTTTCTGATAGAGAACCCAGAAGTTGTTTTGGAAGTAAATAAATAGCTGTCTGCCCGTTGTTGGAGCTCAGAAAAATGATATCCCAAAATGAAGGTCTCAGAAACAAAAGATTTTCTCTGACCTTCTCCGACCCTCCTGTCTCTGGCCCCTCATTCTCCCCTGGGGCTAGCCACAGAAGCTAAAACCCCTTTTTCCCAAAGCCAACCATAAAACCTAAAAATATTACTCTAACTTTCCTCCCGCCTTTCTGTGTAAAAACTGGCCATAAAGACATTATCTGAGCCAGTTGTGGTGATTCACACCTATAGTCCCATCAATCTGGGAGGCCAAGGCGAGCGGATCACCTGAGGTCAGGAGTTTGAGAGTAGCCTGGCCAAAATGGTGAAACCTCATCTCTACTAGAAATAAAAAAAAATTAGCCAGGCATGGTGATGCATGGCCTGTCGTTCCAGCTGTTTGGGAGGCTGAGGCAAGATAATTGCTTGAACCCAGGAGGCAGAAGTTGCAGTGGGCCAAGATCATGCCATTGCACTCCGCCCTGGGCAACAAGAGAGAAACGCCATGTAAAAAAAAAAAAAAAAAAAACCAGCAATAACAAAGACATTATCTGATCTACTTTGTCTGATTTTAGGTCATAAGATCCCCCTTCCAGAGAAAGTTCTGCCCCATGCCCAGAAAGAAGGAATGCTGCTCAGAGTCAGAGAAGAAGCTAGACAGACAATGCTTGTCTGTTTTTCCCTCTCAGTCTGTAAACATTAGATCATACTCTATTTGTCCAATCAAAGTTTGGAGAACTGTCCAAACTTCACTGAACCTAAGCACAAAAGTGGAGTTTCTCTTGTATTTTCAGCTCTTCACTCTGAAGGCTCCTGTGTCATGTAAAACTATAATCAAGTAAATTTGTATGCCTTTCTTCCTATTAATCTGCCTTCTGACAGTGATTTTCAGCTACCTTTCAGAGGCAATGGGGAAATTTTCCCTTGGCCCCTATACTATCCAATTGAGTGCTTCCTGATGTAAAGGTGACAAGACCCTTAGAAGGAGGACTGCTTCAGAGCTCTGAGTTTCCTACTTTGACAATCTTTCATCATCAAGTTCAGTAAATGGCTTTCCTTCTCTTTATTTCATCCATAGAAATTAATTCATGTTCCCCCAGAATGAGATGTGAAATAGTGGTATTGTCTCCTCTTACTTAATGGTCATTTGCCATGTTTTAAGGGAACTGAAGTCTAGGGAGCACGCACAGCATGTGCCATCACTTCTTTAGACCAGGGACATGGAGAACAAGGAAGACATTAGAAAGGAGGAGAAAGATCCTGGAAATGGGGAAGCAAAGAACATAGCAAACTTTGGAGCTCTCCTGTGGACTCAGTATTTTCAGCCACAAGGACTACCAAACTAGTGTGTTCGTTTCCACATTTTAATTTATAAGAGTGAAAATTCACACATGACCCAGTAATCCTATTACCACATATAGACCCAAATGAGAACAAATTGCTCTGCCAAAAAGACACAGGCACTAGTATATTCATTGTAGCACTGTTCACAATAGCAAAGACATGAAATCAACCTAGGTGCCCATCAGTTGTGGACTGCATAAAGAAAATGTGTTACAAATGTGGTACATATACACAATGGAATATTTTGCAGCCATAAAAATGAATAAAGCCATGTCCTCTGCAGCAACATGGATGTAGCTGGAAGCCATCATCTTAAGCAAATTAACATGGGAACAGAAAACCAAATACTGCGTATTCTCACTTATAAGTGGGGGCTAAACATTGGGTGTGGTGTCCATAAAGATGAGAACAATAGAGAATGGGGACTACTTGGGTGGGGGCAAGGGCTGAAAAACTACCTATTGGGTACTATGCTCACTACCCGGGTGATGGAACCATATGTACCCCAAACCTAAGTATCGTGCAATATACCCATGTAACAAACTTGTACGTGTACCCCATGAATCTAAAATAAAAGTTGAAATTATAAAAAAGATCACAGGAGAATATACGGATATTATTTGGCAAAAAAATTATAAGGAATAAAAGAGTATAAAAGCCATTAAAAATAAATTAATTAATTCAATCAAACTTTTGTGGAGCATTTAATGACAAGGGAAAGATCATAATGTAAATTAATGTTGAACAAAAGTAGGGTGCTAAATTATATATATGTAAGCTTCTATACATACATATGTATGTGTAGATCCCACTTGTGTGATGTATACATGCCCATACAGACATAACTTAGAAATATTGCAAGTCTTGTTCCAGACCATTTAAGTAAAGCAAATATTGCAATAAAGATAATCATACACATTTTTTGGTTTCCTAGTGCATATAAAAGTTGTTTGCACTATAGTTTATTAAGTGTGCATAACATTATGTCTAAAAAAAATGTACTTACTTTAATTAAACATATTTTATTGTTAAAAAATGCTAATGATCACCTGAGCCTTCAGCAAGTCATAACGTTTTTGCTGGTGGAGGGTCTTGCCTCAGTGTTGTTGGCTGCTGACTGATCAGGGTGTTGGTTGTTGAAGATTAGGATGGCTGTGGCAATTTCTTAAAATAGGACAACAATGAAGTTTGCCACATGGATTGACTCTTCCTTTCATGAAAGATATTTCTGTAGCATGTGATGCTCTTTGATAGCCTTTTATCCAAAGTAGAACGTTTTTCAAAATTTGAGTAAATCCTCTCAAATTCATATTCTAAATTCTTTGCTGTCATTTCAACAATGTTCACAGCCTCTTCACCAGGAGTGGATGCCATCTCAAGCAATCACTTTTTTTGCTCATCCATAAGTAGCAACGTCTCACACTTTAGAGTCTATCATGAAATTGCAGCAATTCAGTCACATCTTCAGGTTCCACTTTTAGTTCTATTTCTCTAGCTCTTTCCACCACATCTATAGTTACTTTCTCTGCTGAATCTCTCAAATTCATCCATCAGGGTTGGAATCAACTTCTTCTAAACTCCTGTTAATGTTGATATTTTTACCTCCTTTTTGAATCACAGATGTTATTAGTGGCATCTAGAATAGTGAATCCTCTCCAGAAAGTTTTCAATTTACTCTACCCAGATCCATCAGAAGAACCACTAACTGGCAGCTATAGCCTTACAACACGTATTTTTTAAATAATAAGACTTGAAAGTCAAAATTACTACTTGATCCATGGGCTGCAGAATGGATGTTGTGTTAGCAGACATGAAAACACACTAACTTCCTTGAACATTTTTATCAGAGATCTTGGGTAACCAGGTGCATTGTCAATGAGCAGTAATATTTTGAAATGAATCTTTTTTTTTTTTTTTCCTGAGCAGTAAATCTCAACAGTGGGCTCAACATATTCAGGAAATCATGCTATAGATAGATGTGCTGCCATTCAGGTTTTGTTGTTCCATTTATGAGGCACAAGTAGATTATATCAGCATACTTCTTAAGGGCCCTAGAATTTTCAGAATGGTAAATGAGCATTGGTTTCAATGTTAAGACACCAGAGGCATGAACCCCTAGAAAGAGCCTGTTCTGTGAAGCTTTGAAAATAGGCATTGACTTCTCCTCTCTAGCTATGAAAGTCCTAGATCACATTCTCTTCCAAAAGAAAGGCTGTTTTGTCTACATTGAAAATCTGTTTAGTGTAGCCACCTTCATCAGTGATGTCATCTAGATCTTCTGGATAATTCCCTGCAAATTCTACATTAGCACTTACTGCTTTACTTTGCACTTGTATGTTATGGAGACAGTTTCTTTCCTTAAACCTCATAAGCAGAGCTGTGCTAGTTTCAGATATTTCTTCTGAAGCTTTCTCTCCTCTTTCAGCCATTACAGAATGGAAAGGAGTTAAGGCTTTTCTCTAGATGGGGCTACTGCTTAAGAAAATGCTGTGGTTGGTTTGATCATCTGTCCAGACTACTAACATTTTCGAGGCTGTTTTGCATTCTTATCATTTGTGGGCTCACTGAGGTAGCACTTTTAATTTCCTTCAGGAACTTTTTCTTCACACTCAGAACTTAGCTAACTGGTACAAGAGGCCTAGGCCTCAGCTTGTCTTGGCTTTTGTCTTGTCTCCCTTGCTAAGCTTGAACATTTCTAGCTTTGACTTAAAGTGAGAGAGGTGCAAATCTTCCTTTCACTTGAGTACTGAGAGGCTATTGCATGGTTATTAGTTGTTCTATTTTCAATATTTATTGTTGTGTGTCAGGCAATAAGGAGGCCCAAGGAGAGGGAGTGAGATAGGGGAATGGCCCATCAGTGGAGTAGTCATAACACACAACACTTATCACTTATGTTTGCTGTCTTATAGAGGTGCACTTTTGGTGCCCTGAAACAAGGAAAAGGATAACTAACATTAAAGATCACTGGTCACAGGTCACCATAACAGTTATAATAATAACTGTGTGAAAAATGTGTGAGAATTACCAATATGTAATGAAAACAAGAAATAAGCACATGCTATTGGAAAGGTGGTGCCAATAGATTGCTCATTTCAGGGTTTCCAAAAACATTCAATTTTTAAAAAGTATAATATCTTCAAAGTGAAATAAAGCAGAGTGCAAAAAAGTGAGGTGCCCTGTATATATTACTGTGCAAACAATTTATGCACACACACATACACATGTACACACACACACACACACACACAGAGAGAGAGAGAGAGCCAGAGAGAGAGCAAGCATTTACAAACATACCAAAGTAAAGACCATGATACTGCCGGGTGCCATGGCTCACACCTGTAATCCCGGCACTTTGGGAGGTCAAGAAGGACAGATTGCTAGAGCTCAGAAGTTCGAGATCAGCTTGAGCAACATGGCGAGATCCTGTCTGTACTAAAAATACTAAAAAAATGCTGGGCATGATGGTGCATGCCTGCAGACCCAGCTACTGGGAAGGCTGAGGCAGAAGGATCCCTTGATCCCCGGGGTCAGAGGTGGCAGTGAGCCCAGACTCGGCCAATGCATTCTAGCCTGGGTGATAGAGTGAGGCCATGTCTCAAAAGAAAGAAAGAAAAAGAGAAAAGGACCATGATATCAAAAATATTAAAAGTCAATATTACTCACTGATTTAATTACAAGTGTTTCATATTTTCTAAGTTTTTGGAATTTAGAAATTTCTAAACTGAGCACGTCTCACTTTTATAATCAGACAAATATATTTTAGTAGTTATTTAAAAAAATAAAAAATATTTTAGTAGTTATTTAACAATGACTTATACCAAGTTAATTATCACATCCATCTTCATGTGGATATATTTCTTGGTACTCTCAAGAATTCCTACAAATTTCACTGCTATTTCAAAAGGAAAAATGCAGCCTTTCTCTACATAATTTATTTTAAATATAGGCATGAGGGATATGGAAACTATGAAAGTCTAAAAGAAATGAAAACTGCATTTCATTAAATACTGACAGAGAAAAGTAAATAGAAATGTTAAAGCCTTAATTCCTAAATCATTCAGCATTTTGGTGTCATTCATGAGTAGGTCCTATGGCCAGCCTTTGAGTACACAAGGACAAATGAAGATAGCCTCTGAGCTAATAAGCTGGCCGAAAGAGACTGGCTTACATCTAAGTGAGGAAGGGAGTCATAGTATTCCTATTTGCTGATAAAGAACCTAAAACATAACCAAATTTGGCTGACAGAAATCCTTTCTGGACCATTTTCCTCAGAGAGCTGTGTGTCTGTATTTACTCTGTGTACAAAAAAAAGCTTGGCCTTTACTGAATGCCCAGAATGGCTAGGACACCTTGCCCTTTGCTCTAGTAGATAGACCTTGACTCTGAGGAAATAGTCAATTCCCAACACCAGAGATAGGAGAAAGCCAAGAGTCTGAGTTAAAGACAGAAATAATTTGCAAAATGTGGCCGCCAAGGACTTCAGCTCGCAGGATGACCCCAAGGACTCTGGTGATGGCTGCTCACATAGCCAATCTGACCATTCCTCTGCCTTCTTATGACTCTTGGTGCCCATCCAGGAGCTGCCATCATATCAAGAGAACAGCTCAAATTAGCAACGTGCTGAGGGTTTGTGGTGATACTGTTGTGCTGGCACCCCAGTGATCAAAAACGAGGCAAGGGCATTTTGTGGCTGGCCAAATGGGGTACCATAATTTGTGTGTTCAATATCTAGCAGAAAATATACTTCAGCTCCTTTCTCTGACCTTGCTGAAGGACACGAAGCAGCTTCCGGCCAGTGAACAGAGAAAGAGCATTTGCAGAGGACAGGAGAGCCAACAGGACATCTGAAATTACTCGATGAAAGCCAACATTTTATATCGCTGCTGTAACTCTATCCTGTTTTGAAAAAGCAATAACCTTCTTTCTATCTGAGTGACAGCCATATGGGGTTGTTACTATAGTTCTCAGCAACTTAGAAATGAATAAAAAATAAAATCAACCTACATGGCAGGGTAGAGAAGATGGGAAAGGAAGTTAGGGGCTTCTCAAATGGCTAATGGATCAGAACACAGCCACAAGAGCCTGTTGGGTTTCCTACGTAAGAGATATGGAAGCCAGGGTAACTGGTGCAAGGTCACACAGCTAGAAGGGATGTGCCATGGGGTCTGTGAACACGGTCTTTCCACTCCCTCTGTCTATTTGTTCTTCCCCAATTACCTGTCTCGGTGGGCATTTTCTGCCCTTTTCCTATTCCTGTTCTCTTTTCACCAATCATTTTTCTACTACCCACAGTTACCTTTCACCATAGAGGCAGCCAGGCAGCCATATGCAATGGGAAAGGCTGACACAGCTCACCGTGGCCCATGGCCGCCACCTTGGCTGTCTCTATCACACTTACCCAAATGCACCTCACCACCGTGGTAGCTTACCCAGGGCACTCCTTAAAAGGCCCTGTAGTTTATCTGGAGGCATCGGGAAGCTGCGGCACTCTTGCCTGCCTTTCATAGAATGGCAGAGGACACTGGCTGTGTGATTTAATAGCACCATCTCTGCTGATGTCCCAAGACGCCACTCATCTGAGAAGCATCTGCACACAATGCTAATACTGGCAAGATTTCTGAAAAGCTAACTCAGGTACTAAATCATGCCAAATGAACAAGTCAAATCCATATTGGGCTGCTCCCAAGGTAACTCTCAGAAAGAAAAGCAAAGGTTATGTCAGTGACTGAAGCAGAAGTCAACCCAATGCCCTTTCAGGAAAAACAAAAACAAAAACATATATATATATATTTAAGACATAATGTCTGAAAGTGGATTTCTTCATAACTATCACCATATGCTGCCTGCCTCTCTTTATTCTTTCAGTTCTTGTCCTCAGATCCTGTGTCATCCTTTAGTGGTCCTGTTGTAGATGATTACCCTGCTTTTCTAAGTCATGCTGCCTCTTCTCTCTCCTGGAGATGAATATATAGCCCATTTCCCTAAATATACAGTTGAGTCTGTTTGGTTTTAGCTGTAGGTGCAGTCTATACTGAGGCTACTCCTGGTCTTTACCCATTTTCTTTTCCCACATGAAGAGAAGGACAAGACACATCTATGTGGGGTGGTGGAAGGCTACCCTCGCATTATGCATGTGGAAGAGTAAGGCTCTGAAGGATAAGATCAATTGTTGGACCTTTGCTCTATGCAGATGATGCTGGCTCTTAGAACCAGGGGCTACTGCCTTCACACTGCTCCCTTCATGTTAGGGAAGTCACATGCTAAGTCTGAGTCTAAGAGCCTTAAATATGCCCTCACTTTGTTCTGTACCTTAAACAAACAAACAATAATAATTAATAATTGGGCATCATATTTTCATTTTTGAAGCATTATAAATCCAACAGGATAGGGTTCTTCAATCTTAGAAATGGAGTTTTCCAGTGGGTTTTGCTGGAAGTGCACCATTGCATTACGATTTATTACTTTTCTAAAAATGAATCACATTTTGTCCAGCATTCCTTGAAAGTTCACAATAAATGTCAAGTCTTTGCGGTTTCTATTCATAACTCAAGAGCCTTTACAGGAACTTTGCCCATACTAAAGTTTTCTTTCAGAAGGAACCGTTTTTCCTTTTTTCTTTATTGTGTTTCTTCATCATCCTCAAAATCAATTTTTTTAATGGATGAATCAGATTCTGCTTTTGTCCATTTGTCCTTTGAGTGAGTGGATAGCTGCGCAGAGCATCATCAAAGCCTTCATGTCCAACATCCCCGAGCCAGTCCCTAACCCAGGCCAATAAGAACCCCAATGCCACCACAAGAGATATGAAAAGAAAAAGCAGCCCTCTGGTTCTCTTCAGTTTTGCCCCATGCTATTCTCTAAGTATGCATGAGGGCTGTGAAGGATAAGATCCAGTCCAGTGGGAAAGAAGACAGGTTTGTGAATTGAACAAAAAAAAAAGAAGCAGCATCAAGAAACAAAACATGGAGGCAGTGCTCCGAATAGAAATAGCTAGCCTACTGATTCTAAGTGGGCATCGTGATTCAAGGAAGAGGTAGAATCTTTGGATTCCATCTAAGGAGTATGATGGCTGTCAGGTGTGCTATGTCAGAGGTAGGGATGGTCAGATGGAGTGAATTTTTTTAAAGTTTACATCAACTCCAAAGTTCCACGCAGATAGGTCAAATCCTCAATTGACAGTATGTATTAATATATAAATGCTTAGCTTTGTTTTGGTGAGAAAAAAATTTCAATAAATAGTAATGATGTAATAACATTAATAGCCATTGGTAATTTTATTTTTTTTACTCTATATTTTTATACAGAAGATCTGAGATCACGGATGACATATGTTAATGTCTTAAAATATAAATGGTGCTAAACAATTCCATTTGCTTTCCTGTTTTGTTCTTCTTTCTGTTGAGGCCAGGTCTAATCCCCAAATGAGATTCTTGCAGATATTTGAAAGTATTAAGGGGATATTTTGTAACGTACCTTTTTCTTCCTCCAACCACATCGGAGCAGGTTTGCTCCAACTCTTTCTTAACATCCATCTGAATGTTTACAAGATGAAGAACTTTTTGTCCGACAAATGGAGTCATTTGGGTGAAGGGACATTGAGCTTATGCTTGCCACTATCACTGCCAAACTAATAAAACCCATGCTAAGAAAATACTGAAAGTTGAAAAATATGCATTAGCACGATAAAGCTTTACCTTCTGCTCTCTAACAGTCCAACGTCCGGGCAGACTCTTTACCTTGCTTGCTCACCTTCCTAAGATAATTTGTTAGGAAATGATCAGAGATACCCATCTATGCTATAGTGTGGACTTATAAACACAGAGCGCCAGTTTTCTGTTCCCTGATAGAATTAATAATTTACAGTTGAAAAATGTAATCATGAGAGGGGAAGGAAACCATTTATCACGTTAACTAATACATTGATGTGTTTCCTATAGCAAGACCTTGTTTAATCCTCACAACAGTTTCATGAGGCTTGTGCCCTTCTTCCTCTTTTATAGTAAGGAACTGACTTATCCTGGGTCATACATCCAGAAAAATCTGAAAAGCATTGGAATAAAAACGTGCCTCCTTCCTGGCTCTCTTTCTTCTCTTCCTCCCTACATTTCCTTCTGTCTCCTCTGGTACTCCCTCCCTTTCTTTATTTTGGTTTGGCTTCCTGCCTCAGCCTTGCACCACTTGGGATCCTACTTGTCTTTCTTCAACAGATTTCAGGCATGAAGAATCAGCACAGGAAGGGGAAGGTAGTTCTTTGTATATGTGACCTTTCCTGGGCTCTTGAAAGCATACTGGGCTGGCCCTCTCACACTGCAGAGTAGCTATGACCCTGCAGGAAGCAGCTCAGCTGTCCTTAAGATTGCTGTCTAGACAGGTTCCCTGCCTAACAAGAGATGTGAAGAGACAATCTGTTCTCCATTGCCCCACAATTATTTTCAGAATACTAGGGAGAGTACACGGTAGTGAAATCAGTTTTTCCCCATTAAACCTGCTACCTTGCTTTTTTGCTTTAAAAAACAAAAAACACAGTGAGAAAAGTGTTTTTTTCAAGAATTTTTATGCAGTGTTGAGAAAAGTGAGAACCCTTTTACAAAATTGTTTTGTTTTACTTGACAACTCCTGGTGATAAGTGGAGTTAATATTGCCAAGTAAAAACTGACCCTGGAGTGTAAAAGAAACTTTATTATTAATCTCTTATGGTTTTAAGGCTACAGTCACATGTGAAAATACATTAAATAGAGATCACCCCTAAAACTTGTGTTGAGGAGCAGAAGCAACATGTTTTAATGAATTATGTGTGGTTTTCCCAAACATGAGAACATCACTTAAAAGTAAAGTCTTCAGGTGGGAAGAAATACCAACAGTTAAAGTGTCCCTGAGTATGGATTATTAGTCTTTTGTTTGAAAGAGAGAGATATCTGAGACATAGTTTACAGAAGAGAATTTGTTAAGTTGGAGAAGTTAGAGAAGACGACAGGACAAAAAATATATACAAAAATGAGAAGAATGAAGAGTGTTTTATATTCATATATACAAGAGTTAAGGTCATTAAAGAAGAAAAAAAGGGAAGGGGTGCATTGGCATTCACTCTGTGGGCAGAGGCCTTAGATATAATCCTGTGGGCTCCATCTTGGGGGAAGGCTTGGAGATGGATTTGAGGAAGTTTTATCAAAGGACAAAGAGAAAGGATTGAGTCTGTAGCTTGGGGACTTCTTGGATTCTGCAGACTCCTAATCTCTGCCAATGACATGTTAGTCTTTGTTCATATAAATGTTCTAATCATAAAGCCTAATTGTCTGATTTGTTCCCTCTGGTGGCCATCACTGCATGGAAGGAAACCTAAGGAACTGGAAATAGTAGAGATCTTTCTTTTGGTGGTTTCTGTTAATTAGCTTGAATTATTGGCACAATAATAGAGCTGCCACCACCATTAAGAATAAGTAAAAGTGGAAGTCAATAAGAGAACAAGGTATAACAGAAAATTGACAATAAGTAGCTGAATGATCTACCAGAGAAGGTTTTAGTATCAACTAGTCTAAGCTGATCTGACAGTTAGAGACTTAATCAAGGCTAGAGAGCAGCAATACCCACTTCCTCATTCTTGGAATCCCTATACTTAAATCTCAATGTACTTAAGTGTCACTACTTCCAAGCTTTAGATTATTAAATGTGATTCAGATTCCTGCTGGCTCTAATGGGAACTACAGATAATTATTATTATAAAATCTCCCACATGATGCTTTAATCAGGATTACAGCCATTCGTTTTAAACAAAACAACAGTCCGTGTCATTCAGCCCATGGCCTGTTTACAGACTCCCAGATGTGAAGCCATAGGAACGATGGCTAATGAACCAGAGCAGGCAAATCACAGACCCAACATTTGGCTGTTTCAAGAATTTTGTCTGCATTATTAGTATTCATGTTTCTACCAGAAAACATGAATTCTGGGATCTGGAAGTCTGGAGAGTCTCCAGGTCTAGATGATATTCTGTCTTAGAGTCAGCCACGATTTCACACTCACAATCCTCTGCATACTCATTAAGCAACAAGGATGAATGAGCGGGCTGGGTGTGAAAGCAATGAGGAGTTTTGGGGGTTGTGTCTAAATGAATGGCACATGCCTTGTGGAGAGAGCCGGTCACTGCGCCGCTCCATGTACTTGTTGTAAAACATTCAGATTTCTACCAAAGCCAAGTCAGCAATCTGGGGGTTTTATGTGGAAAATTTCTGATTTTTAATCGTAGAGGCAGGGACAGATCCCTCCAGATTCTGTCTAATGTCTTTTACCCTAGAATATGCTACCCCTCCATGTTTGGTGACTTAAAAGCAGAGATAGAGGATTGCAGGCATTCTTCAGCCTGAGCACCTCAAGCCATTCAGAAACTTGGTCTTTGATGTGAAATGTGTTTCATGTGCTTGGAGCAGGGGAGGTGAGAGAAAGGTCCTGCTGGTGATGTTCATGACATCACCCTACATTGTTTTTAACATAAAGTGCGTGCCAGGCATTCTGGTAAACACTACACATATGTTTTCTTATTTGATCTTCACAAACATATCAGACGTTTCCATTTCACAGAAGGAGAAACCGTGGCAAAGAGAGGTTAAGGGAACCAGTTCAAAACCTTGCGGCAGCTACTAAATTGCATCCATTGTGTCTTAGGTGCTTCCACACATGGTTTTAATTCTCAAAACAATCGTGTGAAATGGATATCATTCTACAAATTCTGCAGAAGAGGAGAAAGGACCTCTGAGATTTACCTACTGCACAAACTCCTCTACCAAGCAAAGTGACTAATTAAGCTGGGATTCAAATCCTGGTCTGACTCAAAAGACTGTGGCTTTGACTATGAACACATTAGCTGCCCTGTTAGAAACTCTGTTTATATCATCACCTGATAACTCCTAACACCACTGCAGGGTAGGCAACAGTGTCCACACTTCACAGTTGAGATCAAGCTCTTTATCCACATGTACACAGACATTAAGTCAGCCCAGATAGATTACAACCTGAGGATCAAGCCCTTCTCTGGCTGGCTCCAGGGCTTGTGTTCTACCTGCTCCACCACAATGTGTCATAAAGTCTGCAGGTTCCCCATTTCCCTGCACAAACATGCTACCCAGTCCTGCCAGCCACCCATCCAGTAGCTTAAGACAAAACCTGATTTTTCCTTCCCCAGCTGAGATCTACCCTCTACAGAGTTACCTAGGTGAGGTGAATATTGAAACGGCCTCATTTAAACCCCTACCCAAAAGCCTCCAGTGTCTTATGATTATGCTTAGAATGAAATCCACATTTCCTTATGTGATTTACGTGGCCCTGTGTAATCTGTCCTTGGCCTCTCTCTTCTCCCTTTCTGCCTTTCTCTTCCGTATTTCCAATCACTTTAGTGTTCTAGCAGATTGTCCAATAAATCAAAGGTGTTTTAGTGTCATGGACTTCCCCTCCACTTAGAATTTTCTTCTCCAAAACCTTACTTTTTCACCTTATTTAGGTGTCTGTTCAAATGTCACTTCCTCAAAGAGATATTATTTCAGGAGGAAAGAAAAGTATATATACATATAAAACAGAGTCTCTGCACTTAGCTGGGTTTATTTCTCTCTTTGTCACTTACAGCTATCTGAAATTATATTATAATCTATCTATGAATGAGCAGGCTGGGTGTGAAAGCAATGGGGAGTTTTGGGGGTTGTGTCTTAATCAATGGCACATGCCTTGAGGAGATAGCCAGTCACTGCACCGCTCCATGTACTTGCTGTAAATTATTCAGATTTATTATTCTTACTGCCTGCATCCCTTACTGTAAGTTCCATGAAGGCAGGAGTATTGCGTGTTCATGGCAGCGTTGCTTAGAACAGTGTCTAAGTCTGCACTGAACACACCTCTTTGAATGAATGGCTGAAAGACTTCAAAAGTGCATGTACATTCTCTAACATTTGGCATGCATTTTAGTGTTTTCAGAGCCAGAAACACAAGGAGAACAGTCATGTTTTGAAATCCACTAAGAACAAATACTAGGGATAAACACAGATGTAAGAAAATGAATGTTTTGGATAGACTCCAGCTAAGTAAGTGAAGTGAAGAACAGAGTCATAGACCTTGGAACAAAGAATGAAAATGATCAAGTTGTGAATGTTGTTAAGAGAGGTTTTAATTCTTTTTTTTTTCTTAGAGGCATGCAGAAGCAATAATTGAAGTTAAAAGAAAGAGAAGATTTGTTCTTCATGGAAGAAGAGTAAATGTTATTTTATTTCTCCTTTCCTTAACTTGAAAGAAATGAAATGAAAGAGGAGAGTTATTAAGGTGAGAATGGGGGAGGCATATAATCTTAAGGGCTGTCACAAAAGGTAGTAACTTTTTTGTAGTGCAGATTTAAGGGAGGAAACCACATTGCTTTCAAAATGGAAACTTCAAGCAAAGCCAGTGTTGCTTGTATTGACCTTTAGGGGAGGAAGGTAGTTAGCATTTTTTGTTGTTCAATTTCATGTAAAATGAGGAGCCCTGAGAGCTAGCATTTCTGTCCTGAAGCATCTTCATGTAGATCAGATTCACACCCCCATGCCTGACTCCTCAAAGCATGCTAATCCCATCTTGACATTTGCAGTAAATGAAAACTCTCTGTCAGTAGGTAGATACAGGCTTTCCTTCTAAGGGTCTCCTATGATGACAATTTGATATAAATGAATTAGGTATTTCTATAGCCCTATTCTCCAGGGCTGGAGGCAGCATGTCACCTTCCTCATTGCAATGTTGGTGGGGTGGAGGGTCAGTGTGGTGTGGCCCAAATATCAAACACTGATGGGTGGGATATATTTGCTTTGATCTGATACTTCCAGTTCCTCATGATCTCATTTCTAGGCTTCAGTTTCCACCATTGCGAAATGAAAGGATGGATGAGATTAAATATGCCCTGTAGTTGGTTCCCAAATTTAAGAATCCATGATTCTAAGTCTTTAATGGTCGTAGGAGAAAGGGTTCAAGAATGTACCAGTTACATAATATTTTGGAAGTACACTGTCACTAGAAACTTGAGGTCCCCTTTTTTGTCAACTTCAAGGGATGACTTTTACTTTAGAGAAAATTTCTTTCAAAGGACTCTGTCTGTCTTTGGAATTTCTACTTGGTTAATGATGTTTAGGGATATGAGGAGGTGCAGAGAGGAGCAGAAATCATGGTGGCATGCATAAAAAACATGCCTTGAAATACATTCTATGATGTGCTTGCCATTATTATGATTATTATAGTTATTGATTCACATAGGCATATAGAAACTAAATAATTCCAAGCTTACTTTTCAAAAAGACAAAAATTAGTGTTTTTCTCTTAATTTTAGATAAAATCCTAGTTTAAAAAATTTTAATCTTACCCTTATCTTGATTTCTACTTTTCACTCTTCATTTCACACTACATGTGGGGGTAGGACAGAAATAAAGAGAAGGAATCATGTTTCCTTTATTTTAACCCCCAAGTCATCTTTCCCAAATCAATGATAAGGGTTTTATCTGCATACTGTGGATGACTTGAGAAAAAACTAACCAGGTGGCAAGCCAGCTACATTGGACTTTGTGTGGGTGTAAAGTCCAGCTCTGCCACCTTTACTTGGTGTGGCATCACATGAGTAACTGAACCTCTTTTTGTCTTGATTTACTGTCTGTAAAGATAATAAGATCTGCCTCATAATTTTTTTACCAAGTTTAAATGAAGTAATACCTATAAATAATCAATACAATCTCTGTCATAAATTAAATATGCAATAATGGTCTAACTCCAGTGTCCTATACTTCATTCAATAATTACTAACAAAAAAAACCCAACATTTATTGAGTACTTATTATGTGCCAGGCTTGGCAGCATGAACTTAAAGCGCACTACATTATTTATTCTTTACCTTGTGGCATTTTTACAGAGAGAAATATGCATAAGAGATGAGTAAATAGCTTGCCCAAGGCTTTCAGGTAGTGAGTGGCACAGGATTCAAGTTGAATGAGCTTTGCCACAATCATGTCCACACATATGGTGTGCATCTGCTACCCTTTTTTCCTTTTATTATTTTCCTGTGTTTGCTTTGTTTTCTCAACTCTTGAAGTCTTGATATGATTAAATATGTCTCAAATATCATTGAACCTATAAAATATTTTCCAATCATCCATAATCTTCTATTGAATTCACAGATGAATTCTGAAAAGCTTTCTAAATTTTAATCATCAAGATCTGTTTAATGATGCTCATATTTTAATTTTCAGGGTCTGTGGTAGAACATTAAACCATTAGCCTCTCTTAATCTAGGGCAGAGATCATTTGTTTTTGTCCTTTTCTTTTTTTTGATCTGCATTTGCAATGAGCACAGAGATTATCATCTTTCAAAATCATTTTCTTTAAAATACAGATGACTCTTTACAGCAAGGAGTGGGTCCACACTCAAATGAGTAAGTAATATATCAGTGTATTGACAAACACATACTTAATACATTTTGAAACATCTCCTCCTATCAATAAATCATTAAATAAATGCTGGGTGCTTGCTGACTGCTAATAGCCTCTAGGAGCTGTCATGTGGTTCCTGTTAGTGCTTGGGTTTGCATGGGCCATGCAAGGCTACCAACTTCTCTTCTCTCTGTTTCCTAGGTGCTAGGAAGCCAAAGTTTATTTTCTCCAAATCCAAACCCCATCATCTCCCTCACCTCACCTCACTCCAAGTCTCCTTATATCCAGTAGAGTGCACTATGACATTGGAGTCATGAAGACCAAGTTTTCGTCTCAGCTCCACTCATTTGCTGGCTGAATGAACATAGTCAACATACTTTCATCTATCTCACCCTATCTATAAAATATAAATGAAACATCTACTTTTCGGGGTTGTTAAAATAATAAGAAATAAATTGATGTATTAGGCACTCAGTTCACAGATGTTATCAACATCTAGCCATTGCTACAAGAAGCAAAGTTAACTGTTAGCCTCCTTTATTATCTATACTTCCTTTTCTCGTTGATATTTCCTCTGATCTTGCTGTTTTGTTTATCATTGTATATGCATTTTTTAATTGCATTATAGATGGTTTATGCAGATGACCCCAAAGCCTTTGTGAAACTGGCAGGATATAGTACAAACAAACAATATAAGGAAACAAATAAAATGAAATAAATAAATATGGCTCTTTGGCCATGAATTTCCATAGTTTTGCACTCTTCAGTTACAAAATCTGTCAACAATGATGATTATTTATAAATCCCAAAGAACCAACCAAGTGACAAATGTAAAATTTAACACAGGGTTTGCTTGTGCAGAAGCAATACTAATTGCAGCCATTTATGTCAACAGCTTACCATTTTATACCTAATTACCGTGCTTCAAAACTGCATTATGTATATCATTAGGTGTGTGTCACATTAACTCTGTTGTAAGTTTTATTTAATTATGCCACTATTCTGTATACCTACAGGCTCAGTTTGTATAGTTTATTGCTTATGGGCCATGGTCTATTGCTCTTAACTTTAAAAAAAAAAAAGGCAAAGACAGAAAACACTGGAGAGAAGAGGATTAAAATTTCTGCCTCTACCACTAAAGAGCTTATTGTTGGGGAGAAGGAGGGACTCCGACTGTTGATCTGATCACCTTAATGTTATCCCATTTCTTTCCACCACTGTAGATTTGTATTTCTTTATTTCCATGATGGGAATATTAGTCTTATTCTCTATTAGCCCAAGAATGTCTTATTCAATCCACTGAAGGCCTAAATAGAACAGACTCTTATAAAAGAGTGAAATAATATTCTCTTTCTTTGCCTGACCTTGGTCTTCTCCTACCTTCAGACTTGACATCTGACTGAAACTTTAACTATCATTGTTCCTGGTTCTCATACCTTTAGACTCAGACTAGAATTATACCATCTGCTCTCCTGAGTCTCCAGCTTAGTGACTGCAGATACTGGGACTTCCATAATCATGTGAATCGATTTCTTATAATTTCTCTCCTGCATGTATAATAAGAGAGAGTCTGTTCCTCTGGTGTACACAGACAATACACTATGTCATAGGCTATGTGTAAGGATAAACAATATCTGTAAAAAACAGGAATATTGCTTAGTCTTTGGAAGACTCTTAATAAGTAGTAGTACTCCTAGTTATTCTCCTTCTTCAAATGCATTTATCCCTCGAGTCCTTTAAAACTTGGATGAACAATTTTTCTTATGAATTTCATAGAATTTTTGATTTTTTAATACAGCTGGACATGCTGTTTGTTGATACTCCATAGTGACTTCAGAATTGAGTGTATTCAAAACAAGACCACAAGGTTCTTATTCATCTTTACTTAGTTTTTAGCTATACCCTTGAAGAGTCATGCTGAAATCACAGAATTTCACATATTAGCTGTAGAGGCAAACCTAGGGGTCACTTTGTCCAGTGCTTTTGTTTTCCAGATTAAGGAAACTAAGACCTAGTAAGGTTAAATAACTTAACATGGTCACACAGTTGGTTAGTGACAACTGGGACAAAGTGTTCAAATTGATCTTTTCACTGATTAAAAACAAGAACTGGCAAGCTATGACCCACAGGCCAAATCTGGCCTGCCACCTATTTTTGTAAATAAAATTTTATTGGAACACAGCCACACTCTCATTCATTTACATATTGTCTATGGCTTTCCTGATATTACAACAGAGTTGAGCAGTTGTGACAGACACCATATGGCTTGCAAAGCCAGAAATATTTACTATCTAGCCCTTTACAGAAAAAGTTTGCAGATTCCGGTTTAAGAACAAGAATACTTCCAAAGCTTCAACTCACAAACTGAGATATCACCTAAACCTTTTAAAAAAATCTGAATAAAAAGAAACAACCAAAACAACTATGTTAGATGTTTTTACATTAAGTGAGTTTTATATCCCAAGAGACACACAATGTCATATATGCAATGTCAACAATAAAGGCAATTGTTCTGTTAAGGGACTATGCATGTTGAAACCCCTGAAGTATAAATGTCTCTCAAAGCCACCTCACATAACCTCTCTCCCTAGGGTTTGAAATGACCATTAAGAAATTCTTAATCAAAGAAGACAGACTAGAAGTTGAACTGTAAGATTCCTGTGGGTGTCGAGGGCATCTTATTATTCCTTCTGTCTATTGTGAAGCACTCCACTGGCCACCAGCCTTGTACCTTTAGCACACCTGTCCCATACCTGCCAGGCGCTCTTGAGGTTTAATGGAAAGATATGCCAAATGTTCACCCTAGTGAGATGTCTTGGTAAGAGGAAGTGCACCAATCTGATGCCTAGAAAGGCAACAATCTATTTTGAGGACAAGAACATAACTATTAGGTAACCCAGAAACAAATAAAATATCCTCTCATAGCAAGAAAAGAAAGCTATCATAAATGTATCAACATTTGTTGGACATGCTAACCTGTCTGGCACAAAAAGTAAATAGAGTCAGCCCTCCACATTCATGGGTTCTATATCCGTGGATTCAACCAATTGCAAATTGAAAATATTTGGGGAAAAAATCCACAAATTTCCAGAAGGCAAAACGTGAATTGGCCACACATGGTAGTATTACGTTGAATTTAAGCAACTGAAGTGACATACGCAAGTATTAGGTACTATAAGTCACTCAGATAGGATTTAAAGAAAAGGGGAAGATGTGCGTAGGTTATATGAAAATACTATGCCATTTTATATAAGGAATTTGAGCATCCACAGATTTTGGTATCTGTGGGTGGTCCTGGAACCAATCCTTCATGGATACAGAGGGATGGTTGTACTAGGCATTGTACATTATCTCATCAACTCCTTCAATCATTCTAGGCTATGGATAATGTTTTCCAAGGGAGGGTTTTGGGTTGTCAGTAATAGAAAAGGCCAAATTGACTGGCTTAACCAGAAAAGAAAATTCATCATCTCAGGAAACAAGGAAAGGTTCAGTGGCTCCAGGATTGTTTAATTCAGTGACCCACCAATGTTAACAAGACCCTTCATTCTCTCTATATTTCCACTTGACCATTTGCAGCATGTCATCTTCATTTCAAAGCTGCAAAATGAACAGAGTTATGGCTGTCCAATAGAATAAAATGAGCTGTTTATTCTTAAGCACCTCCTTTTAGGGCAAGAACATCCTTCGCTTTGCTAGAATTTTGTCATATAAACTTGTCAGAGGCAGTTCTTGGCAGAGATATTAGACTTCCATGATTGTCCTAGACTTTGGTGTTAAGGTTAGGTTGGGATCTCCTCATGAGCACACAGTTGGGTGGAAGAAGGGAAATTCTTGAAGAAAATTGTGGTTTTGGCAGGAAGGAAGACAGAAAGGAATTTTGAATGGTCACTAATTGCACCTCCTATAGATGCCCTTTAGATTATGAATGATTAAGCACAAAGAAGTTACATAACTTACTCCAAACTATTTAATAGAAGTGGAATTTCCTTTCTTTCTTTTTGTATGGACCCCTTCTTTCTTCTAAAAAGAATTATTATATTCAAATTTTAACTACAGAAAAACAAGATAGAAAGTAAGTGAGGAAATTTCAGTAAAGGAACCATAAAGATGGAATACTGAAAAAGAAACATAAGGTGGGAAAACTAGGAAACCGAAAAGTCAAAGTTTGCCTTTCAGTTTCTTGTCTCCAAGAGCCTAACACAGCTTCTTCTCCATAGAGCACTAGAGAAGCCAAACACCAATGCCAAAAGAACAGGTGTTACTGAATTTTTATATGAATTACTCCATTTATTTCTTCAAAAACATTTATCAAATGCTGAGTCTTTGTTTTCCAACGAGGCACTGGAAAATAAAAACTCATGGTCTCTCTACCCAGGGGAAGAGGGTGGCTGTGAGGGAGACAGACATGTGACCAGACTCACGGTGCAACCTGCAAATCCTGCGATACCAAGAATAAGGTTAAGAATCCTCAAAGACTTTAACCACGTTCTTCATTTTACACTTGAATAAACAGAGCCCCAAAGGTTTTAGAACTAGTGGAACACAGTTAGGGGAGAATCCTTTATTACTAGCTAGCTCTTTTTGCAACAAACTATGTATCAGGCTCTGCTCCATCTGCTTTCCATAACTATCAGGTGATTTGGTCTTAATAATAACTCTACAAGATAGGTAATGTTATGGTCCTTATTTTACAGAGGAAACTGAGGCACAGAGGTAATCAGTGACTTCACTAGATCATGCTACTTGGTGATTGGTGGAGCTGAAGTTTGATCCCGAACTACCAGCTCTGTGAACTCTCAAAAATTAGGCAAAATGGGCTGGGCACGGTGGCTCACGCCTGTAATCCCAGCACTTTGGGAGGCCGAGGTGGGTGGATCACCTAAGGTGAGGTGACCAGCCTGGCCAACATGGAGAAACCCCGTCTCTACTAAAAATACAAAATTAGCCAGGTATGGTGGCGCATGTTTGTAGTCCCAGCTACTTGGGAGGCTGAGACAGGAGAATCGCGTGAACCTGGAAAGCGGAGGTTGCAGGGAGCCAAGACCACAGCATTGCAATCCAGCCTGGGCAACAGAGAGAGACTCTGTATCAAAAAAAACAAAAATAAATAGGCAAAATGTTCACATTTTTGAGGGTCTGCCATCCAGGCCTGGCACAGGAATTCACTCATGCTATTCCTACAGCAATTCTGTGGTTGAACATTGACATCATGATGATCATTCATCTTCATTTCACAAATCCATAAGCCAAGGCTTTGAAAGGGAATTTTACTCCCCACAGATCAGCGTGATAATCAGCAGTGGAGCTGGAGGAACATTGACTGCCCTGCGATTCAAGTCTTTCCTCTTGTCCCTAGGTCATCTCTACTCTCCCTCCTGCTGCTCCACACTGGTCTTGCTGGAATTCCAAACTGTCTCTTTAAGATTCTTTCAGAGTCGACCATGAGCTTCTCAAAGCCTTAACCCTTTTACGAAATCAAGATTACCTGTCAACTCTATTTGTCTGTGTTTTCTGCAACATGATACATTAATTGGCACAAATCTACCCTCACCCTGAACCCTTTTTTAGATGCACTTTGCAAGGCCAACTGGGCTTCTGTTTTATACGAGGTGAGGGTGGCTGGCCACGCACATTATCTCCAGTGGAGCAAAGGCTTGCTCTATCCCACTTGTCCAGAAGAGGCTCAACTGCTTGCCCCCAGAATTTGCAATAGACTTGGTCATTAAGGTAAGAATTGCTTTCCCTGAAGTATCACAGATGCAGTACTCCCTTTCTTTCAAATTTATTGATTTTTATTTTGTTTTGTTTTTCAGGCCATGAATTCCATGGCTCAGCACTCCTAAAAAACGGATGGGTGAAAAAACCTCAAATATAAACCTTTTCTACGCCCTCTCCTCTACAAGTTATGCATGTTAAATATATATCTACATTTCCCTGAAAAGCAAAACAAGAGCTGAGGTGTTCAAACAAATTAGCCAAGAGAGAAAAATGCTGTTTAAGAAAACAAATTTTGGGAGATGGAACAGAAAGAGTGAAATCTTATTTTTTTCCTAGTAAATCCTATTTTTTCCTAGTAAAGCAGGTTTACTTTAAGTCAGCCGATCACTCATAACACTTTAAACACTTTACACACACCACACACGCGCGCACACACACACACACGCTATTCATTTAACATTTGCTGCCCTGTATATTTCCAACTGCAGACACAGACCACGGATTCAGTTGAGAATTCCACAGGAGAAAAGTGGTATTGGCAAATGAAAATGATTACAGGAGGTTGAAGAGCAGTAGCTGAAGGAACTGAAAACGTTTAGAGCATAAAAATGAAGGTCAAGTTAGGGCATTATTGCAGGCTTTGAATATCTAAAGAGCAGTCATGTACAAAATGGAATAGACTCATTTTGCATTTTTCCAAACTGCAGAGCTTGAATGACTGATGGAAGGTACAGAAGCAGGTTTTGGCTCACAGTAAGGAAAAAAAATTGGAACAATTAGTGCCATCAAAAAAAAAAAAAAAAAAAAAAACGGGAATGGTTTGCTTCTGAGAATAGCAGAGTCCCTCCCCATGAAGAGTTTCAAAAAGAGGCTTGCATGGCCATCTGTCAAGGACTTTGTAGAAAAGATTCATGTGTTAGTTGAACAAGAATTTTCAGTCCTGGCTGCATAGTGGAATCATTTGGTGAGCTTTTAAAAATTCTGATGCTTGGACCCCACAGCAGATAATCTGACTTAACTGGTCTGCACTGGAGCCTAGATATCAGGCAATTTAAAATTCCTCATCTGATTATAGTGAAAAACCCAGGAGAAGAACCCCTGGGCTTGAGGCTGCATTCATCCCTTGAGGCTGCATTCATCCCATTGGTCATTATTTGATGGGTATTTATGGAGCAAACACTGGAGGCCTGATCTGCTCTGAGCTGGGTAGAAAATGGTGTCCATTCTGGCACTTCAGCACACTGGACTTCTCAAGGCAGCACTGACCTTTCTTCATTGGAAAAGTTTCTCTTTCCAGTGGAGGTCTCTTTGTCCATCATGTGGCAGGACAGAGTGCAGGATAATTTTTGCTCCTTGGCTGCATCCCTCTACCCAAGAACAATGTGAACTTCTGCACCTCGGGGGAGGGGAGGTGTAATTGTGAGGTGTTGTACACTGGCCCTTCGCATTTCCCAGTGAATTGGCTCTCATTCCACCTCTCCTCACCCCCATCAGCTCATAGCACCCATTTTGCCATGCCCTTTCTTCCTTTCTTGTCTCTGGCACCTACTACTGTTCCGTTTATCTCCCAATCAAACCCCTTGCACTTGAATTCCTGTCTTAGGGTCTGCTCTAGGGGAATACAAACTCAGCAGACATAGAATAACCAGGCTCATTCTGGCTCAGACATAGAATAACCAGGCTCCTTCTGGCTCAAAAGGGCCCACTTCACAAGGAAAGCCCACAAGAACAGAACGTGTAACTAAGGAGGATTGTATTCTAGCTATTCAGAAGAGGACATTGGAGGTTAAATAACTGATGTATCTACTTGTTATGAACTGAATGTTTGTGCCCCCTAAAATTCATATGTTGAAAGCCAATCTCCGCTGGGATGGCATATGGAGATGAAGCCTTTGGGATGTGATTAGGTCATGCGGGCAGATTTCTCAGAAATAGGATTAATGTCCTATTAAAAAAAAGAAAAAAAGCCCCAGGGCCCGGCTTAGTGGCTCACACCTCTAATCCCAGCACTTTTGGAGGCCGAGGCGGGTGGATCAACTGAGGTCAGGAGTTCTAGACTAGCCTGGCCAACATATAGTGAAACTCCGTCTCTACTAAAAAATACAAAAATTAGCGGGGTGTGGTGGCATACGCCTGTAATCTCAGCTACTTGGGAAGCTGAGGCAGGAGAATAGCGTGAACCTGGGAGGAGGAGGTTGCAGTGAGCTGAGATCACACCACTGTACTCCAGCCTGGGTGACAGATCAAGACTCTGTCTCAAAAAAAAAAAAAAAAAAAAAAAAGTCCCGGGGGGCTTTCTTGCCTCATCTTCATGTAAAGGTATAGAGAGGTGATGACTGTCTATGAACCGAGAAGCAGGCCCTCCTCACCAGACACAGAATCTGCCAGTATCTTGATATTGGACATCCATCCTCCAGAACTATGAGACATAAATATCTGCTGCTGAAGCCACCCAGCCTCTAGTATTTTTCATAGCAGCCTGAGCTGACTAAGACATTGACCTACTGTATTCACTTCTCCGGCAGCCTAGTCAGCATCTGAACCCAGCAAGGTTGGATGCCAGGGGCCACACTCTAGACCTCTTGCTATTGGAGACTATTATTTTAAATATTTATTAAGCATCATTTACTGTGTGTGCCCCACTTCATGTTTGCTTTCTAATTCTTTTCCTAATTTTCAGTTTGTTTCCATCTTTTTAATGAATTTCACTATCCTTTCTCCTATCTTCAGAAAATCAGTGAGTGATGTGAATTATTTAAATCATGTCATTATGCTATGAAGGGTTAAGTTTTTATAAATCTACTTTAGCAATCCTGACCTCAAATTTCAGCCTTGGCCTAAGGGTAGTTTTAGGTTGGTTAATCACTCCTGGAATATTCAAAGCAGAACTAACCCTAGGGATGGTCTAGCTGACCTTGATTCCAGGATTCTGTATGGAGCCGCACCAGTAGTTTCTATAGAAACCAACATTGATGAATGAGGATGATTTTCATTTGCCTGTCTCCCAGTTACAACTTTCTTTTAATAGGAAACTAGAGGAGAATTATGATTGCCAAGCGGAGAAGTATATGCTATAATAAGACAGAATCACTGGCTATTTCCTTCAGAATTGAAATTTAGATGCTTGCTTGTCTGTTCTGTCCGTGGTCCCTCCAATCTGTCATGTTCCTCTCCAACACACTGGCTGTGACATCGCCTTGCTTGGAATGCCCTCCTCATTCCTCTCTACCTTCTGAATTCTCTCCAGCTCTCAGCCCATGTCCCTCCACATGCTCTCTCCCTCCACAAAACCTCCTCCAGTCCTTATTAACTGATCTCAACCCTGAAAAATATATCAATTTTAATTTCATACAGCATATATAATGATTCCATTCTGGTGCGTAAGAGGAATACTTAAGAACAAAGGAATGAGCAAAAGGGAGATCTGCGACTCCAGCTCTGCCACGTATTTGTTCACAGGCTTTGGGCTACTTGCATAACCTGCTTGAATCTCAGTTTTCTCATTTGCAAAATCCGGATGATAGTACAATCTACCATATAAGAAATTCAATGGGACGTGGATATAATGCACTTAGAATGGTGCCTAGCATATAGTATGCATTTAGTCAATAATAGTTAAATCATATCAGTTTTTGTGTTGCTTCACTTCTTGGGGGAATCCTCAGGTAAGGTACTTAGACAGGAAAGTCAGACAAGCCCTGTTTTACCCTTCTCCTGTATGTGCGCTGGCTTACCTGAGGTAGAGCGCAGTCAGCAAGTTGCTTTACCTCTCTCAGACTGCACTTTCTTTTCTAAAAAAATGCATTTGCCACCATCCACTTCCCATAGTTTCAGTCAAGTTTAATTTAATGAGTCACCATATGGCAAGTGCGTGTTAATGTATTTCAGTGGGTGTCCTATAAACTTATTTTCCTATTCTCACTTATCCTCTCAGCCACCCCTTAAGAAGTTGTAATTTCCTTAAGTAACAGTGCCTGGCAGTCACGAGATAATTAGTTCTTGGTTATATGCCTGAGGACACATGTACATTTGGTATAATCACATGCAGTGTATGTCCGGGCTAAACTAATAGTAGTTGTTATTGATTCCTGGGTCTGAGATCCTTGTTCACCTGGGAAGAAGGATAAACAGGGATTATCTAGGCTAGGGAGACAGGGGTGAATTATCTTTACACGAGACAACTCCATAGAGCTAGGTCCTGCGTTATCTGTCAGACGTGGTACATACATATTCTTAAGGGCCTTAGGCCAGTGAGTTAAGACATTTAATTGAAATTCATATGACAAAGACAACAGAGAAGAACATTTTTTAAGTGCTGAAACAGAGATTTAATTAGTAACCCACTAGGAGGTACAAATGAGGAAGAACATCTCGGTAACACAATGTCTAAAATCACACAACTGGTAAGTGGCAGAGCTGATTTTTAAACCTGGTTCATCCGACTTCCAAGTGCTCTTGACAAAGTCAGCAGCACTTACCAAGTCCTGAAAGCAAGCTCATGAGGAAGCGTAGAGAAGGGAGAGTCACTGTGGAGATCTGGCAGTGCAAAATGAACCTAGCGGAAAAGAGGGGACCAATGCGTTCATCTCTCTCCTCTGTTTAGAAACCTCTCAGGGCTTGGCATTGTTCTTAGGATTCAGCCTAAATTGCTGACACTGGCCACAAGGTTCCCACTGGGAGCTCCGGCCCAATTCACCCCATATCATGGACTGTTTCTCCCTTGTACTCATTGGACACGTGCACCTCCTTTCTCTGCCCCACTCTGGGGTCTAAGTTGGGAAGTCAAATCCTAGACCGTGTTAGGTCTTCTGCTTAGAACTTCCTGCTACCCCTAGCAGACACTTCCAGCATACCGTGTCCCTGTTATTCACATATGTATCTCTAGCACTGAGCTTGACCCATAGATATGTAGTAGGTGTTAAATAGGCATTTTAAAAAATGACTGCATTTACTTGGATATGCCAAAAGCACACGCTACTCTTCAGAAGGGACAGGGGGCTGAGTAACAATCTCTAATATCCATACTACGGACTAAATGTTTGTGCCCCCCACAAATGCACATATTGAAGCCTTAATTCCCAATGTGATGGTATGTAAAGATGGGACCTTTAGGAGGTGATTAGGTCACCAGGGTAGACCTCTCATGAAGAAATTAGTATCCTGATAAGAAGAGACAAGAGACAGCTTGTTCTCTTTTTCTCTCTTTCTCTTTCTTTTTCTTTTTCTCTTTCTTTCTCTCTCCCCACCATGTGAGGGTACAAGGAGAAGACAGTCATCTGCAAACCAGGAAATGGGTCCTCACTAGACATTGAATCTGCTGGTACCCTCATCATGGACTTCCAGCCTCCAGAATTGTGAGAAGTTAATGTCTGTTTTTTAAGCCACACAAGTCTATGGTATTTTTGTTATAGCAGCTGAAACTGACTAAGAATCCATTATCCAATATCTCTAAATTATCTGTTCCCATAATCCATATCTATAGCCAGTTTATAAGTTACCAGCCTAGATTTGGGGTTGTAACTACAACCTCCATGAGGTAAGTTAGTCAATGAATGCACAAAATCGATAAACAGAGGCTGGGATATACACCTTGGGCATGTTTGGAACTATATGTTGCTGCATTTCAATTCTCAGTTACTTAACACACTAATTTAAATATAGTAGGGCAAACAAATCTAAATGTTTTGATATAACAGCAAATGAATACTTTCTGGTGCTGTTCCTTTTTTAATCGGAAATAAATCCACACGCTCTTGTAGAAAAAAAAATTCTGATTAGGATTTCATCCCTTTACTTTCCACAGTAGTTTTTAAAGAGTACAGAATTAAGGGCTTTCCCACTTCACCATTGTTCCAGATTTTTTTGAGTAAAGCAGAGAGGGTACAAGAGACAGAGATCTAGGTTCTAACCACCAGGATAGATGTTAACAAAAAGCAGCAGTGTTGGCCAGAAGGTGAAAAGCCAGAATCTCCTCATCTCCATCAGGAATGGTCTGAGAGGGTGAAGAACCTGCTTCTGCACTGTTCACGGATGCCAAGGGGATTGTTTTGGCGGCAACAGAAGACACACAGTTGGCCCGGCCAGCTGCGAGCTGTTCAGTGTTTGCTGGCCCTGTAAAAATGGGAGGAGTTTTATTTTTATAGTCAGGGCCATAGGAGAGGAAGAAGCAGCAGCAGCCTGACTGTTGCTATTCTCACTCGGATTGGCGCTGCTCACTCCACTACTGCTCTCAGACCTGGTGATAGCCTTTACAAAAGAGTTTAGTCTGTCTTTTTCTTTTCCCTTCTGTTTGAAGAAAATTTCTTAGCTAAAGAGAAGTAATGCAGAAAATTGTGTTATTTGCCCTGGTTGCACATCTCAGAGAGCTCTGAATACAGATAATGCAACTGTAAAGCCAGTGTGTTTGTGATATTAGCCCCCATTTCAACTGATCTCAGAATGAAGTTGAGTTTTCCTGAGTTTTTTTTTTTTTTTTTTTTTTTGCAATTGACGCCATCTTGGAACACATGGTATGCTAGCAAATGCATGTTCCTTCCTCTTGATCTAGTGATCCTTTTTTTGTAATAATATGCACCAAGATTTAATGTCTGAACAGGCCACTTCCTCTCTTTACTCATTTATCAAAATTAAATATAAGATATAGGGACCCAAAATGTAATGACTGGAAGGATAATGAGAGTAGAGTGAGGGCTATGAACAGACTAACTGGAGCAGATCTGGATGGTTGGAAGTGAAGAAGAACTTAACGAAACACCCACAGCCTTGAAGCATTGCAAGGAAACAGGTAACATATGTGATTAACCTGGAATACAACTGAAAAAGAACAGCTGCTGATCATTTTGTAGGAATTCAGTACATTCAAGGAAAACTATTGATAATGCTCATTCACTCATCTTATATATGCACATACATGTATATATATTTGAGTGTGTGTGCCTATATATGTGTATATATACATACATATATGTGTGTATACATGTGTATATATACATACATATATGTGTGTGTGTATATATATACACCTCTCTCTCTATAGATGCATAGTGTCTGTGTGTATATTTGTGTGTTTATATACACACATGTATACACACATATATGTATACACACATATGTGCACACGCAAATATATATACAATATGTGCATATATATGAGATAAAAGAGCATTATCAATAGTTTGATATATATGCAATAGTGCATATATATATCTCATATAATATGCATTAGTGGATATATATATATGAGATAAATGAGCATTATCAATAGTTTCCTTGAATGTACTGAATTACTTGAATGTACTGAATAGGCCCTAACATATATTATATATATACATATTATATATAATATGTATATATATAATATGTATATATTATATATATATATACCTCTCTCTCCATAGATGCATTATGCCTGCTTTGTTATAGGCAGAGTTTAGAAACATGACGATACGGCAGGAAACAAAACCACCACTAGTCCCTGGCTCATGACAATCTGCATTTCCATAGTAAAATGTTTTCTCAATTAGTTTTTGGAATGTGGAAACCAAAACTAAATGAGAATATTTTCTTTTTTTTCTTTCTTTTTTTTTTTAGAGGGGGTCTCGCTCTGTTGCCCAGGCTGGAATGCAGTGGCGCAATCTTGGCTCACTGCAAGCTCTGCCTCCTGGGTTCACGCGGTAGTGAGAATATTTTCAATCATGAGATGTCCTGTAAATTTTAGAAATTATGTTCACCAAAGTAATTTAGTTAAAAACTAAATAAAAATATAATAAAGTAGCTTATAAGCCTTGACAACCTGAGACAGTTATCCTGTGAAACCTTGGTGTGAGGCAAGGCATGGGCAGTGTGAGTGAAAGTGCCCGCAGCCAGCGTGGCCATCAACCAAACATTCCTTCTGCACAGATTTATTAAACCTCCCACATGAATCAGCATCGTGTTCGCAAAGGCTAACGGCCGGCTTTATTCGGCATCTCAGAAACATTTCTGCCTCACTACTCTCCCTTTGGAAAAGTCACTGTTGAAGATATCCACCTAGATGCATTGATGAATTTAAGGACGTGCATTATCTTGGAGAAGAGGAACACTGAAGGGTGCCCGAGCCCAAGCCTCTATGCCCTGCAGGAGTTCCCTCTGAGAGAAGCCGCCCAGGCCACTTGCCTCTTGGTGACAGGAGGCTCCCAACAGAGCTAGTTAGAGCCGTTCCATCCCCTCAATGGAGCTGTTTCAAACCCACTCCAGAGCTGTAGCGCTGTCAGAAGGACATCTGGAGCAAAATGTGTAAATGCTAACAGCAATAAATATGAAATGTTATTTCTGATTGCATCACTTCACTCAACCTCTGTGTGTCTTACAATTTTACAACTCTTTATCTCTCTTCCTGAAATCCATAAAGATGTGTAATCAAATATGTTTTTCCCAAAATTCATTTGGTGGAGAACCCTAGCCAGAACTCAGGTGGGCTAATACTCTCTTTATTCCGCTTTGTATGAATATTCATGTTTCCCTGCAGAAATATTAATGTGTTTGCTTAAGGGCACTGTCTCAAATCCCACTGTGTGTTAGCTAATATATAGTGTGTTAGCTGATATATAGTACATGCATTGAATTACTTCTCTGAATTTTGAAAAAAAACTGAAAACAAACCTTGCCCAAAGTATTAAAGAAGAAGTTATGTTCTGGCTGAGGCTCTCATCTCCTTCAAGACTTTATTCAAATGCTACACTCCTCAAAAGCCCAACTTTCATCATCTCCTTCAAATGGCAACTCTCCGTCTTTCTCCAAGCTCTGTATCCTGCACATTTTTCCCCTTTTTGTATCATCTTTGGATTACTTCGAGAAAGCATCATAGAGTACTTGTTATAAATGCTATGTCATGTACTTTGTATGTTTATTGTTTATTTTCTGTTTTGTCTCCCCCCAACCCCAGCCAACATCCACACTCAAATGTGAGCTCCCCAAGGGAAGAGACTGGCATATTTGGCTCCTAAGAAGAGTGTCTGGCCATAAGAGAAGCTGAGGAAACCACATTTAATGAGATAATACATTAATTTAGAATATCACTTTTACAAATAAAACTTAAAATGTCTTCCTTTCTGTTACTCAAATAATGTTTATTGTGAAACTTTTAAACTAAAACAACAAAGAGATAGAATAAAAATAATAAACATAACTACTATTAATAATTTGACATAACTTTAATTTCTTATCTACTCTTTATTTACTTAAGGTTAAGTCACAGGAATTTCCTACCTTGTTAAATATTCTTTGGAAGTAGAAATTTTAACAGCTTCATAAGATCCCCACATATAATATAAATTATTTAAGTATTCTGATGTTGAAGAACTGGTTCATTTTCAAATGTTTACTTTCATAATTCTGAGATGAGCATCCTTATTCAAAAAAAAAAAATCTGTGAACATTTCTCTCTCTTTATTTAGGATAGATTCCCAGAAGTGAAAATCACAGGTGAAAGGTCCAGAGTGTCAAGGTTCTTAGCACTGAAAGAAATTTAATATGATTTGAAAATTTTCTCATATTCCTGTGTCCTACCCCTCTCAGGAAATTTGGGAAGGGAGGGTTTTGTGTTTGTGTATGTTTTGTTTTGGGAACTAAGTTTAGCAGCATGAGTGGCTTTTGGCACAGTTAGGCATCTAGGCATTTAACAGCTCGGGTCTGAGCTGAGGTGGCAGCTTCCGGTGGTAAAGACACCTGCCCAGTGTCAGGACGACTGCCGCCAGCTCCTGGCCTCAAACACCTGCCTGCTCCTCTCTGTGCCTCCATCTCCCTTTCTCTTTGTTAGCAGGTATGGTGACCTTTGTCCTATCTGCTTTAAGTGGGCTCTTCTGAGAATAAGACAAAATATTGCTCACAAAATGCTTTTTAAAATAAAAATTGCTGTACAAATGCCAAGTGCTATTAATTCAACACCCCAGCAATGGAAATTTTCATTAGCTGTGTATCATTTACAGTCACTATCAACATGTATCACATTTCAATCCTTCCCATGAACTTCAAAGCTCCAAATCCCATTAAATATATTTTATTTTTTTTTTTTTTCTTCTTTTTTTTTTTTTTTTAATGTTTTTTTTTTTTTTATTATACTTTAAGTTTTAGGGTACATGTGCACATTGTGCAGGTTAGTTACATATGTATACATGTGCCATGCTGGTGCACTGCACCCACTAACGTGTGATCTAGCATTAGGTATATCTCCCAATGCTATCCCTCCCCCCTCCCCCGACCCCACCACAGTCCCCAGAGTGTGATATTCCCCTTCCTGTGTCCATGTGATCTCATTGTTCAATTCCCACCTATGAGTGAGAATATGCGGTGTTTGGTTTTTTGTTCTTGCGATAGTTTACTGAGAATGATGGTTTCCAATTTCATCCATGTCCCTACAAAGGACATGAACTCATCATTTTTTATGGCTGCATAGTATTCCATGGTGTATATGTGCCACATTTTCTTAATCCAGTCTATCATTGTTGGACATTTGGGTTGGTTCCAAGTCTTTGCTATTGTGAATAATGCCACAATAAACATACGTGTGCATGTGTCTTTATAGCAGCATGATTTATAGTCATTTGGGTATATACCCAGTAATGGAATGGCTGGGTCAAATGGTATTTCTAGTTCTAGATCCCTGAGGAATCGCCACACTGACTTCCACAATGGTTGAACTAGTTTACAGTCCCACCAACAGTGTAAAAGTGTTCCTATTTCTCCACATCCTCTCCAGCACCTGTTGTTTCCTGACTTTTTAATGATTGCCATTCTAACTGGTGTGAGATGATATCTCATAGTGGTTTTGATTTGCATTTCTCTGATGGCCAGTGATGATGAGCATTTTTTCATGTGTTTTTTGGCTGCATAAATGTCTTCTTTTGAGAAGTGTCTGTTCATGTCCTTCGCCCACTTTTTGATGGGGTTGTTTGTTTTTTTCTTGTAAATTTGTTGGAGTTCATTGTAGATTCTGGATATTAGCCCTTTGTCAGATGAGTAGGTTGCGAAAATTTTCTCCCATGTTGTAGGTTGCCTGTTCACTCTGATGGTAGTTTCTTTTGCTGTGCAGAAGCTCTTTAGTTTAATTAGATCCCATTTGTCAATTTTGGCTTTTGCTGCCATTGCTTTTGGTGTTTTGGACATGAAGTCCTTGCCCACGCCTATGTCCTGAATGGTAATGCCTAGGTTTTCTTCTAGGGTTTTTATGGTTTTAGGTCTAACATTTAAATCTTTAATCCATCTTGAATTGATTTTTGTATAACGTGTAAGGAAGGGATCCAGTTTCAGCTTTCTACATATGGCTAGCCAGTTTTCCCAGCACCATTTATTAAATAGGGAATCCTTTCCCCATTGCTTGTTTTTCTCAGGTTTGTCAAAGATCAGATAGTTGTAGATATGCGGCATTATTTCTGAGGGCTCTGTTCTGTTCCATTGATCTATATCTCTGTTTTGGTACCAGTACCATGCTGTTTTGGTTACTGTAGCCTTGTAGTATAGTTTGAAGTCAGGTAGTGTGATGCCTCCAGCTTTGTTCTTTTGGCTTAGGATTGACTTGGCGATGCGGGCTCTTTTTTGGTTCCATATGAACTTTAAAGTAGTTTTTTCCAATTCTGTGAAGAAAGTCATTGGTAGCTTGATGGGGATGGCATTGAATCTGTAAATTACCTTGGGCAGTATGGCCATTTTCACGATATTGATTCTTCCTACCCATGAGCATGGAATGTTCTTCCATTTGTTTGTGTCCTCTTTTATTTCCTTGAGCAGTGGTTTGTAGTTCTCCTTGAAGAGGTCCTTCACATCCCTTGTAAGTTGGATTCCTAGGTATTTTATTCTCTTTAAAGCAATTGTGAATGGGAGTTCACTCATGATTTGGCTCTCTGTTTGTCTGTTGTTGTTGTATAAGAATGTTTGTGATTTTTGTACATTGATTTTGTATCCTGAGACTTTGCTGAAGTTGCTTATCAGCTTAAGGAGATTTTGGGCTGAGATGATGGGGTTTTCTAGATAAACAATCATGTCATCTGCAAACAGGGACAATTTGACTTCCTCTTTTCCTAATTGAATACCCTTTATTTCCTTCTCCTGCCTGATTGCCCTGGCCAGAACTTCCAACACTATGTTGAATAGGAGCAGTGAGAGAGGACATCCCTGTCTTGTGCCAGTTTTCAAAGGGAATGCTTCCAGTTTTTGCCCATTCAGTATGATATTGGCTGTGGGTTTGTCATAGATAGCTCTTATTATTTTGAAATACGTCCCATCAATACCTAATTTATTGAGAGTTTGTAGCATGAAGGGTTGTTGAATTTTGTCAAAGGCTTTTTCTGCATCTATTGAGATAATCATGTGGTTTTTGTCTTTGGCTCTGTTTATATGATGGATTACATTTATTGATTTGCATATATTGAACCAGCCTTGCATCCCAGGGATGAAGCCCACTTGATCATGGTGGATAAGCTTTTTGATGTGCTGCTGGATTCGGTTTGCCAGTATTTTATTGAGGATTTTTGCATCAATGTTCATCAAGGATATTGGTCTAAAATTCTCTTTTTTGGTTGTGTCTCTGCCCGGCTTTGGTATCAGAATGATGCTGGCCTCATAAAATGAGTTAGGGAGGATTCCCTCTTTTTCTATTGATTGGAATAGTTTCAGAAGGAATGGTACCAGTTCCTCCTTGTACCTCTGGTAGAATTCGGCTGTGAATCCATCTGGTCCTGGACTCTTTTTGGTTGGTAAACTATTGATTATTGCCACAATTTCAGCTCCTGTTATTGGTCTATTCAGAGATTCAACTTCTTCCTGGTTTAGTCTTGGGAGAGTGTATGTGTCGAGGAATGTATCCATTTCTTCTAGATTTTCTAGTTTATTTGCGTAGAGGTGTTTGTAGTATTCTCTGATGGTAGTTTGTATTTCTGTGGGATTGGTGGTGATATCCCCTTTATCATTTTTTATTGTGTCTATTTGATTCTTCTCTCTTTTTTGCTTTATTAGTCTTGCTAGCGGTCTATCAATTTTGTTGATCCTTTCAAAAAACCAGCTCCTGGATTTATTGATTTTTTTGAAGGGTTTTTTGTGTCTCTATTTCCTTCAGTTCTGCTCTGATTTTAGTTATTTCTTGCCTTCTGCTAGCTTTTGAATGTGTTTGCTCTTGCTTTTCTAGTTCTTTTAATTGTGATGTTAGGGTGTCAATTTTGGATCTTTCCTGCTTTCTCTTGTAGGCATTTAGTGCTATAAATTTCCCTCTACACACTGCTTTGAATGCGTCCCAGAGATTCTGGTATGTGGTGTCTTTGTTCTCGTTGGTTTCAAAGAACATCTTTATTTCTGCCTTCATTTCGTTATGTATCCAGTAGTCATTCAGGAGCAGGTTGTTCAGTTTCCATGTAGTTGAGCGGCTTTGAGTGAGATTCTTAATCCTGAGTTCTAGTTTGATTGCACTGTGGTCTGAGAGATAGTTTGTTATAATTTCTGTTCTTTAGATTTGCTGAGGAGAGCTTTACTTCCAACTATGTGGTCAATTTTGGAATAGGTGTGGTGTGGTGCTGAAAAAAATGTATATTCTGTTGATTTGGGGTGGAGAGTTCTGTAGATGTCTATTAGGTCCGCTTGGTGCAGAGCTGAGTTCAATTCCTGGGTATCCTTGTTGACTTTCTGTCTCGTTGATCTGTCTAATGTTGACAGTGGGGTGTTAAAGTCTCCCATTATTAATGTGTGGGAGTCTAAGTCTCTTTGTAGGTCACTCAGGACTTGCTTTATGAATCTGGGTGCTCCTGTATTGGGTGCATAAATATTTAGGATAGTTAGCGCCTCTTGTTGAATTGATCCCTTTACCATTATGTAATGGCCTTCTTTGTCTCTTTTGATCTTTGTTGGTTTAAAGTCTATTTTATCAGAGACTAGGATTGCAACCCCTGCCTTTTTTTGTTTTCCATTTGCTTGGTAGATCTTCCTCCATCCTTTTATTTTGAGCCTATGTGTGTCTCTGCACGTGAGATGGGTTTCCTGAATACAGCACACTGATGGGTCTTGACTCTTTATCCAACTTGCCAGTCTGTGTCTTTTAATTGCAGAATTTAGTCCATTTATATTTAAAGTTAATATTGTTATGTGTGAATTTGATCCTGTCATTATGATGTTAGCTGGTGATTTTGCTCATTAGTTGATGCAGTTTCTTCCTAGTCTCGATGGTCTTTACATTTTGGCTTGATTTTGCAGCGGCTGGTACCGGTTGTTCCTTTCCATGTTTAGCGCTTCCTTCAGGAGCTCTTTTAGGGCAGGCCTGGTGGTGACAAAATCTCTCAGCATTTGCTTGTCTATAAAGTATTTTATTTCTCCTTCACTTATGAAGCTTAGTTTGGCTGGATATGAAATTCTGGGTTGAAAATTCTTTTCTTTAAGAATGTTGAATATTGGCCCCCACTCTCTTCTGGCTTGTAGGGTTTCTGCCGAGAGATCCGCTGTTAGTCTGATGGGCTTTCCTTTGAGGGTAACCCGACCTTTCTCTCTGGCTGCCCTTAACATTTTTTCCTTCATTTCAACTTTGGTGAATCTGACAATTATGTGTCTTGGAGTTGCTCTTCTCGAGGAGTATCTTTGTGGCGTTCTCTGTATTTCCTGAATCTGAACGTTGGCCTGCCTTGCTAGATTGGGGAAGTTCTCCTGGATAATATCCTGCAGAGTGTTTTCCAACTTGGTTCCATTCTCCACATCACTTTCAGGTACACCAATCAGACGTAGATTTGGTCTTTTCACATAGTCCCATATTTCTTGGAGGCTTTGCTCATTTCTTTTTATTCTTTTTTCTCTAAACTTCCCTTCTCGCTTCATTTCATTCATTTCATCTTCCATTGCTGATACCCTTTCTTCCAGTTGATCGCATCGGCTCCTGAGGCTTCTGCATTCTTCACATAGTTCTCGAGCCTTGGGTTTCAGCTCCATCAGCTCCTTTAAGCACTTCTCTGTATTGGTTATTCTAGTTATACATTCTTCTAAATTTTTTTCAAAGTTTTCAACTTCTTTGCCTTTGGTTTGAATGTCCTCCCGTAGCTCAGAGTAATTTGATCGTCTGAAGCCTTCTTCTCTCAGCTCGTCAAAATCATTCTCCATCCAGCTTTGTTCCATTGCTGGTGAGGAACTGCGTTCCTTTGGAGGAGGAGAGGTGCTCTGCGTTTTAGAGTTTCCAGTTTTTCTGTTCTGTTTTTTCCCCATCTTTGTGGTTTTATCTACTTTTGGTCTTTGATGATGGTGATGTACAGATAGGTTTTCGGTGTAGATGTCCTTTCTGGTTGTTAGTTTTCCTTCTAACAGACAGGACCCTCAGCTGCAGGTCTGTTGGAATACCCTGCCGTGTGAGGTGTCAGTGTGCCCCTGCTGGGGGGTGCCTCCCAGTTAGGCTGCTCGGGGGTCAGGGGTCAGGGACCCACTTGAGGAGGCAGTCTGCCCGTTCTCAGATCTCCAGCTGCGTGCTGGGAGAACCACTGCTCTCTTCAAAGCTGTCAGACAGGGACACTTAAGTCTGCAGAGGTTACTGCTGTTTTTTTGTTTGACTGTGCCCTGCCCCCAGAGGTGGAGCCTACAGAGGCAGGCAGGCCTCCTTGAGCTGTGGTGGGCTCCACCCAGTTGGAGCTTCCCGGCTGCTTTGTTTACCTAAGCAAGCCTGGGCAATGGCGGGCGCCCCTCCCCCAGCCTCGTTGCCGCCTTGCAGTTTGATCTCAGACTGCTGTGCTAGCAATCAGCGAGATTCCGTGGGTGTAGGACCCTCTGAGCCAGGTGTGGGATATAGTCTCGTGGTGCGCCGTTTTTTAAGCCGGTCTGAAAAGCGCAATATTCGGGTGGGAGTGACCCGATTTTCCAGGTGCGTCTGTCACCCCTTTCTTTGACTCGGAAAGGGAACTCCCTGACCCCTTGCGCTTCCCGAGTGAGGCAATGCCTCGCCCTGCTTCGGCTCGTGCACGGTGCGCGCACACACTGGCCTGCGCCCACTGTCTGGCACTCCCTAGTGCGATGAACCCGGTACCTCAGATGGAAATGCAGAAATCACCCGTCTTCTGCGTCGCTCACGCTGGGAGCTGTAGACCGGAGCTGTTCCTATTCGGCCATCTTGGCTCCTTCCTCAAATATATTTTAAAATATCAAATCTTCCCTATAATTAATAACAATGATCGGGCACAGAATTCTCAAATACAGGCTTATCTGTATTCAGCAACAGTGTGCACTAATGAGAGACCGAAGGAAGGATATAATTACAGATCAGAGTCTCCTTCGCCGGTCTCTGGAGACCACTGCACAGGAGAAACAGGCACCTGCCTCACGTGGCAAGTATCCTGCTTCTGAGAGTCCTCTTTCCCGAGACTCTCTTGTTCCTCCTCTGAAGTAAACTACCAGGTGAAGGGGAACTGGGAGAAGTCTACACCAAGAGAGGGCAGATCATGGTGCGAACTACTCTCCTGCTTTTCAAGGGGCCGGACTTGCTTTAGGGAGCGTCATTGAACTTCTCTTGTCTTTAGTATTTTTCAAATGGGAACAATTCTTTATTCAATGGTATGAAGGTGATCAGATAACATCTTGAGAGCTTTTTTGTCTCTTGAAACAGCATTGTGTGTGTGTGTGTGTGTGTGTGTGTGTGTTGGGGTAGAAATAAGAGGATTTTATATTAAATACTTCATTTTACACCATTTATTTTGTTAGGAATATATTTAGATTTATTGATCAAAGATTAGAAAGCTTGACCTTTGTTTTCGAGTGGCTCATAGTCTTATGGGGGAAAAAAAAACTCCAACAAAATAAAACAATGGATAATTCCCACAGGTTCATTTCCAGGATGAAAAGAAGATTGAACAGCTGCAGGGATGTGGTGGAAGGGAACCTCCTGTAGACTCAGGACTCAATATATAGCACCCTAGTAGAGTACTGAAGGGCTAATAATAGTTAGGCCAAGAGTGTTCTAGAGAGGAAACGTTTATTATGCAAAGGCTGCTACTGATGGGCAGGACATGGCTTCTTCTAGAATTATAAGTAAATCTAGAGGGCTGATATATATATATGATATGTGGTGTGTGTGTGTGTTTGTAGGGGAAGGATCAGCTGGAACTCCTGGAATTCAGATCATGTAGGTTCTTACATGCCGTATTTCGGAGATTCTAGACAAATAATAGAGCCATTTATTTTTCTGTCAATAATCAAATTAAATAGATTTTCTCTCAAACTCGGGGACCAATTCTCCAATTTGGCTTTGCATGCAGAATACAGCTTCTCTCCAGCTCCAGATGCTCTGGCCATGCTAGAACAGTTGAAGCCCAATGTATGGTGGTACAGTTATAGAGTAATGAAGTGTAGAGAAACTCTCAGGTGAAAAAAATAAACAAACAAACTTTAAGGTCTTCATGAAAAGGCATACATACATATCACTGAAAGTCCATCTCTTAATATTTGTAATGAGGCATGAAATCTAACTTCTCTGCATGCTGCTCCATTAAGAGTACAAGGCTCCCTCAGACAGTATTGTCAAAGTCCCTGAATGAAAACAGGATATTGATAACAGTTCCTTAGGAAATCATGGTACGAATGTGTTTAAGAGCAGGTGGACTTTGGCTTATGCCTGCCCTCTTTTCTCATTTGCTTGTTGTTGCTGTATAGGGGAGGCCATGTGACAAGAAACAGAGAGCTCATGTACACTTAGTGTCTCATCAGTGCTGGGGCCTCACCTGAGTCTCATCACATACACTAGTGAGATGCTGACAGAGAGGAGGGAGAGGAGGTCGGCCTCAACTGCCAGGCTTTTGCCCACACTTCCTCATCGGTAAAGGATCATCTCTAACTTTCTCTTTGAGGTAACATTTTTCAGTTCTCCATTTTTTCATTGAGGAAATCTAATTTTGGTAAGATTATGCTCCCTGCTGAAATCTACGAAATCCCACAAAATTGAGTTGCTCCTGAATATGAATCATAGTGGGTAATGAAGGCATGTGCAGGGCATCTCCTTGGCTTTTCTTCTGAATTTAGAACCTGGAACCTCCTCTGATGCTGTTGACTTCAGCCAAACAATGTTAGTCTCTAGGCTCATGGCCCTCTGCATGCTACTATCTCTCCACAGCGACCACCGACTTCTCCACATGTTCACATCTTGGTATCTCTTCAATGGCAAGTACAAGTCCACCATTTTCTCTCCAGATTCCTGACACAGTTTCTGCACCTCGCAACAGCATTGATATATCTATGTGTCACATACTCCTCACCAGAATGTAAGCCCCTTAGTATTAGACTGGTTTTAATTTCAATTTTTATTCCCCTAAAGCGCCCAAAGTAGAATTTTTTTTGTGTGTTAAATACATGTGTATTTGTGACTGAAAAAAAATCTCTAAAATTGAACTTCTCTATGCTGCAGTGGTTTTAAGCTATTAAATCTGGGTAAATGGGCTCATAGTTTATTTTAGAATTCAAAGTCAAAAGACTTCACTGAAGTTTTCTCTACACCAAGTCCTATGTGGATCCAGACAAAATTGAGGATTTTTTTCCTTGTATTTCCTCCTTTTTCATTTATATGCAAATAAAGTTTGGATTAACATGGAGAACAAATTTGAAAAAAAAACTACAGAGGAAAAGAGACATTATAAAAGTGTCAAAGGCAGCTTTATTTTTTTTTCATATATTCATTCATTCATTCACAAATTGACTCCCTCACACACCCTATGTTAACACACGGACAGCAGGCCAGTAGCCAGTCAGACCATGTTCTAGGCAGTACGAGGTGGTGATAGAAAGGGTCATCTAGCCCTTGAGGAGCTCATAGGCTGGAGGAGAAGACAGGCATGAGCACAGAACTCAGCACAATATAAGTCATGCTGAAGGAAAGAGTGTGAGGCAGGAGAACTCAGGGGAGGAATTTCTCCTCCAGCCTAGGTTAGAGAGGTCACACTTCTTAGAGGTTGTTCTGTCTAAAACTCCAAAGGAATTGTGACAGGACATCCCAAAAAGACAAGACTGCATATACAATGACAAAAGAGCATTGTGAAGGGGGAGCATGTTGCTTTCACTCACCAGAGCTTTTCTGATGAAGGGCCACTTCCAAGAGGAGGTGACAGTCTAAGCAATGTGCAGAAAAGAGGTGCATTGCTTTCAGCCATCCAGTTTCAGTATAAACTTGATTTTGCTTACACGTTCCCTAGTCTTGTTAACTCTACAGACAGTCCCTGACTTATGATGGTTCTATTTATGATTTTTGACTTTCACAGTAACTCTAAGGTGAAACACATTCAGTAGAAACTGTACGTCAAGTACCTGAACAAACATTCTGTTTTTCACTCTCAGTACTGTATTCTGTAAATTACATGAGATGCTCAATATTTTATTATAAAATAGGCTTTGTGCTAGATGATTTTGCCCAACTGTAGGCTAATGTATAATAAGTGTCAAACTGATCCCATTTAAGGTGGACTAGGTTAAGCTTTGATGTTGAGTAGGTAAAGTATACAAAGTGTGTTTCAATCTATGATTTTTTTAACTTACGATGGGCCAATTGGAGCATAACCCCCTTGAAAGTCTGTAAGTTCTGTAGCTGTTTCACTTCTCCCCTCTATTGTTAGTTATTCTTCTCATATTTGTTACCCTATGGCTGCAGCAGTGAGAAAGCTCAAAATATGAAAGCATGAAGCCATTTCTCAAGCTTTCTCTGATTCACTTACAGCTCTGGGGATTTATACATTGGAAAAGACATAGACTATATCCTTGAGAGGGTCAGGTGATTACAAGACAAGATTACATTCTCAGGGAAAAAATAGGTGTCTCTATTTAATTGGAAATTGGACATCACAGCCTTTAAGTATGAAAACCACATGCCGTAGATTAGCTGCATGGCACAACTTCAACATTCCTCATCTGCTGTTAGACAGTTCACCTAGATTTAAGGTTCAACGCCACCACAAGACTCCATTGTACAGGAGTTCAGATAATGGCATGATGAAAAAAGCAGGCCATCAATAAGTCTTCGTGAAGGAGATTGTGATTGTCCTAGCTTGGAGGACAGAAAGGAATAAACGCAGTTTATATGGCAGCACCATGAATTAAAAGACACTGGCAAGTATCACAGTTTGTGTAAATACACACACACAAAACACAAAACCCCAAATGAACAAACGAAGCCTGGATCTTCACACCTAGATTTTTGGTGGTGAGAAATATTTGACAGGGATGTGTAGACACTGGTGTATAGTTTCTGTGGAGAAAGGAATAGGAGTGGAAATAGCTAGAGGATGAGACAAGCTTATAGACTCCACAAGGGGAGGCAGAGTATTTGCAGTGTCAGAGGGATACAGACACTTGTTTGATTAATGTAAGTTCTTCTTATGAGCACTTGAGTTGCCTGTTCCTTTTCTAATTTTTTTTTCCTAGTCTTTCTTGAAGCCCATTCTTACTAATCCAGGGCAGACATGTATAACAGAAACGCAGAGGAAATAAAGAAAACAAGCTTACATCTTCCTTATAGAGGTGGAATGACTGAGGTCCAAAGAAGTACGGGCCAGCCCAAGGTCCCTTTGCTTGCCTGTGTCTGGCTTTGGTGGAAAACTGATTGCAATGTCATGTTGCTTTCTGGAAACACGCCTGGCCCTCAGTGGGAGCTGGCTGGGGAAATATCCTGTTCTCCAGCAGATATGAGTTCTCAGAAATATTGCAAATGATAACGCTTCATAAAAGGTGAAAACCTTGGCCGTTCATTAGCTTATTCAGAGAAAAATTATACAGTGTTTGAGTCTTTCAGGCTTTCTTACTTCTTGTTCTCCAGGCTTTCTTACTTCTTGTTCTTCTTGCCATTCTATTAAGAGCCTCACTGCTTGTAAAGGAAAGAAATGGGAATGAATATGGAACTCTGCTAGCCACATGGGCATACCTTATCCCTTTCATTTCAATGTAATTCTCCCAACAATCTGTATAGTAGATATTTTTATACAGTTACACAAATAAAGAAACCAAAATCCTGGCAATATAATTCAGGTCACACAGCCAGGAAGAGGTAAAATCACAATTTGAAGCCTAGTTTATTCAAGTATAAACCTCAGCAATCATTCTACAATGTAACCTTTCTTCTGGGAGGATAGAGTCTTGGGGAATGGACAGGTCAGAAGAATATTGGGAAATGGTGGCTGCGAAGATGGGGAATCCAAGTACATGTAAAAAACTAGGTGGGAAAGATCATTAGGACTATTGACTGCAGCCAATTATTTATATTTGTGTGTCTTTCATTTCAATTATCTGCATGATTTCTGGGCCCCAGGACCATGCACAATTGGGTTTTATTAGATTGTGTGTTTTATTGACTAGAAGCAGACAATATGGATTTTATGAGATAGAGCATTCATTGTGCCAGAACACTGGCTGAGGTTAATTTACTAATAGCAAGCTTTCTGAAGAAAAGATTATCTTATAATAGAATGTTGTTTCCAAACTAATTTTAATTAATAGACTCCATAGTTTCTGTCTGGAACCCAGGTGTGTTAATATAAATGGCTTGCCTTGGCTTTACCATTTTTTTTTTTTCTTTTTCAAGGGCTAACTAGTGTGGAGGAGTATTTCTCAATTGTGTCAGCCCTATTTCCCTTTAATATACACAGTTTCATCGTTCTTGTAATTTTCTTTTCTTTTACTCCAGGAAGAAAATGAGGGTAGGATTAGGCAACTAATGGTCCAGTGGAACGAACCCCTGAGAAGCTCACTGACAAACGGAGTTTAGACATTGACAACACCTCAACTTTGGCCTTTACAAATGAGTGACACCAGAATTGGGTCCCACACACATCTACAAAATGTGCTTGGGTGACACGTAGGATGAGTTAGCACATTACACTGATAATGTTGCAGGAAAGAACAGCAATTAAGGACTCACAGAAAAAGAGGAGGCTACTTTAGCCACTTCAACTTCCATCAGACCACAGCTGCTTCACAGAAGTGGTAGACACACTGCCCTTTAACAGATGCAGGTGTTGTTTTGTTAAAGTTATTCATTCATTCAAAAATTTACTGTAGAAAACAATAAAATATACACTATGGGGTTTTTGTTTGCCATTTGCTGTGCTAGGACATGGACACACAAATATGACCAAGGTGTGGTCTCAGCTGTCAGGAGTCACACAGTCTGCAGTTAGAACAGATCTGTCACCATGTCAGGGGTCTGATAGCTGATCCCTGACATAATCACAGATCTGTTCCAACTGCAGAGGGAAAAAAAGCACTACTGGTGCTCCACAGAAAGTCAGTGCTGGATACAGAAGAGACACAAAGAGAGCAGTGCTCTGTGGAGAGGTGTTGGCAAAGGCTTCACAGGAGAGGAGACATGTGGGTGGAATCTTCTACAACTCCAGCCAGATAAGCAGAGGGAAAGCATTTCCTATAGAAAGAATGACACATGCCCTTGCCCCAACTGTGTGACCAGGCCCTTTAAAGAGAAATAGAACTAGAGATGATCACCATAGAACTCCTTCAGACTGTACGGAAGCTTAGATCATCCAAGGAAGGCAAGTCACTTTGCAAAAGGTGTTGATATAAGAAGCTTTGAAGAAGCTATAGGGACTCTCATAGACCTTTTTTTTTGTTTTGTTTTTTTTAAGGACCAAAGGGCCTTGGAAGGGAGAGGGACACTCACTTAAAACAGAAGGAGCTATGGAGCGGAATGGAAATATCTGAGTGTGAATTTCACTTTGTCACCAGGTTGAGTTAGAATTGTCAGTCTTTCTGAATCTCAACTACCTTTTTTGCATTTTCAAATGAAAAATGAGCATTATGATAACTAGCCTATTTTCTTCTCAGGGATATTTTGCTGATCAATTACATGCCATCTTTGTAAACCAGGCAGGCTTCTACAATGGAAGACATGCACTGTAATTATTATTCCTATTATTATTGTGGTTATTAGTATTGCTTTTAAGGAATTAAAGAGAGAAATGTGAATAGAGCTGCATGACAAAAGCAGCTTAGACAGAGGTGCGAGGAGTAGGCAGTTCAGTGAGCTAGAGAGAAGAATTCATTAGTACAGTTGGTAAGCTGAGAAATGGACACATAGATTGAACAGTATTGAACATGCCAAGGTACTCAAACACACATTACTGCATCTAATCTGTACACACCCCCTGCAGTGGACAGAACAGTAATTATATCTCCAATTGGCAGGTGAGAAAATTGAAATGATTCTTAGCTGAGTGCTTAACACATAGTGAGTCCTCATGAAATATTAGCTATTGATAATATTGTTATATTAGTGTTAGTAATATTATATCACAATTATTGGATGCTTATATAGCTTGAATATTTGGATAGCCTCAGGAACAATAATGACCACTTGTTAACTAAATTGCTGATCTGTAAAATGGGATGAAGTTGATCCTCGTTGTCTCACAAAATTATTCTAACGATAAAATCAGATAGCTCATTTGGAAGCATAATACAACCAGATTAATGGAAACCACCATAATACCATATTTTATAGGAAATATTTATCTGTGCAAGAAAATCTTAACTCTAATAGTTCAGCACAGTTCAGCTCACTTAAATATCAAACTACAATAATACAGACCATTAACTCTGCACTTTATGAAGCCAACAAAAGGATTTGGTGAGAATGACCATTCACCAGTGAGCGCTATGAGGAACCTTGTGTATTCTTATACTCAGCAAACTGTCAAGGAGAAGCGATAGGTTCTGCTCAGATCTCCAGACCTTTCCACTCAAGTGTAGTCTGAAAATGGGCCCTTATGAAACCCAATGGCACTGTCGGTACAGGGCCTTTGAATAATCTCCTTTCTTCCTGCCAAAGCAGAACAGGACCTGCCTGTGAAATCCTTTATCTCAGGAGAGTGTGAGCATATTCAAAGGACCGTCTCTGTAGATTATTATTAATACATGTCTCCTTAGGTCTCTTTGATGGTTTTTCCAGGAGAGGACGAAGCCCTTGGTTTTCATCCACTCTTCACACACACCCATTGCACGCTCATGCCTGAGGCACAATGCCAAGACACACAGCAAAATGAAACATTGTCCTTATCCCCACTCAACTAAAAAGAGCTGTTCATAAGAGAAGGGGCCTATTTCTTTCTAAAGCTTCCATAGTGGGATGAAAAAATACACAAATAGAAGAATGCTTATAACATGCCTGTGGGGCTTTTTTTCCTATAAAATCTTTTATTTAGCTCTTGTATAGAAACCATCCACTCTCCTCAATGGAGAAATACTATCAATGTCTTGCAGCTGCACTACGCAAACACATTTGGGTTGAATCTGCATGGAGCCGCCAGAACTAAATGAATCCTGAGATTAATTCCTAATCTATTACCCCCGATCAGTCACCTATCAGCACATCATTGAATTTGCTGAAACAATGATACAATCCAATTCCTGACTGGAGAGTCAGATAAACTTGAGATTGAATCCCACATCTGGCAGTCACTAATGTGGTCAATTTACTTAACCCTTCTCCATTTCCTCATCTGCAAATGCAGTTAGTAATACTTACGATATAAGATTGTTGGCAGGACTGAATGATCCTGGGGGAAGCATCTCATGGCATTTCTTCACAAGATAAACAACAAGGTGCCTTTTGCATATAGAATGTGTGATCTTAACGAGGGCATGGTTTCAAATGCATTACTACAGTATGGCTCTAAGGCAGAGATAATCTTCACTAAAATTTATAAATCAGAAAAGTGGGGCTCCATCAGCTTTAAATAATGCACTTAAGATTGCATAGCTATTTCATCAGGGTCAGTACAATAACCCAAGTCTTAGGTGAAGGATACATCAACTAAAACACAGCTATTCACATTAATGAAAACTGGCTAACTAGATTGCCCTAATGTTTAAATTTCTCAGAAAAATCAAACTCCACAAATGGCTATTACTATAATATTTATGTGAATATTCTTCTCAGAGTCTTTATACTTCTGGGGCTGGTACTATTATTACAGTATCACCTTCTTTCTTTCTTAATTATAAAAGAGAGGAAAAGCATACAAATAATTTTAATGAATGCATATTCTGTATATATTCATTCAATGTCTGAATGTCTGCTCTGACCACAGTACATTACCGAGCACTAAAGGAGAAGATTCTCTATGACAGTTTAGGGTTAGGATTAGGGTTGGTGGCCTAGTATGGCATATATTCAAAGTATGATAAAAAATTATATAAGCCTTGAAATAATTAAATATAAAAATGAGTTTGGGGCTCACAGTTAGTGTTGGAAGAGCTAATAGGATGCTGTCGCCACCAGTGAAACTTCCATGGAGGACCCCTGGACTGCACCTATAAAGAAGATAGCTTTGCATAGATGGGGTGACCAGACAACCTGTCTGGCCCAGCCAAGCCTCATTTTTTGAAACTTTTTCAGGAATGATCATTTTCTTTTTTCCACTCTCAAAAGTTGTATGGTCAGCCCATGAATAGGCTAAAGGGCACTCATTCCACCTGCAAGATTTAGCTTGGATGGAGGAGGGGGCAGGTATACAGGCAAAAGACTGAACAAGCACAGTGGGAATTGAGCCTGAGTCGGTGGGCCCAGAGATTTGGCAACAGGGCACTGTGTTTGGGAAGGATCCTGACCACCAAGATATAGGAGTCTGTGATTCCTTCTCATTCCTTCTCCTGTTCACTCATATCAGAGTTAGTACTTTGAAGCCAACTAAATTAAACACTAAAACAAAGGTAATTTCTTGGAACTTAAGAGTGAAATGAAATATGACCAGTTGCAGGCCCTGACAATATATTTGCAATTTGTAATTTTCAGTAGCAAATCCTTGTCAATGGTGAAAAGGAAATCAGAGAGAGATTTTCAAAGTCTAATTACAATAGCTTGAGGCTTTGAATTTGGCAAATTGACAATCCATATAGAATGAAGATGAGATCCCAGACCGGGATTTAATGCCAAAAGATCCTTCTTTCCTTCTGTGCATGTAATTTACCATGATGTCTTCAGTGCTTTCAGGATTAGGGACAGTATCTGTTTACTCATTTGCAATCCTAACAGAAAGCCTTTTAGAATGCAACACAGGTCAGCTGAAGGCACCCTTCCCTCCAACATCCGTCAGGAAAATAACAAACCAAGATAAAGAGATTTTAAAGCAATCATTTTGGAGCCTCAATTAAGGCTTTCTTAATACTATTTAACATGATTTTCCAGCCTTTCCTCACAATTTTATTGTGCTCAATCTAATACCTTGTGTTGGGGCAAGATGTGCCTATTATGTTTGCCAAAATTTGTGCACTAGGAAATATTTAATACCATCTTTAACAGAGAATAAGAAAACCCCTGCATGAATGCAATTCTGGAAATGTCAGGAAGTCCTACACTCACCCCTCTTCCTTGCCCTTTGTCTTCTTGTAGTTTTTTTTTAAATTATTCCCACTTAATCTTCTTAAATACTAGCAAAGTGGGTATCATTGCTGCATGTTACAGAAGGGGATGAGGATGCCTGGGAAAGAGAAGTTATGTGATCTTGGCCACACAGTTCTTAGCCCAGCCTGGCTGTGGGGCAAAGATATGCTTAACCTCGAAGCCCATAGAGTTCTCTTCATCCCACTGGCTTTAGAGAACTGTCTTTAAAAGAACTTCACTCACAAGTGTGACTACCTCTGGAGAAGAATTACACCTTCATCTACTTTTTTTTCTAAGTAATATGCTTATAACTTTATCTCTTTTTATTATGAATTAAATACATCACAAGGTACAAATGTATGATGCAACCACCATCTAGTTGTATTAAACGCAAATATTTTGTTGTACATTGCTTCCATTTCTTTCTTTCTTTTTTTTTCTGTTCTGATGGGTATTTTTTATTTATTTATTTATTTTTATTATACTTTAAGTTCTAGGGTACATGTGCACAATGTGCAGGTTTGTTACATATGTATACATGTGCCATATTGGTGTGCTGTACCCATCAACTCGTCATTTACATTAGGTTTATCTCCTAGTGCTATCCCTCTCCCCTCCCCATACCCCATGACAGGCTCCAGTGTGTGATGTTCCCCACCCTGTGTTCAAGTATTCTCATTGTTCAATTCCCACCTATGAGTGAGAATATGCAGTGTTTGGTTTTCTGCCCTTGCGATAGTTTGCTCAGAATGATGGTTTCCAGCTTCATCCATGTCCCTACAAAGGACATGAACTCACCCTTTTTTATGGCTGCATAGTATTCCATGGTGTATACGTGACACATTTTCTTAATCCAGTATATCATTGATGGACATTTGGGTTGGTTCCAAGTCTTTTCTATTGTGAATAGTGCCGCAATAAACATACGTGTGCATGTGTCTTTATAGTAGCATGATTTATCATTCTTTGGGTATATACCCAGTAATGGGATGGCTGGGTCAAATGGTATTTCTAGTTCTAGATCCTTGAGGAATCGCCACACTGTCTTCCACAATGGTTTAACTAGTTTACAGTCCCACCAACAGTGTAAAAGTGTTCCTATTTCTCCATATCCTCTCCAGCATTGTTCTTTCCTGACTTTTTAATGATGGCCATTCTAACTGGTATGAGATGGTATCTCATTGTGGTTTTGATTTGCATTTCTCTGACGGCCAGTGATGATGAGCATTTTTTCGTGTGTCTGTTGGCTGCATAAATGTCTTCTTTGGGGTAGTGTCTGTTCATATCCTTTGCCCACTTTTTGATGGGATTGTTTGATTTTTTTCTTGTAAATTTGTTGAAGTTCTTTGTAGATTCTTGATACTAGTCCTTTGTCAGATGGGTAGATTGTAAAAATTTTCTCCCATTCTGTAGGTTGCCTGTTCACTCTGATGGTAGTTTCTTTTGCTGTGCAGAAGCTCTTTAGTTTAATTAGATCCCATTTGTCAATTTTGGCTTTTGCTGCCATTGCTTTTGGTGTTTTAGTCATGAAGACCTTGCCCAAGCCTATGTCCTGAATGGTATTGCCTAGGTTTTCTTCTAGGGTTTTTATGGTTTTAGGTCTGACATTTAAGTCTTTACTCCATCTTGAATTAATTTTTGTATAAGGTGTAAGGAAGGGATCCAGTTTCAGCTTTCTACATATGGCTAGCCAGTTTTCCCAGCAACATTTATTAAATAGGGAATCTTTTCCCCATTTCTTAGTTTTGACAGATTTGTCAAAGGTCAAATGGTTGTAGGTGTGTGGTATTATTTCTGAGGGCTCTGTTGTGTTCCATTGGTCTATATCTCTGTTTTGGTACCAGTACCATGCTGTTTTGGTTACTGTAGCCTTGTACTATAGCTTGAAGTCAGGTAGCGTGATGCCTCCAGCTTTGTTCTTTTGGCTTAGGATTTTCTTGGCAATGTAGGCTCTTTTTTGGTTCCATATGAACTTTAAAGTAGTTTTTTCCAATTCTGTGAAGAAATTCATTAGTAGCTTGATGGGGATGGCATTAAATCTATAAATTACCTTGGGCAGTATGGCCATTTTCATGATATTGATTCTTCCTATCCATGAGCATGGAATGTTCTTCCATTTGTTTGTGTCCTCTTTTACTTTGTTGAGGAGTGGTCTGTAGTTCTCCTTGAAAAGGTCCTTCACATCCCTTGTAAGTTGGATTCCTAGGTATTTTATTCTCTTTGAAGCAATTGTGAATGTGAGTTCACTCATGATATGGCTCTCTGTTTGTCTGTTATTGGTGTATAGAAATGCTTGTGATTTTTGCACATTGATTTTGTATCCTGAGACTTTGCTGAAGTTGCTTATCAGCTTAAGGAGATTTTGGGCTGAGACGATAGGGATTTCTAAATATACAATATGTCATCTGCAAACAGGGACAATTTGACTGCTTCTTTTCCTAGTTGAAAACCCTTTATTTCTTTCTCCTTCCAGATTGCTCCGGCCAGAACTTCCAACAGTATGTTGAATAAGAGTGGTGAGAGAGGGCATCCCTGTCTTGTGCCAGTTTTCAAAGGGAATGCTCCCAGTTTTTGCCCATTCAGTATGATATTGGCTGTGGGTTTGTCATAAATAGCTCTTATTATTTTGAGATACGTCCCATCAATACCTAGTTTATTGAGAGTTTTTAGCATGAAGGATTGTTGAATTTTGTCAAAGGCCTTTTCTGCATCTATTGAGACAATCATGTGGTTTTTGTCTTTGGTTCTGTTTATATGATGGATTACATTTATTGATTTGTGTATGTTGAACCAGCGTTGTATCCCAGGGATGAGGCCAACTTGATCATGGTGGATAAGCTTTTTGATGTGCTGCTGGATTCGGTTTGCCAGTATTTTATTAAGGAATTTTGCGTTGATGTTCATCAGGGATATTGGACTAAAATTCTCTTTTTTTGTTGTGTCTCTGCCAGGCTTTGGTATCAGGATGCTGCTGGCCTCATAAAATGAGTTAAGAAGGATTCCCTCTTTTTCTATTGAGTGGAATAGTTTCAGAAGGAATGGTACCAGCTCCTCTTTGTACCTCTGGTAGAATTTGGCTGTGACTCCATCAGGTCCTGGACTTTTTTTTGGTTGGTAAGCTATTAATTATTGGCTCAATTTCAGAGCCCATTATTGGTCTATTCAGAGATTCAACTTCTTCCTGATTTAGTCTTGGGAGGGTGTATGTGTCGAGGAATTTATCCATTTCTTCTAGATTTTCTAGTTTATTTGCATAGAGGTGCTTCTCTGACGTTAGTTTGTACTTCTGTGGGATCAGTGGTGATATCCCCTTTATCATTTTTTTATTGCGTCTATTTGATTCTTCTGTCTTTTCTTCTTTATTAGTCTTGCTAGCAGTCTATCAATTTTGTTGATCTTTTCAAAAAACCAGCTCCTGAATTCATTGATTTTTTTGAAGGGTTTTTTGTGTCTCTATCTCCTTCAGTTCTGCTCTGATCTTAGTTATTTCTTGCCTTCTGCTAGCTTTTGAATGTGTTTGCTCTTGCTTCTGCAGTTCTTTTAATTGTGATGTTAGGGTGTCAATTTTAGATCTTTCCTGCTTTCCCTTGTGGACATTTAGTGCTATAAATTTCCCTCTACATACTGCTTTAAATGTGTCCCAGAGATTCTGGTATGTTGTGTCTTTTTTCTCACGGGTTTCAAAGAACATCTTTGTTTCTGCCTTCATTTTGTTATGTACCCAGTAGTCATTCAGGAGAATGTTGTTCAGTTTCCATATAGTTGAGCGGTTTTGAGTGAGTTTCTTAATCCTGAGTTCTAGTTTCATTGCACTGTGATCTGAGAGACAGTTTGTTATAATTTCTGTTCTTTTACATTTACTGAGGAGTGCTTTACTTCCAACTATGTGGTCAATTTTGGAATAAGTGTGATGTGGTACTGAGAAGAATGTGTATTCTGTTGATTTGGGGTGGAGAGTTCTGTAGATGTCTATTAGGTCCACTTGGTGCAGATCTGAGTTCAATTCCTGGATAGCCTTGTTAACTTTCTGTCTCGTTGATCTGTCTAATGTTGACAGTGGGCTGTTAACGTCTCCCATTGTTATTGCATGGGAGTCTAAGTCTCTTTGTAGGTCTCTAAGGGCTTGCTTTATGAATCTGGGTGCTCCTGTATTGGGTGCATATATATTTAGGATAGTTAGCTCTTCTTGTTGAATTGATCCCTTTACCATTATGTAATGGCCTTCTTTGTCTCTTTTGATCTTTGTTGGTTTAAAGTCTGTTTTATCAGAGACTAGGATTGCAACCCTTGCTTTTTTTTGTTCTCCATTTGCTTGGTAGATCTTCCTCCATCCCTTTATTTTGAGCCTACATGTGCCTCTGCATGTGAGAGGGGTCTCCTGAATACAGCACACTGATGGGTCTTGACTCTTTATCCATTTTGCCAGTCTGTGTCTTTTAATTGGTGCATTTAGCCCATTTACATGTAAGGTTAATATTGTTATGTGTGAATTTGATCCCGTTATTTTGATTTAGCTGGTTGTTTTGCTCATTAGTTGATGCAGTTTCTTCCTAGCATTGATGGTCTTTACAATTTGGCATGTTTTTGCAGTGGCTCATACTGGTTGTTCCTTTCTATGTTTAGTGCTTCCTTCAGAAGCTCTTGTAGGGCAGGCCTGGTGGTGACATAATCTCTCAGCATTTGTTTGTCTGTAAAGGATTTTATTTCTCCTCCACTTGTGAAGCTTAGTTTGGCTGGATATGAAATTCTGGGTTGAAAATTCTTTTCTTTAAGAATGTTGAATATTGGCCCCCACTCTCTTCTGGCTTGTAGAGTTTCTTCTGAGAGATCTGCTGTTAGTCTGATGGGCTTCCCTTTGTGGGTAACCCGACCTTTCTCTCTGGCTGCCCTTAAGATTTTTTCCTTCATTTCAACTTTGGTGAATCTGACAATTATGTGTCTTGGAGTTGCTCTTCTTGAGGAGTATCTCTGTGGCATTCTCTCTGTTTCCTGAATTTGAACGTAGGCCTGCCTTGCTAGATTGGGGAAGTTCTCCAGGATAATATGCTGCAGAGTGTTTTCCAACTTGGTTCCATTCTCCCCGTCTCTTTTAGGTACACCAATCAGACGTAGATTTGGTCTTTTCACATAGTCCCATATTTCTTGGAGGCTTTGTTCATTTCTTCTTACTCTTTTTTTCTCTAAACTTCTCTTTTCACTTCATTTCATTCATTTGATCTTCCATCACTGATACCCTTTCTTCCACTTGATCAAATCATCTACTGAAGCTTGCACATGCGTCACATAGTTCTCGTGCCATGATTTTCAGCTCCATCAGGTCATTTAAGGTCTTCTCTACACTGTTTATTTTAGTTAGCCATTCATCTAATCTTTTTTCAAGTATTTTAGCTTCTTTGCAGTGGGTTCGAACACCTTCCTTTAGCTCAGAGAAGTTTGTTATTACCAATCGTCTGAAGCCTCCTTCTCTCAACTTGTCAAAATCATTCTCCATCCAGCTTTGTTCCGTTGCTGGAGAAGAGTTGCATTACTTTGGAGGAGGAGAGGTGCTCTGATTTTTAGTATTTTCAGCTTTTCTTCTCTGGTTTCTCTCCATCTTTGTGGTTTTAACTACCTTTGGTCTTTGATGATGGTGACACACAGATGGGATTTTGGTGTGGATGTCCTTTCTGTTTGTTAGTTTTCCTTCTAACAGTCAGAACCCTCAGCTGCAGGTCTGTTGGAGTTTGCTGGAGGTCCACTCCAGACACTATTTGCCTGGGTATCACTAGCGGAGGCTGCAGAACCGCAAATATTGCAGAATGGCAAATGTTGCTGTCAGATCGTCCTTCTGGAAGCTTCGTCTCAGAGGGGCACCTGGCCATATGAGGTGTCAGTCGGCCCCTACTGGGAGGTGTCTCCCAGTTAGGCTACTCGGGGGTCAGGGACCCACTTGAGGAGGCATTCTGTCCGTTCTCATATCTCAAACTCCATGTTGGGAGAACCACTACTCTCTTCAAAGCTGTCAGACAGGGACGTTTAAGTCTGCTGAAGTTTCTGCTGCCTTTTGTTCAACTATGCCCTGTCCCCAGAGGTGGAGTCTACAGAGGCAGGCAGGCCTCCTTGAGCTGCGGTGGACTCCACCCAGTTCAAGCTTTCCAGCTGCTTTGTTTACCTACTCAAGCCTCAGCAATGGTGGACGCCCCTCCCCCAGCCTCGCTGCCACCTTTTTGCAGTTCGATCTCAGACTGCTGTGCTAGCAATGAGTGAGGCTCCGTGGGCGTGGGACCCTCCGAGCCAGGCATGGGATATAATCTCCTGGTGTGCCATTTGCTAAGACCTTTGGAAATGTGCAGTATTAGGGTGGGAGTGTCCTGATTTTCCAGGTACTGTCTGTCATGCCTTCCCTTGGTTATGAAAGGGAATTCCCCGACCCCTTGCACTTCCTGGGTGAGGTGATGCCTCACCCTACTCCATGGGCTGCACCCAGTGTCCGACAAGCCCCAGTGAGATGAACCCGGTACCTCAGTTGGAAATGCAGAAATCACCCGTCTTCTGCATCACTCACGCTGGGAGCTGTAGACTGCAGCTGTTCCTATTTGGCCATCTTGGACTGAAAAAAACTCATCTGCTTCTTAATGTGAGATATATATATATATACATATATTTTTTTTCTTATCACTAGACCTTGAAGGGGCACTGACATGGGTGTCAAAGAGCCCTCAGTTCCAAAAGCAATCTGCTCCCTGTTAGCTGGGAAAAGGTGTGGGTGTGTGTGTGTGTGTGTGTGTGTGTGTGTGTGTCTTTTACCACCTCTGTGGTTTGGTTTTGCATCTGTAAAATTGGGACAGGAAGATTAGCAACTCAAAGATCTAAGGGATCTGGCACACAATAAGCATCCAGTAAATCGAAGCTCTGTGACTTGTGCCTTTTCCTTCTATCTCAGCTCATCACATGCTTGTGCTTCTAGAAATTGTAAAGTGTGGAATGTGCTAATTCCAAAGTTGAATGAAACTCATTTTAGTGAACCTCATAAAAGGGTTACAGAGAAGGAGAGAATGTGAGATAAAGGAGAAATTGCTCTCTTGGGCCTGGATTTATCTTAGATTGACTGCTATGCTTGCAGATACCATGGAGATGAGCACTTTATACTTGGTCTGATAAATAGAAACAATTTTACCAGAATCATTCAATATGCAAACACTTTAAAAATAAGCAAGGGCTGTTATGACTTTAAATATATCTGTGCCTGACAGCCTGCCTAATGTTTCACGATTTAATTAGTAATATCATTTCCCTGGACTTAAGGTTATCAATCATGTTACAGTTATTTCATTTCTGGCTGTCTAAATATAGCTGGATAGGGTTCTGGCATTGTTCCCTTTGCAAAGATGAGGGGAAATTTTCAAGGAGAAAATGGTGGCAGGAAGAAATAAGACCACTGTGCATAACGAGCCATGAATCTGGCCCACCACGTAATCCCATCTTTAATAAATCCACAGCTATTTAGCATCTCCTTTCTCCCCATCATGAATTAGCTGGTATGAAACCTCCAGTAGAATGCTTGCTAAAGAGCTGAGGAGGAAAAATGAACATACAAAAGCCAATTAATCTAATTAATGGTGGTAATAGTTCCATGCATCTGTCTTGTACAGTTCACAGCAGGCACTTCTGCAGAAGTGATTTTATTTAACCTCATTTAATTAGCGTTAAGTGCTAAATTGTTTGATACACACTATAAAACTCAGCTGATGTTCATATAAGGGAAAGATCAATGTGGGCTGCAGTGGTAGGGAAACTTCAGGTCTTGATGAGGGTTGTAAAAACTGGGTGCATGGGATAGTTTAGGAATGATTGGGGGATGGGGCAAGGAGTTCCCTCAGGTACGTCTCGTGTCTTAAAATACCTCATAATTTTCCCATTTGTAGCCTCTTAAAGCCTAATTTACCATTTGACCACAGCGACATTTGCTATTACTTGTGAATCTCTCCCCAATGATGATAAAAGTCCTGGAAGTCAGACATAGGCAATAATTGTGTTGACTGTGCAGACACACCAATCATGCACAGCAGTCTCTCCTGCAGCGCCACTGCCTTGGGTGTGCTGATGTCGGTGAAACCAAAATACAGAAAAAGGAGAAAGCCTCCAAAATATTTCAGGAACACAAGCATGCTAAGCAGGAAGGAAAATGCACACGTGTGTGCCACAGAGCAGCTGGAGAGGAAGCCTTGTGTTTTTGGTCAGGGTTCGCACTGATGAAGTGTGATTTAAAGGGTCAGTCTGTACCTAATAAATTGAAGTTAAGACACTTAGAGGAGGTAGTAAGGGTGTTCACTTATTTCATTCAAAGCAAAGGCCACAAATTGTATGCATCTGTATGCGTGTGTGCATGTGTGTTTGTGTGTGTGTGTGTGTGTGTGTGTGTATGGCAATAAGACCAAAAGCTTCCATGCTTTTAAGATACAGAAATGCTGTCAGTAAGATGGAGATGGCCAAGGCAGGGAACACACTGAACCTCCTGAGTGATCCAAATCTGTTATACAGATGAACAGTTATTATGGCACTATTGTTAACACCAGCACCTTTCTTACACCAAAATTTATCCTCAAACAACATCAAAAAAATAGATCCAACAGAGACCCCTCACATGCCTTCCTCAACTTAAAAAGAAGAGCATCTTTTGAACCAAGACTCAGGTATGGGTGATTGCATACCCAGGCACTTCATTGAGGTCATATAACGAGAAAAATGACATGTCTTCATTTAGTTGATATCTATTTTACTTTCTTGTAAGACCAGTATTGTGACTCTTTCAAGCACACTACACTCTTTTTGCTTCCATTCATGCCTTTCCCCTATGACTGCACTGCAGTGCTTGAAAACTTGCCTGTAAATCGCCAAGCCTACATTGCAGTCGAGGTTCTGTCCTTACGTGGTTTGGTTGGTTGGTTGGGACAGGTTGAATAACTGTTCTGCACCCTAGTTAAGACATCTATAAAATTAGCTGATTACACCAGATAGTTTCTAAACCTGTTATAACTCTTGTTTTCTCCAAGATTAACTTCCTTTTCTCTGAGCCTATTCATGTTCTATTCATCTCTTAAGACAGAGTTTATGTCCTGAGTCAAAGAGTACTTGTCCAGACCTGGCTTTTTTCTTCCTTTTACTTGCTACTTCATGCACCAAAGATGCAAAAGTTCTCTCTGGCTCACCTTTGCTCCCTGCCAATTGAATTCTCTCTATTTCTGCCCTCAATGGCCTTCCTTTTTTGTCTCTCTATCCTTTGCAGCTCAGCCTAGGCTCTGGGAGGTGATGGGAGGACCTCGGTTGGGGAGCATCTACTTTGTGCTTCCATAGTAACCTACAGTCATGGTTATCACAAGACATAACTTCCAGCCCTATACCGTAATTGCTGAATCTGTCACTTGCATCAGACTCTGACAACCACAATGGCTGGTGCTCTATCCCCAGAACAGTGGTCCTCAAACCTGTCTGCACAGTAGAGTGATCTTGGGAGACTTTAAATATCCCAAAGCCCAGGTCACTCCACAGAACAATTAAATCAGATACTCTGAGGTGGAACCCAGTCATAAGAGCACTTTTTAGGTCCTCAAGGTGGTTCCAAGTTTGAGAACCACTGCTTTACAGTGTCCAACACTAAATTAATATTAATAAATGAATACACTATTCCCTGATGTAAAGAGCCTGCAGTGGTTTCTTCCTTTCCTTTCTGTTCACTGCAGCTTTTGACTATCACTTTGAGGTTTAGACTTTATTAAATAAAATGTTATATCATAGTCTATCTTATATCTTGTCTTTAAGGGGTGGGATTTTGCTGTGTTGCCCAGGCTGGTCTCTAACTCCTGGCTTCAAATGATCATCCCTCCTAGGTCTCTCAAAGTGGTGGGATCTCAGGCATGAGCCACTATGCCCGGCCCCTATTCTATCTCAAATTATTTTTGTACATAACATGACATCACCCATATGGAATTTGGTGAGCTCGTTTTGCTCAAAAATTACTATCGGTCAGTCCCACAGTGCTATAGACAAAATTTTTAAAAATTGAAAGTGTTTTGTTTTTACTGGTGAGAACAAGATTTACCCATTCTATTAAAATATCCAGTACATACTAAGTGCCTAGTAATTACCATGAATTGCTCTAAGGATCAAGTATACAACAGGCATTAAAAAAAAAAAAAAGCTTCCTGCTCTTAAGAAATGTTCATTCTAAAAAGAGAAAAAAAGAGAAATGTTCATTCTAATTAAAAAAATAGAACAATAAATGAGTGATCAAAGGCATAAACAATGCACAGAAATTTCAGCTGATAAGTGCCAAGAGGACAATGAAGCAGTGACGCGATGAGAGTGAGTGGGGAAGTTCCTTCTTTCTAGGTAGTCAGGAAACTCGGGATAGAATTCATTAGAACTGACACAGAAATGGCAGGAAAAGTCAGCCTCACAAAGACTCGCTTGTGAGAGTGTTCCAGGCAAAGAGAACACTAAGTGCAACGGCCCTAAAGAGCTTGGTCTGATCCACCAACAGAAAGAAAGCCAGTGTGAATTCACCATATCCACTAGTAAGATGGGAGTAATTCTGACACTCTGCCTCCTCCCAGGGCCTAGCAGCATTGTATACATGAAAGAGTATTTGGAGCCAGATAGACCTGGGTCCCATTTACTAGATCTATGATTCTGGACAAATTATGTGGTACAGGAAACTGAAGGTAAAACTGAACTGTCTAAAATACAAATGGACTTTTTTTAGCATGTGGGTTATTACGAAGACTAAATGAGATACGCATGTTAATTCCCAGCCCACAGAGGGCCTTCGCAAATGTTGGTCCTCCTCCTCTCCCTTACGTGTCTCTCTCTGTCACATAGCAGCTCTCCACAAGTCCTGTAGCAGGCAGCTTTCATTAAGAAGTGTGAGCTGCTATCAAAGAACTATTTCTCCTTGACCTTCCACTACCCTTATTTCCTCCCAAAACACTCTTCATGTTCTCTCAAGAGCTCAGAATTCCCACACGCAGATTGGGTCATGATGGTGTACACAGTGAACTAGCTTACTGTCATGTCAGTTTCTTACTGGAAAACAAGGCTCAGTGCTTTTGAATCCTCTTTACTATCCCTTCAATCTGCCCAGTGACAGAGATGTCCTCTGAAAGGGACAGGTCTGAGAATGACTTGTCGACTGTTTGAAGTTGAATGCAAGACTTATAGTTTGCACAAATGACAATCCAAGGTGGGTGCTGTGGCTTTTCAGGTCCTTCAGTTATCAAAACATTTAAGGATATACATTTGGCTTTATAGGCTTTGTATATGTGTGTGTATAACATGGGTGTGTGTGTGTATGTATTTTAAACACAAATATATAAAAAGATATATACATATATTCTAAAGTATCTGTTGCATGATCATGAACAAACCTTATTTCAGAAGGACTGAAAGAAAAATGATTTTAAAAGAATAGTGTCATTTAAAAAAAAATACCTAGACCAATGGTTTGCAAGCTTTACTGCATGTAAGAATTCCCTGAAAATTTTTTTAAATGTATGCTTCTGTGTTTCTGACTAAATATAGTTCCATGTAGCTGGGACTACAGGTTCATGCCACCATACCTAGCTAATGTTTTGTATTTTTTTGTAGAGACCGGATTTTGCCATGTTACCCAGGCTGGTCTTGAGCTCCTGGGCTCAAGCAATCCTCCCACTTAATTTCTGACTAAATCAGAAACTCTGAGAGTGAGGCACAGAGATGTTACATTTTAACAAATTCTGGAAGTGGAGCCTCAGAATTGGTAATTTAAATTGGTATTTAATTAAGTGATTTAATCAATTTCGTGCTTGAGTGCAGAACAGGAGAGTAGGTAAGTACTGGTTTTTTAAGAAGTCGGTGCTATGGAAAGAAATTCACTTATGCTGAACAAGGCTTTTTTTACTGAGTACTATTTGATTAGAAAATACAGTGTTAAGTACTCATTAAATTAATATATTTCATTATAGATTGTTTAAATATTCTTTTCCTTCGTTTCCCAACCTAACTTTTTACCCCAAATCAACTTGGATAATTTAGGATGCAGTGCTTCTTGTTATAAATTGAGATAATGAATTATCTCTACACAAATGTATGGAGCATATGCTATATGCCTTGTACTGCTCTAGGTATTAAGGACTCATAATAAAGTCTCTGCCTCCACAGAGTTTGTATTGTGCTAAGTGAGACAAGTAAGAGACAAGTCAATCAAGTAAGATATATAATATGTCAGACAGTGATAGAATAATATCAAATGGAAAAGTGGGATTAGGAAATGTGAGGAGAGGTGAAATTCAGATAAAGCCTCCAGAATAGACCTCAGGTTTCTGCCCTAGGAAGATGCAAATTCTTGGCTCGGTTTATATTTTCTGAAAGCAAAACCAGAAAATCAAATGAAAATAAGGGAAACTTAAGCTGAAGTAACACTTTGAGAATAATGCTGACAATATCAGTGTGTGCTACTCTGTTAGGAGAGGAGGATAGGAGAGTGTTTCAGTGCTGTCTCACATTTCAAGGGCAAAGCTATGGAAATAATGGCAAAACATGCCAAGGACCCACTCAGATATCTGTGCTTAAAATTGTAATCACGTTTCATTTTCTTAAAAGTCCTGGCTTGCTTTATTTCAGCCTGGATTCTAGCTCACTGGCAGTAAGCTGTATTGGGATGAAGGACCCAGTTAGTGAAATGCATGCCACTCTGAAAGGTGGCCTCCAAAAGATGATGTAGGAGGAATGTCACAGAGGATCTTCCTCATGAAGGATGTCCACTCCTTTAATGCAATCTTAACAGAAGTTCTGGTGTATGGAAATTACTAATAGACAAATACAAAATTTTCAATAAAAACATGACCCACATTTCTAGGAGATCTGTGCTACACATTTAAATTTATGTAAAAATGGAAGAGTTTATCTTCTAGGAAAAGCCCAATCACCATGGCCCAGCTCAATGTATGTGCAGTGCTTCATGCACAGGTGGGGAGTCTGTGTTGAGTCACCAAAGGGAAAGGAAACAACGAAGCTCACCTCAGGGGACTAAGTACATGGATACAGTGAAATAAAACTATGGATGTCCAGCTGCTAGCCCTGCTACTGCCATCTCTTCCCTTCTCTTTGATTCCTTTGTGTGAATAATTGCACAGAAGAGAGTTTTACCCGATACCCTTCTTCACTTCCTACAGAAAGTAATAGGTCATGTGCTCATGCTATGGGGACTGTGATAGCAGGATTCACACCCTTGTATACATCCCTCCTAACTCAGCATTTATAGTTTGAACACCTGGTACCCACTTTATCTCTGTACTAAGTGGGAGGGAGGGACCACAACCTCAGCTACTATCCAGTCTGGATTTTCCTTCTGCTGTAAGTGCTGCTATGTTTTTCCTCTTATTAGTTCCTTGTTTATACCTAAAGAACAAAAGAAAACAAAAACTGGCCCTGTAGAGCATTTAATGTTTATTTCTTCATTGTTGTAAGTTTGTGTTAACTGAAGGAAGATGTAGAAAGAAAGAAATTAACATTGACTGAGCGTTGACTGAGTGCCAAGCATTGAGCTTTACCAACCAGCACAGTTTGGTCTCAGGACTCTTAAAATAAGCATGGTGGCTGATGCCTGTAATCCCAGCACCTTGAGAGACTGAGGCAGAAGAATAGCTTGAGGCCAGAAGTTTGAGACCAGCCTGCACAAATGTGAAACCTCATCTCTACACACACACACACACACACACACACACACACACAATTAGCCAGGCGTGGTGGCATCTGCCTGTAGTCCCAGCTACTCAGGAGGCTGAGGCATCAAGGCTGAAGCAAGCCTTGATCGTACCACCTCACGTCAACCTGGGAGACAGAGTAAGACATCGTCTCAAAAAAAAAAAAAAAAAAGACTATTATACGGAAAGCAATAATTCAATCATTTCTTGGTTTTACAGAAGAGAAATCCTAGTTTCATCGTGTTACACCCAGGTCTATCTGACTTCAGAATCCTTGATCTTTTCCTACCTTAAGGCCTTTGCCTATAGCTCTGCCAGCAGCCCACTCGATTTTGTTTTCAAAACGTATTACTCTTTTCAATGTTTTCCAAAAACTGAGGGCCTGGCTAGCCCTTACTTGGTTAGAATGTCAATAATCTTTATGCCCCAAATATTTATTTCCAATACCCTGAGTTTCAGTCCGAAATTCCTAAGCCTGGTGATTAATAAAAAGTAAATTAAAAAAACTCTTAATGTGTCCATGGTTTATGAGATTGCTATGATCTAATAAAACCTGTAGCAAAGTGTTAGCCAACTTAGTTATGAAAGGGTGTTCATTTTATGATGATTATTTGAATTGTACATCTATGATTTTTGCACATTTCTATATATGTCATCCTTAAAAAATAAAATATAATAGTCAAATGATTCTAGTAATATGTAAAAAAGATATGTAGAATCCTTGATTTTATATATCATGACATAATAATATGCTAATCATAATAATGTGCTATTATCATAACATCATTATAGTATCTACAGATATTTAGATCTCTAGATATATAGAGCTAAATACAGTAATTAATTTGGATTTATTTTTAAAAGGTGAGGTTTGTTTAAGATTTAAAAATTAACCAGTGTAATTCATTATATTAATGACATAAAAATAAAATCTTAGATGCAGAAAAAGCATTTGAAAAATCCACCTTCAATATTATAAATATATGTACATATAATATATATATCCATATGTTTGGTATATTGCAAATATTAAATGAAATTATTTAAGTTAGTAAAGTGTTATCTACAAACATATTCAATCAGATATCGTATTTATTGATGAAATTTTGAAATATTTTTACTAAGATTATGAATGAAGAAGCTTGTCTATAATTCTTACTTCTACTGAGCATTGTACTGAAGGTCCTTTTCAATGTAATAAGGCAAGATAATGATTTAAATATTAGGACCAGAAAGGAAAATATATAAATGCCATTAATCATGGATGGTTTGATTATATACACAAAAAATGTGATAAAATTCATAAATAAATTATTAGGATTCATGAGGTTAGCAAGGCTGATGAATCAAGGTCAATTTAGTAAAATAAATTTACTTCCGTATACCAGTAATAAACAATTAGAAGATCCTATTTTTAAATAAGATACAATTTATAATGTATCATAAAAATATTAATATCTAAGAATAAATGTAACTAGAGAAGCACAGCCTTGTATTTAGAAAATTTTAAAACATCATTGAGTGAAATATACAAGAAGAACTAAATAAATGAAGAGAGAGATGGACCAGTTTCATTGATTCATGACTTAATGTTGTAACAATGTGAGTTATTCCTGAACTAATCCTGATCTACTGATTCAATGCAATGCCAATTGATATCGCAATACATTTTGTTTAGAAGCTTGGCAAGCTTATTCTAAGAGTTGTATAAAAAATTAAAAATAAGAAGTATAGCTAATGATGCTCTTGAATGAGGTGAGGGACTTTTTTCCCTTGTATCTACCACAAATCATTATAACTACAGTAATTAGGACATGCGATATTGGCACAAGGTTAGGCAAATAGATCAGGGGGATATAATTGGAAACTTAGTAATAGACATATATATATATATAGAGAGAGAGACACTTGATATATAGCAAAGGTGATGCTGTAGAGCAGTGAAAAAATGATCTTTTCAATGATGTGGACAATTGGAAAAAATAAAGTGTGACCTTACTCCACATAATCCACAAAAATAATTTCAAAAGGATTATAAATACGGATGTGAAAGGTAAAACAATAAGGCTTCTAGATGATAGAATATATTATACATTTTTAAAACAAGATGCAAGAGGCTATAAGGAAAAACATTGCTGAATTAGATTAGTAAAATTAAGAACTTATCTTTTCATTTAATTAAGAAAATGAACAAACACACAGTAAGATGAGATGACATATTTATAACACAAGAGAGAACTAGGGCTCCAATCCAGGATATTAAAAAATTACTACAAATAATACACACACACACACACACACACACACACACACATATATATGTATCAGTTGAATAGATATATACAATATAGACATTCAAATAGAAAAAAGTGGGCGAAAGACTTGAACAGACCTAGTATTTCATTTACCCAGCATAGAGGTATAGAGTACTTCTATTTAAATTTGTACAATAAAGAATTTTTTAACGTTTTCTTTTTGAGTGAGACATATAACACCTATAAAGAAAGGTGTACAAAAAACTTTAAAGGAATTATCCCACATCAGAATTAATTGTAAGATTATGAAATAATTTATCCTTTTACTTCTGACATTCATTTGGAGTGTTTCCAGCTTCTAGCTACTATGAATCATGCTGTTAGGATGATGTGCATGTGATTCAGAGGGATACATATGTAGAAGTGGAATTGTTGAGCCACGGGATGTGGGTATACACATTTAAATTTTAGTAGATAATAACAAATTGTTCTCCAGATTATCTGGATATACTTACATTCACAGGCAGTGTATCAGCTCTCTGCTAACTCTTGAAATTGTCCATTTAAAATTTCATTTTAACCTTAGGTATTCTTTCTATTGTGTATGAAATCTTATTTTGGTTTTGTGTGGATTTTCCTGATTGCTAATGAAAATAATGAAATATCTGTATTGCTGCAAACAACTTGAAAGAACCTTAAGGGGACATAATATTATACACAAGAAATGAAACACAAAATGATACATTCTGTTTATAGAGTTGAAAAATACGGAGTGTTTAAGGATGCTTGCTGCAGAGGTAATAAATACTATAAAGAAAAACAAGAAGTACAAATGGGGTTTTTTTTGGGAGGAGGGAGGTGATAATGGGGACTTTTGAATGCTTGTGATGTTTTCATTCTCAACATGATTGGTGCCTACACAAGCAATCACTTTGCAACAAATCATCATGCTAAATATTTTTGTTTCATGAGTTTATCTTTAGGAGCACAAAATTTTATAAAGATTAAAAAATAAAACACTAAACTCAACATGAGAGCTCAGTTGATACATACAAGGAAGTCTATGTCTAACTGTGTGAGAAGCCTATAAGAGAAACAGAACAGAAACTAACAGCCATCCTATCTAAGAGGAGTGTGACAAGTTGGCTCAGCAAGCATGGACCTTTCAAGCAAGGCAGGAGGCCAGAACATCTCTTATATGAAAATATGATGCTTCCAATCAGAGCTAGAGCCATATTTTAGGTGTGAGACAGAGTTCTAGACATTCTTGTCCAAATAGTCAACTCAGGGGGAACCTGAGGGAAGTATTCACAGCAAAAGTGGGAAATCAATGTCTTTGGAAACTAAATAAAGTGATGCCAAGGAAGGACAAGCTAAAATTAATAGTCAGGAAGGTAATCCCTGTGAATACTTAAAAAGCCAGCCAGATTTCTATACAAGCCTGAATGGAGCAGAAATCTCTATGTTTGCCTTCAGGGAGTTTCAAATTTGCTTGGGAGAACACATGAAACTCCAGTATTATATTCTGAGCAGCACAAGATTCCAGCAAACTTGCATAGATGGGGTACTCCCATGGCTAGCTAGGGACAAGTCATTCAGTGTTCTTGCCCATCAGATAATGTCTTCCAGGACAGAAGTGAGAAAGACTGGACCAGTACCGTAGCAGTGTGCATGCTGAATTATGAATTGATTTCTTAAAAAAACCTGAATAGATACAGTGTAGTGACACAAAGCTTTGAGTTTGGAGAAATTGTAAGGACAGGAATAAAAGTTATTATTTGGAATAAAGGCCCACTGTATGATTAACGTGAAGAAGGACCGGAAAGAAGACAAGGGGATGTCATAGAAATTTTTATGCCAACTCCCAATAAATCATTTGCCTTGGGCCTTCGAGTTTTGAAAGTTTGATATTCCCTTTTGTGACCACCCTTCTGGTTTTGTTTCAGTTGTACTGTGGCTTCTTCATGAGAGCTGTTTTTAGTTACTGACATCAGTGATGAAGCCTGTGGTATGGTGATTTGGATTTTGAGGAGAGATCAATAATTTTATATTCCATGAATTTTAAAATACACACTGATACAGGCTCATATGCATCAGTGTACGAGTGATATTAAGATCATTAGCAATGTCAGAATCAGTCATGCCAAGCTACAAATGTATGAAACAACCCACCCACCGTATCATAGCCAGAAAGGAGCCTCCAGTTTAATTGCAATCACAGTGGCTACATGTAATTTCTCCCCTAGATATGCAGCTACACTTTAGCACGTTTTCATCATGGACTTCCAGCAGTCTTGGGAATCCAAATGCACTCTAAACTCTCAAGAGTTCCTCCTCTCTTTTTGTGTTCTTCCTTTGCTCTCTGTGGCCTTTCCCAAGTGTGTATGGAATTTGCCCAAATTTCATTTCATTTTTTGATTGTCTTCCAGCCAGATAATAACAGGCATCTGATCAAGGGTTTAGTTAAGTGCTCCATCCAGCAGTATTTATGCTACATAAATTATTCATACAATACCACCCTGGACAAATCGCACTTTGATTATACACTCATTTTTCAGTCCATTCATTTACCAGACAAGTAGAGATCATGGGAGATCAGAGGAGCCTCACTTGTGAATCGATAATGAACTTGGGCTCTTCACCTGCTCTGTGCCTCAGCTCCCCGTTCTGGTGGTGAGCTTTCTATCAAGGGCCTTTGTGCAGATCAAATGAGGTAATAGATGTGAAAGTCCTTTGAATGGCAAATGTACTGAATAAATAGAGATGAGACAGTTATCCTTGGAAGGTACATTTTACAGTAGAATACTCTGGGGTCACATAGACCTGCCTTTAAATGACAACAGGTTGTGTGGCCCTCGGAAACTACCTAAGCTACTTGAGCCTCAGTTTTATTGTCTATAAAATGAGGATACCAATAGCCCTCTCTCAGGAGAGGTGGAAGGAAGAAATCACATACATAAAATGCTAGCACACTGCTTCACCTATGGTAAATAGTCAATAAACAGTCTTATCTTTCCTATAACTCTTTGAAGACACTGTTCATCTGACAGCCATAATAATTATTATTAATTTTGATTGTTTATTTCTCTTTAATATGAATATGTGTTTTGCTGCCAATTTCATTCTAAGCTCTTGAAAAACCGGCCTTTTTTTATTGTTTTAACTTCCCTCCCTTCCAGGGCCAAACAGCCAAAATATATGCATGTGAATTCATCGATTATATGAGTCCAGATAGGCTTGAATATGGAATCTACAGTCAGTGTTTTGCTTATCTTTGTATATACTTCCCCATTCACAAATCTGAATCCCGGTGCTCAGTACAAAAGGAGCAGTCCATACATAACAACAGATGATTTAAAGGGAAGATGTCACAGTCAGGTTTACAGAGGCTTCCACTGAGCTCACAGCAAAAGAATCACAACCTGGAGAAGTATTCTGCAAATCTGCAAATGATTGGACCTCCTGAAGCAAGTAAATACCCCAAAAAAGTGGTTGATATGCCTTTAATCCCTAAGTAGGACTGAACACATGTGTGGCCTACTTAGAATAGCCTACAATAGTACTTGTGAGCACTTGTTGTAATTTTGTGAAGTTATGCCCTAATAGCTAGAGCCATTGGTAAGATTGTCTTGTACTTAAATTACTTCTAGGACTAACCACTTTATTTGAGGAGCTCAATGTAAGATAAAAATGCAGATCCTTTGTTCAAAAACCAGAATAAAGTGCCGTTAATAGTGCAAAATTCCATATGCACATATTTTACTTTCTTCCTGGTATCTCTGTTGACTTGTCATGGTGTTATTTACCTGCTATTTAACATTATACCCTATCAGGCAAGGGGCTACCAAGGTGCATGGGGGTCAGCCCTGTGATGTAGCCAGCCACACCTGTGGCTCACCAGCTGTCTGTTTATCCCTTCTGTGAGCTACCTGACAGATGCCCTGTCCCCAGGCAGGGAAATCGGTCTCTGGTTTCCAGGTACCAGCTTCCCAGTCCAAGAAGGATGGGTATTCCCTGAAGGACCACAACTTTTGTTCCAGGATACGCTTGTTATCTGAACCAAGGGTGGGCAAGAGGCTTGCCACTACTGATGCGCCTACCTCATGTGTCCTGGTATTTCCAGCCTGGCAAGGGACAGCTCTGTCATGCCCCACATGAAGATGCTATGGGGATGTGTAACCATCCCCAACTCTACCTGTGTGTGTGCCTGGGCCTCGCCTCGAGTACAGGATGGCAGCTATCACTGTGTGAGGTGAGGGCTGAGTGGGGTTTGGGGCATCCAGAGGCAGAGAAGCTGGGAGCCTAAAATCTACCTGTGAGGCAAGGGTTTGAGGCCTCAGTGTGTGCCCCTTTTTCCCCTGGGACATCAGTTAAAAAGCACAAATTTAAATACAAAATTAATTATTTCAAAGATTTTCAATCAGGGACCCTTTGGAGCAAGGGGCCTTATGTGACCTCACTGGCTGCCGGCTCAGGAAGCTGCCCGTGATTGAAGACCTCACATCTCTGTGCTTTTTGGGATCCACTTGCTTGCTCCCAGGATGTATGCTCCTACTTAATTTATCTCTGGAAAGCTCTTATGTTAGGGTTTCAATGTGATAGTGTCTCAGTAATAAGCTGTGGTTTACTAGAATTGTGGGAATATGATGAGGATAGGGGCATGAATGACAGTCTAAGAATATCCCCTGTAAGGAGCACACATGAGCCTTATAAACTCAAGTTAGATAAAAAATAATTGATCACTTTCTGGTTTCTGAAATGTCTTAAGGAAGTTGCTGTTATATCTGTACTGGACAAGTGGTTCTCCAGTGAAGGGTTTCTACAAACCAGTGGGTGGCTAAAATTATCTTGCTGTGTGGCAAATAAACGTTAGAAAATAATATTATCTAAGTGACTAAATTTGGAAATCATTAACTTTGAACACATTCAAAGCTTCCCATATACTTCTAATGTGCACATGAGAGAGGAACGTAGGCATTTTACCTTCCTTTTCTGAGACATGGCACAGAGCACGGGAGCAACAGTATCATACGTGCAAACTCTGTTACAAATATTAACGAGACAGAGAGATGGCCTGAGAGGGCAAAGGGGTGAGAAGTGGGAGGAAGTGTCTTCCGGGCTGCTCGTCTTCTATTGATGGTCCCTAAGCAATAACATTTGAAGTAGTAGAAGGGTAAGCCTATTTAATATTACAAAGGTAAACACTGAGAAAGAGAACATAATAAAATAAGATCAGGTGACAGTTGCAAGTGAGAGGAAAGCTATTAATTTAATCATTGCTCATAACCAGAAGTCAACAGATAATGTTTAAAGAGAGAGAGGATTAAGGATATTATATGAAGTTAGAGCTCTAAGGTTAAAATTCCTTGTGGGCCTCAAGATTTTTACCCTAAAATACTTTTGTGCAATTTCACCCTGGCAATGTAAACCAGCAGCTAATCTTCACAGGTGCAGGACAGACAGCCATCGCTCTGCTCACCTGAGACAAATGCATATCTGACTGTTTCTTCTGCCCCACTGTTTATGTAAAAATGCAGATTCACTATGCTCAACTAAATTGTGTATTCAGTGAAAGGTAGATCAAGGACTCAAAATAATGCAACCTTTTGTCTTTTATCTAGCTATGACCTGGAAGTCCCCAACCACTACAAGTTGTCCCAGCTACCAGACAGAACCAATGCACATCTTACATATATTGATTGATACCTCATATATTCCTAAAATGTATAAAAGCAAGCTGTACCTCAGTCACCTTGGGCACAGGTCATCAGGGCTTCCTGAGGCTGTGTCATGCATGTGCATCCTTAACCTTGACAAAATAAACTTTCTAAATTGGTAAAGACCTGTCTCAGATATTTTGGGTTCACACACATTGCTAGCACAAAGCCAAGAACATACAGTCTACTTGAATTATTTTGATACAGTCACCAGAGGAAATACTGTAACAAAAAATTTGATTAACTAAAAGCATAACTTTCTACTACACAATCTAATCAATATAACTGAACTCACCTATTAAAATTTAAAAAATCCAAGATTAGACAAAATCAAATCTAAACTCTATACTGTATGTAGGAGACACATCTATAACAAGTGATTCAGAAAGTTTGGAATATCATAATGAGCAAAGGTGAGTTGTGTTGTACTGAGTCAACCTTGTTAAGCTAGAAAATTCATTTTCCAGATTTCCCTTTCCTATATGGTTCTGGGAGACAAAAAGTTCACTTGAAGAAGATTCAAAATGTGGTCTGGATGCCTCTGGAAGGTCTTCATGGTCAGGGACAAAGATAGACGCAGTGGTTTCCAATAGCCCTCATTGTTCTCAATTCCAGGTCCAGCTTTTCTTCCTCACTGCCAGCCCTGAGAGCATAGTGGTCCCAAGCCCATCATCAGAGGTTAGTTTCAGACCCACAAAGGTAATCACTGCACAACAGCACCAGCTCTCTTTCTCCCTGAGCTCTCATTTCACAGTCCTGCCTACGTGGTTGGATGTGCTGGCTTCTCAGACATGCCTGAAAGCTCCCACTTGTCCACCACACTGGTGCTTCAGGAGCACTGATCTGAACTGTTTTATTCACAACGCTTCTGACACCAAATGTCTGGGTTTTTTTTCCCTCACACCAATCAATTTTCAAGTCTCTAGGCACCAATGGTTGTTGAACAATTCAACTCAATTCTGACAGTATCTACCTGGAGTCAGTGTCAGATCCCACAGGTTAAGGACTCAGTCCCATACGATGGCTCCAGCTTCAAGTGCCAGCCCCAAGCCTCAGGTTGTCACTAGCAATTCTGACTGACCAGCTATATATATGGGGGTTTCCACAAACCCCTCCTCAGTTTCTATAATTTGCCAGAATGGCTCACAGAACTCAAGTAAGCACTTTACTTAATGTAACTGATTTATGTTCAAGGACATAGCTGAGGAACATCCAAATGGAGGAGCTGCATTCGGAAAAGAATGGGTGAAGGGGTAGAGTCTTCATGGCTTTTTGGGATATGCCACCTCTCAGCACCCCAAAGCGCTCACTGACACAGATGCTTTCCAAACCCCTTTACAGGCTTTAATGGAGGTTTAATTTCATAGGCATCCTTGATCAGTTCATTGGCCATTAATGGTTAACTCAATCTCTACCCTCTTTCCTCTGCCCAGAGGTTGGGAGGTCGGGCTTAAAGTGCTATAATTCCAACCATGCCTAGGACTTGCTGGTGCCCAGCCTCCATCCTGCATCTATCCAGGGTGCTCCAGCCACCAGTAACTTGTTGGCACACCAAAGGCACAGAACTCTGCAGATTCTAAGGACTTTAGGAGCTGTATGTCAGGAACTAGAGACAAAGCCCACATATTTATTTAATTTTTTATCACAAGTGGTTAGTGAGGACACCTTCTCGAATCCTTAGTCTACTTCTAGACCTTCACTTCCCCACCTCTTGCACTTTTGTGTAGGCCTAATTCCTGCAATGATAACTTGTATAAAGAAAAAAAAAAGCAGTATCTGGAGAAATACACAGAAATAAAGTAATCGTAGATTTCAATTCTCCTTTTCCATTTCATGAAAGATTAAATGAATAAAAAACATATACAAAAGATTTAAGCAATATGGTTTAAAAATGAGATGTAATAGATATATAGTTACCCTCCGTAGACTAATAGGTGAGATTAAACATTTTTCAGATGATCCATTGAAAATTCTCAAAAAAATAATCACTAGGAAAGCATCAATATGTTCTCAAACATGGAAATAATGCAGACAACATTATCTGGTCACGGTGGGGTAAAACTAAAATCAATATAAAAGCCAGAAAATCCATTTATTCTACTACCTGGAAATTAAATAACAACAAAAACAAAACTACCACAATATGTTAAAACAACCACCAGGTTAAAGTATAAATAATGAATACCAAAAATATGCATAATATCTAGAAAAATGGCAACAATGAACAATAACAGTTAAAATTTTAAAAATCTAGATAAAGCAAGGCTGATAGATAATGCTAAATAATTAGTCCAAGATATTGTTTTTTATTAATTGGACTTGAGTAGGTCAGAAAAATTAATAAGCAGTATTTACATGAAAGTATTAGGAAAATGCCACTCTTTTCACTGATTGGAGTGTACATCGGTGCAAATTCTCTGTTGGACAATATGGCACTATCTCTCAAAAAATGACAAGTTTTCATATGTTTTAATTCAGCAATAACACTTCTAGAAATTTCTTATACATGTATTCAAACATTTGCAAAATGTCAGGTATGCAAAGTTATTTACTGCAACATTGTTTTTAATGGCAGTGATTAGTCACAGTCTAAATGTCTATTAGTGGAAGATTGGCTGAAGAGATTATGATACACCCACACAATTTAATACTGTGCATCCTCAAAAGGAATGAAGTGTTTCATGCACTGATCTGAAGAGATCAGTAAGATTTATTGCTAAGTGGAAAAGCAAGGTGCAGAACAGTGCATTTGTATGCTAATAGGTGTGTATTAAAAAGGAGGGAGGAGGTCTTTATATGCTTATATATGTGTAGAGCAGCTCTGAAGGACATACAGCAGCCTGAAAAGTGGTTGGTCCGAGGGAGGGGACTTGGTTTTCTAAGGGACAAGATGTCAGGAAACTTTAACTGTATATGATTATGCACATTTCTAACTGTGTATAATATAAATGTATTAATTACTCAAAAACAAATAAAAACAAGGACAACAGCAACCCGAGTACCAGCTACCAAAGCTGTCAGCATGATAGGCTCCTATGCTGTTTTGAATGGGAAAGTCATGGAGTGGAACTAGTGCTGGGCCAGGAGAATTGTGTGTAAGTTCTAAAGCTTCTGTTATTTATATCAACCATCAGAGTCCACTCATGGTAATGCGTTCTGCAAGTGTTCAGAGTGGGGTGGGAGGAGACAATAAAATTATAGGAAAGTGCTTTACTTTGCCATATAAGTAACACTATACGATATAGGACTAAAAAATGTTCATTGGATTTGACAGTCGGGAAATCATTAGCAAACTTACCTGAAAACAAAAACAAAGCAAAACAAAAAAACCTTTTCATAAATGGGGAAAATGAGGCAGAATATGGAGTGTTAAGGGAGGGCATTCAGTATTGCCCAGATGATCACTGCTCTATCTATCTAATTGGTGTCTAGAATAGATGTGTGTCTACATGTTCAAGAGTGAGTGGAAATTCAAAAAATAGAGGAGAAAAAAATTTCTCAATGACACTTACTGATATTTATGGAAAAATAATATGTCAATAATTTGCCTCAAAATAATGTAGAGAACAGAAAGTTGGTGAGGTATGGAGTTGATGATGGAATGTGTGATACATACATGGAGTTTATGATACTTTTATTTTTTCCTTCAAAAATGAAAGAAAAATAAAGATTGTAAATGTTGATCACTTGGTCAAGAAGTTTGGTTGTATAGGAAAGTTGAGAAATGAGGTAGTATCTAGAGGAGGATACAAGTCAGAAGAGGTTAAGAGAGAACTATATACATAATCTATATATAATATAGATTTATGTATAATGTATACATATATTTATAATATATAAATATATAATTCATATGCAGTACATATATTATTATGATTAACTATATTTTAATAACATATATAATGCTTAAATTATATAATATATAATCTATATAGAAATACAGATTCATATGTAATATATAAATTATATTTATATTATATAAATTTATTTATATATATCTATTATTAACTATATTTTAATAACATATATAATGGTTAAGTTATATATAATATAACTTAATATACAGTCATGCCTCACTTAACAACGGAGATCTGTTCTAAGAAGTGTGACATTAGGTGATTTTGTAATTGAACATCAGTGTGTCCTTACACGCATCTAGACAGTATAGCCTACTACAGACCTAGGCTTTATGGCACAGCTTATTGCTCCTAGGCTACAAACCTATACACCATGTTGCTGGACTGAATACTATAGTCAATTGTAACACAATGGCATTTGTGTATTTTAACATAGCTAAACATGGAAAAGGTATAGTAACAATAGAGCATAAAATAAAAAATGGTACACTTGTATTGGGCATTTACCATGAATGGAGCTTATAGGGCTAGAAGTTGCTCTCGGTGACTCAGTGAGTGATGGGAGAGTGAATGTGAAGGCCTAGGACATCACTCTACACTGCTGTAGGCCTTATAAACACTGTACACTTAGCCTACCCTACACTTATTTTAAAAAATTATTCTTCAATCATAAATTAACTGCAGCTTACTATAACATGTTTACTTTACACAGTTTTTAATTTTATTTCACTTTTTGATTCTTTTGTAACGGCACTGAGCTTAAAACACAGACACATTGCCCCACTATACAAAATATTTTATAATTCTTATTTTGTAAGACTTTTTTCTATTTTTAACTAACTGTTAATTTTTTTTAACTTTTGAAACATTCTTGTTACAAACTAAGATACAAACACACACACGGGTTAGGATCATCAAGATGTCATTAGGCAGGAGGAATTTTCCAGCTCTGTTATAATCTTGCAGAAACACCGTTGTATATGTGGTCCATTCGCTGTAATGTTGTGATGTGGTGCATGACTGAACTATGTTTAGATATTCAGGTATTTCAGATGAAAGACACTTGAAAATTTCTTATATGTGGATAAATAAGAGCCACACATAAGAAGAGCTAATATTTATTGTGTACTTTGCATGTACCAACCACTGTCTTAAGTGCTTTACCTGATTCAGCTCATTTATCCTCACAACATCGCTGTGAGGCAGGCATTATTTTTAATCCCACTTCATAGATATAGACCGAAGCTCAGGCCAGATGCCCCCACAGGAACGGGAGGTGGGTTCACAAGCGCAGATGGAGAAACCAGCTTTCCCGGGAGGAGGAGACTCCTTTATTGGAACTGGAGCACGGGGCTTATTTGAATTTATGTGATGAGGGCAGAGAGAAAGGCAGAAAATAGTTAGCTTTCTCATTGCTTCCAGGTCCGCCTCTGTGACTTCTGTTGGTGTTATCATTTCTCTACAGCAGAAGCATAAACTGAGCTCCAAAGAGATTGAGTGACTTGCCTGAAGTGAGGCTACAAAGCCAATGAATGGGCAGAGTGGGATGAAGAGCCTGGTCGCTGAACTTCTGGCGCTGTGTTCCTTTCATCTGCAAAATCAGCCAGGATCGAGGAGAAAATTATCCCCCGAGGATGATTTACATGTCTTTATTTTATTATTCAGCAATTTTAGCTGGAGTTTCTTCCTTTATTTCATTTAGAGGTTTACTTACTATTACTCTTTTCTTTCTTTGAAAAGTGGCCCCAGGGACTTGGATTAGTTCCTGTGCCAGTGGCATTGCTTTTAATATTTGCAAAGGACAACGCAAAGGTTGCTTTAAAAAATACAATGTATTTTACTTCTTTAATATTTAATTCTGGTTCAGGGGGTGGTGGAGGGAATCTGGAAGCCTCAGCATTTAGGAGTTCAGTTTATGGGGAGGTCATAGAGCCACATCTGCAATGGTTCCTAGAAGATGTGTGGGCAAGTGTCTCTGGAGCTGGTTGTGGAAAATCAGTGATACGCTGTCAGCAACCCCACCAGCCTGTGAGAGGGGCAAGTCAGGCACCAGGCGGCTACGGCTGGTATGAGACAGAACTACTGATCCACATTAAGAAGAGTGAATGTCTGATAAAATCAACCTTTTCTATTTGGAGAAATGCCTGAAATAAGTGATCAATGTGGAATGGCCATTTAGGTACCCCAGGTTGTTAACATTGAATTGCAGTCTCTGTCTTAGTCCAAATGTCAAGAGTGTATTAGCACAGTCTCCAGATATTCTGAGGCATGTGCTGATTGGGGCTGAAGTGAGTGAATAGCTGAAATAAATAACTTTTCAACTTTTAACTTGCAGATGTTTTTTATAAGCAGGGAAAAAGCCTTATCTGAACTTGCTCTTTACTGCCTACCTCTGGGCCAAGTCATGTGTTAAAAGGAGGTCTCCATGGATGTTTGGGATTCGTGATGTAAATTCCTAAACCACCTTCAAATATGCCTGCCTTGTCTGGTTGCACCGTCCCTTCCCTACTCTTGCCTAGGATTCTTGTGCCCCTTTCCAGCTTTGTTCCTCCAGGTTAATGTAGGTGAGCACCTAATTAGAGGTCAACAGTAGCCAGACAAGGAAGGATTCTTATTAATGAGCGTGGGATCTGAAATCAGACTGGGCTTGAGTCTGAGGTCTTCTACTTAGTGAGCAGAAGACAAACTTGCAGAAATTATTTAATTTATCTTAGCTTTTTCATCTAAAAATGATGATGGCATATTTTGTTATAAGGAATATATTATATAGTAAATCACATAAAGCCATCTACATCTTATGTAAGTGATTAAAAATGTCACCTATAATTATTTTCATGTTCCTGAGCAACATGATTATTGTGAATCTTCCAAGCATTCGCATATCTCCTCAATATCTGTCGTGATCAAGGGTTGACCAAGTTCTATGGGTCCTTTCACTTTCTAGATAAACCATGGGTGTTCAGAAGTGAGTGTTTAACACATTCCCAAAGCTGATCCTTTTTTCTCTTTTTCAAGTGCATCGATTCAGGAATCATGAATTAAGAATTGAGAATCTTGATTGTTGCTTTTTCTGCTCAGTTTCCCAAACATCAACTTTATCTTATTCTTTTTTTTTTTTTTTTTTTTTGAGACAGAGTCTCACTTTTTTGCCCAGGCTGTAGTACAGTGGTGTGATCTCAGTTCACTGCAATCTCTGCCTCCCAGGTTCAAATGATTCTAGTGCCTCAGCCTCCCCAGTAGCTGGGATTACAGGCACATGCCACCATGCCTGGCTAATTTTTGTATTTTTGTAGAGACGAGGCTTTGCTATGTTGGCTAGGCTGGTCTCAAACTTCTGGCCTCAAATGATCCACCTGCCTCAACCTCCCAAAGTTCGGGAATTATGAGCGTGAGCCACTGTGCTCAGCCAACTTTACTTTATTCTTAAGGAGACAGTTAGTGTGATAGAGAATACAGACCTAGAAAAAAAATTCCAGACTCTGAACAATGCTAGATTTGAATCCTGAATTGAACACTTCTTATTATACGTATTAGTTATTATATGCAGTTTTGAGTATATTACTTTATTTTTCTGAGCTCATATTTTTTCACAAGCAAAGTAGGTTTGTGATATAGTTTGTATATTTGTCCTCGCCCAAATGCCATGTTGAATTGTAGTCCTCAATGTTGGAGGTAGAGCCTTGTGGGAGGAGTTTGAGTCACAGGGGTGAACTCTCATGAGCAGTTTAGCACCATCTTCTTGGTGCTGTCCCTGAGATAGTGACTTATCATGTGCTCTGGTTGTTTAAAAATGTGTCGCCCCTCCGCCCCTCGTATCCCTGCTTTTGCCATGTGAAGTGCCTGCTCCTGCTTTTCCTTCCACCATGATTGGAAGCTTCCTGAGGCCTCCCCAAAAGCAGAAGCTGCATAACGGTGAGAAAAATTAAACTTCTTTTCTTATAAATTACCCAGTCTCAGTTATTTCTTTATAGCAATGCAAAAATGACCTAATACAGTGATATGGTTTGGATCTATGTCCCCACCTAATCTCATGTCAAACTGTCATCTCCAGTGTTGGAAGTGGGCTTTGTGGGAAGTGATTGGATCAGATGGATGGAGGTCTCATTAATGACTTAGCACCAACCATTTGGTCCTGTTCTTGTGATAGAGTTTTCATGAGATCTGGTTTTTGAAAAGTGTGTGGCACCCCCTGCCCCCCGCCTTGTTCTCTTGGTCCTGTTCCTGCCACGTAAGGTGCCTGCCCCTCTTCTGCCTCCCTCCATGAGTAAAAGCTCCCTTAGGTCTCACTGGAAGCAGATGCTGCCATTCTTCCTATACAGCCTGCAGAACTGTGAGCCAATCAAACCTCTTTTCTTCATAAATTGCCCAGTTTCAGATATTTCTTTATGGCAATGCGAGAATGAACTAGTACATACGGCTCGATAATCTCAAACTCGTAGGTTATACTGAGATTAGAACTGGATTCAAGGTGCCATACCCAGGGTCTGATACACAATGCCAACTGTCACTTTTTGACACAGCCTGTGCAGGTGCTGTGCTGGACAATAGGGTACAGGTGAATATGACAGATTTTGCCCTCAGAATTTCAATACTTGGTGAATGTTAGATGTACAAACTGAGGTAGTTATTATAGTCAGTAAATATGAAGACAGATGTAAACCCTTCCTGCTCTAGAGACCCAGAGGAGTGGTATTTCACCTAAGCTGTGTGCTATGCGGAGTCTTCCTGGATATGGGAATAGTTGAATCAAGGCTGAAAGAGTTGCGTAGGTGTAGAGAGCATAAAGGACGTTCAAGATGGGAGAAGAGTGTAAGTGAAGCCCTGAAATTGAAGGGTGCAGAGGAGCAATGAACCCATCAATATCACTGGAGCTTACAGTGTGAGGATGGATATATGCGGCATGAGTCTGAAGAAATAGGCAGATCTTGTGTTACGAAGGTCCTTGAGCACTGCACAAAGGAGCTTGGGCTTAATTTATAACAATAGGGAGACATTGACAGTAATAGGAATTTGTCAATAAATGGTGGATGTTAGTATTATTATCATTATTGCTGTTAATCAGGCAGTTGGTGCAGTGTCTTCAGGCTGGTAAGTGATGCTGCGTCCACAGGATCAATTTCCTCATGTAGGTGATATCACTGCAGTGGAGTTCCTGACACTTTATCCCCCTTTCTGATGTTTCCCAGAGGCATAAAGTCAGACTGAAGCTCTACGCCATTTCTCAAGCTGGCATCTTATCAGTTGTTTGTTTGTTTGTTTGTTTTTTCTCAACGCCAGACACAGAGAGTACGGCTCAGGCTCTGGTGGGCTTGCCTGAAGATATAACCCAAATCTAACACTAGTTGTGCCCCTGGAATTTTTTTTACCTGTGCCTCAGTTTCCTCATCTGTAAAATGGGGGAAATAATGGGACACTACTTCTTAGGGTTGTCTTCAGGATTATGATTTACTACACGTAATATCATCAGAACCATCTCTAGCCCATAGTATATGTTCAGTAAAGCAATTAGCTGTTATGTCCTAAGTTGTGTTGATCCTTCCACCCGCACTGTGAGTACAGTTCACCCTTGAACAACACAGGTCAGAACTGCATGGATCTACTTATACCCAGATTTTCTTCCACTTCTGCCACCCCTGCATATCAAGACCAATTCCCCCCTCTTCCTTCTAAGCCTACTCAGCATGAAAACAATGAGGATGAGGACCTTTATGATGTCCTACTTCCAGGTAATAAATAATAAATATATGTTGTCTTCCTTTTGATTTCCTTAGTATCATTTTCTTTACTGTAACCTTCTTTATTGTAAGAATAGAGCAAATAATACATATAACACAAATATGTGTTAATCAACTGTTTACGTGATCACTGAGGCTTCTGGCCGATAATAGGCTATTATTAATAGTAGTTAAGTTTTTCGGGAGTCAAAGGCTTTTTTGTTTTTTTATCTATTTATTTATTTTTTTTGAGACGGAGTCTCGCTCTGTCGCCCAGGCTGGAGTGCAGTGGCGCCATCTCGGCCCACGGCAAGCTCCGCCTCCCGGGTTCATGCCATTCTCCTGCCTCAGCCTCCCAAGTAGCTGGGACTACAGGTGCACGTCACCATGCTTGGCTAATTTTTTGTATTTTTAGTAGAGACGGGGTTTCACCGTGTTAGCCAGGATGGTCTCGATCTCCTGACCTCGTGATCCTCCCGCCTCGGCCGCCCAAAGTGCTGGGATTACAGGCGTGAGCCACTGCGCCTGGCCGGAAGTCAAAATTTATGTGTGAATTTTTGACCGGGTTGGGGCAGTCCCCCAAACCCTGCGATGTCCAAGGGTCAACTGAATGTGCTTCAGAGGCTGTCTTTACTGTTCTTCAAGTAGAGCATAGGGAAACAATGGACAAAGGGCCAGCTCATTCCTGCAAGGTGGTGCATGCTAAGGACCACACAGGCTCTGGGGCGCCAGCATGTCCTTACAGTGGGGCTTGGTTCCAAGGTGAGAGTGGCGAGGGGAATGGGAGAGGAAAAGATTTGTCTTAATCTGTATTTTCAGAATATGCATACTGTTTCACTTTGTGCATTTATTTGGTTGTTAATATGATAAAAACTTCTTGATGCTATCAAAGTGTATAGAGGTTGAGAGGACGATTAGAAAGCAACATCTCTGTGGTGGATGGAATTGGGGTAGGATAGTGTGACAGTGCTTTAGAATGTGGACTTTAGAATCACAACGTCTGTGTCAGGATCCCATCCAAAGCCTTCATTAGTTTGGCAGTCCCTGGACACATCAGGTAACCTCTACCTTTCTCATCTGAAAAATAAAAATGCTTAAAATATTTTTCTCATAGGGATACGGTGAGAATCTGAGGAGATAATATATGTAAACATGCTTTCCAAGCTCTAAAAGAATACCCAAATTCGAGTTATTACTAGGAATAGGTCATGTTTGGATGGCAGATGAGTAGATGGTCCAGTTCAACAAAGAAAATAGTACGTTAAAAGATTTGGGGCCGGACACACTGGCTCACACCTGTAATCCTAGCACTTTGGGAGGCTGAGGCAGGTGGATTGCCTGAGTTCAGGAGTTTGAGACTAGCCTGGGGAACACGGTGAAACCCCGTCTCTACTAAAATATCAAAAATTAGCCCGGCATGGTGGTGTGCTCCTGTAGTCCCAGCTACTCGGGAGGTTGAGGCAGGGGAATTGCTAGAACCCGGGAGATGGAGGTTGCAGTGAGTCAAGATCATGCCACTGCACTCTAGCCTGGGTGACAGAGCGAGACTCTGTCTCTATAATAAATAAATAAATAATAATAATAATAAAAGAAGATTTGGCTTCTCTGGGCCACAGAGAGGAAAACAATTTTCCCAGAGCTAGGGAATACAGTTCCCCAAATAGTTCATTGGAATATATATGATATGCCTCCTATCTGTGAAGAGCATACAGGCTACTTGGGGAGCTAGACATGTGAAGGTCATGTGAGGGAGTTTGTGTCATAGAATATGAAGGAAGTGCATTTAGAAATGAATGTCTAGTCCCCTAAAGAATGGATACTAAGTTGCCAGCAATTGAGTTGATTAAATTGGCAAGAAGGAGCTATTGAAAATTTTTGCATGAGAGTGATGAAATAAAACTGTATTTTTTCATGCACACCTCTTGCCCAAAGGGATTTTTCTATAATCCTTTCAGCAGGGCTCCCATATGTTTCTATAAATGAGATTTGAAAAATAGATATAAAATATGAAAAAAATTCAGGCTAATAGAGTAGGTTATTCATCTAAGCACAAATGGGAACTAAAGACAAATAGTGAATGTTGATTTACTTACAGGGCAAGGATACTGGAATGTTTGGAGCTACATGAGGCAATAGTGGGGTGTAATTACTTCATGTTTGTGTATGTCGAGCAAAATAAGAAAATATTAGAATAACTTTTGAGACTAGCACGGGAAAGAATGTTCAGGGACCCACTGAGAAAAATCTTTAAGAGCAGTTTGAAGACAGGGGGACTTAGTTTTGAATCTCTCCTCTGCAATCTGCTCACTATGCAATGTTGAGCAATTTACTATTTTTCTATCTAAGCCTCAACTTATTCATCTAGAAAATGGGGCTAACGATGTTTATCTCATAAGAGTGTTAAAGATTAACTAAAGATTAAAATAAAGCATGAAAATGATTGTCATACATTGTGCATTCAATAAATGTTGGCTGACACAAACCAAAAATTCAGAATAGAAGAAAAAAAAAGATGCATATTAAAATCAAAAAATCAAGGCAATTTAAAATAACTAAGCCTAGAAATATGACACTGACCTCCATGGGAGGCAACAGAAGAGAGACTCATTCCTCACTTTTTCAGAAACAATGTACCAAGTGTCACACAGGCTTCAGGAACTTTCCTGTGGAAGGAGGGATAGTAGGGTTAGCTTCCAGCCTTCCAAGGAGCTCACAGGAAAGGGAAAGAGCCAGATAAGGAAATTGGCAATTGCAGTGCAGCTTTTTTTTTAACTTTAAGTTCTGGGATACATGTGCAGAATGTGCAGCTTTGTTACATAGGTATACATCTGCCATGGTGGTTTGCTGCACCTATCAACCTGTCATCTAGCTTTTAAGACCCGCATGCATTAGATATTTGTCCTAATGCTCTCCCTCCCCTAGCCCGTCACCCCATGACAGGCCCCAGTGTGTGATGTTTCCCTCCTCATGTCCATGTGTTCTCGTTGTTCAACTCCCGCTTATGACTGAGAACATGCAGTGCTTGGCTTTCTGTTCATGTGTTAGTTTGCTGAGAAGGATGGTTTCCAGCTTCATCCATGTCCCTGCAAAGGACATGAACTCATCCTTTTTCATGGCTGCATGGTATTCCATGGTGTATGTGTGCCACATTTTCTTTATCCAGTCTATCATTGATGGACATTTGGGTTGATTCCAAGTCTTTGCTATTGTACTAGTGCTGCAATAAACATAAGTGTGCATGTGTCTTACCCAAGGGATTGTAAATCATTCTACTATAAAGACACACGCAGTGCAGCTTTTTAAAGGTAAAATCCTACAGGAGCACTGAGGGCAGCAGTGCCCACCATGGTGGATTCTTTCTGTGGCTCCCAGTGTTTTGATTTTCCCTGTACTGTTCCATAGTCTCACACTGACCCCTGGCAAAGCAGTCATCTCTTATCAGTGAGCAGCACCAATCTGGAGAGAGGTGCCTTCACAGCTGGTGCCCATCTCACCCAAAAACTCATCCCCCTGGGGCTGTGCATGCCTCCAACCAGGAAATCTTTAGCCCCCACACCAGTTGCTGTTGTGCCTTTAGCAATTTAGAAAAGAAAAAAAGTACCCCTTCCTCAACATATTTTGCCTCTATACAGCAGTGTTTTTATTATGTATATATTGATTAAAACAAACAAAATGAACAAACATGAAACTTTGAGTCTATCTATAAAGAGCATGGTGCTTAAATGTATTAGACAAATGTATTTTATAAATGTATTAGACATATATATGTATTAGACAAATCTATAAATGTATTAGACAAATCTATGACATTTGCAATGTGGGTGATGGCCTCTCAGCCCAGAGACCCTTATGCAGTTCACCTGACAACACCATATCAATAGCCCTGACAAATACTACTATTCTCATTTTCAGATGAAGAAAATGGAGTTCAGGTAGATCAACAGAATTACTCCAAATCGTATAATTTTGGAAAAGGAGCAGAAATTAAATGCACATAGGACAGATTTCAAAGTTCCTCCTATTTCTGCACTCTGAAATGCTGATTACTGCATGTTAAAAGTGTTATTTACTTCTGGTGACCATTTCTGCCCTTTGCTGAAAAGAAAAAACAATTTGAGTTTGCACGTTTAGACCATCCCCTTTATTCACACACCAACATTCTTTGATTTATTGTGCTAAAGCACTTTCAGTTCATTAGGCATTCCCTCCCTTTAGTCTGTGTTTCAAAACTCATTATTCGACATTTATCTAAACAAACTGTATTTGCCATCCATTAGCTCTCTATTAGCCTGAGGTGCCCAAATGAGCAAATTTCTCCTCCATCAGAATACGTTGTGCCTCATTATTTGTTGTTTTCTCATAATTTAGTAGCATCTGCAAATTTCCAAACTTGGCTTTAAACACTGAGGCTGCGATATCATTAATACAAATCATGCAAGATAATACTGAGTTGAAATAAGCTTCTTTATTTTCACCTCTATCAAGCTGACATGCAAATGCAATGCTTTTATTATTGTTGTCCTTATTCCATGAGTATTTTCTCTATCTTATACCCAAGTATGAAGATTAGAGAGAGTGAACAAATAAGTTCAAGGTCGAGATTTGCAAGATGAAATATCAGCTGTGGCTTTGTTGGGCTTTACCTTAACAACATCAAATGTGCTTTATTTTTTAATATGACTATGGGTGCCCATTCCTCCTAAAAAAATAAGATCCCATCGTCTCATACATAAACTTGAAACATCTAGCATCAAATCATTCATATTCAGGCATTTACCAAGAATCATTAAGCATTCATCTAATAGCAAATCAGTTCTGAGTTGTCTGTGCTTTAACAATCATCACTCCTTCAAAATGCAAGTCAAGAATCTACAGGCAGCAATCATAATAGTAACTGCTCATTGAATTGATCATGTGCCAGTCTCTTCTAGAGGCTTTATGTATATTTACCATTCCTCACCACAAGCTCTCAGGTAGCTATTCTTAGTTCCCATTTCACAGATAAGGACATGGAGGATAAGAAAAGCCAAAGGACTTGCCAATTTCATATTGCAAGAATGTACCAGAATGAGATTCCAACACAGGTTGTCAGCTCCACAAGCCATGGTCTAACCAATAAACAGTGCAGCCTGATATGTACTAATTGTGAGACATAAAACCTGAACATGGCTTTATATAGTGCACTGTTCACACAGAGCCCCTGGAGAAATGACTACTTGTTCTTAAAATCACAAAATATGTGCTCCAACAAACAACTGATTCATTTTAAATGTGTGAACGCTGACTTTTGTGACTGACCATGAACTTCTCTTTGTTATAGGCATCAGGAAGCCAGAGGCAAAGTTCAATACTTACTGCTAATCTTTCTGTTAGCATTACTATTTCCCTGTTTCATTGTTTGTATCACGTGATTTTTATCATGTATTTATTATTGTGAACTATTTGTACTTTTTTACACCACCTCAAACAATCTTTGGACTTAGGCAGTGAAAATTACATTAAAAAGCAAGAGACAAGCATAGATACAGAGGTGAGGAGACCAACTTTGGTACCTCAGTCTCCATGGCCTTTCAAATGGCCCATTTTGGAATTTAAATAGGTAAATAACTACTTCCTACAATTGGCAAGTGTCTGAGAAATTGAACTACGGCAAAGAGAAAAATGTTGAGGAAACTTGAGGTCTAGCCCAGCTCCACCACTCTCTAGACTTGGTGACACCTGGGTGCCTCACTAAACTCATCTGTCTTTTTGTCACCTCATCTATACATTGAAAGGATTAAAGTACTTCAGGGTTGGCAAACTTTGGTCCAAATTTGGCCCATGGACTATATGTGTACAGCCTGCGGGCTGAGAATGTTTGTTTACTCTTTTAAAGGTGGAGGAGGAAAAGCAGCAGCAACAACAGTAATGGGGATGATATGTAGCCTACAAAGCCTAAAATATTTACTATCCAATCCTTTACAAAGTTTGCCAACCCCTGGACTACTTGATGGCTATCGTCTTTTTAAGACCTCATCTTCCCCACAGAAATGTAACTCTGGCTTTACTCTAATAGGCTATCGCAAATAAATCCCTTAACCTTTCTGTCTCTTAGTTTATCCCCTTGTATAATGGGTATAATGTAAGATAACCTTGTAACAGGACAGTTCTAAAGCCCAGAAAGAGATTGTAGAGTTAAAGGAAAAAGGAAGGGTACTCAGAAAGGATAATACGATAAAAAGATAGGGGCCACCAGAAGTGGTGTGGAGAATTACCATTCCTCTGAGTTCAAAAGTGCACCAGCCCAGATCGACACAAAGAAGGCACAGAAGCCGAGGACCTGCCTTATGCAAAGCAGAAGGCTCCACATTCCCCAGAAATTTCAGGTAATGTGTATTTGACCTACTTGGGGTTTTCAATTCAGCCAGCTGGCTCAGCAGAAGCCATCTGCACTATCACAGGCACCGACAGCTCCTAGCCGTTTTTACCTAAGAATCTCAGGGCACAGAGCTTGTTATCTGATTTCATGGATTGAGGACCTCTGACCTATTTCAGGGTCCAGATCAAATTTATTTCTATAAACGTGTGTGGGGTCTCTCCAGGAAAACGTTAGAGCTCCCAAGGTAAACTCAATCATTCCAGTCACCTGTGCTTTCTTTTCCTTTTGAAAAACACTGCCATTCACCCAGGGATATAAACTCACAGTTATTGGAAAGCTACTGTGGACTAGGTTCTTTACATATTTTATTTCACTGAATTTGCCTGGCAACCCCATATTCATGACATTAAAACTGAGGTTCAAAGTGATAAAAACTAATAAGTGATGAGATCACGACTGCAAGCTTCTTTGCCATGTAGCTTACCAGGTTCTAGCAATCACCCCAGTTTGAATTTTGCAAGTCATTTCTCTCTCCTTCTCTCACATCTGTCCATCATCCAAATCTGAGAAGCAATCCCTCAGGGAACCAAGTACTCCTTTCTCACCGTAGTTAACTAAATTCAGGCCTGGACAACCTGCCCCCACCCTAAATTGCTCTCTTTTACTGAAACCACACTTTTATACTGATCCGTTCTTCTTCCTATCAGGTGCGATGTACACTCCCTGCTCACTATTTCACCCTACCAGGTGAGGTCTTATTTGTTTCCCACTGTGTCTCTTTCCTGATCAGACTGGTCTGTACTCCGCTGTTTGGGGGACTCTTTGTGACTCTTTCCAGGCCCTGCATTTTCGCTTCCTCATGCATCCAAACCCTACACATCTTTAATCTCCACACTTCCCCCAGGTGGATTTCTTCACTTCTGTCTCATTCTTACTCTTTTTCTTTTACTTTTGAAACACACTTATTAAACACTTACTAGTTATTTAGCTCAATGGGCTTAATGTATTGAACAGAGCACAGGTTTTCTTTCCAACTCTGTTTGAATCCTACTTATTTCAGTTACTGTGCAGCATTAATCTAGTTGTTCAGCTTCTCAAAGTCTCAGATTTCTAACAGGTAAAAATTATGGCTGATAATAATGGTTTGAAAAAGTTTTCCTTAAAGATAACAAAAAAGTTTCTCGTATCATGGCTAATACAATGGTAGACAATCAATACCTACTTCCTTCTTCTTTTTTTAAAGCTATCATTTGTGATTATGTAATATGTCTAATGCAAGCCAGTGCTCCAATCCCATTGTCTTATATTATTTATCATTACTTCTTCCATGAAAACCGTGTGTTCAAACACAAGGTAAGTAACATAAAAGAAGGAAGCATATGTTTGTTTCTTCTTTAGTTACCTTAGCCTTTAGAATCTTATAAAACATAAAAGAGCTAGTCAATAAATACTTGGTATTGATTAGAGTCTCATAGATAATGAGAAAAATCAATGGTCTTATCTTCAGCAGCAGCTAAAGTAATCAATATAATCCCATGAAAATATTTGCCCTCAGGAAGTGCTTTGCAAGTTTTATTTATTCCTATTTTTATTAAAGAAAAGCAATATCCTCCCCCAAAGAGTAATTGGTTCTTTTTTTATTTTGAGAAAGGTCAGAAAAAATAGAACATGCCGAAACTGATTAATTTGTGTAATTTTATAATCATCCTAAATTATTTTTCAAAGTAGGCCATATGACTTTGCTAAATAAAGGATTATTCAATCAGAACTTACCTTCTCACATGCAGGATATTTTTGCTGATTTTACTTTATTTTCCTCATCCATCCATACATTTACTCAATATTGTCTCTTGAGGTCCTATGATATAATGGTCAATTCTGGTGCCAGGAATATAAAGATGGAAAGATTCAGTGCTTTCCCACTCCGTGGGGGAAAGACAGACTAACAGAGAAGCCATCTCAGCATTAGGTGATGGTCATAATGACATATGTGCACTCTTAGCTCTGAAGTGCTTCACAACCCAAAGGCTGAGATTTGAAGCATGTGCATGAAAGGGCTAGAACAGCTAGGATAATAGTGAGGCCAGGAAATTCCAGGCATCCATTGCCCTTGTAAACACTCTGTTCTCACTTCAGAGCTATGATCAACTAAGATGTGTGCAACTCAATGATAAATAAGTGAACTCATAGTCCTTTTATGGGAGCAGAAAATGCAGCATAGAGTAAGATCTGGACTGGGAGCAAGATCTGTAAATCAAATAATTTTCTAATTCTTAAATTCTGTAATTTTGATAAATAATTTCTCCTTTAAGTAACCTCACACAAGTATTCTAACACTTGAGAAAATAATTCTCAAAACTTTTGCTACCTTGAAAGTATTAGAGAAATTAATGAATGGAGAGTACAAAACATAATGGAGCTGGTAAGTGAGCCACATGTGGGCTCAAAATTCCAGCTCTCTCCTTTTCCATCTGTATGAGCTGGGGCAAGTTTCCTAACCTTCCTGTGACCTGGGTACCTCATTTGTACAACTGGAAAAACACCAAGAGTGTAGTAAAAATTTGAAATGAGATGCTACAAGTCAAACGCCCAGTACAGAGTAGTCCAACGAAATATTTTTCTTCTTTTGTACTTAAAAAAAAAAAATAGGTGGGGTCTTCAGCCTTTGAGAAGGTGGAGAAAATAGACTTTTCCCTCTTTCGCCTAGTAATTACAATGGAGAATCCTGGACATTCTAATAAAAATAAGCATATGAAGACTGAAAATTGTAGAGAACAAAGCTGATTGTCTAGGGAATTTCAGAAAGGACACAGTGGTGCATGCCTTGAGTTTTGTTTTTCCCTCATTTATCTCTGAGTTGACGAAGCTAGAATCTGGAATTACAAATGAGGTAGATGAAAAGTGCCCCAAAACAAGCCTGTTCTCTCTAGGAAGTTGGCCAGGGAAATAGCAATCTAACAAGTCAGAAAACTTAAAAATAACTACTGTGACTGGTTAAACACCCAGAAAATATTGTGGCTCTATCTTTACTCATGCAAAGGCCGAGTGGTGAACCTGCACTTCCACGTCCATGAGATTATCAAGATGCACTTGAGTGGTGTCAAATAAAGCCAAGTAGGGAGCCAGGACTTTGAACTCACTGGCAGGAATATGCTCCCTACAGACAGTTCCAGGGCAGACTCCATGGAGAGCCAGAATTTTCATCCATGCTTGGCAGTAATGAGGAACCCACCAGTCAGGTACCAATGGAGACTGAATAGAATGCTTGGATTTTTATATACACAAGGCAATTATGAATTTTACTTCCCACTTTGACTGCTAGCACAGTGTAAAAAAAAAAAGCCAGTTAAAACAGAAGGTTTAAATAAATTTAGTGATCTCATAACATAATATGAAAATATCCAAGTTTGAATTCAAAATTACTCATCATATTAAGAACCTAAGATCTTAAATAGTATGACAAAAACAATAAATGCATACATCAAAATGAAAGATAGAATAAGCTGACAAAAATTTAAAAACAACCATGATAAAATGTTTCAGTAATCAATTATGAACACGCTGGAAACAAATGAAAAACTGGAAAAGAGCCTCACCAAAGAAAAGTATCAGCAAATAAACAGAAGATAAAAAACGAGATGATAATATTAAAACTAAAAAAATAGAAATGTAATAAAATCCTCAGAGGACAGGCTTGATAGTCTTAATAGCAGAAAAGGAGATAGAGGAAAGAATCAGAAAACTGGAAGATTAAACAATAAAACTTATCCAATCTGAAAAACAGAAAGTAGACTGAAGAATAATTAATAGAACTTCAGTGACTGGGGGTCAGTAACAAGTTTTAAAATTTGTGTCATCAGAGTTCCAGAAGAAAGAGGGTGGGGCTAAAATAACTTGAATAATGGCTGAAAACTTCCCACATTCAATGGAAGACATAAACCTGCAGATTCAAGGAGCTGAGGAAACCAAAGATAGGATCGACCCCAATGAATCCATAGCAAGACCCATCATAATTAAACTTTTAAAAACAAAGAAAAACATCTTGAAAGCCACCTGAGAAAAATGACATCTTACCCATAATGAAAACAAAACAAAACAAATCAAGTGACAATAGGTTTCCCATCAGAAACCATGGAGTTCAGAAAAAAGGGAGCACAATACTTTTAGTGTGGTTAAGAAAATATATTTTTTGTTTTTGGAGATGGAATCTCGCTCTGTCGCCCAGGCTGGAGTACAGTGGCACCATCTCAGCTCACTGTAACCTCCGCCTCCCAGATTCAAGCAATTCTCCTGCCTCAGCCTCCCTAGTAGCTAGGACTACAGGCCCACGCCACCACGCCCAGCTAATTTTTGTATTTTTAGTAGAAATGGGGTTTCACCATATTGCCTAGGATGGCCTCAATCTCTTGACCTCATGATCTGCCCCCCTTGGCCTCCCAAAGTGCTGGGATTACAGACGTGAGCAACTACGCCCAGCCAAAAATATTCTTTAAGTGTAAAGAGGGAATTTTAAAAACCTCAGATGAAGAAATCTAAGAAAACTTGTCACCAGCAGGCCTATCCTAAAATAATGACTATACTCTATTATCTAAATAGAAAGAAAAAATAAAAGAAGGAACTTTGGAACATCAAGAAGGTAGAAGGAACACAGTAAACAAAAAATGTGGGTAGATTCAGTAAGCTTTCGTTTTTGTCTTGAGTTTTCTAAATTATGTTTGGGACACTTGAAGCAAACATTGTAATGTCGTATAATGTGCTTCTAAGTCTAAGTGTATGCAGAGGAAATAATTAAAACAATTATATGACCAAAGGCGAAGGATAAAGGGGCACAAAAAGAAGTAAGGTTTCTGTATTTTATTCAGACTGATAAAATGATGACACCAGTAAACTGTGACAAGTTACCTATATAAAATAGGGTGTAATACCTAGCAGTTACTAATAAAGCTATATAAAAAGATGTATTCAAAAGCACTATGAATAAAGCAAAATGGAATTTTAAATAAATGTTCAAGTAATCCACAATAAGTTAAGAAAAAGAAAGCAGAGAAGAGACAAACAGCACACAGAAAACAAAATATTAAATGTTAAATTCTAATATATTAAAATAAAATAAAATATAAATGGCCTAAGGTTACCACTTAAAAGACAGGGATTATCAGATAGGATTATAAGCCATGACCCAACTATGTTGTTTACAAAAAACTTACTATAAATATGACAAAATGGGCTGAAATTAAGAGGATGGAAAAAGATATCTCATGGAAGTATTAATCAAAGGAAACTTAGAAGATAAGATATAGATAATATATCTTATCTTCAGAGCAAAAAAAATTACCAGAACCAGAGAGATGTATTATATACTGATAAAAGGGTCAATACACCAAGAAGTTGTAGCAATTATAAAAGTGTGTACACCAGGCCAGGTACAGTGGCTCACGCTTGTAATCCCAGCAGTTAGAGAGGCCAAGGCAGGCAGATCACGAGGTCAGGAGATCGAGACCATCCTGGCTAACACGATGAAACCCCGTTTCTACTAAAAATACAAGAAATTAGCCGGGCGTGGTGGCAGGCACCTGCAGTCCCAGCTACTCGGGAGGCTGAGGCAGGAGAATGGAGTGAACCCGGGAGCCGGGAGGCGGAGCTTGCAATGAGCCGAGATGGCGCCACTGCACTCCAGCCTGGGCGACAGAGCAAGACTCGGTTTCAAAAAAAAAAAAAAAAAAAAAAAAAAGTGTGTACACCAAAAACAAAGCTGCAAAATATGTGAAATAACTGATAGAACTGATAAAACAGTTCTATCGATAGAACTGAAAGGAGAAATAGACAAATTCACAAGTGTAGTTTGAGACGTCCACATCATTCTCTACATGATTGATACAACAAGGAGACAGAATATCAGCAAGTTTACAGAAGAACTCAACACCATTAACCAACAGTCTTCAATCGCAGCCAAATGTACATTCTTTTCAAGTTTTCATTGAATGTATGTCAAGACAGACCATATTGTGGGCCACTAAACAAACCTCAACAAGTTAAAAATAATTGAAATCAAGTAGCGTGTATTATTTGACGGAAATAGAATATCACAGATTCTCAATAACAGAAAGTAGTAGGAAAATTTTCAAACACTTGAAAACGACACACTTTTAAATAATAAATTGGATCAAACATGAAGGCTCAGGTGTAATAAAAAATACATCAAACTGATTGACAGTGAAGATACAACCTATTAAAATTTGTTACATATGTCTAAAATAATGCTAAGTGAAATTTACAGGACTAACTGCATGCACTAGAAAAGAGTTCAAGTCAATCATCCAAGCTGCAAGCTCAAGAACTTAGAAAAAGGAAAGCAAAGGTAGCAGAAGGAAGAGGGAAGAGAGCAGAAATCAATGAAATTAAAAAATAACAAAGGAAAATTAATGAAGTAAAGAGCTACTTCTTTGAAAAAAAATCAATAAAATTGACAAAACTCTGGCAAAACTGACAAAGGAAAGAGAGAAAAACCAATATCAGGAATGAAGCAGTGTATGTCACTACGGGCATCAAAATGATAATAAAGGACTGCCACAAACAGCTGTATCTCATAAATCTGAAACTTTGACGAAATGAGTGAGTCTTTAAAGAAATACAAAATATCACAACCAAACATGAAATATATCATTTGGATAGTCCTGTAACGATTAAGAAACTTGAATTCGGCCAGACGTGGTGGCTCATGCCTATAATCCCAGCACTTTGAGAGGCCGAGGCAGGTGGATCACGAGGTCAGGGGTTCAAGACCAGCCTGACCAACATGGTGAAACCCCGTCTCTACTAAAAATACAAAAATTAGCTGGGCGTGGTGGTGGGTGCCTGTAATCCCAGCTACTTAGGAGGCTGAGGCAGGAGAATTGCTTCAACCCGGGAGGCAGAGTTTGCGGTGAGCCGAGATCACGCCACTGCACTCCAGCCTGGGCAACAAAGCGAGACTCCGTCTCAAAAAAAAAAAAAAACAGGAAACTTGAATTCATAATTTTTAAAACATCCCCAAAAAAATCTCTAGACACAGATAGTTTCACTGGAGTATTATACAAAACAATTCAAGATAAATTAACATCAATTCTAAACTATCTCTTCTGGAAAACAGAGAAATAGGAAAGGTGGAATATGTCACCGTTTATTTAATGAAGATATATACACATGAATGTATTTTTTTGTATTTAATGAATATATATACATATACCTTCATTAAGTATATGTAAACACATATATGCAAGCACATATGTATATATACACACACATATATAGACACATACTATACACACACATACATGTATGTATAGCCAATGCAATAAGTCAAGAATCTACAGGGCAGGCACGGTGGCTCAGGCTTGTAATCCCAGCACTTTGAGAGGCTGAGGTGGATGGATCTTGAGTCCAGGAGTTTGAGACCAGACCAGGCAACATGATGAAACAAACCCCATGTCTACCGAAAATACAAAAATTAGCCTGGCATGATGGCATGCATCTGTAGTCCCAGCTACTTGGGGGACTGAGGCAGGAGAATCGCTGGAACCCAGGAAGTCCAGGCTGAAGTGAGGCAAGATTGAGCCACTGCACTCCAGCCTGGGTAACAAAGCGAGACGCTGTGAGGAAAAAAAAAAAACCTCTACAAAATGACTTCTGGAATTAATAAATGAGATCAAAAAGGTTGCAGAATTCAAGATAAAAATAAAACTATAAATTGTATTTCTATATACTAGCAATGAACACATATAAAAATAAAATAAAATATCATTTGCAATCACTCAGAAAGTTAGTAATTAAATCTAAAGAAAACATGACCAGGGCTTTTATGCTAAAAACTACAAAACACTGATAAAAAGCCAAACATCTATATAAATGGACAGATACACAGTGTCCATGAATTAGAAAATTCAATATAGTACAGATGTCAGTTGTCCCCAAACCTGATTTACAGGTTTAACACAAGTCCGATCAAATTCCCAGCAAGATATTTTTGTATTCAATTATTTCACTTACAAAAACTGTAATTAATTGTTATATTACTATTATTTTAAAATTTCTATAGAAAGGCAAAAAAAGAATAGCTGAAACAATTTTTGAAAAAAAATGAGAAAGAAAGAAGGAAAGCTGGAAAGAAGGAAAACAACAAAGAAGGAAGAAAAAATAAAAGGATAAATTAGTCTACTCAATTTTAAAACTTATGTCTACAGCAATCAAGACTGTGAACGTGGTAGAAAGAGGGACACATAAATCAATGAAAAAGAAAGAGAACTTGGAAATAAACCCACAAAAATATGGACAATTGATTTTTGACAACTCAAAAGCAATTCAGTAGAGAAAAGATAACTTTTTAAAACTCTAAAACTTTTAGAAAAAAACAGTAAAAACTATTTGGTATCTATAATACTAGACAAAGAGTGCATAATCCATAAAGTCAGATTTGACTTTACCAAATAAAAAACTTTAATTCTACAAAAGACCCTAAACATGGGAATGAAAAACAAGTTACAGAATGAGAGAAAATATTTTATTTATTTATTTATTTATTTTTTGAGATGGACTCTCACTCTTACTCTGTTGCCCAGGGCTGGAGTGCAGTGGCACAGTCTCAGCTCACTGCACTGCAACCTCACCTCTCGGGTTCAAGCAATTCTCCTGCCTCAGCCTCCTGACTAGCTGAGATTACAGGCACGCATCACCACACCCAGTCAATTTTTGTATTTTTAGTAGAGACGGGGTTTCGTCATGTTGGTCAGACTGGTCTTGAACTCTTGGCCTCATGATCTGCCCTCTTAGCCTCCCAAAGTGCTGGGATTGCAGGCATGAGCCACTGCGCCCAGCCTGAGAAAGTATTTTCAAGCCACATATCTAACCAAGGGGTAGTATCCAGTATATATAACTCTTAAAACAACAGTAAGTAAATGATCCAGTTACAACTGGGCAAATGACATAAAGAGAAATTTCACCAAACAGGATATTCAGATGGCAAATAAACACATTAAAGATGTCCAACACCATCAGCCAGTAGATAAATGCAAATTAAAACCACAATGAGATGTAACTATAGAGCTATCAGAATGTCTAAAGTAAAAAATAGTGACAACACCAAATGCTCTCCAGAATGTGGATCATTCATACATTGCTGGTAGGAATATAAAATGGTAGAGATACTTGGAATACAGTTTGACAGATTATTTAAAAAGTATACATGCCACTGCCATATGGCCCAACAATTGTACTTCTTGACACTGATTCAGAGAAATAAAAAATTATGATTATACAAAGCTTTGTACACAATTTTCACAGTCTTGTTTGTAATGGCTCAAAACTGGAAACAATGTATTATCTTTTGATAGGTGAATGGTTAAACAAACTGTGGTACATCCACACCACAGAAAACTACTCAGCAAGGAAAAGAAATAAGTAAATGGGAAAGAAAAGAAAAATAAATAGTTGATACTTGCAACTCCATGGATCTCTAGAGAATTAAGTTAAATGATAAAAGCCAATCTCAAAGGTTGGATTCTGTATGAGTCCTTTTTTTTTTTTTTTTTTTTTTTTTGAGAGAGAGTCTCACTCTGTTGCCCAGGCTAGAGTGCAGTGGCACAGTCTCGGCTCACTGCAACCTCCGCCTCCCGGGTTCATGCCATTCTCCTGCCTCAGCCTCCCGAGTAACTGGGACTACAGGCGCCTGCCACCACGCCTGGCTAATTTTTTGTATTTTTAGTAGAGACGGGGTTTCACCGTGTTAGCCAGGATGGTCTCAATCTCCTGACCTCGTGATCCACCCGCCTCGGCCTCCCAAAGTGCTGGGATTATAGGCATGAGCCACTGCGCCTGGCCCTGTGTGAGTCCTTTTATATAACATTCATAATAGGACAAAAATTACAGGATGTAGAACAGTTTAGTGATTGCCAGATGTTGAGGTTGAGAAGAAACTGACTATAAAAGGGCAATATAGGGGATTTTGTATTGATATAAAATTCTCATACTTTGACAACATTAATGTCATCATCATGGTTGTGATATTGTACTACAGGACAGTGCAAGATGTTGACACTGGGAGAAACTGGTAATGGAAACACAGGATCTCTCACTATTTCTTACAACCGCGTGTGAATCTACAACTATCTCAAAATGAACAGGTCAATTAAAATAAGGAATGAGTGGATCCTTTGCCTTATGCTAGTCCTCCTTGTAAAAAACTTTGATATTTTGCCCAATATCTTCATATAAAGGCACTCACTTGCTACCACATCCCCTATCAAAGAAACACAAAGATAATGCTCAAGAGCCATAAGAAATTCTGCTGATTCATTCACATTTTCTAGAAGTGAGTTCCTCAGGCCTATGACTCAGAAAAGGAAGCTATAGAGGAATGCCTACATTTTCCAGAGATAAGAAATTATCACCTTAGAGAAGCTTCCACAATTTAAAAGCTACTTAGACAAAGCAGAGAGCACCTAAAAGAAGGTTGCTAGGATGGTGAGCAGTTAGGAAATTGTTTCACATAAGAAACAGTTAAGGAAGTTATAGATATTTCCCCTGAGGAAGAAAAATGTTCACAGATCTATGCATTTGAAGGGCTGTTAGGTGAGACAAATAGGAGGCTTATTTCCTCTTAGTCATAAAGAGTGTTTCCCAAAGGGTGGTTCTAATAGATGATTTTAGACGGTGTAAGAACTAACATATTTCATGTTAATTGTTATTTTCTCATTTAAGTGTGTATTAGAAAAAAAAAACCAGTACATCTAGTAACACAAAATTTTTACTTATAGTAAGGCATATATACTCTCCATTAACATACACCTAATTTTTATAAGACAGTTTTCAAAGAAAAATATAAGCAAATAAAAGTCCAGATGATTTATGACTACAAGAACTTTGAAGCCTGTTTATGATTGCAACTGTAAAGTTTTATTGGAGACAAATGACTACTTATCACTAGAATCCTTCAATCACCTCTAACAAACATGTCAAGGATGCTAGGGAAAGGGTTCTTATCGTGACTGGGGCCCTGGAAAAAGCATTCTCTTGATCTTCTCCTGATATTTCAGAATCTCCGTGTCTATGGTTTTTAAGGTTGTTCTTGAAGAGGCAGTGAAAATCAATGTATTGTATAATTGCTTCAGATAGATACACTAAAAATAATTATAATGGCATTATTTCAAGCCAAGAATGAGCAGTCAGCAAATTTCAGTCAAGGTATTTTCAAAACTGCTTATCTTTCAATCCACTGTCACTTTCTAGGAGCATTTTTTATAGAATGGATTTGGGGACACTCTCAGTGTTTTCTATGCAATTGGCCCAATGCAATTGGAAATGATTTTCAGTGTTCCCTCGGATGAATTTTGTGTGCAATCAATTCAGAAATGACTACTCTAGATTACATAAACAGAACACACCCACATTCATGCAGCGGTTCAAAGTCACTGGCTCTTTCACAAAGCCTGAGTTACAGTGTTCTTTCTGAGCCGGAAGGTATAATAATCCTGTCTTAGTTTATGGCAATTTAAGAGTCATTTGTTTAGACTGCAAGACTATTTATGGAACAAGACCGTCTTATACAGTTCATTTATCCTCCTGAAAACTAGAAAAATGCATATTTTTGAATGAAATTTTAGCTTACTAAATATTTTACATTAATTTTCCTAAGACCTGCATTGTTTAAGTTGATAGATACTGTGTTTATAGGGCTAGAACACTGGGTAGTGAGGGGCAGTTGGGAGAGAGCACAAAATAAATGTAAGGAAAATGCTATTTTAACTCAATCTCCATAGTATGTCTTTCCAAATAATTGAAAATACTTGATGATTTTCTTTTCCCTTGTTCCATATTAAACAAAAATTACATGCCAACTTTGTACTTCATATATTGATTATACTTTTACAATGAAAAGTAACAATGACTGAGTAATCCTAATGTGCTAGGCACTCTTCTCAACTTTCTATGAGTAGCAATTCATTTATTCTTCAACAGCCCTTGAGGTTAGCCATGTTTTATGGATAGGAAGACTGAAACATATCTGGCTAGTATGTGGTGGAGTTGGGACTTGAACCCATGCATTTTGAGCATTATTGAGCCTGCATTTTGAACCTATTTGTCAGTGGCTTTCCAAGTTTCTTATCCATGTCCCATCATATGAAATAAATTCCTTGTAGAGACTCAGCACACACACACGTATACATACACACGCATGCTCATACACACGCACATACACATGAATAAACATTTTTTCCTTTGATAAAGTGACAGAAACCACACACTTCTGATATTTTCATCTATTTTATTTTTAAAATGCTAGTCAAGTCTCACTAAACTGATTTCACAACCCATCAATTTATTGCAATGCACTGTTTGAAACGATTTGTACAAGTTCACTGATTCTGTGAAGGGAAAAATCAGGGGTTCAGATAGATAAAAAGGATAGAGCCCTTATGTCTGAACACTGAGGCTGTAGGGGATTTAGAGGTTGAATGGGTGGTATACAGCAGGGCACACCACTGTGCTATGCCCAAACAGCTGTGGCCCAGAGCAGAGTGCCTGGAGCTTCCATACAAGCACAAAGTGCTGGGCTTTCTTGGAGGAGGCGTGGTGTGATGGGAAGAACATGGGGGTTGGAGCCAGAAAACCAGAGTTTGAAGGCTGTTTCTGCCAATTACTGGCTGAGTGCTCTCAAGCAAATTAATTAATCTCTTTGAGATCAAATTTTCTGCCTATTACACTGGACTAACGTAACAGGTGTTTTTGCTGCCCCAAATCATGCATCTTTGTCCTACTTATGACTTCAGCCACAGTTCCAGTGAACAGTTTCACTTAAGCCCAGACTCACCCTGACAGTCCTGTTTCTGCATCTAGCCCTGTGTCTTTTCTGAAGCACTTGGAATTGCTAGATCCAACACCATGCATTTTGAGGAATTATTACACAGGGAGGTGGTTTTCGTTTAGATGTAATCACCCCTGCTTCCTATGTCAGAAACAGGACAAACCTGGAGATTCCTCTCTACCTTTCACAGAGGTCCCACACAACTGAGTCCCTGTTGCCTTCAGAATCTGCTCGGCCATGCCCCATATATTGACGTTTCCTCCTTCCCTGCATCCCTCTCCAGACACTCTTCCTCCTACTTCCTGGGACAATCTCACAAATAAAATACCTGCACCCAATTCCTTGTCTCAATGTTTGCTATCAGAATAGCATGAATTAAAAGAAACAAAACTGACATAACAGTGGTTTTGAGGATTAGGTGACAGAAAGTATATTCTATCTCTAGTGGATGCATATTGCATCAGAGCTGGCAAAAATTGTAAATTGTTCAAAACTGAAGATTCCATCACAGTTTGAAGGTGATCTTTTGAGGAATAAAACCAATGTATTTAGGCCAAGTCATAATTTGAAATTAAGAGCTAATATCATACCACTAGTATATGCAAGAACTGGAATTCAAACTCAGGTCAGTCCATAGGTACCAGCAACTAGGAATATGTTTATAGACTTCAACCCAGAATTATTTTTTCTGAGGCTTTATTTGAAGGGTATAATTCAGGATGTGTACAAAAGAAATCATTGTGCCTATATACAATAAGCTATTACAAGTGCATAACAAAATACATTTACAGATGTAGAAAGATGTTCAGAACATATTGTTAAATAAAAATAACAGTCTTCTATTCAATATGTAGACCACAATTCTAGTTGTAAACATATTATCTTCATGGGAAAATGTACATATATTCATAAGAAAACAGAATTTGATGATTATATGCTACAATTTGTAGAATTGTTGTCCTTTCAAGGATTGAATCTGAGGTTTTGCTTGGCATTTTCTTCTGGGTTTTGTCTCTATCTTTTGTAATATTTTATTTCCTGAGTCAACATATATTGCTTAAGTTAACTCAACAAATAACACATTTGACTTCATTGTCATTTTTCTTGCAACTTCACTAGAAACTCTGCAGTGGATTTTGTGAAGAAATGGTAAACCATGTCCATATGCCCTCATTGTGTTTAATGGACCTTACAACAAAGGAGCCCAAAGGAATAGTTCTCAGTTTGAATCTCTTTGGAGTACAGTCAAACTCCTAACTCACAAAGCTGATTCAAGTCAAGTTGTATGACAAACTAGAGAGAATCTTGCCTGATTCTACCTACTTTCTATAAAGCTGGTATTAGAGACCATCTTATTTATCCATATTTTAATTGAGGACAAAGAATCAGGAGGACCAGCCTAAACACAGGCATGATGGCATTGAGAGAAAACTAAATAAAAATTAAAACTCGAAGAATAAGGGAAAGGACTTTGAGATCTGACCCTGTGTGACAAATGGTTAGGCTTCCTGTAGTGAACACTTCTGGAGCAAGAGATGGCCTATGTCAACATATACTTTTCTATGTGCTTGGTTCATCAGACACTGCTATGGGGCCACAGGTAGACAGATTGTTTTTAAGTGAGGACTCCCAATAATTTGTGACAACACAAATGTCAGAAAAGTAGAGCTGGACTTTGAATTTGGGAGTTATCTCTAGTTTATCACACAGCTTAGTTTAGGAGAATGACCTATTAGCAAGTATCTTTTCTCAAATAAGGCTTACAATACTGATTGCAATTATCTGGTTATACCTGTAAAATTAAGGAGGATACACCGAGACGTATTTAGAGGTATGTTATCCACGGTGTAGTTATAAAGTGGCCTTCACAACAATGATTAGAGAACAGATTTTGGGAGACACTGCAAAAGACTTCTGGATGCTATCATTCAATCAATCAATCATCTTTGTGTATAATTGTATATGCCACTGTGCCTCACTCTTTCAAGCCCTAATAATAAAATCTAACTTTTGCGTGACTTTTACATGTATCAGCCACTTAATAGTAACAATATTTTAATCTTCACTGATGTTGGTAATGAGAGTTCAAGCTTTTCTTTATGTTATAAAGGAGGACACTGAGGTTCTGAAATGCTCCTTGCCCTAAGTCACAGAGATGGCAGATGATGGAGCTGTTTTTTATAGGGAGATTATAGGTCTTATACTTGGGCTGATTGCTTTTATATTATGCTGGCTGCAGCTCCAGGACCATCATTCTGGAGCTGTCACTAGCTAGCATCTCAGCTTTGCATAGTGCCAATTTGACCACTGTCTTCTCCACTTTCATTACCATTTTTCAGAGTGAATAACAAACTGAAATGACTACAGATTAGAAAGGAATTCTTGCCTTTCCAAAACAGGGTTAATGCACTCTCCTGAAAATATACAAATGCAAAGGGACAACCTGGGAAGAAAATAGGGGTGTCATATAGTCCTCCTTTGCTGGCAGATATTACTGAGAAAAAAACTTTAAAGACACCAAGAGAGTGTTTGTGGTAAAAGCCCAGGACAGGAGGACAGTTGAGAAAGAAGGAAAGCTTCAAAGTGTCAACCAAATTGCCATAATCAGGGAGTTGAAGGATACAAGAAAAAGCTTCAAATGTGAACACTATAGTACCTGTAGTACACTGTAATATTATAATCGTAATAGACTATAGTCTTTGAAAACAGTCTTAAGTAAATTGATTCTTGAGAAACAGTTTCAAGAAATTTGAGAAGCTGGAGACTCTGTCATTAGCAGGAGGTAGAGTTCTTGATTAACCAGAGCTGCTGCAAAATCAACTATATTTCCAGGAAGCTTAATTGACAGAGATCACAGTCAGGGTTCGAGTCGAGACAAAGAATGTGAAGTCAGGGTTTGAGATTCAATCTGATGCCAAACAATGTGAAGTTAAGCTATAATATCTGTAATGAGGCTACCTGAATTTTAAAATCTAAATCAGCCTTTACCACTTAATACATATAATCATTGGGTTAATCATATAATCTTGGTCTGACTCAATTTTCTTTTCCATATCATGGGCAAACTCATAATTCCTACTTCAGAGTATAGGCAGTCCTCACTTTGTGCACATTTCTGAGATGCACAAGTTTTACTTATCACAGTTTAGGTAAATGACAAAGCCCTCCAAAAACATGGCTCAATGTTTAATTACTATGGTATATGAATTTTGAGTAAAGGCATAAAGTACAAACTTTGCTGCTAGCTCTTTAGTTCACAAATCACCACATACATAAGAGATGCACAGCATGACCAGTGGCCAGTCACATCACTTCTTCCAAAGTCTTTCAGTGATTGCTGACTGGGTATCTGCTAATCAGTCCACACACAGACAGCAAAATGTGTAGTTGTGTTGCTTCCTTCTCTCCCGGTGGTAAATCGATGTGACATTTACAAAAATTGGTAATTGAAATGCAGAACTGGGAAACAGAGATGAAAGTGCAGCAAAGAAATGAAAAATGATAACACTGGGATTAAGATTTAAATGGAAGCCAAATGGAGACCAAACAGCTGACCTTAGAAACCTTGACATTTTGCCATTCAAGGGACTGTAGACATGCAGGCTAAGAACTTAGCAAAGATGAACTTATCAACATAAATGAGAAAAGTGATTGTGACAAAAAGGTTGAAAATGTCCCAGACTTACTGATGATGGCAAAAAACTTCACATGAAAGGGATTATCAGAGATCTTTCATGGCATCGAAAGTGCAGAGGATAAAATGTTAGAAGTGGATCTCAACTTAGAAAGGAGTATGACAGGTCACCAAGGATTAGAAAAGATGCCTGCTTTGTGTAGTAAGTTGTATGACAAAAAGGAGGCAAGCTAATCTAGCTGTCTTAGGTAAATTATTTTAATAAAGAAATGAAACACTTTAGTTATCAGTGTTTCTAATATTTTTAAATTAGGGTGTACTAAATACGTATAAGTTATATTTTTTCATATCCCTATTCATTTATCCCCAATTGTAAAAAAAGTACATTTTTAATGTTTGACATCAATTTTTTAAAAGTCACAGAAAACTGCACTTTTTCATGTTGATTATTGTGTTTGATGCAATTTCAGCTTTCACAGACACAAGGAACACTGCCTGCATTGCCAGAAGATTAAATCAAACTACGTAAAATGGAATAGCACCATGCTTTGCTCACAGTAAATGAGGCTTAGGAATCAAATAACAATAGGAGTAATATTGGCAGTTGCATAAAATCATAATAATAATGACAATAGATGATGATGATAATGATGATGATGATGAATAGATCTGATGTCAATGTTTTTGCTGGAGATGGTAGACACAAGATGATCAAATTTATAGATCCTGCTTTACCCATTCCCTCCATTCCACATTCTCCACTCAGAAATATAGATCACAGGCTGGTAAGTGCTGTCTAGGAGTCAATACCCATGACACTGATAAATGCCAAAGGGAGAGGGCAAGGGTTCCCCTGGTCCCATTTGGTGTTTCTGCACTGTTCTCCATATGCAACAGCCTCGCCATGACATTATTCCTCTCCTTGTTCTCACTTGCTCCCTTTAAAATAATGGTTTTTTAATTTTTGTGGATACATAGTACGTGTATATATTTATGGGGTACATGAGATACTTTGATATAGGCATGGAATGTGTAATAATCACATCATGGTAACTGAGGCAGCCATCCCTTCAAGCATCTATTCTATGTGTTACAAATAATCCAATTATATTCTTTTAGTTATTTAAAAATATACAATCAAATTACTATTGACCACAGTCACCCTGTTATACTGCCAAATACTAGGTCTCATTCATTCTTTCCAACTACTTTTTGTACCCATTAACCAGCACATGCCTTCCACTATCCCCACTACCCTTCCCAGCCTCTGATAATCATCCTTCTACTCTCTATATCCATAAGTTCAATTGTTTTAATTTTTAGCTCCCACAGATAAGTGAAAATATGCAAAGTCTGTCTTTCTGTGCCTGGCTTATTTCACTTAACATAATGACTTTCAGTTCTATCCATATTGTTGCAAATGACAGAATCTCATTCTTTTTTATGTATAAATAGTACTCCATTGTGTATATGTACCACATTTTCTTCATCTATTCATCTGTTGATAGACACTTAGGTTGCTTCCAAATCTTGGCCCTTGTGAATAGTGCTGTAATAAACATGGAAATGCAGATACCTATTCAATATACTGATTTCCTTTCTTTTGAGTATATACCCAGCAGTGGAATTGCTGAATCATATAGTTGCTCTATTTTTAGTTTTTTTAAGAACCTTCAAACCTTCTCCATAGTGGTTGTACTAATTAACATTTCCATGAATCGTATATAAGCGTTCCCTTTTCTCCACATCCTTGCCAGCATTGGTTATTGCCTGACATTTGGATAAAAGCAATTTTAACTGGGGTGAGATGATACTTCCTTGTAGTTTTCCTTTGCATTTATCTGATGATCAGTTATGCTGAGCACCTTTTCATATGCCTGTTTGCTATTTTTATGTCTTATCTGAGAAAAGTCTATTCAGATCTCAGTCAATCTTTCCTATGGGATTGTTTGAGCTCCTTATATGTACTGGTTATTAATCCCTTGTCAGATGGGTAGTTTGCAAATATGTTGTCACACTTTGAGGGTTGTCTCTTCACTTTGTTAATTGTTTCATTTGCTGTGTAGAAGCTTTTAAACATGATATGATACCATTTGTTCATTTTTGCTTTGGTTCCCTGTGTTTGTGAAGTATTACTATAGAAATCTTTGCCCAGACCAATATCCTGGGGAGTTTCTCCAATGTTTTCTTGTAGGAGTTTCATAGTATGAGGTCTTTAAGTTAAGGCTTTAATTCATTTTGATTGGATTTTTTGCGTATGGTGAGGGATAGAGATCTAGTTTCACTTTTCTGCATGTGGATGTCCAGTTTTCCCAGCACCATTTATTGAAGAGACTGGCTTTTCTCCAATGTATGTCCTTGGCAACTTTGTAAAAAATGAGTTCACTATAGATGTATGAATTCATTTCTGGGTTCTCTATTCTGTTCCATTGGTCTATGTGTCTGCTTTTATTCCAGTACCATGCTGGTTTTGGTTACTATAGTTCTGTAGTATTATTTGAAGTCCTGTAATGTGATTCCTCCAGTTTTGTTCTTTTTGCTGAGATAGCTTTGGCTATTCTGGGTCTTTTGTAATTATATGTAAGTTTTAGAATTCTTTTTTCTATTTCTGTGAAGGATGTCATTGGTATTTTGATAAGGATTGCATTGAATCTGTAGATTGTTTTGGGTAATGTGGACATTTTAATAATATTGATTCACCTGATGCATGAATATGGACTATCCACTTTTTGGTGTCCTCTTTTTTTCATCAATATTTTGTAATATTCATTGTAGAGATTTTTCATTTTCTGGTTGATTCCTAGATATTCAATTTTATTTGTTGCTATTATAAATGAGATTATTTTATTTCTTTTTCAGATTGTTCCGTGCTGGCATATAGAAATGCTACTGATTTTTGTATGTTGATTTTGCACGCTGCAATTTTACTGAATTTGTTTATCAGTTCTAATAATTTTCTTGGTGAAATCCTTGTTTTTCTGGATATAAGATCATATTGTCTGCAAACAAAGTACTTTGATTTCTTTCTTTATAATTTGAATGTTCTATTTCTTTCCCTTGTTTGATTGTTCTAGCTAGGACTACCAGTACCATATTCAATAACAGTGGTAAAAGTGGGTATCCTTGTATTTTTTTCCCACATCTTAGAGGAAAGGCTTCCATTTTTTTTTCCATTATTCAGTATAATACCAGCTGTGGGTCTGTCATACATGGCATTTATTATGTTGAGGTATGTTCTTTCTATTCCCAGTTCCTGAGGAATTTTATCATGAATCAGTGTTGAATTTTATCTAATGCTTTTTCAGCATCAGTTGAAATGATAATATGTCTTTCATTCTGCTGATAAGATGTATCACACTGATTGATTTTCATATGTTGAACCATGCTTGCATCATGGGGATAAATCCCACTTATTCATAACAAATAATCTTTTTAATCTGTTGTGGAATTCGGTTTGCTAGTATTTTGTTGAGAGTTTTTGCATCAATATTCATCTTGAATATTGGCCTGTAGTTTTCTTTTTTGATGTGTCTTTGTCTGGGTTTGGTATCAGGGTAAGAGAAGCCTCATAAATTGGCCTCTTAGAATTAATTTGAAAGTATTCTCTTTTCCTCTATTTTTTTGAAATAGTTTGAGTAGGATTTGGTATCAGTTCTTCTTCAAATGTTTGGTAGAATTCAGCAGTGAGGCTATTGGGTCTCAGGATTTTCTTTACTGGGAGACTTTTTATTATGGCTTCTATCTCATTACTTGTTATTGGTCTGTTCAGATTTTCAGATTTTGGATTCCTTCATGGTTCAATCTTGGCAGGCTGTGTATGTCTAGGAATTTATCCATTTCTTCTAGATTTTACAATTTATTGATGTATAGTCACTCATAATGCTCATAGTAGCCACTAATGATTTTTTGAGTTTCTGCAGTATCAGTTGGAATTTCTTATTTTTCATCTCCAATTTTATTTATCTGGGTCTTCTCTCTTTTTTTCTTAGTCAGTCTGGCTAAATGTTTGCCAATGTTGTTTATCTTTTCAAAAAACAAACTTTTCATTTTGTTAATTTTTTGCATTGTTTTCATTTTAATTTTATTTATTTGTGCCCCAATCTTTATTATTTATTTTACTAATTTTGGGTTTGGTTTGTTTCTGCTTTTCTAGTTCTCTAACATGCATTGTTAGGTTGTTTATTTGAAGCTTCCCTTATTTTTTTTATTTATGCACTTATAGCTATAAACTTCCCTCTTCAGTATGAAGAAATAATATGGTTTCACTGTATTCCATAGGTTTTGATATGCTGTGTATTCATTATCATTTGCTTCAAAAAAATTTTCAATTGCCTTCTTATTTTCTTCATTGACCCTCTGGTAATTCAGGAGTATATTGTTTTACTTCCATGTGTTTGTATAGTTTTCAAAATTCCTCTTGTTATTGCTTTCTGCTTTTAGTCCATCAGAAAATATGCTCGATATTATTTCCATTTTTTGAATATCTTAAGACTTGTATTGAGGTCTACTATATGGTCTATCCTTGAGAATAATCTGTGTGCTGAGGAGAAGAATGTATTTTCTGGAGGTATTGGATGAAATGCTCTGTAATATTTCTTAGATCCATTTGCTGTACAGTGCAGATTAAATCTGATGTTTCTTTCTTGATTTTCTATCTGGAAGTTCTGTCTAATCCTGAAAATGGAGTACTGAATTCCCCATCTCTTATTGTATTGAAGTCTATCTTTCTCTTTAGTGTTAATAATATTTGCTTTATATATCTGAATGCTCTAGTGTTGGGTGGGTGAATATATATTTACAATCATCATTCTTTTCCTGTATTTACTTTGTTATCATTATATAATGCCCTTCTTTGTCTCTATTTTCAGTTTTTTATTGAAATCTCTTCTGTCTGATGCCAGTATAGCTACTCCTGCTCTTTTTATTGGTTTCCATTAGCATAGAATATCTATTTTTCATTCCTTCATTTTCAGTCTGTATCTTTATATGTGAGGTGTGTTTCTTAAAGGCAACAGATCACTTGGGTCTTGCTTTTTTTTTTTTTTTTTTTTTTTCCCCATTCAGCCACTCTGTTTCTCTTTATTGGAGAGTTTAGTCCATTCACATTCAATGTTATTATTGATAAGTGAGGACTTACTCCTACCATTTTGTTATCTGTTTTCTGGTGGTTTTGTGGTTTTGCTTCTTTCTTTCCTTCTTATCTTCCTTTAAATGAAAGTGATATTTTTCTGATGGTATAATTTCTTGCTTTTTATATTTTATGTATTTGTTGTATGTTTTTGATTTAAGATTATCATGAGACTTACAAATACTATCTTGTAATCCATGATTTTAAAGAGATGACAACTTAACACTAATTGCGTAAACAAAAAGAAAACTAATAAAAACTGAGCATTTTAACTTTACCCACCCACTTTTTAACTTTTTATTGTTTCTCTTTATATCTTATGGCACTATATATGTTTTAAAATGTTGTTGCCATTAGTATTTTTGATTGGTTCATACTTTAGTCGTTCTACTTAAGAATAGTTTATATACGACAATTACACTGTTATAATATTCTGTGTTTCTCTGTGCGCTTACTATTCCCAGTTAGTTTTGTACCTCAAATAATTTCTTATCACTCATTAACATCCTTTTCTTTCAGATTGAGGAACTCCCTTTAGCATTTCTTGTAGAACAGTTCTGGTGTTGAAGAAATCCCACAGCTTGGTGATCTTGGATAAGATCTGAAAGAATTCTCTGGATTATCAGGCACAGGATCTTGTTCTCTTCCTTACTTTCTCCTAAACAAATAGCATGTCCCTCTGTGATGAGCTGCCTGGAGCTAGGGGTAGGGTGATGCATGCACTCCTATGGCCACCACCACTGAAATTATCCTGGTTCAGACCTGAAGCCAGCACAGCACTGGGTCTCACTTGAGTCCTGCTGTAATCACTACCTGGCTACCACCTATGTTTATTCAAGTCCCTAGGGATCTACAATCAGCAGATAGTGAAGTCAGCCAGGTTTGTGCCTTTCCATTCAGGGTGGCAAGTTCCCCCAGACCCTAAGCAGGGCCAGAGATGCTGACTTGGAGCCACGTATTCAAGTTAAAATCCTTTGAAATATACCTGGTATTCTATTCTACTGCAGCTAAGCTGACACTCAAACCACAGGACAAAGTCCTTCCTGCTCTTCCTTCCCCCTTCCACAGTCAGAGGAGTCTCATCGTGGCCACCATAACCACTGGCCCACAGGGAGTTCTGCTAGGCCACTGCTAATGTTCACTCAGGGTTCAAGGGCTCTTCACTTAAGGCCCTTGTGAATGCTGACAGGCCTGGGACTCACCCTTCATGGCAATGGGCTCCCCTCTGGCTCAAGACAGGTCCAGTAATGTTATCCAAGAGCCTAGGCCTGGACTTGGGTACCCCAAGATCCCACTTGGTGCTCTACTACACTGTAGCCAAGCTGGTACTTGAAGTGAGTATGTCTCAGAATTTCTCCCAAGGCCCATGGTATACTACCTGGGTATCACTGTTGATAATTCAGGGCCCAAGAGTTCTTTAATCAGCAGGTGATGAATCCCTCCAGGACCAGATCGTTCCTTTCTGGCCTACGGTATATCTAGAAATGTTGTCTGGGAGCTAGGGCCTGGGATAGGGGCCTCAGAACTCTGCCTGGTGTTGTATCCTACTGTGGCTGGGCTGTTATTCAAAATGTAAGACAAAGTACTCCTTACTTTTCTCTCTCTTCTCCTCAAGCAGAAGGAAGGAGTCACTTTCACTGCCGTGAGTTGTGCTACCTGGTGTTGAAGGAGGGGTGGTGCAAGCACTCTCTTAGCAGTCATGTCTGGTGTTTCACTAGGTCATGCACCACCCCAGTCCATTGGCTCTAAGACCAGCACAGCATCAGGACGTGCCTAAGAAATGCCATTCCTGTGTCCTAGTTTGCCTTTCAGATTCACCTAGGACCATAGAGCATTTCAGTCCACAAAGGTGAGGCTTCTAAGAAACTCAAGTTGCAGCCTCAGGGCTGAGTAATTCTCCTCTGGCTAGGCCTGGTCCAAATGCTCCTTCTGTGGGCCCTGGATGAGTGCTGGCTGAGTCGAAGATGGCTTTGCTCTTTGCTATGACAAGGCAGCACTGAGTTCAATGCAAAGTCCACCAGTTGCTGCGCTCTGTCTCCCTGAGGTATACAGATTCTCTCTTGGTGCCACACAGCCACTGCCAGGGGGTAGAAAGGGGTAGTGCCAATGATTCAAGACTGACTCTCCTAGTCTCTTCAATGCCTCTTCCAACCATATGAAGAAAGATATAGGTAGTGTGATTCTCGCCTGATGTTTGGTTCTTGTAAATGTGCGTTTGTGTATGCAGATAGTTAAAAGCGTTCTTGAAGAGGGTGGGGAGGGTGGGAGGACAATTGGTAGAGCTTTCTATTCTGCCTCCTTGCTCCACTTGTGTACTCCCTTTTTCTTTGGTTTTATTGTTTATTCCTCCTTCTCCAATATGACTGTATATATCCAGGCTATATGCACTAATTTTATTTATAGTTAAAAGTAAATGTAATACTGTTATTTCAATTAATAGAATTGAGTAATATCAAGTCACTTAGGCTTTTAAATGATAGGAAAGTATAGTCTAACTATGGAAAATACAAGTTCTAACTTCGGCAAACACCAAAGCTTTCTCAAGAAAAAGATAATTGAACAGTGTGTTCTCCATTCCCACTTTTCTCAAGCCTTAACACTTTTTCTGAAAACACAACGATTAAAAAGTATAGTTGAAATTATGTATCTTACTTATTGGCAGAAAATGCCATGTCCCCCAACCTTCAAAAAAAAAGTTACTCATGCTCTAATTTCTTGAACCTGTAAATTTATCCCCTATGGCAAAATGGACCTTTGCAGATGCGATTGCAAGATATTGAGATGGGAAGATTATCCAGGGTTATCTGTGGGGATCTAAAGGCAATTACACTTATCTTATAGGATAGAGGCAGAGGGAGATTTTAAACAGAAGAGGAGGTGGCAATGTAGCCATAGAGGCAGGGATTGGGGTGATGCAGCCACAGATCAAGGAATGCTGGCAGCTTCCAGAGCCAGAAGGGGCAAGAAACAGATTGTCCTCTAGAGCCTCCAGAAGAAGCATGTTCTTGCCAACACCCTGATTCTGACCCATGGTACTGATTCCAGACTTCTGACTCTCCAGAACTATGAGAGAATAAATTTCTGCTGCTTTGAGCCATGAAGTTGGTGGCAGTTTGTTATGCTGAAGCCACAGGAAACCAATAGACTATACTTCCAGATTTTGTGTGTTCACCCAAGTATCTTTTTGTTTGTGGGATTAATCCAAATCCACATTTATTGAATATATATCAAGTGCAAAGCATCTAGAAGACAGTTTGAATGGAACAAGGCTCCTGTCTTCTAGGTACTTGTAGTCTAAACAAAGAGGTAAATAGAGTTGCAATGTGGTCTTGAAGAGTACAATGTAGTCTTGAATTCTTCAAATTCCTGCACTTGATTACAAACAGCAGCATATTTGTGTAGTAGGATACCATTTGGCCATTTAAAACAAGGTTGTAAACAAACATACTGACATGGAGCTATGTTGACATGTATAGATATATTAAAAGGACAGTACCATTAAATAATTTTTACAGTGCACAAAAATGATCAGGAAGCATATGATTGGGGCATTCTTCATAGTTTTCCATAGGTAGTGGGTTTATGATGTCTATTTAATCTCTGTTTTCTTAAGTGTTTTCCAGTGTCCTGATTTTTTTAAATAATAAGATAAACTATTTTTTTTTTGTTAAAAATTGTCTGGATTCAGTGCCAGTTAGAAGCACTTTCAGGATGTAAAAGTAACACCAAGGAGAAATCAAGTGTCTGACCAGGTGGGGTCTTCACATCGAAGGTCCCAAGCACAATAATAGATATCTTCTCCTGCAGGACAGGAAACTTTGCCACATAGAAGAATGTATGCCATATTTATCCAATGCTCAGATGCCATTGATCTAATGGGATATTACTAATTTAAAAACAGTTTCAGAGGGGAAAAAACTCATCACTAGATTAACTACGTATATCCTAATCTCCAAATGTACAATGTGAAATGAAGTCTACATTAGATTTAAGAAAATATGATCTTTTTCAAAAAGTAATCTGGCTTTTGTTCTGATCAAGACTAAACTGAAATCATTTGGATTAAACAGAAACAGTCCAGAGTTTTAGTGTGAGTATCCATAATGCTTTTCAAGATGTGGGGAAAGAAAAAAACTGTCTCTCTCAGGTGGCACCCTACCCATTAACCCTACTTTCTTACCCCACACCCAGTTAGAGATGTTGCTGAACCAATACCCAGTGTCAGCTAAGTGGAGATTTCCTGAACCTAAGCACTCAGGCAGACTGCAGTGGGAAGTTCCTTGGATTGTTGTGCTGGCTGCTCTGATACTCTACCTCGAGAGCATATCCACTCACTGTTAATAGCTTCAGAATATATTTCTCCATTTGAAACCAAAACCAGACTGTGAATACATCGTCCTTTTTTAGCTTTATAAAGCAGATGGACTTTAAGCTGATAAACCTCCAGACGGAGACTAACATTAGTATCAATACTGTGAACTAAATTGGATTTTTTACTTTTGATTTTGAGTCATCCAGTTTGTGGATTGTAGCTCAACCGTGTTAAACTGAGAACACCAACCATGAGAGGAGGTGGCTACATTGCTCAGCACTTGAATTCCTATTTCTGTTGGTTGGTACAGCCATTCTTCCAGGGTTCTAAATTTGGATCCTTTGTGTTATTATAATGATAAGTTTCAGTTTTGGGGACATTATAGCTGCTGCTCTGCATACAGAGTCTGGATTTGTACAACTGTTTAACGAATTATTATCAGTTTCAAGTTAAGATGCTTGAACTTGGTAGAGCTGGCATCTGACCCTGTGTGACTCATTCATGTCTCTACTGATACTGTAGCTCATCTTTAGTGGTGGGCAGAGCTGCTGGGGGGTTTTTTATACCCACAGAATACATTAAATAAATTACCTTTGCATCACACAGAAAACTGGCCAGACCAATTGGAATCAGTCAGAATTAGCTGAATGGCTCAAGGTCTGAATCAGGTATGATACCAGTGTTATGTGTATATATTTTTTAATGTTTATCTTGTTTATCAGCTTCTTAACTGTCTACTTCAATCTCTGGCCATTTATTTGTTCAACTCTAAAACAGAACATTCAGTAACTGCTGTTTTTCTGCCTGAATTCTAACTGCTTTTATTTATCCTCAGTGTCTGTACTTTCCCCTTCCCTGGCTGCTTTTTAAAAGGTAGTCTGCATAATTCTCCATGTACTCAAACCATTCAGCTCTTCAATATATGTGGCGTATCCACTATAGAGAGGTACTGGGGGATTACAACAGTGAACAACACAAACGAGGACCTACAAAAATAAAAAGAATTAATCCAACAAATAATTATACTAGAGTGAGATAATGTAAGTACAGAGGGGTCACGGGAGCCTTTAGCAGAAAGGAGCAATCTACACTAGGGTCAAAACCCACTTTCCACATGAAGTAACATTGTATATGAAACCTGAAAGATGATAGGAATCAGACTGACATGAGAAAATGGCATTCCCGGTGGTGGGAAAACCACATGCTTTACCCCATGGGAGAACACACATGCATTAGCAAGATTTGAAGGAGATTCAGAATAGCTGAAGCCCAGTGGTAGTCACGGGAGGGTGGTGGAACACTGAATAATGACATGGGAGAGGTAGACATTATTGATACAGTCATAAGACATTTTATGAAGTTTTGACTTTATCAAAAAGCAATGAGCTACCATTAAAGATGCTCTGTAAGTCAAGAAATTATAAGATTCGCATGATAGAGAATAAAATAGAGGAGTGAAAATTGATGGATGCAGGAGACCAGTTAGAAATCCACAATAGTGATCCAGGTATGCAAAGACCCTGGTTTGGACTGTGTTGGTGTTAATAGAAATGGAGAGAAGCAGGTAAGATGTATAAAGGTCATGGAATTGACAGGATTGGGGATTGATTAGACATGGCTAATGAGGGGAAAAAAGGCAATGGATCCTTGTCTGAACCTTTCTCACCATGCCTGAAAAACAAACTATGGGAACCCTATAGCGAGTGACCTCCATCAGATAGTGCTCTTTATTCTAAGCCTTTAAAGCATGTAACAGGCCAATTTCCAGTATCAGTTATATTCTTTCTACTCTAAGTGGTAGAAATCCTGATTCAGATGCACTTAATACAGGGGGATTTGATCTCAGATATCAGGAATCTAAAGGAAGAATAGGCCTTCGAAGTCGCTAATTTAGCTACTGCATTGTGTCATCAGAGATTGAGTTTCTCTCCATACTTCTCCTCTTTTTACAAACAACGGCTTCATCCTAAGTCTGGCTGTCTGTGTGTTCATAACATAGTTGTCTGCAGCAACGGGAGCAATATGTTTTCTTAGGATTTTCAGCAATAGAAAGTGCCTGACTTCTCTTTCTCAGAAAGTATAGCAGATTTTGCTTTTCATCTCATTGGTTAAATGGGCATAAGCTGACAAATATCTAGCACCAAGAATGGACATACTATGCTGCCTTAAAGTAATCATCTAATGTGGAATGTCCTGTGCCCACCTTTATTCCACTACTTTGATGACATCATTTCTGTCTTGTGAATCTTACTCCATCTCCACGTTCATTATCAGGCCTGGAAATGGTTTGCCTTACAGGATTTGGGCAGAGGCTTTGGTCTCTTTTTCTTTTCATTCTGGGCACTTATTTTAGTGCCAGACATATAGAAGGACTTGAGAAGTATTATATTTGCTGAATGTAAGAAATACGTGTTGCGTCCTGGATGTTAAACAGAGTTTAAGTACTTCCATAATTGTCATTTAATGCTCCTTATACCTTAAACTTCTCCTTCTAAATTATAACTCAGTAAGAACAAGAACCAGACCTTCTTATTTTATGGCTGGCATTCCTAAGCATGAGAAGGTTTCAATAAATGTTTTTGAAATCATTTAAATCAGAGTTGTAGGATTTGAAGTCATAGAATTAAAAGATATCTACATCAACGTTCCTATTTCATGAAAGAGGAAAGTGGCACGTAGAACTATGTACAAATTAGCTTAAGATGACATAACTAGATGGACAGAGATGGAAATTAAAACATGATTTTCTAACTTCAAGTTCAGTGTTGAATGACTTTTTGTTAGGTGTCATGATTGTTACCTGCTCATAAATTAGTATTTATGAGCTCATTATTTGGCTGTATTAGTTTTTCCGTTTCGGTGGGGAATTAAAAAACAAAACAGATTTTACTGCCCCCAATATTCCCTTGATCTTTTTGCTGGAACAACATAACCAATTTGAGAGAATCAGTAAGGACAGGAAAAGAAACAAAAACATAACAAAACAACAAATCCAATAATAACTCACATCTTTTATCACTAATATTAGAAGATTTTCTAGTCTTCAGTTAGATACATTCTCTAATGAATGAATGTGATATACTCTCCCAGACTCTACTACCGATGCAGAGATAAATATGACTGCTGTGTCCTCCATGAAAAAATGCCAAAAGGACCCTTTGTGTCTTTCTTTCCTGTTAAACAAACAAACAAACCACACCAAAAAAACTCCCAAGGAGAAAGGGACCCTAACTTTGTGTGTCCTGCTTCACGGCCTCGACTGATAGGATTTCCCCACACAGACAACTTAGAGCTTTCTTACCACTGGTTCTAAATCCACAGGCACCACTCTATCCTTAAACTTCTTATGACACCTGTCATAAGAGTTCTTTCACTGTGTATATAAAGCATTTATTGAGCATCTACTATGCTCTGGAGCCCGTAATAGGTACTAGAGTAGGGGAGGGAGATTAAAATGGGGTCTCAGCTTTCAGTGAGGTAATGGTTTAACAGAGAGTAACATAGAAGGCAAAACAGTTCCACACATTGCATATGCAAATCTAAGGAATCACAGTGGTATAGCCCATGCTGGGGTCAGAGGCAACTTCCTCAAGGAGAAAACAACTGAGTACAATTGTAGGAAGTATAATAACAGGATTGAGTTAAGCAGAATTAAAGAAGAGCATTCTGAGCCAAAGAAAATGGTACAATAAAGATGCAGAGGAGTAGATTGTGAGGGAGGAGAGAGGTAGCAAGGAATATATGGAAAGGATGGTTATAATAATAGGAGCAGTTCATATAAGCCAAATCATGAAGAGTTTTGCATGTAGGACAAAGGTTTTGTGATATAAACTATAGCAAATAATGGACAAAATTAGAGGTGCTAAACAAACAAAAACAGAATTAATTCTGTAATAAAAGCAAGTATTGGCCATGTGGTGGCTGGATTTAGTTGATAGGTAGCCCTGAAGATAACAAGACCTCTCGGAGGCTGTGGAAACAGCCCAAGTAAGAGATGAAAAATCCCTGGAATATCCAGCAGCGTGTAGAAGAAGGCATGGATGTGGATGGCATTGCGGAGGTAAAATCAGCCAGATTCCTGCTCATTGGATAGTAGGATCATGAAGAGGGAGGGCAAAGGATGGCTTTGAATTATTGCATTCCCTCCATCCAGGACAATAGTGCTAATCCTTAAGATAAAACTCAGGAAAAGAAATAGCAGGTTGAGAAGAGGAGATATTGACTTAAATTTGGGCCAACTGGGAAGGCTGAATTCAGAGATTAAGTATTAAACCCAATTCTGTTATTATTTAGTTAGGTAGCCTTGAACTAATTTTTTAACTGTGCTATTTTTTTCTTATTTGTCAATGATGTGTGTGTGTGTCTTAGATATACAACCTAATTACAAACTCTTACAGTCATGAAATGTATTCCACTTTTTTTTGTATTATCAGCTGGAAAAGAAAAGCACCTACTAGAATGTCCTCCCCATGGTCTTCTTTCTTTTAGGAAAGTGGCCAGTGACATGACCTGTCGGTACAGAGACTAACAAGCTTTTCCAAAGTCCATGTCCTTCACATTTTCCTTTTCTCATAGATTTAAGGTCAGAGTAGCTTCTATTAGAAAAAGTGAAATGATGAATACCACTAGTCAGACATCTAATATAAATTTAGAGGATTACTGAAACTTTGGTTAAACACAAAAACAAATTTTGAATGATTTATGTAGGCAAAAAAGAAAAAAAGAAAAGGTAGATCAAGTGATAGATTAAAGACAATAGTTAAGCTTCGCTGCTTTAGAGAACCCTCTTCCACACTGAAAGGTGAAATGCAGTAACAAGGCAAATACCGAGGCTTTGTTTAATGGGGCACAGGGAGGATCTCATGATGTGTTATGGCTGACATGGCTTCGCTCTAGGCTTCCCTGGCCTTCAGGAACATGCATTTCTAATGGAGACGGCACTTGATTTCCAGAAAAAAAACGGAAGGGGAATGTGCTCAGATCTTGGTTGATGCAGTAAATGGCACTGGCAGCCCCAGACCTTTCACAGGGTCTACTCAGAAAGACAGACTTAAATGACATTGGCTGAGTCCATCCACTGTTGGGTCAACTGTATCTGCATGTTTTTTCTGTCATAAAATTTCCAGTCAAAAAAACACCATGACAAGTTTAACTTGGTTGTTCACCTAATTTGAATGAGGTCAAAGTCTTCAGAAATCACAGCTCTGAGAGACTGACAGACATCCTGGGAGACTTAAGAGAGCTTGACTAGAAAGCCCCATTTTATCTTAAGTGTATTTCTGAATCTCCAGGTATGGATTTTGTCTTCTGTAAGAAATGCTTGTTCTGCTAATAATGCAAAGACGCTTAGAAGTATTCCCATGTGGTCCAAACTAAAGCCTGCCCAATGTCAGATTTCTTGCTCTTTGTATACCCACTGGCAGGCCCTTCTCCACCTAAGGAGGTCCATAAAGGCCCATACGGGTATACCCACAAATAGAATACTTGTAGTTCAAACTGTTGACTACCTGAGTTTGCAAATTCTGCTGGGACTTTTCCGTAATGCTGCTTCTCAGACGTAAGTGTAGGCTTTCCTGTGAATTACAGAGGAGCTGCCCATGAGCATCTGAATAATTTTATCGGTCCCCCAATCTGTTTTTACCTGGTAAGTTGCCACCTCCAGCTGTTTTTCAAATTAATATGATCAGGGCAAGCCTGTGCAGTAAAACAAACTCACTCATGCTTTCTTTATTGAGAACTGCCTAGCCTTATTAATCATGACAGATATCTTCATAGTGGACGGATTTCTGATACAAGTGGGTATAGGCATCTCTCAGCTTTAATTCCACTTTACGCTCTGTGGAGTCATCGATTCCAAAGTAGCAAGTCTTGGAAAGGTAAAGGGGCCACCCTGAACACACTAAAATAGAATTTCTTAAACTTCTCATAAGTGTCAAGCCTTAGAGGTTATGGACACCAGCCAACTAGAGAAAACATCTTACAAATCATCGACTATTACAGTTGGAAAATATTTGAAGTATTTTCATTTTTCACCTCATCATTTTAAGAAAACCATGTTTGTGAGAAGAAAAATTATTCTTTCCAGCATAACATTGCTTTCCTTTCATAATATCATGTTGGCAATTCTAAAACTAGAATCCATGAGACATTTTTATATACTGAGCATACACTCTGTGCTTGGAATTCACAGGCTCTTGCCCTTGAGGAACTCGCCATCTTGTTCAGAAGACCAGAGCCACACAGATATTGAAAAACTCTACGCTGATGCCAAACAGAAGACAATCAAGGCTGACAGCAACATGCCAGGGAAATGGCAGGAGTGTCCCCAACTCCTTCTTAACAGCCCTATGAAAAACAAGTATACTAGCTACCATGCTAGAAAATCAATTTAAAAAAAAAAGAAAATGCAGTTATTGAGTGCCTAATATGTGCCGTGTATGACAAAGGCTGCTACAGGTTATTTTGACAGGAAAATCTGAGGGTCAGGAATGACATCCTGTGCATCACAACCACACAGGTAGTAGATTACAGAAGAGGACACAAACTGGCTGGCTCAGTTTGACTTGAAATGCTGAGCCCATTCAGCATTTAGTTTTCCTTTGGGCAGAAAAAGCAAAAACACAGCTTTTTTGTAGACATTTATGTGATTAGAGGGAGACCTTATTTACTTTATTCGATGTTCACAGAAATGTGATATCTTTGCCAATTCAATAAATGGTGAATTCATTTTATAGTTACGACTTTAAAATACAAACAAATCTAGTGAGGCCATTAGTTTTTGGAAATTTTAATAATACTGTTAAGGATAACTTTTACTACCTAAGTAAGAGAAAATAATAAATACAATAAACTTTAAAATGCGTTAGTGCTGTTGAAAACACATTTTACGTCTAGGACTTAAAATATGAAGAAGTAACAATAAAATATTAGTGGAAGAAATTCCAATAACATTGCTGTTAATTATATTGTTGATAATAAGTTTACTTCTGTAACTTAAAAAAAATACCCTGTGAGATAAAAAATAATTCCATCACCAGAGTTGGTGATACAATAGCTTACTTTAAAGAGTACCAGGGGAATAGGCACATGGCCAATTAAATATCCCTGGCAGATTGGATCAGCAGGAAGCAACTTGAAAAAGCACTTGCTCAGATGTAGCAGGACTCAACATGGGGATAAAAACCTCCCATGCAAGGACTGGATTTTCAGAAGGTCATTGATGGACAAAATTTGGCTCATAAGAGTGGTAGAAGACAACTGGTAGACATCATGATTTAAAGAGAGAGTTCTTCAATTAACAAATAAAATTTGAGCACCTAATATGTGCCATGCATTTTTTTCAAGTGTTAGGAAGCTTTTAGGCTGATGACAACGACAGGCAAATTACCAAACATTTAAATGCAGTGAGATATATACAATGGTATACTAGACTTGGGGATAGTACAGGGAGGAGAGGGATTGATACACTTGAATTTTTGAAAGCATGGAAAATGGACTTATCTAAGATCAGAGGGGTGCAAATTAGGAATCTCAGCAAACTCTTACTAAGGGAGAGATGATTGATGTGGGCTATTCTTAGAAGGATAAACAAGTGTGATAGGTGAATCGGGAGTGGAAGGACTTTGATACTAGGCAAAGGCATGATGGCATGATGGACCAGACCCTGCAACAGGCATGAGAATCATATGACAGGATGGTTTTCAAGGGGGCTGGAGAGACAGTCAAAAGCTGGATTATGCAAAACCTTATATAACATTCCATAAAATTTTGTCTTTATTCTATTGTTACACGTTCCCAAATTTTAGTGTGCTTAAGCATGATCCAACCAGGAAATTCTTACTTAGGGGATCTGTGTTGATGTCTAGGAATTTGCATATTTAACAATCCCTGTAGGTCATTCACTTCCATGTAGTTTCAGGATCACAATCCCAAAAGACACTGCTGACCAGGAACTACTAAAATAATTTCAACTTGGAGAGTTAGCTATGCTTATTAACTTATTTTTTAATTTTTAAAAAAATAATTTAAATCTAATTTTTGTGGTTACATAGTAGGTGTATATATTTACGGGTTATATGAGATACTTTGATACAAGCATATAGTGCATAATGATCCCAGCAGGGTGAATGGGGTAATGGGGTATCCGCCCCCTCAAGCATTTCTCCTTTGTATTACAAACAATTAACTACTTTTTGTACCCATTAATCATCCCCATTTTCTACCTCTCCACACACTGCCCTCTCATTACCTTCCCAGCCTCTGTTACCATCCTTCTTGTTTATCCATTAAAAGATTCATTCTGGTAAAGTAATTTGTAGATTGGATTGCAGCTCAAAAAAGGAGGCACAGTGGCTCCTCACTAGGCTATTTCCACAACCTGGGTAAGAAGTAATATATCTATGAATTAAGAATGGACTTGTTGGCCAGGAGCGGTGGCTCATGCCTGTAATCCCAGCACTTTGGGAGTCCAAGGCGGGCGGATCACGAGGTCAGGAGATCCAGACCATCCTGGCTAACACGGTGAAACCCCATCTCTACTAAAAAAAAAAAAAAAAAAAAAAATTAGCTGGCCGTGCTGGTGGGTGCCTGCAGTCCCAGCTACTCGGGAGGGTGAGGCAGGAGAATGGTGTGAACCGGGGAGGCAGAGTTTGCAGTGAGCCGAGATCACGCCACTGCACTCCAGCCTGGGTGACAGAGTAAGACTCCACCTCAAAAAAAAAAAAAAAAATGGACTTGTTAATTTATTCGATGTAGGGGACAAGGAGAAAGAAAGAGTCAGGTATAAAGGTATAACTACCAGAAAATGGTGGTGTTACACAGTGAGGGTGCACAGGAAAATGAATGGGCTTAATTGGGTAAAGAACTGAGCCCAAAACGGGCATTCCATACCTGGGTCCTTCCCAATTGTGATGTCGGTTGGTTTAATGGGGCTCATGAGATTAGTATTGGACATGGCCATTGAGTAATTATCAATCAATTAATGCTAGCTAATTTCACAGCCTAGGTAAGTAAAAAACATTAAAAAATAAAGGAAACAAACAACAACTGAATTTTGGAGAACATAGCTTTTGATAGAAAACAGTAACTTGGAGAAAATGCTGAGAATGGGTAACCAGAAAAGCAGAGGAAGAAAACTACGATAGAGATGAATCACTGAAGGCAAAAGCAAAAGTGAATTCCAAGAAAAGTGGACTGGCCCATAGGATAAAATACTGCTGAGATGACTGATTCACAATGACTCGATGTGTCCAGTGACCTCCACATTCTGCTCCATGTATGTTATCACTTTGCATTCTCATCATGACCACATGGCAGGAGTAGTCACTCCAGTTTTTGTTGTTGTTGTTGTTGTTCTTGTTGTTTTTGAGATGGAGTCTCGCTCTGTCACCCAGGCTGGAGTGCAGTGGCATGATCTCGGCTCATTGCAAGCTCCGCCTCCCATGTTCACACCATTCTCCTGCCTCAGCCGCCTGAGTAGCTGGGATTACAGGAGCCCACCACCACAGCCGGCTAATTTTTCCTTTCTTTTTTTCTTTTTTTTTGTATTTTTAGTATAGACGGGGTTTCACCGTGTTAGGCAGGATGTTCTGGATCTCCTGACCTCGTGATCTGCTCGCCTCGGCCTCCCAAAGTGCTGGGATTACAGGCGTGAGCCACCGTGCCTGGCCATCACTCCAGTTGTATAGAAGATGCTGAGACAGAAAAGAGATTTTTGTAATTGCCCAAGTTCACATGGCTAGTGAGAGGAGATGGTCAATTTCCGACCAGCTTCTCTCTAATTTGGAAGCCTTTCTAGAAACTTGAGTGGATGAAATAATCAGCGAACTTGTATCCAATAAGTGGAAGAGTATATAAGAGAGGTAGAATAACAGCACTGCATGTAAATGATTTTTTCTAAAACCTTGTCTCTGAAAGCAAAAGAAATGTAACATGAGATGAAGGGATGTGAAATTGAGAAGGGAAAGAAGTATGCTTTAATTCAAATGGGAAAGAGCCAGCAGAGAGGGAGATGAAGGTGCAAGGGAAAGAGGCATAGGTGTTTTACTTTTACAGTCACAGAGGGAGTCAAAATCAGAGCCATGGCAGTGGACATGGATGGTGCGGGAGAGGGAATTGAGGATAGAAATAAGTATGTTGTTAAATGGGGGGAAGATGACGAAGGTCCTGCCAGGCAAATGGCTTCTGTCTTCTTGATGACTTAGGAAAAATATGGAGTCTGAAAATAATGGAGTCTGGTGCTAAAAAGAAGGGCTTAAACACGAGGAAATGAAAGTTGGAGTAATCCCTCAGAGGATATTGGATTGTAGGTGGTCAAGGTCATAGAAACCTGGCTGGGCAACTTATGAGGTCCAGGTCAGGATGGGGACAAAGACTTGGGATTCTCTCAGTTTCCATGGTCAGGTAACTCTCAGCAACTGACAGCCACTGTTGACAGCCCCTGTGATCATATCCCACTGGTAAGGAGTCACTGGACGAGAACATTCTGGGGAGTATTCATGAAAGATGTGAGGCTTGGGGTGAACTGTGAAAGTTGAACAGGATATAGGCTGGCAGAGAAGGGGAAGAAAGCTATCCAAGAAGAAGGAGTAACCAGAGAACATAAAAAAGCATTCCCCACATGCTGTAACTTAGCAGCGGAAGGGGTTGGAGGAGATGAGGAGGAGGACAGGGATCCTTCCAGGGAATGTTGGAAAGTAGAGTTAAATGAGTCTTAGTTTCTGGAAAGAACTCCACACCAGATGAAGAAGTTGGACTTTATCTCTTGATAACAGTTTTAAAAGTAAAATGTCACCATTGGCTTCACAAGCATCCTTTCTTAGGCTTACAGATGTTCACATCCAGCTGTATCTCATGATGTCAGGAAAAAGGAAACATTTGGTTGGCTTCTTGTCTGTGTTGCAGATATATTTACATACAGTATGTGTAATCTTCAACACACTCTGCAAGATGGGTATTATGCCCATTTTGGCTAAGGAAACTCAGATAGGAAGCAGAGGGGTGAGAGCCCAGACTCCCACCCATTTGGCTCCAGTTCAAAACTCTGTTAGGGACACAATTCATGGAAGTACATCAATATGAACTTCCCAACCAGAGCTCCTCTGTGTACAGTAGAGAGAGCTTCTCTTTTTGCCCTGCTAGCTGGAATAATTTTTGAAAATCAAAAAAGTTCTAGGGCTGTTGCAGGAAGGGAAATAGAAAAGGCAAGTATTTCTTTCACCCAGAGCAGGTGAGGGTAGGCAATTTTACTAACGAACAGCAGGAAGGGGCTTGAGTGCTGTGAGTTATATAGTTTCCATATCTTTTGGAATTATGAAAAGAGTAATCATGGGTTACCAAGATCCACGGGGCTGAGATCTGCTATAGTAAACTTGGGATTTGAACAGCAATAACATCCCACAGAACTTAATTTCTTTTTTACTTCCCTCTCTCCTCATGCTTTTTGACTCCTTTTTCTGCAGGTCTTGCCTCGGGCAACTTTCAACCAGGCTGCTGGAAGTGGAGTGGTGACATTGACAGCTGCTCTCAGTAGACAAGTCCCTGAGGCTCCTGCTTCTTTTGAAGTATGACTTAGGTCCACCCTTGTCGAGAGTGAGGGTATAGGACCCTAGGAGCCTAGGGATCCGAGTGCATCAGCTCTAATTTTTAAAAAATACATTTTTAACACTGCTATTTTTTCCATCATATTCCTTTAAAAGCCATAAGCATTTTCCCACTGCCCAAATGCCCATATCTCCCCTCACCCAAATATACAGTTTAAAAAGACAACCAACCCAAACATCCAGACAAAAAGCCAAGTGCACATAGTTTCTCAGAAGAGGGCAAAGAACACATGTCTCTTTTATGCTTGAATTGAGGGATTTTTTGGCCTCTGTTTGCTTCTTGGTGTTCTTCAAGTCAAATTGTTTCAGGATCTGTAACTGTGATAAGTCGATCCTTGTCTAATCTACATGCTCTTGATTGAGTGCCAATACGATGCCACTTTGTTCCAGTAAATCATGTTGACATCTTTCTTTCTCTTCACTTTGTTTCATTCCAATTCCTCAGCATGGGTTCCAAGGCCTGCCACAACTTGGAGAAACTAGAATTTTCCAGCATCTTTAAAAGCGGCAGGCTAAGAAACATTTCCTAAGATCAGATGCTTGTTATAATTTCTAGGGCTGGTTTTACATTGAGTAGAGATATGCTTTCATGGGCCTTCTGGATTATATTGCCCCAAATCTCCTAGTAATGCAACATTAGGATGTGAGAAATTGCATAGCAGAGTAACACTGAGCAAGCTTTCAAACAGAACATAAATAGCTACCTCTGATCATAATAGCTACCATGTATTGTACCTGACACTGTACTAGGTGTTTATGTAAACCATGCCATTTAACTCTCAAAGTAATCCTGTGACATACGTTATTGCCATGGTTTTCTCAGCTGAAGAAATAGAGACTCAGAGACTCAGAAAGGTCAAATGTTCATTGAGTTTATCCATAGCAAGGCCAAAACTCCAATTTAAGCCAGGTATTCTGCCCCCAGATGGGGCCTCATGTCTCTCATGTTCTTTACCTGTCTCAAGACAGAAACCTTTGTCCTCGTGGTTGATGCTCTCTGGGCTGGTGCTCAAATGGCTGCACTTAAAATGTATGTACAAGTATTTAGTTTCTATCAGAAAAAGGAAGCAGAACAAATAAATAGAAAGAGGTGAATACAGAGATTACCTTGTTTATGAATTTCTCACTTTTCTAGTGGCTGAATCTGATGATTTTTGGTTCTGCTTCACCTCAGCCAAATTTGCACAATAAATTTAGTTTTCTGCTTGTCCTTAACAGTTTGTTCTTGAGTGCCTCTCAACGCAGCCAGGACATCTACCTCAGTTATAGACAGTTCTCAAACATTTATTGGGCATTTGCTGATGAATAATAAATGAGGACAAACAGATGGTTTCCGAATAATGTGGCTGGTTCAGTGATCAAGGTACGCAGAGGAAGGTATGGGCCCACAGAGCAGGGACGGGGGAGGGAGGGCCAGGGAAGACTTTCTGGACGACTTTCTGAACCATGTCTTGAAGGATAAATAGAAGTCAGCCAGGCAAGGAGGGGTTGATACTGGGCTAAGCAGAGAAAATGGCATTAGCAAAGGAGGGCACAAAGATATGGAAAAATGACATGTGGGCAGGGAACTGCCAAGAGTTCAGAATAATTGGAATACAAAATGCAGACCTAATTTCAGAGCTGCAAAGGAGGGCTGAGTTCAGAGAGGTCAGCCAAAACCAGGCTACTTAGGTTCTTATTTGCTGCATGAGAGGAGAGACGCGCACAGGTATCCATTTTATATAGATCATTCTGAACTCAGGGGGAAGATGCAGTAAGAGGTAGGAGCTGAAAGCTCAGAACACAAGTCCAATTATCTCCACCCCCTCAAGAAAGCAAAAGGGTTAGTAATAATTGTTGAATGGGAACTTTGGAATGGAAATCTATCAAACACTGAAAGTTCTGCACTGCAAATGCTTGCATTAATTTACCCTTCCTCTCTGCTTTAAATCCTGGGACCCTTGGTTGAGAGGGAATAACGTAAACATCCAGGCTGCCTCTCATTCCTTCAACTCTGGTGCTGTGTCCTGTTAACTCACATCTGAGCATTTCCTCGCTCCTGTCCTTGATGTCTGTTTGTATGACTACTCCCCTGGGTCAGAGTTTTTACTATCATTTGCAGATGAAGGTTGGTCTTTCAGTCAATACTAGCTTGAAGTAAAGACTTTCAATAAAGTAACTAGGTGATTTCTAATCTTAATCTGATGAAATTTAAGGATCATATCACTGTCTTCCAGTTCATGCTACTCCAGATGTTATCTGCAGACCAGTGTGGGCCCAGGGACTTTTGTCACCACTCCAGGATAAAATAGGTACAGAATGTGAGGATAAGCACTTAGAAACCTGTCACAATCCAGATGCATCATTTCATCTATGTGGAATCTAGTAGTAAAAAGTTGGCTTGTATTTTCTTTGACTTTGTTATTTTCTTTATTCTACTTTTCTAGTAGTTCATCTTTTTGTGTTTTACAAAAATATTAGTCTGTGCTGGATGGAGCCAGAAAGAGAGATTTGGGAGGGGTTGGTCCTTTATCACAGATAGTTTGAGACACCTTGTTCTACTTCATGTGGCAAAAGGAATGCTGTAGCAGAAGGAAATCAAGCAAAATCACCCTAGCAGTTTTGAGTGACTACGCTGTGTCAAGCAGGTAAACTGTATGTCTCACTTGACATTCACCAAAGCTCTGTGAGATGGACACCACTATAGCCATTTTGCAAGTGAACAAACTGGGGCTAGGAGAATGTGTGCAGGTTATCTGGGTTGGAATCAACTTCAAATCTATGTAAGCCCCCACCACCACCACCATCAATGCTCTTCTTAATACTTCCTGCTTCTCTGCTACAAAGCGTATAATTTAGTGCTGAAATTAGGCTTGGCATCACGAAGAGATGGACATTGTATTAACATCAGGATTCCTGTCATATGCCATTTTTAATGTCTATAATTCCTAGCACAGCACTAGACACAACATTGATTTCCAGTATGTGGTGCATGATTGGCAACACCCTAGAGTGCCCTTGTTATTAACATGCTTCCTTAGAGGTAAACAGCAGCATCAAATACTCTGGGAAAAACAAGTGCAGACCTTCTCATAAGCAGGCCATGCTGTCAATTAGAGTGGAGCCTGCATCAGATCATTATCTAAAAACAAGCAAACCTTAGACCACCTGTTGAACTGATGAGACATTTTCTTTTTATCTCTGAGAACTGTTTGTGTGTATTTTTTTTTTGAGGAAAGAGATGGAAAGAAAACTAAGTTTATTTATTTTTAAGGCCTCAAACTATTGCAGATGTTCAAATAGGCTGGAAGATCACCAAGAAACACTTTGTCACATGTCATTATCTCTGATCCTATCCCACCTCAGCCATCTGTAATATTAGATTAACCGAATGATTGAATATACTTCTGTTTCAGGTTTTAACTGTGGACATTTAACATGCTACAGTCCAGGAAAATTCTCTACACATCCGAGATTAAGCACTCTAGATGTTATCCTGGTGCCTATTTCATTCAGGACTAACACACTTTGAAGAAAGGATGTCTCTGGGCTGGTCCCTACTATAAATTTTGTTTCAGGACTTGCCAGTGCCCTGAGCAGAGTATGCAAAGTGCAATCCCAGCTGCAAACAGTGTGTGAGACTGATATTTCAGATCAATTGAAATACAGTCAGAAGTATTCTTCATCAAAGTACAAAGCTATATTCTGGGATCCTAGAGGAACCAGGTGCCCAAACTGCTCAGCTCACCTGCCAGTGTGTCAAAGGTACCATGTAAGGAGGGACTGCAGCACACAGAGGCAGGGGCAGAGTCAACAGGATGGCAGGCATGAGGGAATTTTGAAATCTGGAGCACCCCGGAAAGTGCAGAAGTGGAGTAGATATGCCCCTTATCCCGACCTTCCTTTCTCTTTCTAAGATCTTGCTAACAAAATCTAGTTATTTCTTTATTCTTTTTTTATTATTTTTTGAGACAGGGCCTCGCTCTGTCTCCCAGGCTGTAGTGCACTGTTGAGATCTTGGCTCACTGCAACCTCCACCTCCCGGACTCAAGCAATCCTCCCACCTTAGCCTTCTGAGTAGCTGAGACTACAGGCACGTACCACCACACCCAGCTAATGTTTTGTATTTTCGTAGAGATGGGGTTTTGCCACGTTGCCGGGGCTGACCTCAAACTCCTGGGCTCAAGTGAGGCCACCTGCCTTGGCCTCCCAAATTACTGGGATTACAGGCATAAGCCACCATGCCCAGCCCATTTCTTTATTCTTAATAATAACAATTGTATTAAGAATATCTATCAATGAGTGAACAGCTACTAGATATTAAGTAGTATGCTTAAGGTATTGCTATGGTTTGAATATTTGTGTACCCCAAAATTCATATTAAAATCCTCATCCCCATGGTGACACTATTAGGAAGTAGAAACTATGAGAGGTGATTAGATCATGAGGGCAGAGCCCTCATGAATGGGATTAGTGTTCTTAAGAAAGAAACCCCAGAGAGCTTTCTCGCTCCCTCCACCATGTGAGATTACAGTAAGAAGTTTCTATCTATAAACCAAGAAGCAAGCAGGCCCTCATTAGACATTGAATCTGCCTGACTCAGAGTTTGATTAGGATTCTCCAGGCTTTACAACTGTAAAAAATACATTTCTGTTGTATATAAATCACCTAGGCTATGGTATTTTATTATAGAAGCCAAAACATATTAATTTAGGTATAATGCAATTGTTAGCTTCTTTAGCCCTCTCCTTAATCATCGGGGTAGGTATCATTACCTTCATGTTACAGTAAAGAAACTGAAGCTCAGAAGGTAACAAGGCTAATGAGTGATAGAGCCTGTGTTTAAATTCAGATGCATTGACCCTTAAACTGGTAATTTTTATTATTTTGTTTTCCTCTAATAGGAAGTAAAGTAGGCCTGATAATTTTATTATGGTTTAAAAAATATAGTTCTGTATACTGAAAAGTCTAAGTTATACATAAAAGTTTTGACTGTTCAGGTTGAAAATCAACACCAGAATCATTCCTAGCAAGAACATCATCTTTAAGACTTAGACAGGAACTACTGCCACCTCTGCATGTCTCTTGGGATGTGAGTAAGCGGTGTGCCTTTCTGAGGCATTCGTATTGCAGCCTCCAGAGACACAGAGCAACATGAAGCCTTCCTGATGGCAATGAATAGTTTCCCACCTCATTTCCTTGTTGCCGCAGACATTCAAAGGGAATAAAAGGACAAAAACTCAGAGTCTTGTTGTGGTACCAAATGAAGGAGATCATAGGGACGTTAACAGTGATAAAGCAAAAAGCCCTGAAATCAGCGTTTCTCAAAGTGACCTCTGCAGAGCAGCAAGCCTGGGTCGTGAGATGAGATATTTGGCTAAGCAAATGGGGGAAGCACTATACTATCCCAGTTTTAGACATCCTCCCTTGCACATTGATATATCAAAAGCATTGGAGAAAATTGCCATTAAAGAAAGAAAAACAAACTTGCATTTGATGTAACCTAACGTATTGCATAACACTCATAAAAATAAATGTGTGTAAATATTTGCCTTAGTGATATTCTTCAAGGACACTGTGTCCAATTTCTGCTGTATACTTATGAGGACATCCAAAATGGTTAGCATTCTTGGGGACTCAAATAACCTTGGATGACCCCGTTTATCACTAGCTCCCTGTCTGAGCATGCACACTGTCAATACTTCCATCTAGGTGAATCAGGTTAAAGGGGGAATAAAAGACTGCCTAAAAAGAAAGCATATTTACCAACAAAAAAGATACTCATTAATCTTTTCATTTTTGAATTTGTATTCCTTTGAAAGTATGATGAATGCAACAGGGCACAAAAACAATTTGGCAAACAATTTAAGAAAGTGTATAGAGAGCCCTCAAATGTCCAATGGACCACTCCAACCAAGTTAACAAATCTCTAAACAGAAATTAGAAACAAACAAAATGTTATCAGGTAATATCTTGGGAGAAACCAATAAAACTCTTTCATGGACACTTACTAAATGGAGACGCAAAGGAAAGAGCAACCATTAAATGGCATATCAGTATTAACTGTCAAGAATGTGCTCAAAATATACGAGGAAGAAAAGAACTCACATTTTACTGACAGGAAATAGGATAGTTAAGAGGTTACTCAAGCTGACATTCCTAGAGTAGAGCTGGTTAACTCCAGTTCTGTTTGATTCTGGAAAGCATTCCCCCATGACACCATGCTGCCAGTTTAAACAGAACAACATAGATGGGTAGCAAGTGTCTCTAGCTTCAAGGAGCAATTTATTTGGGGAAGATTAAAGATATGCATATGACAAGAATACTAGTAAAACAGGCAGAATGTGTTAGAGACACAGAGAAATCGTGCTAAATAAAATAAAGAAATGAATGTTTCAGTGTAGCTTGGAAATGTTTATGACGGAGCTAAGCAAAGAAGTCCTGTGTGTGTGCGTGTGCATGTGCCTGAGTGTGTGTATGCACATGTGCATGCTTGTGCTAGAGGAGCAGTATAAAGACACTGAGAGCACCAGAAACAATGCTCTGGGCTTCCCTGATCCTGGGTCTAAGTGGCATGAAGGCAGGTACTAGCTCTTTACCACTATTGAACACTGTCTACACACAACAGACACTCAATAAATACCATGGAGTGCAAGGAACGATAGAGCTGAAAAAAGAGAGGAGGGCTGAGTAAGGAGTCTGTACCTTGAACCATTTACAGCTGAGTCACTGACTGCACTTTTTCATGCACCAGGGACACAGAGAAAACCTAGATAACATGGAGGTCATCGCAGGAGGCGTGGAGTGCTTCCAGAGCAACAGAATTAATGAGGTTCAGTTGGGCTGCAGCCTTACTACTTGATTGGGTTTAGGCACCAGTGTTAGAATCCAGTATCTCTCCTAGGGATGAATTCCAATATGATTATACACAATATGCAGGTCATGTGAAGTGATGTTGAATGGGAAAATGTATGTGAAGTCGGACAGAACTTGGCTTTGGCCAGATCCGTCCAAGCTCTCTGTGTACCAGTGATAAGCCTTGGGTAAGATACTTCACCTGTCCCAGTTTCACTTTCTCCTCTGTAAAATAAGGATCTAAACACTGACCTTCTGACTTGAAGACTGTAAGTCCTAGAGGCAGTCTCCCTGAGTGGACATTTCACTTTCCAGCTATGTGACTACCCTTCGGTGCCTCTATTTCCTTACCTGTAAACATTCAGCATATTTTACCATGTGGGGTTATTATGAAGATTAAGGCACTAATAGATGTAAATAGCTCGGTATTGTTTCTAGTCTGTAGTAAGTGTTGGATAAATGTTAGGCCATCCTCATCACTTGTCTTGGTCTTATTTTTGCTGTTATCTAGTAAACACTCGATTCTTAGGCTGTGATTGATACTTAAGATGGATCATTTGAACAAGCCGCTCTCTCAAAGCTGTTCTAGGAATTTCTCAGATTTCTGTATCAAAGAAATTTCTTACAATTGGAGACCTTAATGGCCATTCAAGGCCATGTTTTCACTCAAGAAAAAAATGTGTGCCCAAGGCTACATCTCCTTTCCCAGTCCAGCCTCAGCCTTTCTTCACTTCCTCTGTACAAGGCATGGTATCACTCAGGGGATGTTGAGGCATGTCAGTGGAGCTTTTGTCATTATGAAACCATTTTTTAATCCCTATGTCTAAAATGTCCCCTTGGCATTAAAAACCCAATTGTCTTCTTTTCTTGTACGAAAATGTCTAAAATGTCCCCTTAGCATTAAAAACCCAATCGTCTTCTTTTCTTGCAACTTGACCTGGTAGGAACATGATTAGTTAATTGCTGTGGGCACCTGACATTTCAAGGAAAAAATGAATACTTCAGCCACCTTCTTTCTGATGCAAAGGAAAATGATTAAGCTTCAGTGGTTTCTCAGCAGGAGGCGGCTGTTGTCAGGTGGCTATTCAGAGCCTTGCAAATTCTAGATATTAACCTGTTATTCTCTGTTTTTTTTTTTTTTTTCTCTCTTTTGTGAGCAGATCTCAGGGGAGGTGGAGGAAAGGACAAAGGGAAAGGCTCTGAGTAATTTCTTCAAAATCTGTATTCTTTGTATTAAAAATGTTCATTCCTATTAATTCCAGATTGTTTGCAATGTGCCTACTTTGCCACTGGCAAATTGTGACATCTCTGAAGTTTTCCTTTTCTGTCATTGTCTTTTATCTTCTAGAAGACTTTTTCCCTTTTGGGGGGCTCTTTCCCACTCTCTTCAGCACCCCAGAGCTCACACTCACTCCGTCAGGTGCTAGAAAAGGGCACACCACTCAGGCACATTTAGGTTAAATTTCCAGCATCTAGAATAAAGCTGTCCCCTCCTCCCCTCCCTGAGGATGTTCAGGGTAATGAGGATCTCAGAGCCTTTCTTTCTTCATCTTTTCTGGGTCATGGATGCGTTTTGGAAATTGGGTGAAATATAAATACCTTTATCCAAGAAAAATGCAAATATGCAGATATACACACAGTGATGAGTGCACAATTTCAGGGGATTCACAACACCTCTTAAACAAAGAATGTGAATTTTTAAGGGTCCTAATGTGGCACCCATAGCAAGACTCTCTGTGAGAGGCCTGCCAAGGGGGAAGTGGAGGAATGGCCTTTCTGTCAATATTACTTCATTCTACCTTCTTCCCCAACACATAAAGCCAGTAATAGAGATTGTCTAAAAACTGTCATTAGAATAAAAAGAAGGTTATTAATATTATTATTGTCTACACAGTGCATTTTTAAAATCGGAGGGTGTTAAGAGATAAGACATTACATACAACTATAACATCATTCTGTGTTGTAACACTATCTAGTAACTCTGGCTTAAAGAAAACCAGGCCTGGTGCGGTGGCACTTTGGGAGGCCAAGTCGGGTGGATCTTTGAGGTCAGGAGTTCAAGACCAGCCTGACCAACATGGTGAGTCCCCATCTCTACTAAAAATATAAAAATTTGCCAGGCCTGGTGGTGGGCACCTGTAATCCCAGCTACTTGGGAGGCTGAGGCAGGAGAATCACTTGAACCTGGGAGGTGGAGTTTACAGTGAACGAGATTGCACCATTGCTCTCCAGCCTGTGTGACAGAGCTAGATTCCATCTCAAAATTTAAAAAAAAAAAAAAAAGGAAAAGAAAAGAAAATCAAAGTTTGGCGAAAGACATTTATTTTCAAATGAAGGCCAATGTGGAAGACTTACCTAGACCCACAGAAATTGAATCAGGGGTATTTGTTATTAAGCTTGCTTGTTTGCTTTTTCCCTGAGGCATCTTGAAGTGGGAAAACAGTGAATTCATTGATATCAAGTTTCTGTGAACACATTTTGGAGCCAGAGACATATTTGAAATCTCATGTTTTATTTGAAAGTTTCCTGAAATTTTGTATTCTACTCCAGAACATATTTGTATTTTTTAAGATATACACATAATGTGTATTTCTTACTCTTTGGATGAAATTGACATTCCAGGAAGATGGGCCTCACTTATTCATGTGTGTGTGTGTGTGTGTGTGTGTGTGTGTGTGTGTGTGTGTTTCCTCACTACCATTGCTTCCGTCTGTGGCGGGGTTGGGATTACAGCTACAATTAAGAAGTTTAGTTTCTGAGATAAGGTCAACCTGAAGGATATGTGTCCTCAAACATGCCAAGATCATTTCACAGCATCCACCATCATGACAGTTGAGGAGATATAAGCAACCATATGGCTTTATGAAATATTTAAGCAAGAGAAAAAGCACACTGGGGAACTATCAGAAAAGAGCCAATATAAATCATCACCTCCATAAGGGTGGCCGTGGGAAGGTGGAACCCAAGACCTGTGGGACTCTCTGTAGTCCACAGTTTGAAAAAAAATAGCCATGGTTTATATTCAGAAATTGAATGTCTTTCTTTACCAATATCTAAGACCAGTTCCTGGTTTAGAATTGGTGTTCTAAAAATATTTGTAAAATGAATACAATTTCCCCCAATTAATTAGAATGATATATTGACAAACTGCTAGGAGCTCACATCCTACCTGGGTTGTGAAATCTTTTCTCCAGCGTAAAGGACACAGTACTTTGGGTTCAGAGACCAGGGCTGGATTTCAGGCAAACTATTTAATAATTGTATAAAGTTAAGAAAGTTACTTGGACACTCTAAACATAAATTTATTCATCTAAAAAGTAAGAATAATGGTATTAACCATATAGGGTCATGAGCCAGATTAGTAGTAATGTATGTCAATGATAAGATCTGGCACACCGTAAGCAGTACTCCTATTGCTATAGACAGAGGCTATATTAAATGTAATTCTTCTCATTGATTGCAGTTCAATGTACTCTGAATGAAAATAGAAGTGGAAGCCAATAAAAGACAGCATATAATACAGGGCTTAAAGATGTAATGTATACTGTACAAGCATTAAGGATTTAGAGGACAGTCATACTAATTAAGACTAGAGAAGAGAGGACAAGAACTGGCCCATGGGGAAGATCTGGGCAGATAAAGGTAAGATGTGAGTTCAAAGTTCACTTAATTTGGGAGAAACCCAAAATTGTACCAGTTATCCCTGAAAAAAGTAAAGAGACTGATTTACATTAGTTGAGGGCCAAGTAAGTGAAAGAGTGAGTGAGAGAAAGTAGAGACAATGTCCTTTCCACAACACAATTTTTTGGTACTTTCATTTTAGACTTTGAGGTTTATGTTGTTGTAAACTTCACTGAATCTTCTCTCCCACCCAGGATTCCTTATGACCATCACATTGTAGCCCACACAGGTTGGTAAGCACAAATCAGGATTGCATTCTATTCCAGACATCATATTTTAAAGAAAACATTGGCAAAATGGAATACACTACAAATAGGAGAACATGATGATGGGAAGTCCAAGGGAAAGGAATCATGTCATAGAAAAAATTAAGTAAAAGAAGATATAAAAAGATTGAAAAGATTGAGAGAAGTGTGGTGGCTATCGTTAGGTATTTGTGGAATAATTATGATGAAGACAAAGAAGGCTTGGTTTGAGATGTCCAGTGAGTAGAGCTAAGGAGAGTGGTTTGGTGGTACTTGAAGCAGACTTATGTACAGTGGAAGAAAGAATGTCCTACCAACTATAATTTTTGTTGAGGAACTGAGCTGTCTTGTGAGGTCCCACCTCTTCACTTAGGAGGTTAAGTAAAATAGAATAGTCAACTATCTGGAATGTTTTAGGGAATGTGGTGATCTATATACATTATGCAGGGTAGGCTGGACTACATCACTTCCAAGGTCCTTTTCCCAACCCAGCAGTCTCTTACTTCTGATTTTATCACTTTCCTTTTTCAAAAGGCAGACATCCAGTAGAGACCAAGGCCATCCATCTTCTTTCCATTGAAAAGACAAATTAAAGACTATTTCTAATGTAATTGATGTTAAAAATTGAATATTGGACTGGAGAAGATAAGCAATCAAAGCCAGGATTATTATCTAACTGATCTTTGAGCTCTAAATAAGGTAGAGAGTGTCATCTAAATAGATTGGTTCATGGCCTTTCCTGAGTCACGTAGTTACGTCACCTCCAAAGCATAGGCAACTTCGGCACCTTTAGTTTTTATCCCATTTTTCAAACATAGATGATAGATAGATAGATAGATAGATAGATAGATAGATAGATAGATAGATGATAGAGAGTTACGCTTATGCAAGAGGGGGTCTACAAAAAGAAAAAATTTGACAGAATGTGCTTTACTATAAACAGACTTCAGTGATTGCATTATAGCACATGCACCCTGCCAAAAGATGTCCTGACCAGATAATTTTTAAACAGAGGTAGAAATTTAAACCAACCTTAAAAATGCTTTGAAAACCTAAAACTGGTATAAAATTTACCTTTGCAGTTCCTAGTCCAGGATACGTACCCCAAGTCCAGGATATGTACCCTCAGTCCCTCTTTGCACTGTGCCCATGTCCTCCATGTTATCCTTGTCTGTCTAAAGCCTATGAGGACAGTACAGCCAGGCCATTACTCCTCCAAATAATGAAAAGTATAATAAATATGATTTCAGCAAAATCATGGTTACACCTTCTTAAAAATATTCTTTATCTCATGTTATTCACAATAGAAAATAGTTGGGGAGGGTATCATCACCTTTTTTGGGAAAAGGTGTGAAATAATGAAAAGGAATTTATATAGCCAGTAAGCAGAACCAGGATGAAAGTATATGTCATCATATTTCTCTTCTATTTTATATATCTCTCTATAAGTCTAAATGCTGGAAGAAAACCTCTTTTAAAAATTTTTAATTGGCTGGGCATGGTGGCTCATGCCGGTAATCCCAGCACTTTGCGGGGCCGAGGCAGGTGGGTCACCTAATGTCAGGAGTGTAAGACCAGCCTGGCCAACATGGTGAAAACCCTTCTCTACTGAAAATACAGAAATTAGTTGGGCATGGTGTCTCACACCTGTAATCCCAGCTATTCGGAGGCTGAGGCAGAAGAATCACTTGAACCCAGGAGATGGTGGTTGCAGTGAGGTGAGATGGCCCCACTGCACTCCAGCCTGGGCAACAGAGTGAGACTCTGTCTCAAATTATATATATATATATATGTAATTTGACACATCATGATGCATAAATCACTAATAGATCTAAACTAGTCTCTCAACCCTTGATTATCTTCACATTTTGAGCTACATAATTATCTGTTGTGGGAGACAAAAGACAACATATAATACAATGTGTGTTGTAGAATGTTCCTTTCCAATATCTCTGATCTCTATTCACTATATGCCAATAGAAACCCCCAAGCTGTGACAACCAAAAATGTCTCCAGACCCTACCATATGTCCCCTGGGGCAAAGTTACATCTGATTGAAAACCACTAATCTGACTCCACGTTAATTCCTTTTTAAAAAAAGAAGCACAAACTAAACTAATTGACAGTAAGTGTATATGTTTGCTATGTGTAGGATGTGTGCCTATACACATGCAAATAATGCATGAAGAAACCACCCAATGTCTTTGGCTTCTTCTAGGACTCAAACCTTCCCAGCACATAAAAGCAGTGGATGGTGTGTAAAATGAGACTTTCATTGGCCATCAAGTGAGGTATTTTTATTTCCTCATACACAAAATGACATCATTTCCTGATGAACCACAAAACACTTAGCTATAGGAACCCAATAAGTCAAATTGAATTTGCCAACAAAAATTGATATTTATGCAGAAGACATAGAAATCTTTACTCTAAACAATGTATCAACAAGGGTGAGAACATCAATAGAGTTATGCATTCTCCCCTAGGATTGATTTTGTTTCAGTTGCTCAGATGTTTTTTGGATTAACTTTACTAATGAATTTTTACAGTGGTTGATTCCCTTGACTACTAAGCCACAGTCTGTGCTTAATTATGATATGTTTGCCTAAGTCCAGGTCTTTTCTCAGACCATTCATGGCTAGGAAAGATTTGTGGGGATGACAAACTAATACTCCTTGTTTGTAAAGGACAAAACCAAGAATGCACTGCCTATGAATATTTGTATAGAAAAGCATAGATGAATTCCACTCATATACAACAAAATACAGCAACTGTCACCATTATACTTGTATTTAAATGCCTTATTTTAAGGTTGAACATTTCTCAGTATATATATTGTGACCCAGTACGCAAAATTAATGCAACAGTTATAATAAGAACAACAGGAAATATTTCTATTGTAGTCTCACAATTTTAGAATTTGTGGTTTGATATATTAAAAGCTCTCTACCAAAGATGTCTCTGTCTTCTGCCAGTAAAGAAGTAAGCACTGTTACACACACACACACACACACACACACACACACACAGAGGCATACAGAGGCACACAGGCACACACAGGCACACAGAATTGAACATATTATATTTGTATGAACATACATATATATATGTACAAACACATTATATTTACAAAACACATGGCATACTGTAAGGTTATCTGAAAACGACGAATCAATACCTCAAAACCAAAGGAACTACTGTGTAATTTTATGTCTCTTCCTGTATTCTTTATATAATTAGATAATTGTTGAAGGAGCTTTGTGTTTTTCAGGTAACAGTATCTTGCCCTAAATAAACTCCAAGGCCAAGGTGCTCACTAATCCAATGTGTACTTACTATCCATATGATCAAATATCACGATCTCCTGATTGTGGTATTGAAATGTCAAGCCGAATACATTTGAAGTTCACAGTCTATCTGTTAGGCAAAAGAACCATGTGAAAGAGGTATAAAAATAACCACAGTAAATCAGAATGCAAAGAATGATTATTGAACGCCACCCTGAAACAAGCAGACACGGTGGAGCATGTCTGCACACCTCCCAACAGCATTTGATTTCAGAAAATAAGTAGATATTAATTTCCATCCAAATGACCATTTCAATTCATCATCTAGAGAGGTAAATATTCACAAAGGTGACACCTAAGTCAATATTGACCTTGGGGGATAATAAATCTTGACAGTTACCAGAACAAGTGGTTTACATAGCGGATATGCACATGTACAATTCCACCAGGTGCACTAACCATGAAAAAAAACTAAAAATAAATCATTAAAAATCTGAGCATGCATATATATGTGTGCATACTATTTAATATTAGTAAATTATTTTGAGTAATCCATTAAATATACCATCCTATATTTAATTATTGCTCATATTAAATTTTATTACCCATACAAAGCAGGGACATTTGGGATTCACTGGGGGGAGGAGAGAGCGCAGTGTAGACCTAAATAAAAGGATTTTGTGATGAATGGCACCCGAAGTAAACACTCAAGGATGTGTTTAAAATTAATATTCTGACCAGAATCAGAAATGAAGACTGAATCCAGGTGTGTGACAATTTTATTTAATTTGTATACTTTCATCACTTCTACTCACATTACTTAACATCAGGGAGCACTGAGATAGCCTCGCTGATGGAGCCCAAAGGTCCATTTATTTCACAGATGTTGGGAGACAGAGGCTTGAAGCGGTGGAGGGAGCACTGCACTATAAGCCAACACTCAGGGGTTTGCCCCGTATTATCCCTCATCCAGGCTTTCTGTCTATGCTTGGGTTTCACCTAACCTGTTGTGCTTCAATTCAATTTATTAAGTAGTTATTTTGCCATTTACTGTGCTATATATGGGCAATTTAATCACAGCTAACATGAGATTCCTTTTTTGGAGGAGGTCCCAAGGGAATGCCTGGAATGCAGGTAGATAATGCAAGCGCTTTCACAAAACAGTTATTTAAAATACAAACAGCTATTAACCACAAACTAAGGATATCAAGATAAGGACACAAGTATTTGACAAGCTACCATCTTTTCAAATCAGTAAATTCCAATAAGATTGTCTTGCCCTGACACTCATATGAATGGTAGCAAGATATATCAGATTTACAATGGTTTAGAATAAAGCGTCTGCTTATTTAGTGTAACTTAGGGCAGAGATCATATTTGAAGTATTTCCCAGCCTGGACATCAGCTCCCGGACCAATACAAGCAGAGGCAGGTGGGGCACACCCAGTGTGGCTCTGCTGCTGTGCACCAGCCAGGCATGGACCATGACTGAGGTGGGATTCCATCCCCACTCTTCCTCAAATGTTCTTGTACCTAGTTGCTTTTGCGTGAAATTGTAGGCTTAGAGATTCCTGCAATTAAGAATAAGGCAGAAGTCTTCACACGGTACCTACATGAAGAATCAGAAGAAGGGCAGGCTGGATGGTAGGATTCTAGGCCCTTCATTCTATTTTCTTCAAAGCCGCTCTTGTAATTTATTTTACATATTAAAATCATATGTAAGATTTCATTTAGTAAACCAAAAGTTCTGCTTTTAAAACAAAATTTAAATATTTAAGGCTTCATTCCTTGAAAGGCTAATTATTTTTGAGAGCTAGAACACTACATTGATTAATTGCCTCAGTGTGAAAAGCCTCAGAATACTCTGTGTCCTTTTTTGATAGCTCCCGTTGTTGATGCAGAAGAGAGGCAAGACTGTAAGGCACTGGACATTGAACAAATTATTTTGCCTCTCTAAACCCAAGCAAGCAGGTCCTCTGAGTCAAGACAATAGCTGAAATAGAAGATACAGGAGACCCAAAGACAGGCCTCACAACCAAGCCAAGCAGCAGGCCTAAGTTCTCAAACTCATGAGAACTTGAGAATAAAACAAAGCATTTACTACTGTGGTTTTCTATACAGCTGACAATGAAAGCAGGTATGTACAAGCACTGGTCCTTGCCTACCAACGGGATCCTCCGAAGCCAGTCGGACAGGGTCCCATCACTGAGCACTAGTCAGTGATAATCAGTGGTGAAAAATAATGGAATTGGGTATACACTTGTCAAACCTAACCTTCTGTCTATCCCTATTGGGTAAAAAGAGCTTACAGTCTGGATTTGGGGATGAATCTTGCAGCGTGAAGACAAAGAACAGATCTGAATGCATCCAATAATTACCTTGTTTGAAACTATTATCTTAGTGTCAGGAATAAGGTTTTTCTAATTAGTACAAAATTTTATTGTTTATTTAATTGGTCTATATAAATTGTATGTATTTGTGGAGTACAACATAATGTTTTGATATATGTATACAGTGTGAAATGGTAAAAATATTTAAATCTTACTCTCAGCAATTCTCAAGTATATAATACATTATTGTTAAGTATAGTCACCTTGCTGTACAAAAGATCTCTAGAACTTATTCCGCCTTTCTAAGTGAAACTTTGTACCCTTTGACCAACATCTCCCATCCCTCCCCACACCTACAGCTCCTGGCAACAACCATCCTACCTCCTGCTTCTAGGAATTTGAATTTTTTAGATTCCACATATAAGTGAGTTTGTGTAGCATTTGTCTTTCTGTGACTGGCTTGTTTCACTTGACATAATGTCCTCCAGGTTAATCTATGTTGTCACAAATGACAGAATTTCCTTCTTTTTCAAGGTTGACTAGATTCTGTTGTGTTTTTATACTGTGCACTTTTTATCCATTAATCTGCTAATGAACACTTAGGTTAGTTTCATGACTTGACTATTGTAGATAATGCTGCAATGAACATGGGAGAGCAGAATTTAAAGATAAAATCCATGAAACAAATTCTAGGGCTGCAGTATTCTTTAGGGGTGAAATATTATGTAGTGATAAAAATACTGCACTTAGTGACAGGAGGAGTCTCAGGAACAGACACTAATAGTGGGCAGTGATCATGGAATCCACAAGGCCATCAGTGAAAGCATGAAGCCTGGCCACAAAAAGTTGGTGAAAAGCTTTAGTGAGCAATACAAGCAACTTTTATAAACAGCTAACCTACAGGAACTGGTTGACATAGTGACTTCTAGATATGGGGAAGGAGCCTTCTGCAAGACTGGAATAAGATGGCCTGAAGATTGGGGCAGAATCTGTGGGTCTAGACACATGAGGGTTTTCTCACCCTGGATTATAGGGAAAGACTGTCTTTGCTAGGACGAATTATCTGCTGGAGTTTAACAATAGCTAAGTCTTTGTGTTGAGTTCACTGAAACAGCAGATAAAATTTTTCAAAGTATGAGTTTTGGAGCCAAGGAAAAGTGGGTTAAAATCCCAGTGTGACCACCTATAGCTATATAATCTTGGGTAAATTACCACACCATCCAAGCCAGTATATCCTCAGCCTAGAATGGGGAAAAGAACAACTGTCTCTTAGGACTGTTGGTAACAAATAGAGTAAAATCTTACCAAGTACCAACCTTGGCACAGAGTGTAGGTTTGAAACCCTGCCGAGAAAGAAGCACATTACTTAACTTTATCTCTAATCTCCAGTGTTCCAGCATTCCAATCTGCTTGGTTTCATTTCTTTGGATTGTGTCAAAGGGTTCCTGATTGTTGCAGAATCAGAGGCATTAATCTTTTAATATCCTGGTGGTTTCAGCCTATCAGAAAGCATCTGCCCTGGTTGACCCCATTACTGTCAACTGACAGAGCACATTCACTCAAAGGTACAACTCATGGATGTGGCAGCATAGTCCCAGGTGACCGTAACAGGGGCGAGCAGTATCTGAAGACTTGGGGTGGGACTGGGGTTTCTTGTAACCCACAGCTCATCCAAAACTTAGTGAACAGTTTCTGTTCACTAAGCCAGTCTGTGGGTTTCCTTTTCCCTTGTGAATTAATAAGTCCTTCTTACTCCCCATTATTGATTAATGATAATATGCGGTTCACAGATTAAGAGTTCATCCTGGGAGGCCGGGCGCGGTGGCTCACGCCTGTAATCCCAGCACTTTGGGAGGCCGAGGCGGGTGGATCATGAGGTCAGGAGATCGAGACCATCCTGGCTAACAAGGTGAAACCCCGTCTCTACTAAAAATACAAAAAATTAGCCGGGCGCGGTGGCGGGCGCCTGTAGTCCCAGCTACTCGGGAGGCTGAGGCAGGAGAATGGCGTGAACCCGGGAAGCGGAGCTTGCAGTGAGCCGAGATTGCGCCACTGCAGTCCGCAGTCCGGCCTGGGCGACAGAGCGAGACTCCGTCTCAAAAAAAAAAAAAAAAAAAAAAAAAGAGTTCATCCTGGGAAATGCAGCAACCTGTTGTTCTGAGATGAGGAGAGAGACCACGAAGTAGGACTCTGTGACACAGGAATACTGGAAAACATAAATGTGGAGAAAGAGCCAAAAAACTGAAGCCTTTGCCCCTGGGATTATGCAGCCCTCTGCTATGGGTTAAGCTAATAAACTTGGGTCATCAATTTTAATTGGGGATTTGGGGAAAATATTTTATTATAGTATAAACATGGATATAATATGGAGCTGAATGCAAATTTGCCTGAGTGTTGAAGATAAAATTTAAGAAATTACATGCTTCAGTGGCCATTTGAAGCTGAGCTCATAGAATCCCCTGGGTTCCCGTGCACTCTATTTCCCGGTGAGCAGCACTTCAGTGGAAAGTTTGAAAAGCATTAACTTATGCCATAAAACATAAAAACAAGACATTTAGTAAAAGTTAATTGCAACAGGAAGAGTGAGGGAAGGGAGGTAGAAGGAAGAGATGGAGAGGAAGAAGATAGAAAGGAAAGGAGTAGAAGAACATGGGGAAGAGAGACGAGAGGAAAGAGAAGGAAGAAAAGAGGATTAGAAAGAAAGCAGATCAGCAACTTGGGGAAGAATATTGAAAATAAAGGAGCAGGGGGAAAAGACTTAAAAAATAAGAGATACTTCATACATGGAGCAAGAGTAAAGGAATGATGGAAGGGTGAGTCACAGTGCTATGACCTTCCTTTGAGATGGTACAGTTACCTTTTGTTTTGGTTTTCTCTGGAGCTATGTGGATGGCAATTCTAATCTTTCTTCTTATCAAGTGTTTTGTCATGAACAAAAATATTTCAGAAGTGTACAGATAAATGGATGGGCACTAGGCATTTCATAAATATCTGAAGAAGGAAGGAAGGAAGGGAGGGAGGGGAGGGGAGGGGAGGGGAGGGAGGACTTGTGGATAACATGTCTTAATAACTCATCATGATGCAGTACCTGATTTTTAACCCAAAATCAACAGGAAAATAGGAATACTTAATGCCATTTATTCACCAGAAACAGACTTCAGTAGTACACAGGAGGGTAATGTGGCTCTCTCAACTTTCCAATTCTAGGTCCATCTGCCTGAATCTCCTGCAAATGGTGGTCTTAGGGAGCTGAGAACATTGTCACACACACTCCTTCCCAGGATCATGGGTTTACCTAAGGTCTGTTTAAGGATCTTTCTGCCATAATGCTGACATCTTCTCCATTGCCCTCTTCAGTTTTTTGGAGGGGCTGTGCTCCTCACTTCTCTAGATGAAGCTTGTTTCCCCCACTCTTATGGGGCTCCTTTTGTGAGTTTCTCAGCTAGCAGTTTCACTGGCCAAGGCCTAGAAGCAGTGATTATGCTATGACCCAACCCAGGAACTAAGTGAGGGATCCAGAACGGTGATATTTCTCTGCCAGGTGAAGGTAGACTCTACTCATTGTCTGTTTACATGGGAGATAAAATGAGAACAAATTTGTATTTGTCTTAGCAGTGACTCACCCATCCGATTACCCAGATGAAGGGGAAGTGGGCCAGACTTTGTTTGAAAATGGAAATGTAGCTGTCCTTGCCCTACACTGTATTATTAGTTATTATGAGAAAATCCATGCTGAGTTTCATTAATAATTATAACAGGTATAATGATTGGATGTCCACATTATATGTATTTTATGCAGAGCCACTCATACTTACAGACTTTGCAAGGTGCATGTTAGTATACACAGAACATATTCACAGAATGAGAATTAAATCAATCCCAAACTGTGTGACATATGCCCTTCTCACTGTCCTTTTTCATCTCCCCATTGGCCATCTACTGTACTTTTGGCCATGTAATATGAGGGAGGGTTTCAGCCTGGGCAAAAATAGGAAAGCAGCAACACTTGTTTTGCACACCTAGAACATCCCTGTTCTTTCTCCTTCCAGATTCAAAACATTATCCTCCCTTTTCCAGATACCCAGTACTATCTCTTTCACACACTTTTTTTTTTTTCTGGAAAAGGTCTGTTTCTCTGTCAAGTACAGTATAGATTTGCTTTCCTATACTCAGTGGGGTTCTGTGTCTTAAAGCTTATCTATATGAATTGGAAGGCTCCCTTCCCCACACAACTCTACCCATATTTACAGATTCAGGAGATTAATGGAGTTAGCAGAAGGGTTGTTTGGGGACAGAGTTGGATGGAGCATTGCAATCAAGGGGCCTTCCCAGGTTCCCTGTGGCACCAGGCCCATGTCTGGCCTGCATCAGTAACAGGTCTTGTCTGGAAGTTTCACTTTTGATGACTATGCCCATGTTGTTTAGCAAGGCAGCACTGGAATCTCAAAGACTTCTTACCCTTTTATCGTACATCTGAAAGAGAATCATCTCCTCAGGGAAAAGTCAATGGTAATACACAAACCACATGGTCACAAGATAGAAGAAAAGGAATGGGGAAGAGAAGAAGAAAGTGTGAGAAGAAGGGAGGGAGGGGAAAACAGAGATACAACTGAACCCACCTATTCAGTAAATAGTGGCCTAGACTAATACCTACATAACATCAGTCTGTTTGGCACATTTCTTTAGACTGCTATTTGCTTTGGATTGCCTTTAGAAGGATATTTCTGCTTCTAAAGGTGGATAGTTAAAAATAATATAACTCACAAGCAGTGTTTTGGCATTTCCCTTCACTTTCTTTCTATCTTCAACATTACTGTTGTCATCCTTTAAAACTCTATCAATTCAGCTGATCCTGTGAACAGATGGCATTAATCAACCCCCAAGAATATGCACAAAAGCAATTAGAAATGTAGAGACATGGAATTTACGCCAGCAAATCAATTACCAATGATAGCACATCAGCGTAGCACACCCAACTTCCCCTTGTTTCTCTTTCCACTGAGCAGCCCCTGATAGCAGTAATGATCCCTGGTTTATCCCCCTGTCAGAGGGGGAATGAGAACTGGGATGTTGAGGTTTAATTACACATTCCTTAATGACTAGTTCTCACTCTGCTGACAAAAACCAGCATAATTTACAGACTAGAAGATGCATCAGGATGATGGATAGAGACAGCATGTGCTATACAATGTCATGCAAATATGAAATATACTGCACTGAGAATATGGTCGTTTGGTATTCCCAGAGAAGAACTTCATTTCAGAGAACTGAGTACCTTTTCTAGCATCTATCCCTCTCATTTGTCAAAAACAATCGAAACAGCTATAGAATACATTTTACAAATGTAAAATGTATTCTATACATTATGCAGAATACAAATCTGTACCTTCTGTGAGTTTACTAGCTCATATATGCCTAGGTCTTAAATTTACTTGGCCATTATTTTTTTTTCCAATGCTGTGTAACTTTTGTAGATTCAGATATATCTATCCTTCTTTATTTAAGGTCTTACTAATTGTCACTTGAGTTATTGTAATCATCTCTTAACTGGTTTTCTTGCCACCAGTCTTGGTCTATTCCAGTCTATCCTTCACAGAGTAATTTTTTTAAAGCAAAAAAATCTGACTATAATCATTACCTGTATAAAAACATTCAATGAATCTCCATAGCTTTAAAAATAAAAGACTCTCATGCTTACCTACAACTCTAATTTTTTCTTCTATCCTTCTACCAAGTAATAACTGCCCCCCTCCCATTTCTCCAGCTAGCAAAATCTGACAGTTGAAATCTTAGATGAATTTGTTTTTCCTCAAAGAGCATACTTTGATGCCCCAGCCAGTATGAGATGCTCATTTTGTGCCTTAAAGTGCATGCCGTGTTTACCTTTATCATAGCATTTATCACTCTGACATGACTAAAGGTTTATTTTTCTAACTACCAAGTGTTCAAAGTTTCTTGAGGTTATGGACTATATTTTCTTATTCATTATTATTTCTCCAGATTCATAGACAAACTTGAGTTTAGCAAAGAGAAACTGTAGTTCTAAAATAATGTTTTCAAATGCATAACACACAAAAAAACTATTAACATTTAAATCTGCTCTTGACCACAGCTTAAAAAGATGACATAGGATTCATGGAATCATGTTATCAGGGTAATGGTGTAGGCTTGCAATAAAAAAAGAGAGATCTTTTCAATAATTTATTAATAAAGCCCCATTGAGTATAACCCAAACTTCTCCTTTTTATACTGATCCTTGGGCTATAAAATAGTTTTTATAGCAATGTGATTATGTATTTTTTTTAGATTCTATAAGCAACACTCATTAAAATTCCATAAAGCAAGTTAATAAAATTGGCTCCAACTTGATACTGAAGTCAGTGGATGGAGAGGCTTCCTCTGTTAGGAACAAATGGCCATGTGATACATAAATAAGACCATCATAGCAATGAAGTCATGGAAATATGAAAGCTTCTATAGCTGCAGGGGCTCATTTTTCAGCTCCCGCATCCAATCAGGTGATCTGAACTTCTGTTCTTTCCTTTAATAGCTAACCGCTTCTTGGTATTTCCAAAACAGTAATGAGTTGTACTTGTTTCAAAAATAAACATAAAACAAATTTTAAAAGTAATACTCTAGCAATAGAGCCAAGAGAGAATTTTAGTTTAGAAATAAGCATTCTTAGCAGGAAACCAATCATTTATTCTCTCATCCTTTCACTTGCCCAATGTTTTACGCATTGAATATAGACTTTCAAATAAAATATGACCATCAGAGAACTTTGCATCCTAGTTGAGGAGACAAGGATTGTTAATACTATGGAAATGTAATATATAGGGACACTTGATATGCCTGAGAAAAATATTTCTGGGCATGTGTGTGTGTGTGTGTGTATGTATAGCGGGGAGAGAGTGAGAGAAGATAACAAAGAAAAAGGGTATTCTAGACCAAGCAGGCAGTCTATGAAAATAAATGCAAGATTTGAAACAACATAGCTTGTTTGTGGAATGTGAAGGAGTTTCATAACTTTGTGTTGGAGGAGTGGTGAAGATGAGGTTTAGCAGAGCCAGATCAGGGCCAGTCCTGTGCTAGGACAAGGAATTCATAACTACTAGTTAATTAATACTTGTTGGTCTGACATCTGTAGACTTACAACCCGTCATGTCAACATGTGCCTTTCATGGTACTGTGTGTTTCTGTATGTGTAGGAAAGGGATTCACAAGTCCTCATCAAGGCTATGTCCTTTCCCTATCAACTTTTTAAATCAAAGCTCATAAAAAATAAAGCATCAAGTGCTCATCCAGATGAGGCTCTTATCTTTGGTCATTGTGATGTTTAGCATTTTGCATCAAATCTAGATCTCCATTTTTTTTTTCTTTTAGATGTGACTCTGGAGTTGGCTGTGGTGCTAACTGCTACTCTCATGCCCTTTGCCATGGGTAGAGCTACAGAAATTAACCATAAAGAACCCATGTCAAGTTTCCACAGATATGTATATACACAGTGTCAAAGTGAATGTTTTGGAGTAAGTTTCATATCTTGCAAAGAGTTTGGTGTTTGATAATAGATAAATATAGGTCCAGATGTTGATTTTTTATTGTTTAGATCTGTGATCTTGAGGAAATCATTAACTTCTACTAACCTTGAATATGCTCATCTGTAAACTGGATCTGTAAGTATACCTAGCTGTACTGCCTTGGTAATTTATGTGGACACAATATGAGGTGAGAGATAAGTGTATAGAAGTTGGTAAGAATTAAAACCCTACTATATTGTTATTCTAATTATAATTGCTTTACAATGTTAGAATATAATCATCCCAGAAATATCCAAATAAAATGACCAGTAGGCAATATCAGCATTTAAAGACAAATTACATTAAAAGTAAATAGGATGTTAATAATAATGATCTAATCCATTTTCTTCGTTGCATACAGCAAGATCATTGGGGTAACTAAGTAACCTCTACAAGGTCACCATCCAGAAAGTGGCAGAGTTTTGATGAATGAAGAAACCTTCCCTTATGAATTAAAAATGTCATTATTGGCTCCAAATATGTACACTGCAACCTTTCAATAAAGTCCTATTGAGTGAATTCCAATTGTCCTCTGGGATTTTAGGTAACTAGATCTTTTCTCCACCTTCTCATCTAAGGGGGATAATTATCATTGTATACACAGGAAATATTTGAGTGAAGTTCTGGCTTATCAACTCGAAGACTCTGAATCACCAACTGAAGGTTTCAGGGGCATTTCAAATGATATCGCATTACTTTGTTTTTTTAACAAATGGGCATTAAGAAATAAAGTGATTCAGTAAAGGGAAACCGAGATCCAGTAAAGAAAGCAATGAAATTGGGCAGAGGAACAAAGGAAAAAGAAAGAAAACTGCAATTTAGAGGATAGTCATTCATTAGAACAAAAATAAAGCAAGGAGAGAGTAAGGTTTTCGTAATAAAACTAATTTTTTCATAATTTTGAACTTGTGTGGAAATCGCTAGTCCAGGGTTTGGTATACATTTCCCAATTGCAGAAATATCAATTTAGTTTTGAGATGGGGGACTATGGGAAGAGAAAGGAAAAAGAGCTCATAGGTACTGTCAAAGATAAGCCAATTCAACAAAAGGAAAATCTTTAGGACTCTTCCAAATGAGCATTGGAGTGCTTCCTTTACTTGTGGTGACTGTAAATGCCACAAAAAGTTGCTGCTGAAAAAACCAGCGTGATTGTTTATTTTTAATATTATCTATTGATTGAGTTTGTGCATAAGCTTCGGATAACTCAAAGTATAGTTCATCTCCTTATTTGAAGAGCTTTATGAATCTGATTGAAGTCCTCATATATCTTAGTTGAAATTCTACATATGATGAATGAGCTAGAATGAAGAGTTTTTGATCCCTCTCTCAATGCTGTATTTGTGTGACCCTAATATGTAGCAACAAACTTAGATACTGCACATGGAAATCATTCAAAGTGATGTATTGCTCAAAATTAAAGCTCTTTATAATCGCACAACTTATACTTATTGTTAAAAATAGTTAATAGTGACCCCATATGTGCTCCATGTATTCCTGCTATCTTCTGAATGCACATTTTATCAGTGCAATCATCTCTTACCATACTTAATATTTAAATAATTTTCTCAGTAACATATTTACCTGCTGTTCTGTTTTGGAGTAGACGCATACCTCAATTGCTGTTTTATACTCAAGCCTGTGAGCACTATAAGGTTGAATAACATAATAGGTATTTGAACGCTTAGCTGTGGCATAACTAGGGCTAGAACTCCTCAGCTCTTCTAACTCCCAGTTTCACTTTAACCAACTATCAAGTCATATCACTTCTTCTTATGTCAAAAGAGTTAATATTATATGTAAAATGATTTTTCATTAAACATTGGCCTACTATATCTACATTTGATGTTAACTAATTCCCTCAGGATAAACCCAGAGGAGGAATTGTAGCTATTTAATATCCTGAAAATCTGAAATGAGGGAATTTCTGCAGTTTTTATTACTGGTAAGTAATTATGTTCTCTGCACAGATTCATAATATCTGTACTGAAGCTGGCCCTTCTAACCTGACTTTATTTTAATTTTGTTTAATTAGAAACTTATAAAATCTATAATTGGGCAAGCATTCATCTTTCCTTTGAAGTTAAAAGCCCAGGTTTCGGTCAGATTATGAGAAATGTAAATGCATGTGCACACACACACACAAAACACACACATACACACCACACCATAGTAACAACCACCAACAACATATTATTATAAGAATAATAAAAACAATTAGAAGTTATGTATACCTGAACAAAGTCCACAGTGCAACTATATACTATGGAAAATATTGGGTTAGTAAATCCATTTTCAAGGCTACTGTCACAAATGTCACGACATATTACTTCAAAATATAGGAAGAATAATCTTGTAAAAAAATTTCCAAATAAACTTTTATAAAGTGACTATTTGAAAATAAATTGCTAATGTTCAGTATATGTATACAAATATTAATTGATTATAGATAAAAATAAACCCAAGTCCTATATTTAATGAATAAAGAGTGTGGTCAGTAGAAATCTAAAGGAATTGTGGAATTTTAATGCATATTTCTTAGAGCTTCTGCATCATAGGTTATGAAGACACCAAAATATATCAAGTTCAGAGCTAATTTTTTTCTGCTGTTCTATTATTCAATTAATAGATTTTGTACAGCATAATGATCATTAATAATTATTCCTTAAGAACGCTGACTTCAAAATATTTAGCAAGCAGTGAGCATTCAATTAAAATGTTGATTGGAAATAGGGAAATTAAACTGTCACTGATAAAATACTAAAGCTCATTATCACAAAGTTTCATTTTAAATGTTCAGAATTAGCTTTATTACTACATCGGTAATGATAAGCATGAGTCTTAAATCCATGTCATTTAGGTTTTATGAGCATTTTTAAAACACATTAACCATAATTCAATTAATTTACAAAAAATGCTATTCTAAAATATTTGTTTTATTGGCTCTTAAGAAAAGGTGTTGCATTAGAAAGTCCACAGCCATATGCGTGTGGAGTATGTTCTGTCTTTTTTATCCTTATCTCTCACCCCCACCTTTGTGGCTTTTCAAAGTATTCACTCTTCTCAGATAGGCAGCTGTGCTGAAGGGAAAACACAGCTAGCTTGCTGCCACGCCTTTGTATCATTAGGACAATACTGACCTCTAGTGTTCTAGAAGGTGGAGAAAAATAGCCCAGCGCTGTGCCTTACCTCCTCTTACTAACCACTTAGATCTTTTTCTAAAGCACCACGGGAACAATTCCACAGAAGAAGAAAAAGAAGGAGGTGGAAGAGAATGAGATGAAGAAGTAAAAGAAAAAAACTCAGATTCCAACGGCTCCTACATATTCTCTGAAATAATTTCTAAACCAGGGCCCTTTGGATACTCCCTTAGAGAGGATGATCCCTTTAGCCTTCCTGTAGAACACAAACTTTAATACAATCGGTATAAGGCATTATGACTAACTATAGATGCTGGCCCTCCAAAACTTCCGACCACAGACAGAAACACTGGCTCAGTTGTGAACATTTTTCTATACACCACATTTGTCCAATTGTCTTCCCTTGAGACATAACTCCGGGGATAAATGCACAGGGTCCTCTAGGACCTAACTGGGTGGAGAGTGAGGTAGAAAGGTCCCTATGTGGTAAGTAATCTTCCTACTGTTCTCTAACCAACCATGATAGTGCAAATTACAAAAACTAAAAAGTAAAACTGTTCCAATATGGGTAATATTTCTGAGCTTCATGACAGGGATAAGGGATATGGGAGCAAGCCCAGAAACTTGAGGGACCTTGATAAACCATCTTTGGAAACAACACAGATGGCTTAATTGCATTCTTTCTCATTTAGGAAGTCCCAGAGCTGGAAAAACTTCCCTTTCTCTGCCTAGAGAGGCAGCTGAGGAATTGAGCCTGAACCTCTCATAGCTCCAGAGATTTATTCAAGTTTGACGGACTGGATTCTTTAAATATATAGTGCAGTTGGTGGATCCCCGGGAGCCCAGGCTTCTTGCCTATTAAATTAAATGTCCTACACTTGCCGAGGTTAGAGCTTGGACGACAGAGTGTACACTTAGTGCATACTCATTAGTGTTCACAGGCACAAAGATTTTTGGGGTGGGGTATGCATCAAAGCTCTTCCTCCTGTAATAGGGGCAGCCATTGATCTTGTGGTTAACAACATTGGTCCATGACTCTTAGGCCAAAACTCCCAATCCTGTTAAACCGGTGCCCATTGGTTGCAAGATACCCCAACTGGAGCCTTCTGCCTAGGGCAGAACGCAGAGCCACGTATCGTGGGGTGCTTGGTATACTGCAAATCCGAGGCACTGCATTCAGAGATGAGCCACTGTCACCGAGCACGGTGGCTGGGAGCATCTCCATCCCAGGAAGCTCAGCTCCCAGTGCATTCTGTCTGAACCAGGGGCCCTTCTCCGGAAAAAGCACTGGCTGAGATCAGGCAGGCATGGAACGCGGAGCTAGCAGGAGGTTAAGGGAAGAGAAACCTTTCCTTATCCCTTGAACTTTGCGATAACGGAAGAAGGGAGGAAATCCAGCACGGTTGGCTCATTTGAGCTCTACTAACTTTTGGGATGGTTGGAGTGATGGAACCACACTGATCAGCATTTTTTTTCCGTTTCCTTTGCCCAAAGCAGACACAATCGAGTACGCTTAGATAGTTGATTGTCTTTCTGAATGCGATCGTTTTCCACCTCACCTTCCCGCCCCCAGCTCCTCGTACTCACAGTTTGTCGCTGTTAATCCTAAATGCCACAAGCCAGAGAACAGCAAAGTCAAAACGCTGGTCAGCCGTGGTAAAGAATCCATTTCCCCCGAGTGAGCGGTCCCTCCCAATCGAATCCCAAATTCGCAGTAGCCAGCCGCGGCTTCTTCTCGCTGTCTCTCTCCTCTGCACAGCCTGACCCCCTCCCACCCCCGCTTGGAGAGGCACTCGCTCTTTCACTCCATCCCGTGCCCAGACGCTCCACCGAAACCGTGGCGGGGGATTCTTCGGAGCTGCAGCTGGGGCTACGGTCCCCGCAACAGCCGCTAGCTGGACTCGCCTTCCTCGCCCGCCTCTTCCTTCTCTTCCCCCCTCCTTAACGGTGCAAATCCAAACCCAATTAGAACGACAGGCGCCGGAGCTCGGTGGACAGCCAAATCCACCTCGTCGGGCGCGAGAGCTGGAATCAGCACCCGGGTGGCGGACAGCTCCTTATAGGCGAGCGGGGCCGCGCGGCACCGCCCCCAGCCAGGCCCGCCCCGCGCTCGCCTATAAGAGCAGCCTGGGCGGGTCTTTGCCCCGCTCGGGCGCTTTTCCTCCAGGAAGCCAAGCCGCTGCGGTGCGCTTTGGCTACCTGGGAGGGAAAGGGGAAGGAAATTCTCTCTACCCCCCGGCTTTCTCTTCCCTTCCCCCCATTTGGGAAACGAGTAGAGGTATTGAAATTTAAAGGAGATTTTCAAAGGCCGCTGTCGAAGGATGCTAATAGGAGTTGCAAGACAGACGCATTAGGAAGAGGGAATTTCCCACGGAAAGCTTTGTAATGAGCTAACGAGACGCGTTCCCCCACCTCACCTTTGGAGGGGAGGGGAAAACAGAGCTTGAATTACGCATTTAATTTCCCCTGCGCTCGTTCCCAAATGGGAAAAGCTGATGGGTCTCGATAGGATCGGGATTTCTGGTTTCAAGGTTTAACGTTGTGCGCGCTCCCCTGCTTGCAGACCCCGCAGCTACTCCCACCGCACATCCTCTCGCCGGTCTTCGCGTCTGCGTCTCCCTCCCGCTGTTGGCGCGTTGCTTCGGGCAAGTACTGCAAGGTGTTCCGGGGCTCTGGATTCCAAGCCCAGGTGGTTCACTGGCGTCTCAGGGAGACGGAGAGAGGAAAGACACATGGGTGTGGTAGTGATGAGAGTCAGGGTGGAAGCCCGGGTTAGCTCGTAAGAATCCAAAATATAAGGGCTCTGCTGGAGGGATTTGAATTTTGAAAAAGGGAAAGAATGATTTTGGTTTCTTTCTAGACACCCCCGCTTACAAATTTTGTTTCTGTTTTTGGCTTCTAGTATATATCTGGAAACTCTCCTGCTTTATCATAAATCAACTTATTTTGTTTTTATTGGAAGCTGTCAGAAAGCTGTCAAACCTTAACAAAATGAGGGACCATAATGATTTATCCTATTTGAAGCTTACAATTAAGTTAGGGTTGATGAACTCTACCTGCTTCAGAGGAATTTGATGTCTTCCTCTCTCCCCACCCTCCTCTTACCTTCAACAGAAGCAATTATACTGCCTTATTTGACACTGCAGACTCCTGACAATCCTGGCTGCACGACTATAGATGGGACTAGGTTTCAAGCAGCTTCTGCATGAATCCTGAGGTTAACCTTGTGTTTTTTGGTTACAGCTAGACTCACATCATTGAAATATTAAGAGACAGTTGAATGACAACTGGATTAGTGACCTCATTATTTTATTAGAGAAGAAAGAATTCTGAGGGTCCTATCACTTATACATAAATGATCCTCTTCTCTCTAAGCTTCTAACTAAAGATAATTATGTAAGTCACTAGATTCCTGAGCAAACTGAAAGACTTTCCCAGCTGGAGCTTTACTTGGGGTGCATGGTAGGGTGCAGTGGAGGACCACACCCAGAAGATGGTGAATGTCAACATATCCAGGCTGAGGTGACCTAAGGAGCTGCCCTGTTGGCAGCTGGAAGGGGTCTGAAGAGAGGAGAGGGCTGGGGTTCAAAGTTGAGCTGCATGGGCTTCTTTTTTCCTTCTACCTAGGGTCCTCAGGATTTGCCACCCAACCCCTAGCCTTTGAGGATCCCATGGTGAAAAACATCTATCTGGCTATTAATCATACTAAGAAATCTAGAGGAATACACTGAGCCATTACAGCTTGGTATGTTGTAATTGTATGCAAACACTTAGACATTTTTAAAAGTAGAATATTAGAGATATAACTTAAGCTCCTTTTGCATTCTTCTCTGATCCCATTCATCTGCCATCATACCTAGAAGTAAACACTTTACTTATCTGGTGTATATCATTCCTATACATAATGTTTTTAAACTTTTACCACACGTATTTATCTCCCTGAACAATATGTAAGAGTGCTTTGTCTTTAACCAATACATAAACGGTGTCATGTTCTTTCATTTTGCACCTTGCAATTTACTTAATATTATAATTTTGAAATGTATGCATCCAGCTGCATAAAGTCCTAGTTATTTTATTACAACTACTGTATTGTATTTCATTTCATAAATATGCCAAAATATATTCATTAATTCTTTTATGTATGAATCTACAGATTGTTTCCAGGGTTGTTGATTTTTCCCTTAAAAAAGTACAATCTTGTACCTGCCTCTTAGTTTTTCTTGCTCATATACTGAAGAGTAGAATTTCTGGACCATAGGAAATGCTTGTTTTCAGCTTTACCAGGTATTTTCTGTTATTCTTAAAATGATGGTACCAATTTATAAGTCTCCTCCCCCGCTAGCAGTGTGTGAGATTTCCCCTAGTTCCACATCCCTAACAACACTTCAAGACCCCTCTCTTTATGAATAGGAATATGATAGACAACACAGATCTTTTGTCACTGAGTTTAATGTTCCACTATATAATTCCACCTTCTATACATCACCCCCCAAAAATGCTTAGTTTAATATAACATTTCAAAAGTTATAGAATATGTTGGCTTTGTCTTCCAGCAGAATGGCTTTAAATTAATTATCTGTGCCAGTAAAATGTGCTTAAGATAGATATTAACAGGCAATTAGGAAATTTTTTGCCATGAAGCCCTCGAACTGTGAATGGTATTCAAGTTATTAGTAAATATTGAAACTCTGCATTTATATGTCTATATGCAGACACAGTGTATAAATTTCACCTAATTTAAACTCCTATTTATAGTTGTAGCTTTTTTTTCCTCTCCCTCAAACACACCTGTTCTCAGAGCAAGTTGAGCCTTAAATGTGAGACATTTGTCTAATATTTGTTAACATTTTAGTAAGAATACTGCAGCTCTGAATGTAGTGAGGGGTAAACAGCTGTTCCTCTCAGACAATAGTGTAAACAATGCCATCTTCTGGGGGCATTTTGCCAGCAAGTATTTATTAGCAGTAGAATATTAATCACTATAAAAACTGTTTTCAGCCAGATTGATATTTACCTATTGAAACTATTTTGTAAAGCTTTTAGTCTGATAAATCCACTTTCCAAATGGTGAAGTAGAAGCTGAGTAAACTCCCTTTTCTCCCCCATGTTTCTCCATATAGAAAAATAACTCGTTTTTGCAGAGCACTCTGCTTTGAAGAGGCTTAAAAGTTCTGCATGGATGGAGCAGGTTGAATACTAACAGAAAATGGGGAAAAAATGGACAATTTTGAAACTGGAAAATGTCTATATTTTCAAGATGATAAATCTGACCATCTTCTCAAGACAAACTTATATTTGAAATCTTAAAAAAGGAAATGAAATGGGTAGGATGGCATTTCATTGCTTCTTTGATTTTCCCTTGAGCACTTCCACCTATTCTTCCTTATGGACAGAAGGGAAAGAATCATTCATCAAATGGAATCTTAGCATTGGAATATTCAACAAGTGGTTCATCTCATTGATTTTATAATTCTCCTGTGAGGCATATAGAAGGCACGTTTGGTCATCTCCATTTTATGGATAGGATACTAAGAGGAGATGGATATTGACATGATAAATGTCACACAGAATTAATGGCTCCAACCCATAGGGGCACAGAAAATGAAGGTTCCCCCCCTCCCCTATTCTATCAAAAATAGTTATCTTCTGTCATCTGCCTCCTGCCAGTACAACGGCCATTGCTCTTAGATGCCTTTGCCGGGTGTGCATGCTTTTCAGCTGGTAAGATGCTGTGCTCTTTGCATATACTGCTCTTTCCTCTTTTCCTGGACTTTTCATTCCCACTGGCAAATGTTCAAGTCCAAACTCCACTAACAATTCTCTGTTTCCTGAACTCAGTAATTTCTCAAGAATAGTTCCCTGAAGAATATTTAACTTTGAGTTTTCAGCACACATAGTAGATTTTCAAGGAATAGTTGATGTCTGATAATGTTAGCTACAAAAAGTCCTTGTCGGTTATTTCAGGGGTTATAACGATCCCCCAATCCACTCCTTGCACCAGAATGCAGAGGCTCCTTTAAGGACATTTATCCTTATTTACCTTAAAATCAAGATGTCAACTATATTAAAAAAAAAAACTGAAAATGCAGTTTAGGGTTAATATCCTGATAGTTTATTTTCCTAGTCACATATTTCTCCAATATTTAGATTCATTTCTCTGAAGGAATTTACCCTCTAAAGTATCTATATAATTGCATTGATACAAATCTAGCCATGCCACATCCAGAAACATATGTCAAAAATAGTTTTTCTTTTTCATTTATTTCTGTCTCTCTCTAAAAGAACTCCTGCCTATAATCACCAAGAAGTCATTTTGATATATATAACATTTCAGGAGAAACTTGTTTGGGATAATTAAATAAAAATAATTCAGAGCTTAAAATAGGAAATTCTAAGTATTAGCCTTGGTTTGCAGCTTACTATTACGAGGCCTGGAGTATATAACTTGGTCTCTTTGAGATTCCATTTCCATTCCTGTGAATTGTGAATTATGATAATCCCTGGCTTTGGTATTTGTGCATATTCAAAGGAATCATACATTTAAAAATACTTTTGTTATATGGACACAAGTTGTAAATGCTGTGTCCTAGCCTGGAGAAGACAATTTATTCAGTCCATAATCACAGGATTTCTAATGCATTTTATTTGCCAGTTCAAGTAAGTGCAAACATCTAAAAAATAAGTGCAAACATCTAAAAATTACTCATTCCAGTGGAAACCTGCAAGATTTTTTCTCAAAATAATCACAATAATTTAATTAACTCAACATTAACTTATTGAGCAACACTAATGTGCCTAGCCTTGTATAATTTTTTTTTTTTTTTGGTCAAATAGATGTCATCAATGACCTGGTCCTATCTGAAGTTTTTTATACTTTCCACAATTTCTAGCTGGGAAGTTGACATGTACAAACACAAGTAATAAGTGCTTATAGGAGAGGAACAATTTAATCCTGTATCTTTCAAGTCCATCCAAGTGGCAGACATTGAGGTCCTGGTCAACAGCCAATTCCAACTTTTTCCTTGGTTCCAAAACAGGCTGGTAAAGAAATCACAATTGGAGTAAGCCTACCATAGCAATTGCATACCCCTTTCAGAGTGATTATCTGGTGCTTGCTGTGTGACTCAGTTCTGACCAAAAAAACTCAAGAGGAAAAAGAGATCTTCTTAGTGAAAAGGAGAAGAGTGGGAATAAAAAGGTCATTGCTCCTGCAGTTTTCCCCATAGCATGTACAATATCTTGTGAGGGGATGAGGTTTGTAATGACAATAGCCAATTTAGGAACCTAAAGAGTTGGCCAAGACTACAAGATGAGAAAAAAAAAAAAAGATGGACATTTCCTGAATCTTTATCACAACATTAAATTATTTCTACTCAAAAACCATAAATATTTATACCCTTTAAGCTACTACTTGTTAATTTCTCTAGAAGAAAATGAAACAGTGTTCATTAAATATCAACCTGCAGTAGGCATTTTGACTTTGTTTTTTCATTTAGAATTCATGGCAAAATTCTGAAGTCAGTATCATTAGCTACATTTGGCATATAAAGATATTTTTAAGACTCCTGAAATTTAAGTAACATTGTCCAAAACACAAAGCTATTATTTAGAAGTGCAAGGATCTGAACCTGTGTTTTCTGATACCAGATTTTTGGGTTATCACGTCATTGCTCGGTGCCACAAGTGTTCACAAATGAAATAAATGTACTAAATCTTCTGTGTGTTTGTAGAGTATGTGTGTATGTGTGTGTGTAATTAATCTGATCATTTGAGTCCACATATGATTGACAATTTGACTTCTATAAAAATTATTTTTAGTGTTACAAAGGCCTTGTTTCTGTCTCTCAGGGAATAGCTTGCTTCACAGCCAATGTGCTATTACTCAGTTTTTTAAAGGCAATTAATGAAGAACAGCAGGTATCTGTTCTATCCTAGGTGCACATCTGATTTTTAAGTCAAGCTGACATCTAAACATATGATCTGTGATAGCCACTACTAGGAAAACTCTTTTACAAAATTTTCCAAGGATGTATTTTTCAGGGAATAAATTATTTGGAAGAAGAAGGAGCTGATTTCAAAAGATTATCTTATTATATAACCTAATCCCTAGTATTTATGTCCTTTTATCCCTTTTGAATTTAAATCAGCACACAAAGCACAGTAAAAACATTTATAATTTGCTTTTTATTGGCATTTTTAATAAGGTGGAAAGAATGTTAGCCTAGAGCCAGCAGGGGGTGTGCTGACTAGTAGGAAGAAAAAAATGTAGAGCAGATTTGAAGCAGCCCTGTGAAAAACTTTGAAGGCTGCTGAATTCTTGTTTATTTGTGGGAAAGTGGGGAAAGGATGCAGGAGAAGGCACCAAAGCACAAAAACAAATCAAAAACAGAAAAACAAATCTGCTGATGATGTTTTTAAAATTGTTGTTTATATCTTTGATGTTACATCTACTAAGAAATCACACAAGACCTAGAATAATAATTATTTATAACCCAAAATATTGAATACAAATTGTCATCTTATTTTTACTGTTATTTTTTAAATATGCCACCTGCCTCTTTCAATGGAAAACTTCTCGATTTTAGCCCTGTTGGAGGCACTGCAAACATACTAGTTTAATTGGACTTAGGCTGTGCATATTATTAGTAGATCATGATGTAGCACTGAAAACAAAAGGCATTCAAACAGCAGAGAAACTTGCTGTGCGGTCAATATACTTTTATTTTTCCTTTTGCATGAAGGAAAATTTATTTTAAAGGGTAAGTAATATATAAAATGACCTAATACATCTTTAATTAAAAATGGCTAAAATAGGGAGGTTTTCAAGAGTCAGTTATATGATATCATTTAAGTGGAGCATATATTGATTCAATTTGCACAAGATTTTTTGTAAATCTGGCAATGTATAACTAAATGCTAGGAGTACACGTACCTGTGCTCAAGCTTCATTCAATTTAAGAAAGAGGATTGGTATACAAGAAAAAAAGAAAAACATGACATACTCAAGAAGTCAGCAAACCCTGTCCTACAAGCCCAAACTGGTCGGCTGCTTACTTTTGTAAGTTCGTAAGCTTGAATGATCACTACATTTTTTAATAGTTGAAGAGAATCAAGAAAAGAATAACATCTGTGACACATGCAAATTACATAAAATTCAAATTCAAATTCAAATCCACCATAAATTGTGTGTTTTTTTTAACATTACCATGCTAATTTGTTTGTGTTATTTAATCTACAGCTGCTTTTGCACCACAATTGTGAAGTTCAGAAGTTACCACAGAATCTATGTGATCTGCAGAGAATCGCTTGAACCTGGGAGGCAGAGGTTGCAGGAGGTGGAGGTTGCAGTCAGCCTAGATCGAGATGGCAGCGCTGCACTCCAGCCTAGGTGATAGAATGAGACTGTCTCCGAAAAAAAAAAAAAAAAAAAAAAAAAGATCTGACCTACAAAGCCTAAATTAGTTACTATCTGACTCCCCAGAAAAGGTTTGTTGACCTCTGATAGAGTCTAGTAAGTGTATCCTACTAGAATAGGATACAACGTATAGAAGGACTATACATTAGGGGGCATGATGGTTCATTCATCCATTCAGGATTATTATTATTTTTTATTTTTATCAAGACCTTTTGATGTGCCAGATACTGTGGGATAAGACTAACAACACTATCTCTGAAATCTTAGAAAATACAGGCTGTATATGTAGATTTAGTGATGCCTATTACAGGGGGTTGAAACCATTTCTGCTCACCAAGTTGCATTTGAGACTTCAAATTATTACCCATCTCACTTCCCTTAAAAATATAGAATAAATATCATGCAGTGCTTATCACTTCTCTGATATCTTAGGATTAGTGATTATCGATCAGTCTTTATTACCTTCCAAAAAATTCTGACAGCTCAGTATCACTGCATGTTTTTGTGAATACTTATATTTTAGTATTGTGACATATTTTCAAACTTACAGAAAAGTTGCAAAAATAGTATAAAGAACTCCCGTTGTCATTTTACTTTTAGCTTTTCTTTTTTTTTTTTTTTTTCCTAGATGGAGTCTCGCTCTGTTGCCCAGGCTGGAGTGCAGTGGCGCGATCTCGGCTCACTGTAACCTCCACCTCCTGGGTTCATGCTGTTCTCCTACCTCAGCCTCCTGAGTAGCTGGGACTACGGGCGCCCACCACCATGCCTGGCTAATTTTTTGTATTTTTAGTACAGACGGGGTTTCATTGTGTTAGCCAGGATGGTCTCGATTTCCTGACCTCATGATCCGCCTGCCTTGGTCTCCCAAAGTGTTGGGATTACAGGCGTGAGCCACCGCGCCTGGCCACTTTTAGCATTTTTTAAACATTTTTTCCTATTTTCTTAATATTTATCAATCTGTCTCTCTGTCTCTCTCTCTCTCTGACCAAAAATCTCTACAGTTTATCCAGGTCTCCAACTCGCCCAATACCTGGATCAACACAACGAAAGCACAGAAAGTGGACAAACAGAAGGAGAACAACTATGAAGGCTCATGAAAACTCATGATTTAGTAAGTTTTGTCCCTGTAACACAACTAATTACAATTACATTACATGACAAGGAGAACAACTCCAGTGCAGTAGGAATGTGATCACACCTCAAAGAGGACTCCACCTCATCTTGGGGTCAGGAAAGATTCCCAGAAAAAATGACTTATGTGGTGGGCTGAGAGACGGGAGGAGGATGGTGTGCTTGTGTGGTTAGTTGACTTCAGGATGGAAACAGAATGACTAGAAGGAAGACAACCAGAATTACTGTGACCACCAAGTGGATAGGTGATTTAGCTAAGAGCCAGACTATGTAAGTGTGAAGGGTTTGATATTGTGTTTATTGTTGAAGAAGAAACTGGTATTGGAGAATTTGTTTGTTTTAAGGAGGGGAGTGGCTAGTGGTTTTATATTTCATAGTTGTTTGGCTCCAAAAGTCAGTCAGGTCATTTCTAATCAGATAAACAAATTCTTATAGATGCGTTAGTAATTACAGTGAGATAATGTGTTGCTTCTCCATTCAACGTATGTTTTTTCTTTAGGTGTTTCTAACACTTTACTCAAAGAAACTTATGGATTTGAGATTTCGTATTCAGAGTATTGGGCACATGCTTTTCACCTCACTTGACATATATGATATAGAAGGCAAATTATATAAATTATTTGTATCTGTAAAATGGGATGGCAGGAAATCACAAAGTGTTGTGAAAATCAGAGGTGAGGTAAATGAAATGCAATGCCTAGTGCCTGCAGCACTCATTAAATAGTTACTGTTACTGATAATTAGGTGGCACTAAATATGACACCTTAACACCCAGCAAGCCTTCGTCGGGAATATTTTGTTGCCTCTCTCATAGCAAAGCTTTGTAAGTGTGGCAAGATCATATAGTCATTGTCTCTATTGATGATAATTATGGGCAGGGCACGGTAGCTCATGCCTGTAATCACAACACCTTGAGAAGCAGAGGTGGGGGCATCACTTGAAGCCAGGAGTTTGAGACCAGGCTGGGCAATATAGCAAGACCTTGTCTATACAAAATAATAATAATAAAAATAATTAGCCAGGTGACGTGGCACACACCTGTAGTCCCAGCTACTCTGGAGGCTGAGGTGGGAGGATCACTTGAGCACAGGATCCCGAGGTTGAAGTTAGCTATGATCACGCCACTGCCCTTCAGCCTCAAGACAGAGGGAGAACTTGTCTCTAAAAAAAATAAAAACAAACAAACGAACTAAAAAATCACACTCCCTTGGGGAAACAAGATATTTAGAATGTGACCAGTGCACATTTTCTACATGTTTCACATGTGTCTGGAAACTTGTTTCTAGTGGACAATGATGATGTATTTTCTGAAAAAATTAATAGCAAGTTTCAGAAACTAAACTGCAATGCCTCACAGTAAAGACAATTTTTTGTCAATACAACCAAAAAGAATAGGCACAATAAAGCCATAAAAATTTATCAGGGGAAAAAGATGGAGCACTTATTTATTTAAAGAAGACTTTAGAAAAAAAGCAAAATGTTGTAGCTCTGATTTTTGTTAAATGATTAGAGATGGAGGAAGATCAGAATTGTAGGTGCTGAATTTCAAAGTTTAGTGCTAAATTTACCAGACAAATATTTATCAAGGAAATTCTATATTTATAACTTGCTGACTCTATCCCCACTTCCTATGAATAGCATTCTTTCTTTGGTATGATATTATTTCTAGTTTAGGAAAGAATCATCTCCTGTGTATATCCCCAGGAAGCATTTGTTTATAGCAGTAATGAGGATGGAGAAACTTCAGTTGGTTTCTTAGAAATCTTTTGGCTATACTCTTGGGATTACATATAAAATGTTATTTTCACCTTTTTCTTGTTTGTCAGAACATCTGATTAATTGATTTGAAAATCCATACTCTGGTTGTCTAGCAGATTTTCACTGGGTAAAAATGAGAACTAAATTCAGCATGAATCTAGGGATTACCAGTGTGCAATTTCAGATTTATGGGATTGAATAGGATTCAATTAGATTTTGGGAAAAGAGTATATATAAATAAAACATGTATCCAATTTAATTTTAATCAAACTTTTTATATGGGGGAATTTAATGATTTCAGCTCACCATTTTTGAACCATTTGCATAACTCTGTACTGACATTTGTTCTCCCATTAAACAGAAAATAAAGCATTCCCAGATCAAATGGGTTAGAGGCAAATGTGGGAAGATGATAACATCATTTAATAATGTGTTATAACAAAAAGGAAATCAAAGACTTTGGTAACTTCTGTTTCATTCACAGAAGATCACATTTCTCCACCTGGACTGATTTAAGAATTGAGGTTAGTTGACTACTATTAGCAAGACTTGCAATTATGGCATGCAGGCACATCCTCTTCTGTTCACTTGAGTTATTTCTGTATAGCAGTAGATCATGAGGACATGGACAAAGGCATTGCACCTACTTTCTCCTTGAGCAATTTCCATTGATGTCTGTGATGCTGATACTGAATTACAGAATCCCGAGGATTCTGTATTGTTGTAGTTCTAAACCTTTTGCTGTGGAGGTTAGCCTGTGGATAGGAAGAGTCAAACAAGAACAACTTATACAGTTTCTCTGGCTAGAAAATGAACAATACATGCTTCCTGTCCTTATGATGTTCCCACATGTGGATGGTGAAGCAGGCACCAAGATGACTAAGCTAGAACAACAAGATTTGGTGAATCCAGAGCTGACGAATAACAGTTCATCTGGCATGGAAGCAAAGGAAGAAGTTCCAGGGAAGGCAAAGGCCCAAATTTGTGAATCTGTGTGCCATGTGCTGGGGAAAATTGAAACCTTCCAATGAACTAGAATGAATGTTGTGTGTATGGGAAGCCTATGGACTCAATGAGAAGAATAATTAGTGAATGTGTCCATGTTGTCTATATTTTACATGGGTCAGAAGGAAGGATTGAGTGCAGAAGACAAAATGTTAATCGGAAGTGGGGTCATTTTCATATTTAGGCTTAAACAAGAATATAGACATTACTATTAAAGCATAGAAATAAAAAAATGATGATATTTTTAAGTGTCATAACTTCTAACTATTTGCCATCATATTTTTGGTTTACTCCCTTTCAAATACACTTAAGCGTAAGTGTAGCCTAGAAGAGAGCAAGACCCAATATTTGGCTAGTTCAGGGAGTGACTTACAAGCAAAGCAGTTCCACCCATGACCAATTTCTTAAATTTCTGGAGCAACCCAAGTAGCAAGACTGGGAAAATATGACTGAATTTGCAAAAAATCAAGTCACTTCTTTGGAAAGATGTTAAACTCCAAAGATCAATGTATAGACCTTTCCACTTAGCTTACAACTAGATAAAACATTCTTTTGACATGAAATGGCTTAGGACAAATGCTTTAACAAAAGAACTGATTAAACACTGCTGTTACTAAAGCCTCACAATAGTTAATGCACTTAAAGAGTTCTAAATCGGCTGAGCATTGACGTCTTAAAGGATTATATTGAGTGTCACCATATACACAGGAAAGTCTCCTTCAAAACCTACTATGGAGTATAATGGACTATACATGTTATTGTAAACAAATTGGCAAGATTCGAGGTTTTCTCTGGATTCTAGCATCTTTAAAAAGAGAATGTCTGTTGTTTTATAAAAGCATTTATTTACATCTTTATCAGGTATCCTCCAGTCCCAAATGTGAGAGGTTAGGGCAATCTGTGGATTGGGGTGGCTTTCTCTTCTAAGTCACTCCCAGACTAGGGAAGTGACTCAGAAGAGTCACTGAGTGGGGAAACACAGAACCAGGGATGGCTCTGTAGCTCTGACCTAACTTAAAGCTCCAGATTGGTCTGACCTTTTCTCACTTTGCGATTCAGACCTGAAAAAAATGAGGCCAAAGTTGGCTCATCTTCCTCCCTTGAAAATGTTCTAAGGAGATGAACCACATCCTGTCCTATCTCCCCCAAACCATACCTCAGCACAGGGGCTTGTTTCATTGGTACAAGAATAAGTTGTCTTTCTTTTGCTAGAAAGCTCACAACTTTAAAACCTACAAAAAATGAATGAATTATAATCTAGAACTTCAGATATCTGTATCATAATAGTTGGATATGCTTATGGAGTATGATATGATCTTTTGCAGCAAAATCTCACTTTGTACTCAACAAATACATACAATTATTATTTGAAAGTTCAATTAATTAGTTTAAAAATCTGTAGAAATATCAGTGTCTTCTGGGGAGGAAATTATTACGTGCATGTCAAGATTTGCCAAAATTTTAATACTTTGTTACCCTATGTCACTTTTGTGAAGTGATTATAGGGATATTTTTCTAAATATAGAGTTTATCATAAGGAAGTTTTGTTAACAATAGAATCTTAAAAGTGCACTAGGATATTCATTGCAATTTTGTTTTTAAAAGTAAAAAAACATTGGCTGGATGTGGTGGCTTATGCTTGTAATCCCAGAACTTTGGGAATCTGAGGTAGGCAAATCACTTGAGGCTTGAAGTTCGAGACCAGCCTGGCCAACATGGTGAAACCCCGTCTCTACTAAAAATACAAAAATTAGCTGGGTGTGGTGGTAGGCACCTGTAATCCAGGTATGTGGGAGGCTGAGACACGAGGATCACTTGAACCAAGGAGGTGGAGGTTGCAGTGAGCCGGGATTGCAGTGAGCCACGGCACTCCACCCTGGGCAACAGAGCAAGACTCCATGTCAAGGAAGAAAGGAAGGAAGGAAGGCGAGAGAGAGAGAGAGAAAGAAAGAGAGAGATAAAGAAGAAAGAAAAGAGAAAGAGTAAAAGAAAGAGAAAGAAAGAGAAAGAAGAAAGAAAGAGAAAGAAGAAAGAAGAAAGAAAAGAGAAAGTAAAAGAAAGAGAGAGAAAGAAAAAGAAGAAAGAAAGCAAAAAGAGAGAAAGAAAGAAGGAAGGAAGGAAAGAATGGAAAGAAAGAAAGAAAGAAAGAAAGAAAGAAAGAAAGAAAGAAAGAAAGAAAGAAAGAAAGAGGAAGGTAAAAAAAATATAAATAGCCTCTATTCAATATCACAGTTTGGCCAATACATTTTGTATGTATGTGCAATGACATCTTACACAACTGCTGTCATTCCTAATTGTAAATAAAATGTAAACTTAAAAATTGTATGACATGCTAAGGGAAACAGCATACAATCTGAATTCAAAATGTAATAAAAATGTACCTGTTCTATATGTACATGGAAGATAATAAAATAGAATAAACAAATGCCTAAATAAATATGCTAGTATAGAAGCATTGTGGGATTTTTCTTTAAAAATTTTTTTATTTAGTGCCATTACATCCATCTTTAAAAAGATAACTTAAAAATGTAGCAATGAAGGTCATAGAGCAAAAGAAAGTCACTGATGATGACTAAATGAATTACAATGTTGACATTCTAATTACCACCAGTTAATGATATGAAATCAGTTTACAAATTAGATAACCTCTTGTGAGAACTGAGAGGTAGAAGTGGGATTTCATCACATGCTTCTGGTGAAGAATCTCACGGCAACAATGCGTGGCCAAGGAAGACAGAATATAAGAGAAGAAAAATGAGAAACCCAATACGGTTGGCTTTCTGTTGTGTGCCAGACACACGTGGGTTTAGCTTTGCCTCCTTCATGTGCACTCTAGATTTACTAACGGTGGTGAACATGAAGTGCTTTACTTGCTGATCTAGTATGTTGCATGTCGCTTCCTCAATTTCCTTCATCTATAACATGAGGGATTTAGCTCAATAATTTAAAGGACAACTTCAGCTCTTAGTGGTATTTGATATTAGCATAGCCCTGTACATAATGCTAAAAGGATTTAGTAGATTTCATCACAATGAATGCCTTTGACAGAAAAACATGGTAGCTAACTGGAGGTCATGGGCCTGTCTTAGTGCTATAGAGGAGGATGAATCTGTTTGCATAGTGGATAGAGGGATTCCTCATACAGACAGGGCCAAATGGGGCTGAGGGAAAATAACCAGCCTGAAAGTTTCAGAAATGTGATCTGAAGTCTTGGCAACTCCACTGAGTGTCCTTAGGTAATTTATCTGCCTGCTATTGGCCTCAAATGCCCCATCTGTAAGAAGAGTCTAAAAATAACTTCATCACCTTTTTTTGCAGGGCTTCCTGAATGAAATAATGTACTGTAAGTCCTTTAAAAAATACTAGCAGTTAATGAAGTGCTAAATACACAACAGGTTTATTTGCTCTCAATTTCAGCATTTGCTGTAGTGAGATTACTGCCGGTCGTTCACCGTTGAAAATTTCAAATGGTATGATCATTTTAAAAAGCAATCCCACAATGTGTATTTGGAGTCCTGAAAATGTCACTTAACTTTGACCCAGCAATACCAACTTCAAGGATCAATTCTAATGAAAATATACTAGAAACATATCCATGCCAAAGTTGTATTTACATGAAAATAATTTTAAAGACAGACAAATGCTCAAAAATAGCAGTTTGATTAAGTAAATTAAGACATGATAGAGTAGAATATGACAGTCATTAACAATATTTACAAAGATGTTACAAATCCTTCTCTATATTAAGAAAATCAAAATAAAGCATAACTGATCTATGCAGTATATGTGCACAGTTGTGCAAAATATATACACATTAAATATGTAAGCATTTGTCCTTAAGTGATGGGATTTTTCTAGTTTGAATTTTCCATATTATCTATGATTATTATATATTATTTTATAAACAGGAAAATATTTTTCAAAACAAATCAGAAAGGGTCAATTGTCACCAGTTACCAAAAGGCTGAATGGCCAACGTGGTATACTTACTAAGAAAAATACTGTTCATATCATCTTATTTGTTCCTTTTATAAATGTTACATGTGCATAATGTATTTAAGACATTGTGAGCACAGATTGGTTGATTATTTTTAATTTGCATTTGGGTTATTTTTAAAAGAAGGATAGCCAGTGAGAGATTAAAATTCTCAGGACAAGTGGGATACATTAAGATCTAAGATATATTATTTCAGTTTTAAGCAATCTTTTTTTTCTTAATGTGTGAAAGAACTGGAAAAGAAAGAGTGTGAACTGAGTGTGCCAAACAACAGCATTGCCTGTTAAAAAAAAATCTAAACGTATCACAGTGTGAATTAAAAAATAAAAAAAGGAGTGAGACAAAATTACTGCATTAAAAACAAAACAAAAGAGCCTCTATCTGTCTTGCTTTTCATGCCCCAACCCCCCAAACAAACAGTGTTATTTTTATTACTTCCTTCAATTAGTCTTTTGATAATGTGGTCACCAAATTGTAGTTTGAGGCGTGGTGTTCTTGTCATTTTTGCACTTGGAGGTTTCCCTAAATTCACTCACACTTATCCTTTGCAAATTTCTATTAAGAAAGAAAAAACAGAACAAAACACTAACCATGACTCCCTTCCCCCCAGAGGCCTGCAATTTGACATTCTAAATATATCTAGAAGATGCGTTTAGTTGCAGTGACTTCTTAAGGACATCAAGGTTCCTGGGGCTCAGCCATTTTATTTCAGACAAACCTTATCTGGAGAGTGTAAAATCTGAACCATTCATGGGACTGAAGCTGGTTTAATTGCTTTCAGTTTACAGATTGCATCCATTGTTTTAACTCCTTCACAGGTAAGAATAGAAAGGAATGAGATGTAATGGTTTGGCATCAAGGCAGCCCATATACAAAAGGCTAGCTCTGGGCTGGGCACGGTGGCTCATGCCTGTAATCCCAGCACTTTGGGAGGCTGAGGTGGGTGGATCACGAGGTCAGGAGTTCAAGACAGCCTGTCCAAGATGGTGAAACCCTGTCTCTACTAAAAATACAAAAAAGTTAGCCGTGTGCGGTGGCAGGCGCCTGTAATCCCAGCTACTCCGGAGACTGAGGCAGGAGAATCGCTTGAACTCAGAGGGCAGAGGTTGCAGTGAGCTGAGATCACGCCACTGCACTCCAGCCTGGGTGACAGAGTGAGACTACGTCTGAAAAAAAGAAAAAAAAAAAGACTAACTCTGCTAGTTATTGCTGTCTAACTTGGAAAGAGTTGCCTCTTTGTGTGTCTAATATCCTTGTGAGTTAAAGGGGTGATTATTGATTACACTGCTGGGTAGATTACATGAGTTAACACATGAAACCATGTCTGGCAGAGAACGGATACTCAGTATATGAATGTTCTTCTTATTCTATATGAAGATATTTTTAAGTAAAATAAAAAATTATATACATGGGGTCAGACCTGTGCTTTCAAGATTTTAACCTGGCAGGAAAATGAAAGCTGCATTACCACGGGAGAGATTTCTTGCTAGGAGAGAAGTTGAGACATTTTAAATGATCCATACATGAGCTAATAAATACCAGAGGGGAGCTAATACTTACAGGGTGCATTTGAAAGGGTACTACAATTCATAAGCTCGGGAAGGAATTAGTCAGCTGTCACTCAGAAACGAAAAAGAGTAGAGTTATTTGAAAGATCCAGACTTATAATATCAGAAGAACAGATATCCCTGAAATTCTAAAGTCTAGTAAATAAAATTGAGAGAGCTTTGAGATACAGGGACTAATTTAACTTAGCTTCTTGATAGAGATCGGATAGGTATGGCATTCACACCTGTTGCTAAAGAAGATGCTGCAGAAGGCAAAGATAATTAAGACTATAGTGTTTCAATAAACTAGCTTTAGTCTCAAGGGAGCCCCTAGCAATGAAAAGGGAATAGGAAAGAATGGGGAATAAGAAACAAATATAACAGATCAGATAATACTAGCTTTTCAAGAACTGTGAGAATAGTCAAAAAGCATAGAATGTCTCAAGAAGGCATTGACATTAAATTGATTGGCATTAAATAGACAAAAAAGCTGCGCATTTTTTGGAAGAATTATAAAGAAATTTGGAACTTGAGTTAAATGATAAACTCTTTGAGGCTAAAAACATGTCTTAAGCTTTCAACTTTCTCTAAGTGCTGTATAGCACCCAAGGAGTATATAGTTCTCAGTACTGACTTCAAATATGTCCAAAGAGGAAAATAGAAAAGCAAGCATCCTACGTAGGGTGGAACCCAGGCGCCTTGGAGAAAAATATGCTGCAGAGTCATAATTCAGTTTAGTCAGAAAAATCTTCTCTGACCCAGGACAGGAGGCCCTCCAATCCACTCAGCGAACATGCAGGTGTCTGTGGACCTGTGCAGCTCCCTGCTTCATCTCTCTCCTTTCTGAATGAGATACGGGTGCTTATTGTAGTTATTCTCTGTCTGCCCCACGTTATAATTTGAGTATTGGGGGCATAAATGATTTGTCTTTTTGGATTATACGCGTCTTTTCTAAGACAAGCCTCTTTCAATCTAAAGAAGAAACTACAAAACATCACCCGGAGATGTCAGATTTTGAGCTTTATGCCTCAGATGAATGGAAACTGAGGATTGTTCCACTTGTTGAGGAATGAGCATGTTACATGTGTGAAAAGAAGGGAATACAGAAATGTTCAGTGAGCAGAAGGGTGGATTGCGGCCCAGCACCCCATGTGTTACACCACACTCCCCAGCCCTTCTGTAATTATCCAGGGAACTATAGGAGGAAATAGCAAGTTTTCCTTCTGGACTGAAGTGCCCAAAAGCTGGCATATAACTTTTCAGCTTTCTCTCTCTGCCACTGTATAGGAAGGTTGTGTGTCTGGATGGTGCAGCTCCAAGACAGTAAATGATCCATCAGCCTGGAAACACCCACCAGCTTCCCCTGTCTTCCTGAATGAGGCAAATAACAAAAGCAAGAAATAAACTGTGGGTTATCTGTTTTGTAGCAGTCACTTAACCTATCTTGATTATTACACAGGCTATCTGGTGTAAAGGATAAAAACAGAGGGGAAGGCTACTAGAGTGGTACTTCCAGAAACTTCATCTTTCTACTGTTTTCAAGAAGAAATATTCAAATCTGTATCAAGTGAGACAACTCAAAATATATTTAGCCAGGGCATCAAAGTCAAACTCAGATCTCAGGGCCATGTGCAGTTGTCTGTACTTTGGGTATGGACACAGATGTTTCAGAAACCAGTAAAACAAAGAGACAAAGTTATATGAGCCACACTTACTCAAACTACGACAGTGGAGGTAGGGATAAGAAAGCTACAGAGAAGAATCTAAAAATGTTTGCAATGATTTTTATGTATCCTTATCTTCTCCTCTCCTGGTGAAATGAAGGATTTGAGGATGTATTTTTCCTAAATTTAAAAATAATCCCTTCACTTATTTTCTGGTTCATTTCACTTTCTCAGGAACCTTAACATATGGATTAGCCTCTTCCCCCCCCTTTTTCCTAGATCCTCTCTTTCAGATTTTAAATCAGGTTTAGTCAAAAAAATCTTCTCTGACCCCAGGACAAGAGTCCTTCCCAAGCCACTCAGTGAGGGGTCAGGTTTCTGTGGGCCTGTGCTACTCCCTGCTCCGTTCTTCTCCTTTCTGAATGAGACATGGGTGCTTACTGTAGTTACCCCATGTCTATTTCACATTACAATGGCTAAATCTTTAGAGTCTGAAACATGTATTACCTTGTCTTCAAGTCCCCGTCCAACTGTGATACCCTTTCTCCTGTCCTTCATAGAAGAACATAAGAAACTCCCCATATTTAGCATCTAGATGTCTTTACTTCCCATTCACAGGTCAACTCTTGGCAAGCCATCAAAAAAGGTGGCTCTACCTATGAAGTCATCAATGCCTCCATGACAGTAATATCACTGAACACATCTAATCCTCTGCATCCTTGGCTCTCATAAGCATTTGACATGCTCTCATTATTTTTTAAGCATTCTTTCTTCTTGGATTCTATGGACTATTCATTTACTCCTGATTTATTGACAGCTTCTTTTTATCATTTATTTTCTGCTGCTTAGACTTTCATGTTTGGAGTTTTTCAAACTCGATTTTAAGTTTTTTAAATTCGATTTTAAGTTTCGATTTTAAGTTTTTGTTTGTTTGTTTTTTACTGTATAGTCTTTCTCTCAGTGAATTCTTATACTCCCATGGTTTCAATGATGAAAATTATATTCAAAGCCAAGACCTCTCCTTCTAGATCCAGACACACATATTCAGCTGCCTTTCCAATATCTCCATTTAGATGCTGCAGGGAGACCTGAAACTCAGCGTGTCACAAATATCTTAACTTTGGTGTTGCCTACTGTGGGGAAAATAATAATAAAAAAAAAAAAAACATGCCCTACTGAATTTTCCAATCCAGAATCTCCTCCACTCCCTCTTTTCCAAAAACATTCTCTCAATTCTAAGTCTTATATATTTCCAAATACCACTGGTTATTTTTTGTCTCCTCTTATACGCCTTAGTCTGTCCCAACATAATAATTTACATGTAGCTTTCCTTGCCAGGTACTTCTGTATATTGCATCCATAGTGATCTATGAAAACATAATTCTGAACTTTTAATTCACCTAGTACAAACTTGTCAATGATTTTCTATTACTGTCATGAAAAATACAAATCCTTAACATGACCTCGCAGGCCTCAAATAAGCTGACCCTGCTTCTCTCTCTGGTATTTTTTTATTTCATCCCTAATTCTTTTTACACATCATAATTTTGATTTTGATATCCTCTTTCATATGGACTTTTTATATATTATTCAGAACAGAATGACTAAATTTGCCTGATGGCAACGTATCTTTCACATGTCCCATTTATATTCTATTCCCAACATCCTTGACTATATTAGAATCCATTTACTTTTTTGGTAACACTCACCACAGTTGTAATTATTTAATCATTGGCATATTTTTGAGGCATACATATTTTTTTCTCTTGACTGTGAGTGCCATGTGACTAAGAACCCCGTTTGTCCTTCAGCAGCAAATCTTTAGTCCCTAGGATGGTGCTTGCCACAAAATTGGCTCTTGATAAAAAGCTGTTGACTTATCAAGGGACACATTTGTTCATTCACTTTAAAATCATTAAGGAATACATGAAAGTAGACATATGGAGAACAAACTGTCACAATCAAATCACCATTGAATATATCTGTCCATCCTTTTGATTGACAGAAACTGTGGTGAATGAGAAGAACATTTTCTTGCTCTTATCTCAGGACTTCTCTCACCTTGCTGACGGCCAGTGAGGGAAGACCAGGAAGGATCCTGCCAGCCTGAATTGAGGCTGAAAGAAAAGGAATCCTGGAGCAGGTGGCTCTGAACAAGATGACTCCGGCCAGGTCTAAACCTTGGGGGTGAAAAGGATCCCTGAGACTCCTTTAGGATCTGGCATGTGATAAGAATCCTCATCAGGATTTGGACCAAAGTGATAAACAGAGATTAAGAGCTTGCATTGGCACAGTATTGTTCCCAGTTAATTGCTCCTCTAGGTAAGAAGCATGTTGGGTAAAAAATAAAAGCACTTGCCACTAACATTAACTAATAACTGGTATCCAGTTATTAGTTCTAAGCTGTTGCATGCATGATCTCATTTACTCTTTACAGAAATCCTATTGAGTAGCTGGTACTTTTATGCTATTTTTATACATGTAGAAAATAAGGCATGGGAAATTAATTAACGTGCCCAGTAACTCCCAGTTTAAAGGTGGTATTACCTCCATTCCAACCCAGGAAGTCTGCATGCAGAACCTGCATCTTAAACCATTGTGCATTTCACTAGAGAACCAAAGAGCAGTGTTTGGCTATTCTATTCAGGATTTTAATCTTTTAATTTTTTATTGATTAATATTTTTTTAGAGACAGGGCCTTGCTCTGTCACCAGGCTATAGTGCGGTGGTGTGATCATAACTCACTGTAGCCTTGAATTCCTGGGCTCAAGTGATCCTCCCGCCTCAACCTTTAGAGTAGCTGGGACTACAGGCACGTGCTACCACGCCTGGTTAATATTTTCATTTTTATTTTTGTAAATAGGGGGCCTTGCTTTATTGCCCAGGCTGATCTCAAACTCCTGGCTTCAAAGGATCCTCTTACCTCAGCCCCCCAAAGTGCCGAGATTACATGCATGAGCTACTGCACCCAGCTCTATTCAGGTTTTATGTAAACTTGGTGAGATAAATCCTGGTGAAAATATTTTGTTGTAAATTTTGCCTCATTCTGTAATATGATCCTTCAATTGTTTTCTATTCTCCATACAGGAAAATCTTCAAGCGTTTGGTTCAATATGGAAAATATTATTTTCAGAAATCAAGTGTATCCACTCAGCTTTACATTTAAAAAGTACATTATATTATTTTCCAGTGCAGTTACCTGTGGTGTGGTTCTGGCACATCATATTTCTTTTCTAAACTTTTCAAAGATGCACATATTTGATAAGCCTCTAATTTATTCTTAGGTTTGCAATGGGAGAAATCAGACTTCATTGTCAATAAAAGCTAAGTGTAGAGATCCTCCTAAGTGGGAGAAAAGAGTAACTTGGTAAGTCATATTGGAAAATAGCTAAATGGATTTTTGATTAAATTTTTAAAATTTTTATGTGAATGAAGCAGAAAGATTTTAAGGCTTGGAGGTAAATCTTCTAGCACATCAAAGTTTTAAAAATAAAGCCCCATTAATGCTCTTTCTTCAATGATGGTATGATGTGATTTAGTGTGTCGGAAGTCACACATTGACCCCAAATATATCCACATTAGACTGCACATGGTGTTCAAAATTCTGACATTTTTAAAATAATTATTTCAAGTTTTGTTGATATCTCTAGTTAAATTGCAAATAGTCTGCCTAAAGAAATAAGTTTATGCCAAAACTACTCATTAGCACATTAATATCACAGTTTCTCAGATACTGTCCAGCAAGACAGGGTTGGGAATAGTATTGTAAGGGACAGGAGAGGACCAATGGATGAGGTTCTAGTGCTTTGAGCAGATATAATGGGCAGTCTGGATAAAACAAAGGCCAGAACTGGGCTGAAGAATACCTGCAGAATGAAGGAGGGCAACAGAAACAGAGCAGGGACATGCAAAGAGAAGTCTAGCCAAGATATAAAATTAGTTCATTTGCTTTCTCGATGTTGTCTAGCACTCACTGTGACCTGGCTAATACCCTATTGTATTATGGTATCTCCGAAGAGTTTTGAGAAAAATTCAGAGCCCTTGATTATTTTTCTATCTACTACTTATATATAAGAGTGCTTTGAGATCACAGTCAGAGGTGGACAAGACGTCAGAGCTGGACAAGCCCATAGGGTCCACTTACATAGAGTATGCTGAACTTGTGAGCATAAACAATGTTTAGGGGCGACTTTATCCTCTTTGAAGATTCAGATTTTCCATCTGATATGGGTCCTGGAAATCTGTATTTTTGATAAATATCTCATGTGATTCTCATAATCAGTCAAGTTGAGAAAACCCCAGTCATTCAACAGATCAGAAAACAGCCCTGGAGAGGAGAAGGAACATGCCCAAAATAACATTATGATGAAATTCTTGCTGAGTTAAAAATCTAAAAATCCCAACTCAAAATGCATGTTCTATTCACTACCCTAAGCCCTTCCCAGCTGTGCTTTGATTTATCTAGTTATAAAACTGGCCTGATGCTTTTTCCCTTTTTTGTGATTTCTAATGTAAGCTGCAGCCCTGGATAAATCAGATGAGAAGGGTGGGGAGGAAAGATTAGATTGCTCTGGTGTTAACCTTTTAATTAAATCAATGGCTTGTACCTCTAATAAAGGGAGCGTTAAAGTGGAAAATGGAAGAGAACTACTATGACATATTAAATGCCCTCATTTGTGGGAAGCGCTGAAAACATAACTGCCGGGAAGCGGGAATTCGTCCATTTTGAATGAGGAATCCAGAGGATAGAAATCTGTGGGGCTCTGGATTGTTAGAAACAATACACAGGCCTACAGATGCTTCTGCTGTGGCTCCGTTCATCCCCAGAGAACACCTATTAGCAAGTTGGAGCAGGCCCAGGAAAGCAAGCTGCCTTGTTATTAATGGCAAATGAACCGTGGATGATGCTGACAGAGAGCCTCTCTCCATCTGACCCACGTTCTCCACTCCACATCATTCTGTTTATGGTATTGTTTTTGGAATTATATTCAGGCTGAGTCAGAAGTTTGCTTCCCTGGTTCTAGAAATGGCCGGTAGCCAAAGTGCTTTTGTATTGAGAACTAATTGGAGGTGAGGCGAGGTGATGCGGTCAGCTTTTGGAGTTAGTGCAAAGGAAAATGTCTAGAGAATCTATTTTTAACTGCCTTGGCGCCTAAATTGGCCACTGGAAGGGGGAGCTGCTCCGAGTGGTCAATAAGTAGATTCCTAATGTATCACACCTGAGACCAAGTTGGTGCCAGCTATTATGGACTTTATTATAGAAAGGGGATGATTTTCACCATCATACAGTTCAGTTCCCTTTACCCACCCAACACTTCCTGTTTATGGAAGGCAACACGGCGCAGTATAAAAAATGGACGAGTTCAGGTGAGACAGTCTTGGGTTTGAATACCAGATATGTTCCATTTTACATATATGATTTATTACTTAAACTCCCTGGGCTTTATTGTTCTCATCTATCAATGGAGGATAATATTTTTTCCTACTTTTTAAAATAGAAATTTCTTTAAATTAATATGTTATTTTCTAGCAGATAAAATTGTTAGCTTATACATTCTTTGAGCACATATTTCTGTCCTCAACAGCCTCACTTATTCATTGCTGTAACCAGAATTCACTATGAGACTTGGTAGGGGAAATAAACTTAATATATATGTTTAAGCGAATGGATGAATTAATAATTAAAAAATGACACTGGGTGCATTTAAATTCTCCACAAATCCTTAATAGCCTACTTATTCTTGCAGTTAATGTCTGTAACATTTATTCAACTTTGGCTTTTTTTTTAACTTATATTTCTTGAGCACAACCTATATGCCAAATCCTGTATGATTTGCTGAGGGAAACTTCAGAGGAACGAATCACAATGCAGGCCCTCAAAAAGTAACAGCCTACATAGATTTACAGTAAAATAAATAATAATTTAAATATAAGGTATTGCTTTTGATTGAGGAGAAAATAGAATTCTAGGGAAACATTAGAGTATGGCATTTATCCACACTGGGGACTCAGGTTGGTTTCTAGAAGTAAATCTAATATTGCTATAATGTACCAGATACAGGACTTTCAAGTATGTTCTATGTGTGTGTGTGTGTGTGTGTGTGTGTGTGTGTGTGTGTGTGTATGTGTGTGTGTCCGTGTGTTAAGTATTAGAAATGCATGCCTCAGTATTTTCACACAAACTCAGTACATTCTGGGAGAGACAGAGATTGTGTACTTTGGATTGATGACTTCCTCAGCTGTTTTATTTGTTTCTTTGTAAGGGTTTGAACATGAGATCTGCCCTTTTCTAGATACATGTCTTATCACTTAAACTCCCCGAGCTTTATTGTTTTCACCTATCAATTGAGGATATTATTTTTTTTCTTGTTATACTAACAGAGGAAGGACTCAGAAGCTAGTAAGTTCATTAGTAAATCCTAGATATGCTTTTTTTCAGTGGTAGCCAAAATCCTGTAGAAGTTGAAATACATGGTTGAGAGTGGACATTTCTTCTAATTAACATAACTGATGACGGGAAAAGATGTGCCTGCTGTCCTAGAATGATGAGTGTGGTAGACAGTCTCAAGGAGGTGAACACCAGAAAGGGGAATAATTAGATGTTATGCTTGGAAGTGCCCTTTTTCAGTTGTGTTGGAAAATAGAGGCAGCTTGGAAGACATGTTATTTGACTCAACTGCATCCCCATCATGCCTCCCTAGCAACTGCACACAATGCAGGCCAAAAATAATTTTTGATTGACTTGTGTTTGATTTCGTGGTGGAACAGGGTATTATGAGCTTTGAGCTCAAGCTCAGGCCAAACTGAACTCCATCAGCAGATTTCTTAATAAAAAAGCAAGGTCCCTGCAGGAATTCTATGCTTCAGCCTTATATCTGGCAGTTGTAATTCAACTTCTGAGACACTCTCTTCCAGCCAGCTGATGTCAGAGTTTCTTGGAATGTAGTCTGTGTCTCTTGGGTAAAGCTATATTCCTGTGCTGAGGTGGGACATACTCTTTAACTGCATTCAGAGAATAAATCAGATGAGATTGACAGGTATTTTAGAAAAACCTGGTATAATTTTTAACTGCTAACTCTCCTCCCACTAAGGATACTGTTAAAGCGAACTAAATATGGCCTGAGAAGGACTCTGTACTTCTATATTTGAGTCCTTCTGGGTGAACTGTAACCTAACAGGTAGAAAAGATTAAAAGTCTAGCTTAAGAGTATGTGCCTGTAACAATAGCTGAGTCTTGGCCAATCCTAGCAGCTGTACTTCAACCACTCATACACTGCTGAGTGTTCAAACTGTGTTCAAATAAGACAACCACCAACTTGTAACCAATCCAGCTGTTTCTGTACCTCACTTCTGATTTCTGTACATCACTTTCTTTTTTTTGTCTATAAATTTGTTCTGACCATGAGGCACCCCTGGAGTCTCTCTGAATCAGCTGTGATTCTGGGGGCTGCCCAATTTGTGAATTATTCACTGCTCAATTAAACTCCTTTAAATTTAATTCAGCTGAAGCTTTGTTTTTTAACAATATGGATGAAAGAGAAAGCAGCTCTGAGCCTAGTACATAGAAGACACCCAGGAAGTGTGAAACATGCCCAACTTCCTGTGCATGTATTTTAGGCAGACAATTTAGTTGGCAAAATATTTGGTTTCCAAAATCCAAATAATATGGTTATGTTCCTGTTACCTAACACAACACACATCCCAACCCTTATGCTTTCTCTACAATCTACCCATAGTCCATGTTACCTGGGAGGCTTGGGAGTTATCTGAACATCACTTTGGACATAAGAATGGCATGTGAAAAGTTACAGTGGTCACACATGTGGAACACATTTAGGGAACTGATGTGGCACCTACTGTTGGCAAGAAGTTGGACAAAATACCCGATAGATGGATTGCTGCCAGATCATGGACAGCCTTGAGCATAGGAGAGAAGGGATGTATATGATAATATTGATTGAGTTTCTGTTGGGAGTCTAGTATGGCATATGACAAACAGCATGCATGTGTCGTGGCCTTCACTGTCCTTACACGATTTGTTGTGTCCTCCTTTTTCTGCTAGGAAAGATGAAACTCAGGGACTATAAATAACTTTCTCTCAGTCACAGAGTGAAGAAATGGCAGAACTTGGATGTGAATTCAGATCTAACTGAATCAATGTCTATATTTTTAACGAAACATCTATTTTAGGTCCTTGAGCAAAGGGTAGATCTAATACTAGGCATAGGTGAGATGTTAGAAATGCTTGTTTTTTTACCACTCTCCTATTTTTTTCTGTCTTTTGCTAATCCTGTTCTTGTCATATTAAAATCTTTCTCTCCTAGGTTGTTCTGTTCCCAAAGGAAATTACTCTTCTCTAGCTGTCACTGTTTATAAGTGCATGTGCCAATAATGACTAATGTATCAAAGAGCACCCTATCCAAAAGAGGTTGTAATTTTAATGGGTGAGGCAAAAATGCCTCAAAGACATATTGTGAAATAAAGTGTCAAACGTGTGTTCTTAATAAATAGGATAGGTAGAATCAGATAGAGTTTCAGATGGGGGCAGGGAGGAAGTATTTTTTCTCAGTGGTCCTCAAATCACATTCTACTGGACACCTTTTAATGACTGATACTTGATTAAGGCTGATTTTAAAAAACTCATTCATTCATTCAATATATGGCCATTAGCAAAACTCTATGCCAGGAATGACAGCAGCATTGGGGATACAGAGAAGAAAGGTATAGTCACTTTCCTTGAAGAGCACACCATCAAATGAGAGAGGCTGTCAAGCACACAGGAGATTAGAGCACAGGGCAATGGGTCAAGTGATAACACAAAGTGGTGTAAGGGCATGGAAGGAACCTTTTAAGTCAGACTGTGAGATCAAGGTCTGCTTCATGCCTACTCTCAAAAAGCAAAATTTGAGCTAAGTGGAAAAATTCATAGAAAATGGCTTGAAATAAAAGTAAGGGATTTTAAAAGGAAAAATATATTGTCCTAACTCTGGAGGCCCTCTCAGTCTACCAAGGGAGGGGCTCAGTAAATGCTTAACCCAAATTATATAATTCTTTAAACATTGAAACAAGTATTGCTAATTTCTTTACCGCAGTGTTATCATCTCTCCATAGGTCATAACTTGTATCAAGGTGAGAATGTTCAGGATCCCATGGCATTGTGCTGTCCAATATAGCAGCCTTCTGCCACATGTGGTTCTTGACCATTTGAAATGTGGTTGATGTGACTGAGAAACTGAATTTTTAATTGAATTGTAATGTGACAAAACTATAAAGTATATACTGAGTTTTGAAAACCTAGTCTGAAAAAGCAAATTTGAGCTATCTAATTTTTTGGTTTGTTATGTCTGTTGAGTACATGGGAAGGGCATATTGGGTCAAATGCAATGTAACATTTTAAAAAGTGGGGCAAGAGCATCCCATGAAGAGGAACTAGCACATGCAAAGAAAAGGAAGTGTGGGAGAGCAAGGCACATACAAGAAATTTCTTAGCTCAGCTGCTATAACAACATACCAGAGATACTGGTGGCTTAAACAGAAGAAACGTATTTCTCACAGTTCTAAGGGCTGAGAAGTCCAAGATTCAAGGTGCTGGCTGTTTTGGTTTCTGGTGAGTGTCCAATTCCTGGCTTGTAGATAGACACTTTCACGTGGAGAAGAGAGGGGAAGAGAGAGAAACATGCTCTCTCAGGTCTCTTCTAAGGGCATTAATGCTATCATGAGGGCTCACCCTCAGGACCTAATTACCTCCTAAAATACCCATCTCTAAATACCATCATGTTGAGGATTAGGGTTTCAAGATATGCATTTAGGGTCACAATGTTCAGTCTATATCAGGTAATTACAAATCATTCATTACAGCTAGAGCGATGTATACACACACAGGAATATCAGAAAGATGAAAATGGAGACATTGAGAGGAGCTCAGTCAAAAGGGGGTTATTAGTGTCTACTTAAGGAAACTGAAAGGCAGATGACAGAGATATTGTGGATTTTGTTTCAGAGCACCACAATAAAGCAAGTTACATGAATGTTTTGTTTTCCTAATGCAAATTTAAGTGATGTTTACACCATACTGTAGTCCATTAAGCGTGGAGCAGCATTATGTTTAAAAGCAGTATATACCTTAATTTGAAAGTATTACTAAAAACTGCTGTTGAAAATTGTGTTGCTATAAACATGCATGTGCAAGTATCTTTCAATCGGCGAGTGGATAAAGAAAATGTGGTATGTATGTATATGTATATATACACACCATGGAATACTACTCAGCCATAAAAAGGAGTGAAATAATGGCATTTACAGCAAGCTGGATGGAATTGGAGACTATTATTCTAAGTGAAGTAACTGAGGAATGAAAAACCAAACATCACATGTTCTTACTTATAAGTGGGAATTAAACTATGAGGATGCAAAGGCATAAGAATGATACATTGGACTTTGGGGACTTGAGAAAAAGCAGGAAGGGGGTGAGGGATAAAAGACTACACATTTGGTACAGTGTACACTGCTTGGTTGGTGGGTGCACCAAAATCTCAGAAATCACCACCAAAAGACTTATTCATGTAACCAAACACCACCTGCTGCCTAAAACCTCTTGAAATAAAATATAAAGTTTGAAAAAAGAAAATAAATAAATAAAATGATAATTCCTCACTATCATCAAATATTTGGTCAGTTTGCCCTTCCCCATGAATCTCATAATGATTTGAAATCTTCTTAACACAAAGAGCTGATAAATGTTTGTGGTGACAGACATCTCGATTATCCTGATTTGATCATTACGCATTGTATGCATGTATCAAAATATCACATGCACCACATAAAAATGTACAATTATTATGCACCAATACAAACAAACAACAAAAAAAAAGAAATGCTCTAGGAACTGGAGATACAGAGATGAGTAATGCACGGCCCTCGCCCTCAAGGAGTTAATCATCTAGTAAATAGAACAATCATATATCAGAAGATTACAATTTGGTAAGCGCAACAGTGCATCATGGAGTGCAGAGGAATTGATGTCTGAGATAAGTTTTAAAGGATGGTTAGGCATTGAGAGAGAGTGGGGTTGGAAAAGGCCATGGTGGCCAGAGGGAAAGGCATGAAGAAAGGTACAGAGGAAAGAGATATATGAAAAATAAATAAATAAATAAATAAAAGTATTACTAAAATATGTTAATGATCATCTGAGTCTTCGTGGAGTCCTAACCCTTTGGCTGGCAGAGCCTTAACTCAATTTTGATGGCTGCTGACTGATAAGGGCTGTAGTTGCCAAAGGCTTTGCCATTCCATATATAGAGCATAAGCAGAAGAAATGTAGCATAATTCTTAAGGGCCCTAGAATTTTGGAATGTTAAATGATCATTTGCTTCACCAGCTGCATTAACCATGAACAAGAGAGTCAACTTGTCCTTTGAAGCTTTGAATCCAGGAATTTACTTATCCTTTCTAGCTATGAAAGTCTTAGATGGCATCTTCTTCCAATAAAAGGCTGTTCTATCTACATGGACAATCTGTTGTTTAGTGCAGCCACCTTTGTTAATTATCTTAGCTAATCACATGGTAACTTGCTGCAGATTTTCCATCAGCACTTTCTGCTTCCTCTTGCACGTTTATGTTATGAAGCCAATTTATTTCCTTATATCTCATGAACCAACCTCTGCCAGTTTAAACTTTTCTTCTGCAGCTTCCTCGCCTCTCTTAGTGTTCAAAGAATTGAAGAGAACTAGGGCTTTGCTCTGGATTAGGCTTTGACTTGAGAAAATACAGGTAGTTTGATCTTCTATCCAGACCACTAAATCTATCTCTGTTTCAGCAATATGGCTATTTGGCTTTCTTATCGTTTGTACGTTTATGGAAGTGGCAATTTTAATTTTGTCCAATAACTTTTTCTCTGCATTCACCACTTAGGTGTTTGGCACAAGAGACCTAACTTTCCGTTTATCTCAGCTTTTGACATGTCTTCCTCACTAAGCTTAATCATTTCTAGCTTTTGATTTAAAGTGAGTAATGTGCCACTCTTCCTTTCACTTGAACACTATAGGCCATTGTAGGGTAATTAATTGGTCTAATTTCCCTATTGTTGTGTCTCAGGTTACAGGGAGGACTGAGGAGAGGGAGAGAGATGAGAAGATGGCTGGTTAGTAGAACGATAAGGACACATGCAACATTTATCAATTAAGCTCACCATCTTATTGGCATGTGGTTCACGGTGTCCCAAAATGATTACAATAATAATTTCAAAGATTACTGATTATAGATCACCATAACAGATAAAATAATAGTGAAAAAGTTTGAAATATTGCCAGAATTATCCAAATGTGACAGACACCAAATGAGTACAAGCCGTTGGAAAAAAATGGCACCAACAGAATTGCTAAATTTAGATGGTTGTCACAAACCTTCACTTTGTGAAAAAAAAAAAAAAAGCAATATCTTTGAGGTACAATAAAGTGAAGTGCAATAAAACAAGCCATGCCTTTATCTAGACCCTGAAGGCCGTGGCTTCACTGGAGAATATGAAACAGTTTCTGAAATAAAAATTCACAGGCAACGTTTTCATTTAAAGGCATGACAAATGCAGGTTTTAGTGATAGTGATCCATTGGGTAGTACTCCTAAATACCTAAATACTCTTCGAGAACACCTCACACATTGTAACTGCTAGGTAAGTAATTGGTAACTGATTATAGATTTTTTTTTTCTTCCAAAGAAAGGATACTGTAGTGCACTTACAGCTGCCAGTCTCTCCTCTTATCCTTAGAACTCTACTCACAGGCAGAAAACACAATCAAGGAGCTAAAGTTATTGGTTAGAGATGCTATCAAAAGGAGCATCTCTAAGTCATTGGAAGTGACTTGTAATTATCACCAATGTCCACGAGGTGGCAAACAGCCGTGGATCCTGGTCCAACTGGGTCAGCTGCCTATTCAGGCTACTGTCTCCTCAGTGAAAAGGTCTTAGAAATTCTCGTACGTTGCCTCGTTGTTCTCATTAGTTTCAAAGAACTTCTTGGTTTCTGCCTCAATTTTATTATTTACCCAGGAGTCATTCAGGAGCAGATTGTTCAATTTCCATGAAGTTGTGTGGTTTTGTGTGAGTTTCTTAATCCTAAGTTTCAATTTGATTGTACTGTGGTCTGAGAGATGGTTTGCTTTGATTTCAGTTCTTTTGCATTTGCTGAGGAGTATTTTACTTCCAATTATGTGGTCGATTTTAGAATAAGTGCCATGTGGACTTGAGAAGAATGTATATTATGTTGATTTGGGGTAGAGAGTTCTGTAGATGTCTACTAGGTCCACTTGATCCAGAGCTGAGTTCAAGTCCTGAATATCCTTGTTAACTTTCTGTCTCATAGATCAGTCTAATACTGACAGTGGGGTGATAAACTCTCCCACTATTACTGTGTGGGAGTCTAAGTCTCTTTAGAGGTCTCTAAGAACTTGTTTTATGAATCTGCATACTCCTCTATTGGGTGCATGTCTACTTAGAATAGTTAACTCTTCTGGTTGAATCATTCCCTTTACCTTTATGGAATGCCCTTCTTTGTCTTTTTTGATTTTTGTTGGTTTAATGTCTGTTTTGTCAGAGGCTAGGTTTGCAACCCCTGGGGTTTTTTTTATTATTATTTTTTATTTTTATTTTTTGCTTTCCATTTGCTTCGTAAATTTTCCTCCATCCCTTTATTTTGAGTCTGTGTGTGTCTTTACACATAAGATGGGACTGCTGATTACAGCACACTATGGGTCTTGACTCCTTATCCAATTTGCCAGTCTGTGTCTTTTAATTGGGGCATTTAGCCCATTTACATTTAAGGTTAGTATTGTTATGTATGAATTTGATTCTGTCATCATGATGCTATTTGGTTATTTTGCACACTAGTTGATGCAGTTTCTTCATAGTGTCATTGGTCTTTATATTTTGGTGTGTTTTTGCAGTTGCTGGTACTGGTTTTTCCTTTCCATATTTAGTACTTCTTTCAGGAGCTCTTGCAGGGAAGGCCTGGTGGTGACAAAATCTGTCAGTATTTGCTTGTTTGTGGCAGCACAATTTTCAACTGCATTTTTTAGTAATACTTTTAAGGTATATAAACTGTCTTTTAGACATAATGCTGCTCCACACTTAATGGAATACACTATAGTCTAAACATTACACATTATGGTGTAAATTTGGATTGGGAAAACAAAAAAAATTACATAACTTTCTTTATCGTGGTGCTCTGAAACAAAACCCATATTATCTCTGTCATTTGCCTGTCTCTCCATTTTCTTAAACAGACCCTGGTAGCCTCCTTTTGACTGAGCCCCTCTCCATGTCTCCATTGCTTCAAGTCACCTGCAACTCCTCCTGTAGTTGTTTCTTAATATATTTATTTTATTTTTTCTTTAGGAAGTGTTGAGGAGATAGGGGAGGTTTAAGCTGGAAAGCTATGGATTCTAAAGTTCTTATAAAAAATTGTTGTTCTGGACTCTCCTTGGAAGTTCACATTTATCTTTTCCAATCTCTTTTATTGTGTGATAAACTATTCTTTTCAAAGTATTTTTTAAAAATCTCAAATAAAAATCAACTGCAAGTGAAGCTGTTTGAGATCATCCATAAATGCGTTTGTGTGGCGGACAGAAACTCATATGCTGGATTTGGCCAAGCCTGTATTCAAATCCCACCTCCAATACCTGTGGTCCCTGACACCTGACATCTGGCCTCGCTTCGAGTGTGCTTTTTCCTCCCAACCAATATGGGAGTAAACCTGAGGGAATAGTATGTTCTCATTTCACATTTGACTCTTGTGACTTTAGAGCAAAATATTTAAAGGGAAAGAAAATGCGAGAGCTTTATTTTTGCAAATATAAAGAAGGTATGACATCACACCTCCCAAGACATTTTCTTTTTTTTAGAGGAAAAAAAAATAAACAGGATACATGTGTAGAATGTGCAGGTTTGTTACATAGGTACATGTGTGCCATGGTGGTTTGCTGCACCTATTGATCTGTCCTCTAAGTTAACTCCCCTCACCCTTCACCCCCAAACAGGCCCTGGTGTGTGTTGTCCCCCTCTCTGTGTCCATGTGTTGTAGTAAAATGGTATGGATTACTTACCTGTATAGTGAAGATTATTGGAGAACTACTAATTTTAATTCTTCTTCAATGAGCACTGATTAAGAGCCAGATTCTGTGCTAAGTGATTTGTGGCAATATCTCCCTTCTCACAACCACCTTATGAGACAGGCAGTCATTTACTCCCATATCGGTTGGGATGAAACAGCACACTCTAGGTGAGGCCAGATGTCAGGTCTCAGGGATGGCACGTATTGGAGGCAGGATTTGAATCCAGGCTTGGCCAACTCCAGAGTCTGAATTTCTGTCCACCACACAAATGCATTTATGGGTGATCTCAAAACAGCTATTTTCTCTAACAAAGATAATAGAAAATTTGAAAGACTTATTAGAAAGTGGTAGAATTGCAGAGCTGTGAGTTGAATGAAACTAACTTATTTGCTTTAAACAATTATATAAGTTTCTGATTGGGACTGCAACAAATTACCACAGACGTAGTGGCTTAAAACAACACAAAATTACTGTTCTAAAATAATTATTATTAAAATTTACAATATTTTTATGAAAATAAATGTAGTATTTAAATGTTTTTCTGATACTCAGATGTCTGAAATGGCTCTCACTGGGCTAAAATCAAGGTGTCAACAGGGCTGTCAGGGAGATTCCACTTCCTGCTTTTTCAGCTTTTAGAGGCTTCCTGCATCCCTTTGTTTATGGCCCCTTCCATCATCATCAAAGTCAAAAGCAAAGCAGCTTCCAGATTCTCTGCGGGTCTGACACTGACTCTCCTGCCTCCCTCTTTTTCTTATATGGAGGGCTCCTTGTCATTCCATGGGAACATCCAGATAATCCAGGATAGTCTCAAAGTCCCTAACATCTGTAAACTCCTTTTGTCAGGTATAGTGGCATAGTCATAGGTGCTGGAGATTAGGATATGACAGGCTATTATTCAGCTTACCACTATAGCTAACATGCATGCATTCTTACTGTGTTTCAGGCACTGTTCTAACCACTTTACATTAAATGTTCTCTTCCAAACAGTTCAGTGAGGCTGTTACTACCAGCTCCTTTTTAAAGATGAAGACCCTGAGGCTCAGGGATTTTACATAATAGTTCAAGATGGTCAGCTAGTAAGGAAGATAGTCGTTTCTCCAGAGCCTTTGCTGTTATTATTTTATATACAATAGGGTCTCTGCAGTAAGAATTATGGGCGCTTTCACAGGTGTATTCAGTGTGCCAATATCTTTATGGTTAAGACTGCCATTTTCAATTTACCTTAGGCCTTCAGGCCCTCTTAGAAGCAGCTAAAACTATATCATAGCACTGGAAAATCGCACCTTTGGCAATCTCCAGATACCCTGATACTGTGCTCTACAGATACTCAAATTTCCACACAAGATGATATGATCACTAGCTAAAAATAAGTTTTTCACTAATGGATATAATTTTGCTTCTTTGTCTACTATATCTACTATAACTCAGTTTTGTGGGGTTTTAACCTTTCCATTATAAACTTTTAAATAAACATACAGTAAAATTGACATGTTGTTGTTTGTTTTTTTTTTTGCTGTGTAGTTCCATGAGTTTTAACAATTGTATAGATTTGTGTAACCACCTCCACAATTGTGATGGTTCTACCTCCTCCAGAACTCCTTGTGGTCCCCTTTGTTGCCATCTTCCCCCAAGTTCTAATGCTGGCAGCTACTCATCTTATCCATAGTTTTACCTTTCTAAGATTACCATGTATATGGACTCACACAGTAGTTAATCTTTTGAAACTTTTCTTTCACACTGCACAATTTCATTGAGATCTATATTTTGCACTAACCAATTGTTTGCTTTATTGCAGAATAGTATGTCACTATGAGTGTCCCACAGCATGTTCACCCATTCAACTGTTGGTGCACATTTGGTTGGTTTGTAGTCTTCAGAGATTATGAAGGAAGTGCTATAAATAGTCACATGCACTTTCTTGGGTAAACAGAAGGCTTTATTTTAATAGGAAAATTCTTAAGAATAGTATTGTTGTTATATAGTAAATATATGTTTAACTTTATTGTAAAAATTGCCAAACTATTTTCCAGAGAGGCTGTACAATTTTGCATTCCCACCAGCAATATATGAGAATTCTAGCTGGATGTAGAATTCTAATTCTGAGAATTCTACAGCCTCAGAGCCAGTACTTTTTTTATTATCAGCTTTTTGTTTTTCTTTTCAGTCATTTCAATAGATATGTAGTGACATATCATATTTTTATCTTGCATAACTTCTAATTTTTCAGTTTTCTAATGGCTGGTGATGTTGAATTTCTTTGTAAGTGCTTATTTGCCATCAGTATATATACTTTGATAAAATGTCTGATCTTTTTGAACAATTTATTTTTTTTCTTTTTCTACTGTTGAGTATGGAGAGTTTTTTTATATATTCTAGATACTAGTCCTTTCTCAGATATAATATTTAGAAAGAATGTTTTCAAACCTGTACCTTGTATTTTTATACCCTGAATAGTGTCTTTCACAGATCACTTTTAAAACATTTTTGATAAAGTTCAATATATCATATATTGTCTTTTATTACTTATGCTTTTGGTATCATAGCTAACAATTATTTGCCTACCCAAGGTCACAGACGTTTCCTGTGTCTACCTCAAATACTTTATTCTAAAAGTTGTATATCTCTACCTTTTACATAGAGATGTTTATTGAATTATTTTTGAATAAGTTATAGGTTTAGGGTATGGTTCAGTTTTGCATACAAATATCCAATTGTTTCAATACATTTGTTGAAAAGACTGTGCTCTGTGCATTTAATTTCTTTAGCACCTTTGTCAAAAATCAGTTAGGCTTATTCATGTGGATCTACTTCTGTCTTCTCCCTTCTCTCCCATTGATATATGTGCTTATCTCTACACCAATGCCATGCTGTATGCATTACCCTGGTTATATAGTAAGTCTTAAAAAGCAGAAAATGCAACTCCTCAAGATTTATTCATTTATTTTTTCCAAAATTGTTTTGGCTATTCTAGTCCTTTCGGTTTTCAAACACATTTTATAATCAACTCATCTGTAACTACAAAAACATCCTGCTGAAACCCTCATTGTATTTGTACTAAAATTACAGATCCATTTGGAAGTAATTGACATCTTGTGTATTTTTTCTTCTAATCTATGAATACAATATAACTCTATTTATTTATAAATTATTTGATTTCTCTCATCAGCATTTTGTAGTTTCTAGCATATAAGTTCTTCATATTTTTTGTTAGATTTATGACAAAGATTTTTTACTTTTAAGCTATTCTAAATATTATTTTTAAAATTTTATATTTCCAGGTTTTCATTGCTAATATATAGAAATAAAAATTGATTTTTCTGTATAGCTTACATCTTGAAACCTTGTTAAACTCATTTATTAGTTCTACCATCTCTTTTTGTAGACTCCTTACAATTTTCCACTTAGACAATCACATTGTTTGTAAATAGGGACAGTTGTGTTTCTTCTTTTAATTACTTGTTCCTTTTTGCCTGTTGTCACTTACTATTTTGTATTATGGTGAATAGAAATAGTAAGAGTTGAAATCCTATCATTTTCCTCCATCTCAGGAGGCAAACATTCCATCTGCTATCATTCAGTAAAATGTTTTAGATTTTTGTTGACAACATTTTCCAGGTGGAGATAGGTTCTTCATATTCCTAGTTTGATAAGAAGTTTTTTATTTTATTTTGCTTGTTTTAAATGGCAAATACATTTTCTGAATGAATTAATATGACCACACAGTTTTTCTTATTTGTCTATTATAACATGATATTTTATACTGAGTGGTTTTGAATAATGAACTAACTTTGCAATCCCTGGGTAAACCCCATTTAGGCACCATGTATTGTATATATTGTGCATTCCATTTTTCAATATTTAGTTGTGAATTTGTGTATCTATGTTCATGATGGGTGTTGGTCTATCGTTTTCTTAGACTGTCTTGTCTGGTTTCGGTATCAAATAATCTGTGACCTTTTAAAATGATTTAGAGAGTGTTACTTCCTCTGATTTTCTGGGAGAGATTGTGAAGGATTGTTATTATATATTATTTCAATATTGATAGAATTTTTCAGTGAAACCATCTAGACCTAGAGTTTTCTTTACATGAAAAATTTTACTAGATTTTTTTTTAATACATATAGGATTATTTAGTTTTTCTATTTTTATTAATTCATGGTTTTTTAAGTCTTTCAAAAAATTGGTTCATTTCATATAAATTTTCCTATTTAGGGCAGAGTAGAATGTCATTTCAAAGTCATTTAATTTTCCCATTTTTCTTCCCAAAATTGTAATTTGTTTCTTTCCATTTTTGTTTTCTTTGTTTTATTGATATTTATTTTTATTTTTATTATTTTGTTCCTATTTCTGTTATTTCATTTATTTCTTACTTCTGTATGCTTTGGGTTCATTTTGCTCTTCTTTCTCTAATTTCCTAAGGTGGAAAGTTATATGCTTGTTCATTTTTAATATAATAATATATACTATACATGTCCCTCTAAGAACTGTTTTAGTATCATCAGAGAAATGTTAGTGCAGGTCGATTATGCCTAATTAAAAAAATCTAAAATCTGAAATGCTCCAAAATCCAAAACATTTTGAGCATCAACATGATGCTCAAAGAAAACGCATATTGGAACAATTTAGATTTCAGGTTTTTGGATTGAAGATTATCAACTGGGAAGGTATAATGCAAATATTTCAAACAAACGAACAAACACTGAAATCCAAAACACTTTTGGTTCCAAGCATTTTGGGTAAGGAATACCCAACCTGTAAGTTACATTTTCATTTTTGCTCAATTCAAAATATTTTCTAATCTCCTTTCAGACTTCCTCCTTGGCTGATGTATTGTTTTATTTTCAAATATTTGGAGAGTTACCATTGTTCTTTCTGTTATTAATTTCTAGCTTAATTTTATTATAATCAGGCAATATACTTGAACAATTATTTCAAATATTTTAAGCTTATTAAGGATAGTTTTATAGCCAATAATAAAGTTTATGTTTGTGAAGATTTTATGTACACTTGGAAATAATTTGTTTTGCTATAATTCTGTGGAATGTTTTATAAATGTCAATTACATTGTATTTGTTTGATAGTTTTTCAGTTCTTACAGATCCTTTTTCTTATTCTGTTTACTTGCTCCATTAGTGAAAGAAGATTGATGCCTCCAGCTATATTTGTGAATTTGTCCATTTTTCTTTTAGTTTCTGCTTTATGCATTTTGAAGCCTTCTTATTGCCATTTGGGATGAGCATGCCTGTTTGCTGAATTTCTATTATTATGTAATATGTCTTTTTATCCCTATACTTTTCCTTACTCTGAAGTATAATTTGCTTAACACTAATGTTGCAACTCCATGTCCTCTGTGTCTGAGATTTTGCTCTATATGCAAGCTAACAGTTAGCCTATCAGGGTTCCATGGATGTTGATGGAGTACACTAAATTCTTGAGTCTGAGACAAAAGACAATTTATGTCTCACAGAAATAGCAGTATCTATATACTCAGCATTTTTTGCATCAGCTTCCCAAGCCCCAATTCCTACCAGGGAAATATGAATGAGACAAGATGACTTAGACATAAGAAGTGGTTATTTATAGTTGAGAAAATCTGAGATTAGAGTACCCACATCTTTTAAAATAGGCAGTAATATGCCTGCCCTTTGGTTCAAAAGATGTTAAAATATGGTATTATTTGCTTTCTCTTTGTTTCCTCTGTTTCTTTTTCTTATTTTCATCTGTCTTATTTTGTATTACTATAACATTATTTAACATTTCTTTTTTATTTAACTATTACTTTTTTATTTTATCTCTTTGTGTGCTTTCTAAGTTGTTGCTCTTAAAATTATAATTTAAATATTTAGTGTCTTATAATCTATTTGGAATTAATATTTTATCACTTCAAGTGAAATGTAGATGAATGAAGAAACATTACCATTACAGAGATTGTTTTATTCTTCTCTCTTTATGGTGTATTTGCCATTTGTATTGTCTACATACATTGAAAACTCCATCAGACAATGGTATAATTTTTGCTTACATATTTTTTTAAACACTCAAGTAGAGAAAACTAGCCTACTTATATTTAAATATTTATTTCACATTTTAATCACTCTTTGCTTCATTCTGGAAGTTCCAAGTATCCACTGAATATAATTTCCCTTCTATTTCAATTACTTCCTTTACCATTTCTGTTAGAGAAGTTCTGCTGCTGAAAAATTGTATTGGTTTGCCTTTATCCAATAATATATTAACTGTACCTTCATTTCTGCAGAACAGTTTGGTGGATTCTCAGTTGACAGTTCTTTACTTTCAGCACTTTATAAATTATATTTCACTGTTTTCTGCCCTTCCTGATTTTTGTTGAGAAATCCATAACAATTTGAATTATTGTTCCCTTATAAGTGATGTTTGCTTTTCTCTAGCTTTTTTTCAATATATTTCTCCTCTCTTTTTTTATTATGTCATTAGCAGTTTGATTATGATGAATCAGAGCATGGATATTTTTGAACTTGTCTTGTTTAGGGTTCATTGCGGTTCTTGAATCATTTAACTTATATATTTCCCCAATTGTTTTTCATCGATTATTCTTTTATTTTTCCTGTATATGACTTCCTTCTTTCATTCTGATAATCTATGATATGAATGTTAAATCTTTCATTTCATATCATAGGTCTTGGAGTCCCTCTTAGCTTTTTCATTATTTTTTATTTATTTATTTTTTTTACTTTTTCCAGATTAGATAAATCCTATTGCTGTATCCTCATCACGCTTAAGTTTTTTCTCTGCTATCTCCATCTATTATCAAACTCACCTAGTGCCTTTTTTTGTGTGTGGTAATTTTGGTATTATGTTTTTTATTTATAAGTCATTTTAAAAAGATTTTTTATCTTTTTTTCTGAGATCTTTTCTTTTGCATCAAAAGTATTTTTCCCTAGTTCTTGGATCATGTTAATAATAGCTGCTTTAAAAATCTGTGTCTGATAATACCAACATCTCTATTATCTCAGGATGGACATCAATTGATTTTCTGTCTGCTTATAAAATGTCATGATTTTCATGCTCCTTCATATGTTGAGAAGCTATAGATTATATCTGGACATGTTGGGTACTATGTTATGAATCTCAGAGTCTTGTTAAGAATGTTGACCTTGGGAGGCCGAGGAGGGCGGATCAGGAGTTCAGGAGATCGAAGACCATCCTGGCTAACACGGTGAAACCCCATCTCTACTAAAACATACAAAAAAAAAAAAAATTTTGCCCGGCTTGATGGCCGGCGCCTGTAGTCCCAGCTACTCGGGAGGCTGAGGCGGGAGAATGGCGTGAACCCGGGAGGCGGAGCTTGCAGCGAGCCGAGATCGCGCCACTGCACTCCAGCCTGGGTGACAGAGCGAGACTCCGTCTCAAAAAAAAAAAAAAAACAAAAAACAAAACAAAAAAAATAGAATGTTGACCTTTATGTTTTAGGAGACAAGTGACCACAGTGTGTTCACCAGCCAAGTTTTACACACCTGAGGGCCACGGATCCAATGTCAATCAGTTTTTAAAAGTTTTGCTGTGCTTTAAGATCTTTCCTGAGTTCACTACTCAACGGCCAGCATGGGATGTGGGTGAAGGCCAGTGCTTTAGTTTGGTTCTCAAGGTATTTGATATGCTGTTTAAATCCATGCGTGCACAGATTTGGGATGAGCTCAGAAGTTTATGTATACTCTATGGGATTATTTTCTTATATTCAGAGAGATCCCTTCTCTCTGTAATTGTCCTGACATTTTCTTGAACCCAAGGGATTCTCTTAGGTTTTTTTTTTTTTTTTTTTTTTTTTATAACATCTTGGTCTGTCACCCAGGCTGGAGTGCAGTGGTGCGATCATAGCTCAATGCAGCCTCCACCCTCTGGTCTCAAGCAATCCTCTCATCTTGGTTTCCCAAAGTATTGGAATTACAGGCATGAATCACTGTGCCCAACTTCTTTCTGATCTGACAAAAAACACCAGGGCTTTATTTCTGTGTTCTATCATGAACTTCCTATGACTGTACCTTTCTCTGGGGCCACATGGCAAGAAGGTAGGAAGAAAGGAAAACAGGAGTATTTCCTCATACTTTTGAGACCACAAATACTTATTTCCTGAAATTTTAGGGGTCTTCCCTATTGCTTCTGCTTCTGTGACATTGCTAGGGGGCAGGATTAGTAGAGAATAATGATAGCAACAACAAAATTAAGGAACTTTCTTCTATTATATCTGCCCCATAAATGCTCCCTTTCCTATCACTTCTATGAGAAACAGAGGGATTCCTTTGAAGTTCTTTCTGTCTAAACCCGGTGCTCACTTCTGAATATTGTGCTATTTTATGAGTCCAGGCTAAGAATAACCAAAGGAAAATAAAAATGAGTATGTGGGGGGAATTACTGCCAATTTAGTAGTAGTGCAAATCTGGTTTTCTTCCCCAATATTCTTGCTATCATTTGCTTATTAAAGTCCTTAGGTCCCTTGTGCGTGCAGCCTGCCCAGGTTCTTAGTTGCATTTAGTGGGAGAGACATATTGGTGTATGCTTACTCAATCTCTACCAGAGTTGGACCCTTTTCATTTACTATTAACGATCTTAAAATTATAGCTGAAATGAGCTTCAATACAGTTTAAAAGTCCTATTCAGAAGAGACAAAAACATCCAATCCATTATATGGATCCTTTTGTTTTAATTTTGCTTTTTTTTTTTTTCCTCTAGCCAATCCTCTACCAGTTATGATATCTCAAAATGACAAAAATTAGAAATCAAATTTGGTCTGACATTTGTGGCAAGCTTTGCTATTGTTGTAGTACAGAAGTAATGATTCAAAACATCAGTATCCAAATAACCCCAGATAAATTTTCATTAAAACCAGCTCGAATTAGTCAAACCCACTGAAGATTGAATTTTATCCATTAAGCCACAGGAGGCAGCAAAACTAGTAAAATACTACAGGGCTTCCAGAAAAGAACACACCCACTACTTAATATGTTATTTAATATGCTGTTAAGCCTTAGGTAAGTTATTTAACTTAAGTAGGCATTCATAACTGAATATCTAAAATGGGTTGTAAAAAATTTTCACTGAGATTTGTCCTTGATGCACTGAGACGAGATAAAGTTCTCAGCAAATATAGGCACTCAAAAGGGCCATTTAGTGACATATGATACAAAGTGCACATTTAAAAAAAAAAAGAAACCAAATTACCGCAGAAGAGTAGAAAATTAAATGACATCAGAAAAAAGATGCTTTAAGTTTAAGCATAGTTATAGCTATCTTGAGAGAAAGAACGTTAAAAATAATATATGTACATACTCAAATATAATGATAATAATAAGTGGTAATAATAATGTTTTATACACGCATTGTGTTTACTATGCTTCAAGCACAGATTCTCAGTCGTTCACATGTTACCTGATTAAATCTACATCCTCTCAAATAGGTATGATATGCTTCCCACTTGACTGTTGAGAATAGTAAGGCAAAACAAGGTCATATAGCCAGAAATTGGCAGAGCTGAGATTCTACCCAAGCAGTTTTGGTCCATATCCTTTTCTATTAAACACTATGCGATGCTACCTATCTCAATAAAATTATGGTTTATATTAATATTGTTATTATTGTATAATTTTTATTATCATATTAAACTTGTTATTTCTAACCAACATCTCCCTTTGGATTCATAGCATTTGTTCTTCCATGTTCTTTATATACCATCCTGAGTAGCTAAATCACTCCTTGTGGGACTCATATCTTTCTCAAAGCTCTTTAGCTGCCCATGATCCTTATATAAGAACAGCATTCCATCACCTTTCAGAGAATCAGTAAGAACAAGAGAGTTGTCAGAAATCACATCTTTGAGAGGAAAATATTTTTTTCTCATGAAATAAAGCTGATAACAAATTTTCTGAAGACCACATGCTAAAGCCAAATCATCAAATAATAATGTATTTGTGGAGCCATTGCGCTACTGGAAAAGATGAAGTTCTATTGATATCATCATATAAGTCCATGCAGAGAATAAAAAATACTTCACCAAACATGTGCAAAAATATTTATAGCAGTACTAACCATAATATACAGAAAAAGGGGGGCAGAGAGAGAGAGCAACTCAAATGTCTGTCAACAGTATCCTGGATTAATAAATTATATATTGATACAATAGAGTAATTTATTACAATGAAAATAAATGTATCATGACCACATTTACAAAACATCTAAATATAGTTGTATTAGTTTGTTTTCACACTGCTAATAAAGACATACCGAAGAGTGGGTAATTTATGCAGGAAAAAGCTTTAATGGACTTACAGTTCCATGTGGCTGGGGAAGCCTCACAATCGTGGTGGAAGGCAAGGAGGAGCAAGTCACGTCTTACATAGATGGCAGCAGACAAAAAAAGAGCTTGTGCAAGGAAACTCCCCCTTATAAAACTATCAGATCTCATGAGACTTATTCACTATCATGTGAACAACGCAGGAAAGACCTGCCCCCATGATTCAGTTACATCTCACCAGGTCCCTCACACAACATGTAGAAATTCAAGATGAGATTTGGGTGGGGACACAGCCAAACCATATCATTCTGCTCCTGGCCACTCCCAAATCTTATGTCCTCACATTTCAAAACCAATCATGCCTTCCCAACAGTCCCCCAAAGTCTTAACTCATTTTGACATTAACTCAGAAGTCCAGAGTCCAAGGCCTCACCTGAGACAAGGCAATTCCCTTCTGCCTATGAGCCTGTAAAATCAAAAGCAAGTTAGTTACTTCTTAGATACAATGGGGGTGCAGGCGTTTGGTAAATACAGCCATTCTAATTGGGAGAAATTGGCCAAAACAAAGAGGCTACAGGCCCCATGCATATCTGAAATCCAGTGAGGCAGTCAAATCTTAAAGCTCCAAAATGATCTCCTTCGACTCCATGTCTCATGTCCAGGTCATGTTGATGCAAGAGCTAGGCCTTGGGAAGCTCCATCCCTGTGGCTTTGCAGGGTGTACCCCCACCCCCCAACCCTGGCTGCTTTCACGGGCTGGCATTGAGTGTCTGTACCTTTTCCAGGCACACAGTGCAGGTTGTCAATGGGGCTTCCACCCACTGAAGCAACAGCCTGAGCTGTACCTTGGCCACTTTCAGTCATGGCTGGAACAGATGGGACGCAGGGCAACAAGTCCCTATACTACACAGCAGGGAGATCCAGGGCCCGGCCCATAAAACCATTTGATCCTCCTCAACCTCCAGGTCTGTGATGGGAGGGGCTACCACAAAAGTCTCTGACATGCCCTGGAGACATTTTCCTCCTTGTCTTGGTGATTAACATTCACCTTCTTGTAACTTATGCAAATTTCTGCAGCCAGCTTGAATTTCTTGTCAGAAGATGGTATTTTCTTTTCTATTGCATTGTCAGACTACAAATTTTCCAAACTTTTATGCTCTTTTTCCCTTTTAAAACTGAATACCTTTAACAACACCCAAGTCACATCTTGAATGCTTTCTTTCTTAGAAAGTTCTTCTACCAGATACCCTAAATCATCTCTTTTAAGTTCAGAAGCCCACAAATCTCTAGGGCAGGGGCACGATGCCACCAGTCTTTTTGCTAAGACATAACAAGAGTGAGTGACCTTTGCTCCAGTTCCCAACAAGTTCCCTGTTTCCATCTGAGACCACCTCAGCCTGGATTTCATTGTTCCTATCACTATCAGCATGTTATTCAAAGTCATATAACCAGTCTCTAGGGAGTTTCAAACTTTCCCACCTTTTTCTGTTTCCTTCTGAGCCCTCCAAACTGTTCCAACCTCTGCCAGTTATGTAGTTCCACATTTTCAGGTATCTTTTCAGAAGCACCCCACTCTACTGGTACCAATTTACTGTAGTAGTCTGTTTTCATGCTGCTAATAAAGACGTACCCAGGACTAGATAACTTATGCAGGTAAAAGCTTTAATGGACTTACAGTTCCATGTGGCTGGACAAGCCTCACAATCATGGTGGAAGGCAACAAGGATCAAGTCATGTCTTACATGGATGGCAGCAGGCAGAAAGAGAGCTTGTGCAGGGAAACGCTCCCTTATAGAACCATCAGATCTTGTGAGACCTATTCACTATCACAAGAACAGTACAGGAAAGACTTGCCCCCATGATTCAATTACCTTCCATCAGGTCCCTCTCACAACACATGGAATTCAAGATAAGATTTGGGTGGGGACACAGCCAAACCATATCAATGTTGAAAATAATTTTGAATGAAAAGATCTTCCATATAGTGTTGACATTCTTGATCTTCGTGCTGATGACATGGGTGTGCACCTGTTATGGACATCACTTCACTTTACATTTATAATCTATGTCTGTCATTGTGTGGATATTCCACTTAATACAGGTTTACATTAAAAACTAGGAACCAAAGGAGCAAAAAGGATTCAGGGGAATTGGGTTTGACTCTCTAAGCTTTAGTTTTTCTATCTATAAAATAAAGAGATATGAATAGTCTATATATTCCATTCTGGTTTTGATATTCTTTAATTTCTATGCTTTGTCTGGGTTTGATTTTAAACCTTGGTAACTCAGTTTATCAAGATTTTTACATGCATCAGAAGAGGTCAGGTGAGCCAGAAGGGACTCAACTCTGTTTCTTGTCTCTACTCTGTCCACATAGCTCCTTTTCCTTCACACTCCACCTGCAATCCATCAGGTATTCTGTTTGTTCTCTTTTTAAAATATATCCAGATCCCATCCACATTTCATCATCTCCTTTGCTATCCCCGTTGTTCTAAACCACAATCTTCTCTCATCTGGACTGCCATGAAGTATCTTAATTGGAATAAGCTCTCCTATCCTTGTTACACTATAACATAGCAGTCAAAATGATTCATTTAAAATAGAAGTTAGAGGGTGTCACTCTTTTGTGCAAAATGCTGAAATAGATCCTCTTGTCACTCACAGTAAAACAAAATTCCTTATGATGGCCTACCTGTTCCTATATAGCTGGTGCCCTGGTACTCCAAAAACGTATTCTGCTATCTCTCTCTCTGGCTCATCCCATTGCAGTTACATTCACCTCCCTGGTGCTCCTGGGCAGGTGGGCCAAATATCTCAGTGCCTCAGGGTCTTTGCACCTGTGTTTTCCTCTGCCTAGAATGTTCTTTCTGGAGATATTCACAAAGCTACTTTTTTCTCAACTTTCAAATCTTTGCTCAGAGATCACCTTCTTAAAGAGACTTTCCCTGACCGTCCTATATAAATTTTCAAATGATTTCATCTCCAGCATGCCTTCTTTTTTGATATTTTTGCTATTTCTCACCTTAGCACTTGTGTCTTCTAACATGTTGTAAAATTTGCTCACTTATTTTGTTTATTCTCTCCTCAATCAGCCCCAGCCTCCTTTACTTCAGAAAGATCAATCCTTAGGGAAACACCTGCTCAACTGAGAATAAGCCATTAGTAAAATAAGAAATTGATTGCAAAGTTTGTTTTTGCAACTAGGAAATAGTAAGAAAAATTGCAACCTGTTTTGAGAGGGTGAGATTTGAGCCAGAGTTAAAAGAACAACCACCTAAAGTTCTTAGGTAACTTTTCAAGTGAACTTTTACCAAAGTTTTAAGAGCTTTTAAAGTTCCCTTTAAAGAACAACTTTTTAATCAAGTGAATACAACAGACCATGAAAGAAGATGACTTCAATGACTGAACCATTTGATACGAAAATGCAAAGGAGAGAGAAAGAGAGAGAGAATATGTTAAAAGATTATAAAAACATACTGTGAGTCAAGAAGACAAGGTGATCAAAATCCATTTACCAAACCCTTCAAAATATTATCTTTCCTCACCACAACTTACACATTGGCCCACTTGAATGTTGAAACCCAAATAAATAATCTCAATAATGGGAAAGCAGGATAGGGCAGAAGAGGTGTCATAGGTAAAATATGTACAGCTTTTCAAAAGAGGTTTGGAAATATGTTTCATATGACCCAGTTTTTAAAAACAAAACATAAAATATATACATATAGAGCTAAAAAGCTATATGCTGAAATATCTACATGTTCTTTCTTTACTTGTGCAATACTTTTTATCCCCCATTTTTTCTCATCAACATTTGAAAATTCTTCTATAAACTTACATTTTACTAATAGATTAAGAAAGCAGTAGGGGTGTTTTAAAATGAGACAGAGTTAAAGATCATTAGGGAAATTAGAGGTCAGTATTTTATTATTAACCAGCTGCAGAGAAAAGCCAGAGATGCAGAAGGACCTCCTAATTCTGCCCCCTTAAGTCTATTTCAAATACAGGTTCTTGCTTTCACACCTCTCATACATTTACAAATCTTAGTATAATAATGATATTATCACACAGTGTGATGGTTAATATTGAGTGTCAACCCAATTGGATTGAAGGATGCAAAGTATTGTTCCCGGGTGTGTCTGTGAGGGTGTTGCCAAAGGAGATTAACATTTGAGTCATTGGACTGGGAGAGGCAGACCCACCCTCAATCTGCCTGGGCACCATCGAAGCAGCTGCCAGCATGGCTAGAATAAAGGAGGCAGAAGAAAGTGGAAAGAGCGGACTTGCTGAGTCTTCCAGGCTTCATCTTTCTCCCGTGCTGGAGGCTTCCTGCCCTCGAACATCAGACTCCAAGTTTTTCAGCTTTTGGAGTCTTGGACTTACACTAATGGTTTTCCAGGGGGCTCTCAGGCATTTGGCCACAGACTGAGGACTGCACTGTCAGTTTCCCTGCTTCTGAGGTTTGGGGACTTGGACTGTCTTTCTTGCTCCTCAGCTTGCAGATGGCCTATTGTGGGACTTCACCTTGTGATTGTGTGAGTCAATTCTCCTTAATAAACTCCCCTTCATATATACAGTCATCCTATTATTTCTGTCCCTCTAGAGCACCCTGAATAATACACACAATTTCAGGTATTCAGAAGTTATCCCAGAAAATACAGAAGGGATATTGCTGAAGATATTTTTAACAAAAGAAGAAAAAAAAGGCTTAAGGAGTTTTGTCATGTGAGAGAAAAAAAATAAAAAGAGGGTAGACCTCCCTTTGTTTCTCCAGGACAAAAATTCACGGATGGGAATTTTAGGGAGACAGACAGTATGTAATAAGTATATTCTTTCTAATAATTGGAACTATCTAATAATGCTCTGGTCTGCTTCCATGCATAAAGCACTCTGCCTCTAGACTCTTCAGGCTGAGAGAAGGTGGCCTGGTCAGATGCCATAGAAACAATCTCTGCTGCCTCTAGGGTGAAGTTATCTAAATGCTTCCTAATGTCTTTGCCAATTCTGAAAAACAATGATTTGGAAATAAAGGTCAGATGGCTGTAGTTTAAATGATTCATTTCAGTTCTTTGTATAATTTTGAAAAGAGGTATGCTAACTAAATTATTCTGCAAATGCATTTTATTCAATTATGGTGATGCTTTTGAAGTTTTCTGATGGCCCTGGTTAATCAGCCTCCCTAGGGGCAATTTCTCCCCTTCAGTCCAATTAGCATCGAAGATGTGTCTTAGACGCCACATGATGTTCCAGCAATTTATTTTCATAGTGTTCTTATAAGGTGGAGAGCATGGGCCAGGTACAGACAGGGATCTGATGATCGACTGACCAGGAGGATCTCTGTCCAGAAACTGTTCTCCAAGTTTGAAGAATATTCCTCCAACATGGACTATATAGAATATACCTCTATATACCTCTATTCAGTCCATGTTAGTTACCAGCTATTTTTTTAATAAAGGAAATTTAAGCCATTCTTATAAGGGTAAGCATTGTTTTACGGTTTATAAAGGTTGTGTCTGCTGACGTGGTCTTGTCTCTTGCAAATCCACAGGCCAGGAATGGAAACCCTCAGGCCAGTTTGCATCATATGGTTAAGTAATGCATAGTGTATGCCCTTCCAACCTTATAGCCACTATATGTCTCCTGTAGTATACTACACGATGTTATATATTGTTAGTTTACTTAAATTTATATATATGTATGTGTATATACACACATAAATAAACAAACGTGCTCAGCATTTATGCTAGAAAAGCAAATAGAAGTTTCCCAAATTTGAGTTTTGAACAAAAATATGTCCTAATAATTTGGATATTTTCCAAAATTTATATATTTTTTTGAGATGGAGTCTTGCTCTGTTACCCAGGCTGGAGTGCAGTGGCGCAGTCTCAGCTCACTGCAAGCTCCACCTCCCGAGTTCACGTCTCAGCCTCCCGAGTAGCTGGGACTACAGGCACCCACCACCACACCCAGCTAATTTTGTTTTTGTATTTTTAGTAGAGACGGGGTTTCACTGTGTTAGCCAGGATGGTCTTGATTCACCTGCCTCGGCCTCCCAAACTTCTGGGATTATAGGCGTGAGCCACCATGCCTAGCCCGAAATTTGTATTTTTTATAATGAATACATGATGGCAGCCTAACACTTTCTTTGCTAATTCCACTGTTTAATATTAATATTAAAAGGGTGTTTTGTCTTTAATATTATCTTTCTGATTCTTCCTTCCTTCATTCGTTCCTTCCTTTTCTTTCTTCCATTCTTTTTCCTTCTAAAAAATATGGTATTTAAAGTCCCATGCTACTACAATAGAACATAATGTATTCAGAAATGAAAACAGCCTATGGTAAAGTTTATCCAAGTTTGCCACAAAGATGGAAGGTAGATGTAATTAAAAAATAACTTGAATTAGAGGTATTTTCCAACTTCCTAGTTTTCCCCAAAAAGAAAAAAATTCAAGTTGCTTTTCTTTCTCAGTGTATTTAGCTTTAAGTTGTGTTGGTAAAAAAAAACTTTAGCCTCTTGGATATCTGGAGGACCTCCCAGCCACCAATCCTCTTAGGCTACTGAATGAGACTAAGCCTTATCTTTTTTTTTCAAGACCAGTTACCCAAGTTGTGCTTTTAGGTTTTCATATTTTTAAATTTATTTTTAGATTATCTTGAGATGTAGTTAATGAATAGTAAATGGTGTCTAGAGACAGAGGTACTTAGATCCAAATTTATTTATCTCTTTGAGCAGCCTTGCCACTCTGCCAGTTGCTTCAAAATACTGAGCCCCAGAGTACTCAGCCATAAACTGGAAACTGGGATGGACTATTTAAGGTTTAAATCAGATAAGGTGTGTAAAGGGACTAGCATAGTGCCAGGAAGATAGTAAGTACACTATAAATACTAGCTATTATGGAGAAGTAACATAATTTGAGTCTTACTTACACACTGATGTTCTATTTTAAGGCGTATTTTAAGCTAATAAATTATGAGCAGAAGAAACACACAGGAATGAAAATCAAATGTGTATAATTAAAAATATTCTCCAGTAGTCAGCATATTGGTAGAGAATGGCTGAGTTAACACTTTCATTTATAACAGAGTTTTACTGATTTCACCAAGGTTCAGCATTTCACATGAACATCAAAGTGCAGTGATACAGTGCGTCCCTCCCAAGCCCTTAAAACGCTTTTTGTGAAAAAAAATAGCTTTAGTACCTTCAGGCAAATAGGACAATTAAGTGTAAACAAACATAAAACCACTTTTAATATTAATATGTTTTTTTAGAGGCAGAGATCAGTCTGGGTGTATCACAGTGATTTGAGACCTACATAAGATCAGGTGGACCAATCTCAAGTCCTGAAGAAGTCTAAACTCTTCTCCAGGATTTCTTAGAATACCAGTTGGCAACCTAATGTGGTCTCCTGAGACTCAACCTCCCTACTTTCTGGGGATTAAATTTCTTTACATCTTGCTCTCTTGTATGGGCTGTTTCTTCCCTGCGCCACCTCACTCCAGGAAGGCAAATATCTCTTTTCATATTTCATACAAGAAAAAACAAAAGTAAAAACAAGCCCTCACTATAGCTTATATGTGTGCAGTAGATTCCACTGGAAGTGAGATGAGGTGGAGTGGAGGAGCGGCAGGAGTCACATCACAGCCACACAAAATCTCTCCAAATTGAATGTTAAACATCCTCTGGTTTAAAATGTTCCTTGGCCAGTCTTCCACTTGGGCTTTTTTTGCTTACTTCTTCTGATGGACGACGTCCCCAGCTTCAAATTCCCACCCCTCCCGCAACTTACAGATGCTTCTTGCTCAGCCTTGTCTCTCAGGCCCCTCTGTCTCGCTACAGAGCAGAGCCAAGGCTGCCATCGTTGCTCAGAAGAGCCCTTGGGCTTTCTCTATTCTTACTTGGTTCCTATCAACATTCACACTTACAGGCTTCTCCCTTTCTTCCCGGTCAGCTTACCAAGATATTTCCTAAACAAAACCTTTCTTTTTTCTTGTTTTTCTTTTGAGACAGAGTCTCATTCTGTCGTCCAAGCTGGAGTGCAGTGGTGTGATATGGCTCACTGCAGCCTTGACTTCCCAGACTCAGTGATCCTCCCACCTCCACCTCCAGAGTAGCTGGGACTATGGCTACGCACCACCACACCAAGCAAATTATTTTTTTGTAGAAGTGGGGTTTTGCCATGTTGCCCAGTCTGAACCTTTCTTTTTTCTAAGGTAAATTATATTTCCTGCAGATGAGAGAATTTTTGAACATTCCTTCCCCACATATATTTATACTCTGCTACCTCTGTCACAGCCATGGGTCTCTCTCTAGTTTCCATAATGATTTATTGATTTAAAAAGTCCAGCTTTAGCACCTGATCTGTGGCATTAGGGGCTACCAGAACTACTTGTGAACCATTTTTTTCCAATGAGATCAAGTGGGCATTTTGTTCTCAACCTAAAATCTAGTCATGATAATATCAGGTGGTATTGAGAGATGAAAGGCCCATCATATCTTTAGGTTTCCATACTGTCAGAGCTAGAAATGGCACAACCTTGGCTTCCCTTCTCCCCAAAATGGAGTGTCACAGAGCTGGCTTTCTCATAGATGTCATCCTAGATTCAAAGCTCTGGGATCCCAGATAATTACAGACTGCTGTATGTATAGGTGAATTCATTGTCCAAGGCACTCCAAGACATAAGTTTCCAATTGTCTTATCCAACCGCCTGCAGCCCTTCCCCTCTCAGTAAAGGCTCTGGAAAATTTAAGTTAATTGGAACAACGTGGGAGTCAAAGAGACTTAAGTCCAAGGTGGAAGGCAAAGATCAATAGCACTAGTTTTTAGATGGCGTTACGTTTCCATTGCAGTTAATTACTGAGAGTTAGCAGAGCACGGTAGGAACACGTGGCATGCCATGGTTCTACTGTCCAAATTCAGATCCCAGCTCTGCTCCTTGCTAAGCTGTGTTACCTTGGGCAAGTCACCTAACCTATTCCTGCCTTACTTTTTTCATGGTCATTTGGTTCTAAATTACCATGTAGTAAGTACCCAGGAAATTTCACTTATTATTAATATTAGTGGAAGAATTCAAAAGTTCATTTGTAAATATTTATTAAATACCTAATAGGCAGAAGCACTGCACTGTGCCCAGGAAGACAAAAGAGAAATGTTTTCTATTCTCATACAGCTTTTCTTCTGCTAGGGAAGTCAGAAATCACCATACTAGGTTATAATAATCTTCATCACTGCTTTAAAAAAGAAGGAAGTAAAACAAGGGGACGCAGTGTTGATATTTACTCTGAATACTTAACCTAGGCTGAAGATAGGGAGGCACTATCTATAGAACTGACATTGAATCTGAGACCCCAAATATGAACTAGGTGCAGTGAAGGCATGGAGCTGATTGGGCAAGGGATGCAGCAAGGAGTGTGCAAGCAGAGAAAGATACATGTTCAAAGATCCAGGGCAGGGAAGAAGGTGAATTTGTTCAGCCACGAGGGAGGTTGAGGTCAGCATAGTGGGAATGTTCTTGAAACCAGCCCAGTTGACTCATAGAAATCATGTTTATGGCGTTTTGTACGAATGTAGAAATTTACCCTCCCTGTCTTAAAACTTGAAACTTAACGTTTGTCTTACTTGAGTTCCTTCCTCAGAAAACGAACCCTCAGGTGAGGAACTGAAACTTATTAAAACTTATCAGGTCACCACATGCATACAGTGAGATGCCACCCCTCATTCCTCATGATTGCTTCCTCGCCCCTCCCTAAGTCCCGTTTTCCTGTGTAGCCTCATTACTTCCCTGCTATATAAACCCTCAATTTTAGTCAGTGAGAGAGACAGATTTGAGACTTGTCTCCCATCTCTCTGGCCACTGTCATGAAAATAAACAGCCTTCTTTCTTGGCAATACTCATTGTCTCAGTGATTGGCTTTCTGTGCAGTGAGCAATGGGACCTAGAGTGAACCTCTGACATTTGGATAACATTTTGAACTAGAGGCATGGGAGATAGTGTAATGGGAGGGTCTGGATGTGCGGGCAAGGACTGAATCCTGTGGGACCTTTTGGTTCATATTATAATTTTTAACTTGATTCTAAGAGACACTGGCAATTCATTGAAGAGTTTTCATTTTTCAGTTTTTCTTCTTTTTTTTAATGGAATATTCTGACTTTTTTTCCAAATACAGTACTGAGATATTGGGTGGACCTGAAATTATGTATCCCAGGTATATATTTTTAAATGAGTTTGTTTAATCCCACAAAAGTATTCAAAGCGTGCTTTGAATATTTGTCACCTTGCTATGTGTAAGGCGGCTAGCATATTGTGTGAGGCCAACTGACATCCACAGACCTGTTCTCCACCTGCCTCCCACCCCTGAATGTATTCTTTTTTGCAGAATGTACCCTGATGTGTTCAAATTTTTACTCTTCCTAATTAGCAGCCATGTGATTTAGGGGGAAGTCCCTGGAGACATGGCTGCAGGAGTAGAATTTGAGAGGCTCTGGTTGCATGGACAGCTCACAGTGCTCTGCCTCAGGGATTTGAATAGAAGAACCTACCCAGTGACACCAACCCAGCTTCCAGAGAAGCTGGCTGGAGACTCTGGGAATGGAAACCATTGACCTTTCTTTGAGATTTGAAACAATTCTCTTTACCTTTCTTTTTTCCAAGATAACTTAAGATTCTTTCCTTCCCTTTCTTCCTCCCTCCCTCTTTCCTTCTCTTTCCCCTTCCTTTCTATCTTCCTTTTTTCCCTTCCTTTCCCTTCTTTTTCTTTCTTTCCCTATTCCCCTTCCTTCCCTTCCTTCTTCCTTTCCTGTTTCCCTTCCTCTCTTCCTCCCTCCTTCCCTCTCTTCCTTCCTTCCCTCCTTTCTTATTTTCCTTCTTCCTTTCTTTCCTTCTGTCCGTTGATGACAACAGAGTTCCTAACTGATATTAGTCTCCACAAGTATAACTAGAACTGATGAGGAGAAGCAAGAGAAAGACCAACATAGATCTGTATCAGATAGAAAAGGGAGAGAGAGCAAGAACACTTGAAGCTTCTGTATGCCAAACTACTCATAGTTCTCTGAGTACTTGTTCAAATTATCCTTTCGAGGCTCTGCTTTGGACTCTGTCTTCTGGAAGACTTCAGATTTCTGAGCTGGGCTGAGAGCCTCTCCACACATAGATCCCAGAGTAACTATCCTATCACCTTTGTATCTCCATCACCCAGCGGAACAACTGACTCACTGTTTCCACTGTCAGAAAATGCTTAGAAAATTCAATCAATTTTCCCAAGGTAGTTACTCTTTATAGTAACACTAGGGTATTCAAACATAAGTTATGCCAGTGCTCTGCCTTTTTATTGTCAGTCTAAGATAAGTAGAGAACATAAGAAAATAATTTAGAAAATTTATAAAAGTTGACATGAACAAAATATCTAGGCTTTTTTTATTTCATAAAAGTATCAGTCCACAAGAGATTGATTTTTTAAACACTGTGGGTTGTTCATCACATACAGTTTAGTACTTGTTTGGGAATAATGTGGAAGAATAAATTCAAACATTATTTGAGGAGTCATGTGAGATGGCCTGTTTCTCTTGTTTTATTGTGAAGAGAAAAAAAGGAAACAGAAAAGGTTACTTTTGACATTAGAACCATTATGGAATATATATGATTTACTTCATATCCTCTCACTTATACCATCTGCTACCCCATTCTTGCCAATTGGTACTCATGCTGCCTCGAGTCAACTGATACAATGGAGACCATTTGTTGTGACTTCAGCACCATCCTATCTCTCAGTCAGGCAATGTCCAACCTAAGAGAGGAAGCCACTGAAGGTGGCTCTTCATATTACAGTGACAGTGCACTGAGAGATGTCTGGATGAAGCTGGAGTCCTTCTCCTAATTCATCTCCATAAGCGAGTGCTTCCTCCATCAGTGTGGGAGCCAGGCTCCGGAAGCACTCTTAGTGTGGGCAAGACACCGAAGCTATTTCTATTTTTCTATTTGTTATTTTCCTTCTAGATACTTTCACCTTATTCTCCTTCTGCCTTACTTCTTTTACCAATTTTAAATTTTTTGGCACAACTTTTCCATTTGGCTTTTGGAGATTTAGGATAAAATATCTCTATATCTAATATTTCAGGGACTGTGAAGTAATTGTGTGTATGTGTGTGTGAACTTGATTCAAGATTGATATAATTCTAATGGAGAAAAAGAAAAAAAATGCTCAGTGTACTTGATATAGCATTACACTTGCCACATTAAGCAAACCATGTAGTTCTTTCCCTTTTTATTAAAACTTGCGTGGCCCTAATGAGCTACAGTATCACCACGGTGCAAGGATCACAGTTCTAATGACAGTGTTAAGCTTCATAAAAATGCTTTAAAACAGCAGTTGTGCAAAACATCTTCAAAGCCAGCTGTCTGACTGTGCATTCCCGTTTCAGCGAGAATCCAGTCACCTCCCAGGCCAGCATGAACAATTCTGGGTAAATGGTGAAAGCTCTTTAATTCTCTGTGAACTGCTTTCCTGAGAACTCCTACAGATTCATGAATACATTGTTCATCCTCCGGAGAAGACACTTTTTTTAATGTTATTAATAGTTATTGGATAAGCTTTAAATTTGGACAAACTAGGTATGGAATTCTGTGTTCAACACAGTGTAGCTTTAGAATTTCAGAGAATTTACTGAGCCTCCTAAAGCCAGTGTTTCCCAAACTGCAGATCATAACTCATTAGTGGTTGTAGAATCAATTTAATGTTCACAGAAATATATGAAAACTGAAATATAATAGAAATATCGGCCGGGCGCGGTGGCTCATGCCTGTAATCCCAGCACTTTGGGAGGCTGAGGCAGGCGGATTGTGAGGTCAGGAGATCTAGACCATCCCCCCTTCTCTACTAAAAAAAAAAGTACAAACAATTAGCCGGGTGTGATGGCAGGTGCCTGTAGTCCCAGCTACTCGGGAGGCTAAGGCAAGAGAATTGCTTGAACCAGGGAGGTGGAGGTTGCAGTGAGCCGAGATCGTGCCACTGCACTCCAGCCTGGATGACAGAGTGAGACTCTGTCAAAAAAAAAAAAAAAAAAAATCAGAGTTCATTATGTATTGCAAAAGTTAAATTTTGTTTCGTTTCTATGCATATGATATATTCCTTTATGTTTCAGAGTTTCTCAAAAAATTTTGAAAACTTTGCTCTAAGTCTTAGTTTCATTATCTTCAATCACCATTCAACTATTTAAAACCTATATAAAGTCAAAGTTGACTGTATCCCCTTCTATCTGCTAGGCAAGAGCTAATTCCTTTACAAAGTATTTGGGATCTTGTTTAGGAAAATGCCCTGAGAAGCCATGTAATGAACTTCCGGAAGTCAGGGTTGTTTAGCACACGGTCCAGGTGGAGACACTGAAACTGAAATGGGGCTTGATTTCTTTATGTCACAGACAGGGTTTGGGAAGGGACAGGGGTGACTTAAAGATAATAGCTAGATGGAGAGGAAAAAAAGGAAGAAGAAATCCAATGACATTAGGTGTCAATCAGTGCTGTGCATGTAAGGATGGCTAGTACACAGGAATTCGCAGAAATTAGAATGGCCAAAAAGTTCTCAAGAACACTGAGGTCCACGATTTAGCTATGCATTCTGTTTCCTGATAGAGCTCTGCTCTCCAGTGCCAAAAATAAAAATGAAAACAAAAATAATCCAACAAATACAAAATAATGCTGTTTTTTGATGTGCCCCAGATTATCCTCAATCCTTATTTTTAACATAAATTTTCAATAAAAGTCTAGAACTCTCCTGAGTGTTGAAGGGCAGAGTTTGAGATGGATTGTGGAAAACGAGTCAGTTACTATCTTAGGGCTTACAGACCTCTCATGCATAAAATGAAACAAAAGAAAGAAAAAAAAAATCTAAAGTAGAAATTTGGAAAAAGAAGTTCCCTGGAGGAATGTAAGAATTTATCTCTTCTCTGCAAATCCCGTGAAATATTCAGTGGTGTGCTGGATTTTTCACAGAACCTAAGGTGACACTCTAAAAATGTTAAAGGGGCTAGGTGCGGTGGCTCACACCTGTCATCCCAGCACTTTGGGAGTCTGAGGAGGGTGGACTCCCACAACCAGCCTGGGCAACATGGTGAAACCCCTTCTCTACTAAAAATACAAAAATTAGCCAGGTGTGGTGGCGTGCACCTGTAATCCCAGCTACTTGGGAGGCAGAGGCATGAGAATCATTTGAACCCTGGAGGTGGAGGTTGCAGTACACCGAGATTATGCCATTGCACTCCAGCCTGTGTGAGAGAGTGAAACTCTGTCCCCCCTGGCCAAAAAAAAAATTAAAAAAAAATTTAAAAAAAGTTAAAGGACAGCGTGAAAACTTGGAATCATCAAGCAATTGACACCTGGTTTACATGAAGATGATATATCATGGACTTTACATATAATTATGTTGCTTTCTAAATGACTTAGAGGAAGATCATTCTAACCATTCTATTTGGATGAAAATTGGACAAAGGTATCCAGTTATTTTAGTATATTTGAATATCTGTAGATCAAATGGAAGAATACATTTATAATGTTCCTTAGTAGGATTTGGCTGACAGGCCACAGTCTAATTTGACTATCAAAATTTGATGTTAGAGTTAACTCTACATCTTACTATTGGGATTTTACTGCTACATGTCCAAATTGATGTTTGGGAAAAAAAAGCATGTTGTATCAGTAATTTACCATGTAGTCCTTAGAGTCATTATCATAAAATTGTTTCTCAGTAAAGATCAATTTGTTAGGAAGGAAGGAAGGAAGGAAGGAAGAAAGGAAGGAAGAATGGAAACATCACTTTTCAGCTTGCTTCTCTGTGCTGGCACAATATACACAGGGCTTTGGAATGGGTTTGTTTGTGTGCTTATGGATGCATGCAAATATTTTTGTATATGCATATGTGTATGTTTTAAGCCTAGTGTTGAAGTCAGTAGGGTTCTTCACCATTATTCCAGTTAGTCTCATCCAGAGACACGGTGAATTATATTTGCCACTGCCTTGAAGGTAGGCATGACCATGTGACCTGCTTGGGTTACTGAAACGTGAGCTGACATGATATTTGGCACATCTGGGTAGCATTAAACCAGTGTTCAATTTCCCACATCCCTTTCTCATTTAGTTAAAGATAGTAGAGGCCTTGGGTGAGGCAACTGTGGAGCAGGCCCCTGCGTGCCCTAAAATTCACATATAATATGAGCAAGAAAGACTTTTTGCTTTAATCCACTGAGATTTTGAGCCTAATTGTTACTGCAGCATAACTTATTCACCCTGATTGACACCAATGGCAAGGTGAGTAGAAGGATACACTGTGGAGTATGATGCCTAAGTTGTGATTGTGGTCCTGCCACAGAGGACTGTGTAGTGTTGGGCAAGTTAAAGAACCTATATGTGCTACAACTTTGTTGTCTGAAAATGAGAATGTATAAAAGCAATTTTGGTTAAAAAAAAGTCAGCATTCTTATGCATTGATGGATTGATTTTTTTAAATGACCATAGCTATACAATCCAAGACTCCACAACAGGAAGAGAAATTCACGTTAAGATATAACACAAAGTAGAATGTCTCATATATGGATCCCTGCAGCTACAGGTAAGTCCAATGTTTTAGAAAAAGTAAAGACAGTGAGTGGTTTAGCATGGAAATTGTTTGGTAATTACATCCAAGTGTTGGTTCCACAGTCATTTACCTAGAGATGAAATGGTGCAGCTGTGATGTGGGGCTCCAGCATCCTGCTAACATTTGCTCTGCTTGCCTCTGAACATCCCCCTTCCTTTCTTGTCAAGTATTAGATACTATCTCAGTTCTGCTGGTGACCATATTCATGATTCATTAAGAGCCTAGCATGAGCCAGTAATTCTCCTGAGCACTTCAGAGGCCATCACTAAGGCCAAGTCCCTGTCCTTCGGCCTATCGACCCCTACTCCTAGATTGCTTTATATCTCAGAAATTGGTTAAAGGAACTCAGAGTGCATTTTATGCACCCATTAGGTTTCCAGAATGGAACCACTGCCCAAATATTCCTAGGTTATAGGAAAATTTAAGCCTGGAGGAAAGCAGTTGATGTCTTATAAGTCAGAGTTAATGGAAATGTCCAGGGCAGTGGAGACAAAAATAAGAAAGGGAAGCAAAGAAGACAGTCTTGCTTATTTAATGCTTGGGGAGAAATAAAACTCAGTTCACAAGATCTCACAAATACTGCAGTCTATTAAAACATGACGGGTGGTAACTACAGATAAAGTTCAGCTGGTGTGAGGGCAAAGGCACTGGCAGTTTTCTCAATATAAGGAAAAGATGGGAACATCAACCAGTGTGCCCTCCAGCAGGTCACAAAGCCTCTGGCCAGGCCTCAGCCAAGAGTGCCTGAGCCTGCAGATGGCTGCAGCCCGGTTAAATGGACCAACATCCTTTATTTCATGCAACAGAACCCAAGAAGCCCATACTATTAGCTATTTGAAGTGTTGCAAGTTAAAAAGGAGCCATTCCTTTGCCCAAGCTCTGTCTCTATCAGTCACCACCCAGGTCAAATACCGCTTTAGTGGATCAAATCGACACCTCCCAGATACTATAAACCCCTTCCCTCTTTGATTCTTATGAACTTAAAAAGTCACTTGAATTCAAAGTGTGCACTAGCCACATCAGCTAATCGAATGTGCAGTGATTTAAGACAACTCCATTCACTCAGGTCCCTGACTAGATCCCCACACAGCTGTTTTTTAAATAGCATTATTGCGATGTATTTCACATGTCATACAATTCACCTATTTAAAGTATATAATCCAATGATTATTCAGCATATTTACAGAGATGTGCAAACATCACCACAGTCAAATTTAAAACACTTTCCATCACCTCAAAATGTACCCTTTTGCTACACTCCATTTACCCCACCCCATATTACCACTCAACAACCACCAATGTACTTTCCTTAGCTCTACAGTGGTCTATTCTGGACATTTCACATAATGGAATGATATAATAGGTGACTTTTTGTGTCTGGCTTCTTTCATGTAGCATAACATTTTCAAGGTGTATCCAATCGTCACATGGATCAGTACTTCATCATTTTATAGCCGAATAATATTCCATTGCATGAACATATCATGTTTTTAAAATCTATTCCTTAGTGGACATTTGGATTGTTTCCAACTTGTGGCAATCACTCATAATGCGTTACAATTTGTGTAAAAGTTTTTGTGTGGACATATGTTTTTACTTTTCTTGGGAGGAGAGTTCTCTGGGAGTGGAATTGCTAGCTCATATAGAAACGATACTTAATTTTTTGAGGCATTGCCAACAGCTTGCAAAAATGGCTGCACCATTTCATGTTTCCACCAGCAATAAGAGTTTTGCTTTGTCCACATCCTTGCCAAGAGTGATAATTATCTGACCTATTGATTCCAGCCACATTAGTGAGTGTGAAGTGGTATTCCTTGGTGGGTTTTATTTGTACTTCCCTGATGACTAATAATGTCAAACATATTTTCCTGTATTTATCTGCCATTTGTTTCTTCTTGGGAGAAATACTTATTTAGATCTTTTTCATGTTTTTAAGTTGAATTATCTTTTGATCAACAAGTTGTATGAGTTTTCCACATATTCTAGATTTTTAAATCAAATATGTAATTTTGCAATTTTTAAAAATTCTGTGTTGTGATTTATCTTCCTTGATAATATCCTTTACAACACAAAGTTTATAATTTGATGATGTTCAATTTATTTTTTTTTGTTTCTTCTGCTTTTGTATTCATATCTAAGGATTCATTGCCCAATGAAGGTTATGTTGATTAACCCTCATAATTTTTTCAAATAGTTGTATAGCTTTAGCTCTAATATTTTGTTCTTTAGTCCATTTGAGCTAATTTTTATATAATGTAAAGTAAAAGTCCAATTTCACTCATTTGTATGTAGCTACTCAGTTGTTTCAGGACCATTTGTTGAGAATAATATTATTTTCCTCAATGAATATTCCTGGCAATTTTGTCAAAATATGTTGTAAAAGTTTATTTCTAGGTTCTCAGTTTTATCCATTGCTCTATATGTCTATGTTTTTGCCAGCATCACACTGTTTTGATTAACATAGCACATTTTTTATCCATTCATTGGTTGATGAGTATTTAAGTTTGTTTCACATCTTTGCAGTTGTGAATAGTGCTGTGGTAAACATACCTGTACATATCTTTTGATATAATGACTTATTTTCCTTTGGGTAGATAGCCAGTAGTGGGATTATTAGATCAAATAGTAGAGATACTTTTGGTTGAGAAATCTTCATACCGTTTTTCATAAAGGCTGTACTAATTTACCCTCCCAACATCTGTGTATAAGCATTCTCTTTTGACCACATCCATGCCAGATCTATTGTTTTTGACTTTTTAATAATGCCCATTCTGGCTGGAGTAAGGTGATATCTCATTGGGGCTTTAATTTGCATTTCCTGGATGATTAGTAATGTTGAACATCTTTTCTTGTTCGCTGGCCATTTGGATATCTTCTTTGGAGTGCTTTCTTGTCATGTAATTTGTCCAGTTTCTAATGGGATTATTTTTTAATTTTTTATTTTTTTGCTGATTTGTTTGAGATCCTTGGAGATTCTTGCAGTTCCTTGCAGGTATAAGTCTTTTGTCAGATACATAGTTTCCAAACATCTTTTTTTCCCATTCTGTAAGCTGTCTGTTTACTCTGATGATTATTTATTTTGCAGTGCAGAAGCTTTTTAGTTTAAATATGTCCCATTTATTTATTTTTGTTTTGGTTGCGTTTGCTTTTGGGGTCTTAGTCATAAATTCTTTGCATAGGCCAATGTCCAGATAGTTTTTTCTAAGTTTTCTTCCAGAATGCTTAAGGATTCCAGTCTTAGATTTAAGTCTTTGATCAATCTTGAGTTGTTTTTTTGTTTATAGGAAGAGATAGGGATCCAATTTCATTCTTTTACATATGGCCATCCAGTTTTCCCAGGATCATTTATTGAATATGATGTCCTTTCCTCAATTTAAGTTTTTGTATGTTTTGTCAAAAATCAGTTGGTTTTAAGTATTTGGCTTTATTTCTGGGTTCTCTATTCTGTTCCATTGGTCCACGTATCTACTTTTATACAAGTACCATGCTGTTTTGGTTACAATAGTCTTGTATTATACTTTGAAGTTGGGTAATGTGATGCCTCTAGATTTGTTTTATTAAGTGTTGCTTTATTTGGGCTCTTTTTTGTTTTCATATGAATTGTAGAATTGTTTTCTAATTCTTTGAAAAATGGCATTGATATTTCAATAAGAATTGCATTGAATCTACAGATTGTTTTGGGCAATATGGTCATTTTCATGATACCGATTCTTCCAACCCATAAACATGGGATATATTTTCATGTATTTGTGTTGTCTCTGATTTATTTTGCAGCATTTTTTACTTCTCTTTGTAAGGTTTCTTTACCCTTGGTTAAGCATATTTTTAGATATTTTCTTTTTTTGCAGCTGTTGTGAAAGGAATAAAGTTTTGATTTTATTCTCAGCTTGGTCAATGTTGGTGTATAGAAGTGATACTGATTTTTGTATGTTGATTTTGTAACCTGAGACTTTACTGAATTCATGTATCTGTTTTTGAGAGGAGGAATTTGAAGAGTGCTGGTATGTGATGTCCCCCACAGAGAAGCTTCCTTGTTTACAGTAGAGCCATTGATATTTCAATAAGAATTTCATTGAATCTACAGATTGCTTTGGGCAATATGGTCATTTTCATGATACTGATTCTTCCAACCCATAAACATGGGATATGTTTTCATGTATTTGTGTTGTCTCTGATTTATTTCACAGTGTTTTTTACTTCTCTTCAAAGTTTCTTTACCCTTGGTTAAGTATATTTTTAGATATTTTCTTTTTTTGCAGCTGTTGTGAAAGGAATAAAGTTTTGATTTTATTCTCAGCTTGGTCAATGTTGTTGTATAGAAGTGAGACTGATTTTTGTATGTTGATTTTGTAACCTGAGACTTTTCTGAATTCATATGCCTGTTTTTGAGAAGAGGAATTTGAAGAGTGCCGGTATGTGATGTCCCCATAGACAGAGAAGCTACCTTGTTTACAGTAGAGCCAGGCCTGGAGTGGCTGACTCCAGATTTCAGTCTGGATCTCTTTCTATTAACCAGGTTTCACTAAAGATAGGCTTTGGGCCAAACCTGACCACTCCAGTTGTTTGCATAGTGGCTATTTCTTTTCTCATGAGTAGTCAGTAGTAATGAGGATAGTAACTTTATGGCATGCTTTTTACAGAAATAGTTTGCCTAACTCAATGTTAAACCAATTCTTGAATCTCATCTTTGAGGAACTATTCTCTAGGACTACTGCTATTACCAATTTCTCTATCAAGCAAGGTCTAGATAGGGGATAGTCTGACTAAACAAAGTGGAGAAGCTGGGATTATTTAACTTTAGAAGCCTGGAGTAAGGGTACTGCACCACTGAAGCTCAGCTGTCTAAAAATGGGCTAGGTTGGGGCTGATGTCTTCAAAAAGTCCCATATACATAAGACCTGAGATGACGGGGAGTGGTCTCTGAGGGGGTACAATTACATTAGTTCCACAAATGTTGGAAAAACTGCAAATTGAATTGAACCACTATTTATGTTATGAAATACAGGCCCCAAAGTGAAGAGGCAAGGATGGTGTGATTTTCTCAGGAACATTCGGAAGCAGGCTGTCCCCATATCCTTTATTATCAGAGCCAAACAGGAAGCCACTGGCAAAAGAGAATTGTAGTCTTGAGTCTCAGCTGCAACATCATGCAACAGAGAATAGAAGTGCAGGTTTGAAGCTGAGAGATGAGAGCTTCACCACTGGCACAACATTTTTTATTAAATAGATCAAAACTTGGAGAGGGATACAAGCAAAAGAAAAAGGAGCAATTTAAAGGAGGAAGTAATCTGTGCAGAAGTGTCACAATAAACAGAACACACATATTTCAAAGTCATAATCATTAAAGAAATGAAATTAAATCACATATGGAATGAAGCATAACCATTGGGAAAAATAAGGTGTGTCTTTCAGGAGGGAGGGAGATGGCTGGCAGAGGGACTGATTAAAAACTGCAATGATTCAAACATAGGCAAGCTGTAAAATTAGTTCTCTCATAATTCAGTCTCTTAAATACATAATGTTGGGAAAACTGAGTATCTACATGCAAAAAAAGTAATACTGAATCTTTATCTCTCACCATATGCAAAAATCAACTCAAAATGAATTAAAGACTTAAACATAAGACGTGAAACTATAAAACTGATAAAGGAAATATCAGAAAAAACCCACACAACATTGGTCTGGGCAATTATATCTTATATTTGACCTTAAAACCACAGACAACAGAAACAAACATAAACAATGGGAACACATCAAAATAAAAAGCTTCTTCACATCAAAGAAAACAATTAAGAGTAAAAATACAACCTACAGATGGAGGAAAAAGCTTTGCAAGTCACACATATGATGAAGGATTAGTATCCAAAATATATAAAGAACTAATACAACTCTACAGAGAGAAAATAATTCGATTAAGAAGGAAGGGACTTGAATAGGCATTTCTTAAAAGAAGACATACAAGTGGCTAAGAGATATATAAAAAAAATGCTCAACATTTCTAATAATTAGAAAGATGTAAATTAAAACACAAGGTGATAACCTTATAGCTGCTAGAATGGCTAATATTAAAAAGTCAAAAGATAACAAGTGTTGGTGAGGATGTGGAGAAAAGGGAACCCATGTACCCTGTTGGTGCTAATGGAAATTAGCATAGCCATTTTGGAAGACAGTAGGAAGGTTCCTCTAAAAACTAAAAACAGAACTATCATTATGATCCAGCAATCCCATATCTGAGTTTGTACCTGAAGGATTTGAAACCACTATGTCAAAGAAATATTTGCACTCCCATGTTTATTGCAGCAGTAGTCACAATAGCCAAGTTATGGAATGAACGTAGGTGTGCATCAGCAATGAATAAGTAAAGAAAATATTATATACATATACAATAGAATATTATTTGGCCTTAAGAAAGGAAGAAATTCTGTCATTTGCAACAACATGGATGAAACTGGAGAATTTTATGTTAAGTGAAATAAGACAAACACAGAAAGACAAACACTGCATGTTTTCACTTATATGTGGAATCGAAAACAATTGAATTCATAGAAGCAGAGACTAGAGTGGTGGTTACCAGAGGCTGCAGTTAGAAAGAATGGGGAGATGATAATTAAAGGTTACAAAGCCTCAGTTATACAGGAGGAATAAGTTTGATTTTTCTTTTTAGAATATTTGCACAACATACTGAATGCATATAGCTAATAATTGAGTTCTGTACCTTTCAATATTACTAAGAATAAACTTATAATGTTCTCATCACAAAAATTGTAAAGTATTTGAGGTGATGGGTATATTAATGAGCTTAATTTCATATTTTCCCTTTGTATACACACATTGCAACATCAGTTTTCATTGTATATATTTATTTTTATTATATTGTATATATTTAATAAATAGTTAATATCACACTGTAATTTATCAGTCATATGGTAATGTGATTTTGTAGATTTTGGGTTTCTTTTGTAGTTAATGCAAATAGCATAAGAATACCACAGGATTTATAACCAATCGGAAGGAAGACATAATAATTGATCATCATTGCATATATTTGTATATAATCAGAATTGCATGATATCAGGTACTGTTTCAGTTTAAAATACAAGACAATAGTGCCAGCTATACCCAGGATTACCCTCACAGTTAGAGAGTTCATGAGTGGTATTGTAGAGCAGCTATGAAGCATCCCTGCAGACATGCTACTCATCTTGGGGATATTTATATAATACTATGAGTTGCAGAAGGTAAAAAGGTATGGAGTAATTTCCAAACAATTCAGTAAAGACACACTATTTCAACAATATTATTATTATTTTGGCCACCGGCAATATTAGCATAACCTTGTGTTTGTATTGAACTCTGTGCCCTTTAAAGCAATCCCATTTTCATTGCTTCCTTTATTCTTTGGCTTAATCATATATGTTGAGCAAGGAAGACCATTTATCCAGTTACAAAATATTTTTCAGAACTTTCTTTGTCCCAGTGTCAAAGATGCAGATATAATTCACATGATATCTGTCCTTATAAAGCTTACAGTTTGTTGGCAAAATCTGATGATTATTGTTCAGTGAGTCATGGGCGTGGACAAAAGTAAGGAGGATTCCATGACTCAGAGCAAGTCAAGGAGAATGGTAGAGACGAGCTTGCTAAGGGTGTTTGAAGGGCAAAGGGCGTTAGGCAGCTAATAAAAGAGAAAGAAGAGGAGGGGTCTGGAAAAAAGAAGATAAGTCTCAGACACCATGGCAAATTCACTATTTCTCCCAGGTTTCGAGCAAGGGGTGAACTATGGACAAGAAGGAAGGGGCCATTCAAGGGACTTTTTGCTACTCTTGAGAAACTTTATGTTTGAGAAAGAAGACATTGAATACTTTTATCCATGGATTTACATACTAAGACTAGCATTTTAGAAAGATAAAAATGCAAATGTCAAGAAAAAATATATATTAGAGAAAGGAAAATGCAAATGAACATGTGGAGAAAATGACCACCTCTCTAAGTTTAAAACCTGCAAAATGATAATATATAGATTTTGCCAACTTGTACATGGAGTACAATTTTTAAACATACATGGAAATGATGCATGCTAACTTCAGAAGCAAGCTATGGAAAAGATGAGAGGAAAATTGCAATTGAGAGAGTATGGGAGAGGACTTCAACTGCATACTTCTTTAAAATAAAAATCTGAATTATATATGACAAAATAAAAATCTGTGTTATAGCTGCCTGGTATTATTTCTAATAATCATATGTTTGAAATCATTTGCCATTTGTTGTTGTTGTTGTTTGTCTTATAGAAGTCACAGAAAGTGGATTGAGCTTAGAGCTGGAACAGTGAAACTTAAAGTAGAACAATCAAGTAGGAGGCAACTATAGGAATTATTCCTTTTTGACAGAAGAGAAAAATGAAGACAACATGAGGTGAGAGAGATTATTCCCACAGTTACTGTTGCAATAACTCTTGTCTTCTGAAGCCTAATCAATTACTCTAGTATTTACTGATTCAACCCTGGACAATCACACTTTCTAAGCAAATGCCCATCTCTCCCATTCACCCCCAATTTGTGTTTCTATCAGAACAACTCATAGACTTTATGCCTGGCCCAGGACCAGTGCACAGGAAGAGTTTATTAATAATATAGTGACATTGTAGAAACAATAATATCGATATTCACTCATCCTACTGCCAGGAATCATTGAAGGATGGCAATTTTGATTGCTAAGGGAAAAGCAAAGAATCATCTACTCAACTATTTGTCTACCTCCAGAGACTCCTAAATGATATTGTTGATTGGGTTCATTAAATGTGTACTAAAGAGACCAATTCCCTCGGCCCAATCAAATAACTCTGCTGCTCTGCCTTGTGTACTTGAATAGTGGAGAGAGCAGTCACGACTCCAACAAGCTAGTTAGTCAGTGTGCCTCCTACTTGAAGAATGTTGGAGGGATGATGTAAGGCATGACCCATGGTTATTCGGAGGCTCACTCGAAAAAGGAATTTTGAGCCCCTCCCCGACCCCCCACCGTGAAAGGGTTAGTGTGCTGTGCAAATGCCACTTGGGTGCTCATATACGGTGCTTGGTTTTATAGTGTCATGCCATCATGGGTGTCTGCGGTTGTCTCTACCTAGCTCCTCATAGATCTTTGGAGAATATTGCTAACTCACTTCTGCAAAACTTAACTTGAAAAAGATCCCTTTAATTGAGGGAGAATAATATCTAATAAGTATCAAGGCACCCATGCCACATGGAATCAAAGTTATTTGAGGCTGACAATTGTCCTGTTTTCATAGCCAACATATATCTGTGGCTAAAGAAGAAAGGCTTCAAGTGCAGGTACAATCACAGATCCTTCTAGAACCTCCTATTGACAACATCATCTATGGCAAAAGAAACACTTGCTTGCCATCCATAGCCTGTTTTTGGATTACCTACTTCTACACAAGATTCAGTGTAACTCAAGAGCTTATTCCAATTGTAAATTTCTTTCTACAGAGGAAAAAATGTGCTCATTCATTCAAATACATACATTCAATACATTCAAATACATACACATATATGTATATGTGCCATGCTTTATTCTAGGTACTGGTGGCTATATATACACACACACACACACACACACATACATATATACATATATATACATTCATATACACATATGTGTATATATACACACATGTATATACATATATACACATATACACATATATACATATACACATACATATATACACATATATACATATACACACATATATACACATATATACATATACACACATATATACACATATATACATATACACACATATGTGTATATATATATATATATACACATGTGTATATATGTGTATATACACATGTGTATATATGTGTATATACACATGTGTATATATGTGTATATACACATGTGTATATATGTGTATATACACATGTGTATATATGTGTATATACACATGTGTATATATGTGTATATACACATGTGTATATATGTGTATATACACATGTGTATATATGTGTATATACACATATACACGTGTGTGTGTGTGTGTGTATATATATATATATATATATATATATATAGCCACCAGTACCTAGAGTAAAGCATGGCACATATGCATATATGTGTATGTATTTGAATGAATGAGCACATTTTTTCCTCTGTAGAAAGAAATTTACAATTAGAATAAGCTCTTGAGTTAAACTGAATCTTGTGTAGAATTAGGTAATCCAAAAACAGGCTATGGATGGCAAGCAAGTGTTTTATATATAGATATACACATATATACACATATATATGTATGTATGTATATATACACATATGTATATATGTACACACACATACACTCTTCACATATACTATATATATGTATATATATAGCCAGTAACTATATAAACACATGCTATGCTTTATGCTAGGTACTGCTGATACATCATGAAGACACTATATTCCTTTCTCAGGGAGTTCATTCAAACCAGATTCTGATTGGGAAAAATTTAGCTTGGAATCACCTGTTTTCAATCATGTTCACTCCACCCAGGAAGAAAGGCACTCCAGGAAATAGCAAGTATATTGCCCCATTATGGGGAAGTTCTGCACACCTAATCAAGTGACATCAAGGCCAAGAGAAAGGTTGGCCTCCGGAGTCCAGAGCCCGCAAGAGCAGCACGAGTTGTCTCTGGTAGCCAACACTTCTGGGAAATGTACAGCACTGTTATAGATGTTTACATCACTCAACTGCCTAGATGTGCTTCAGCAGACATGGATAGCCCCTGGAGCACTGGATATCTCAGATTTGAAGAGAACATTATGGCTGCTGTATGTATTAGTGAGGATTATTTAGATACATAGAACCAATAGGATATATATTATATTATAAATACAGACACATACATGTATGTCTTTATATAGATACATATATGTGTTTTATAAATCTAGCAAATGTATACAATACATAAAAAATTATTGTAAGAAATTGACTCATATGATTATGGAGAATGCAAAGTCCCAAGATCTGCAGAATGCACCAGCAAACTGAAGACCCAGGAGAGAGGTAATGTAGTTCCAAGCCAAAGGCCAATAGGCAGGAAGAATTCTCTTTTATTCGGTGAATTGTAAGTCTTTTTGTTCTATTCTGACCTTCAACTGATTGGATAAGCTCTTCCCACATAAGGAAAAGCAGTCTGCTCTACTCAGACTCATATAACTTTACCAATTTATAGGTTTATCTCATGTTAAAAACACCCTTATAGACACACTAAGAATAATGTTTGACCAAATAACTGGAAACCCATGGACCAGTCAAGCTGATGCATAAAAATAGCCATTACACCTACTTAAATTTTACCAAAAACTATATTTTAAAAACTATTATGTCACTTGACACAATAGATACTTATTAGTTGCTTATTAAATATCTCAATTGCAAAGAACGAATTCATTTTTGGCCCAGTTCTGTTGCTACCTTGCAATGCCTACAAGTAACAGTAATGTTCTGGGTTTCAGTTATTTTCTTAAGACAGTGAGGATGATAAAAATGGTTCCATTCTTTATAATTTTAAGATGATTATAGATTCACATGCAGTAATAATAAATGATATAGGAAATAATTCATTAAAAAGCATGTACCCTTCACCCGGTGTTATGGGCAGAATTATGTCTCCCTAAACTTCATATGTTGAAGTACTGACCTCCACACTTCAGAATGTGAATGTATTTGGAGAGAGAGCCTTTAAATAGGCAATTAAGGTGATGAATCATAGGGCTGGCCACAATCCAATCTGACTCATGTCCTTATAGAGGAGATAAAGACACAGATGCAGAGGAAAGACAAAGACAGAAGAGACAGAAGGAGAAAGTCATCATCTGAAAGGCATAGAGAGAAGCCTCAGATGAAACCAAACTTGCTGACACCTTGATCTTGGCATTGTAGTCTACAGAACCATGAGAAAATAAATATCGGTTGTTTAAGTCACCCAGTTTGGTATTTTGTTATGGCAGCCCTAGCAAACTAATATAACCCAGTATCTCCCAATGGTAACATCTTGCAAAACTACAGTAAAATAACACAACCAGGATATTGACACTGATACCGTCAAGACACAGAACAGTTTCAATACCCCCAGGGTGATTCCTGTTATCTTTTTATCACAATATCCTACTACAACATTAGCATCTATATTATATAATATTTTGTCTTACTATTTAATTTTCTTTGGAGTGATTCTAAATGATATTTTAATTTTGGTTTTCACATGTTCATTGAATTTCTATATACTAACAATGGACATATATAGTAAAGATACAAACAAATAAACAATTAATTAATAAGGTCATAGCAATTGACCTTACTAAACTCACTTACTAGCTCTAGGGTTTTCAGTTTTTGATGTCAAACTCCTTTATATTTTTGTATGAAAAATCACATTATCTGTACATAGGGGCAGTTTTACTTATTTCTAGTTGTATTCTTTTTATATCGATCTTGTCTTATCGCAGTGGCTAAAACTTCCATATTTTGTGAGTGTTCACATATTTCAATCTCTCATGTTTCTGAGACTATATCCTTGCCTTGGTCTAAATCCTGGAAACCATCGTGGCTCAAGTACACACACACACATATATATATATGTGTGTATTTCAGGAGCTTTAAATTTCTTTCTTTTTTAAACTTTTATTTTAGGCTAAAACTTCCATATTTTGTTGAAAAAGAGTGGTAAGAGTGTATTCAAGCTTTCACCATTAAGTATAATATTAACTCTAGGGCTTTTTTGTAAATGCTTTTTATCAAGTTGAAGTTCCCTTTTATGCCTAGTTTGCTGAGAGTTTTCAGATGACTGAGGGTTGGATTTTGTAAAGTACTTCTGCATTAATTAATATCGTCATATGATTTCTCTTCTTTAGCCTGTTCGTGTAGCAAGTGGCATTGGTTGGTGTTTGAATGTTAACCCAGCCTAGCACAACTAGAATAAATCCCAATTGTTCATGGCGTATAAATCTTTTTATACTCTGCTGGATTGCATTTGCTAATATATTGCTGAGAATTTCTGCATCTGTGAAGAATATTGACTTGTAATGATTGTTTGTTTTTTTTTGTTTGTTTTTTCTTGGGGGATGGAATTGTGTTTGTCCGATTCTGGTATCAAGAGCCTTATGAAATGTGTTGAGAAGTGTGCCTTCCTCTTCTATTTCTGAAAGCGATTGTATGAAACTGGTATTAATTCTTCTTTAAATTTTTAGTAAAAATTTTCTGGGAAACCATCTTGGCCAAAAGACTTTTTTTCAGGTGCTTTCAATTTCTTTCCTTTTTAACTTTTATTTTAGGTTTGGGGGTACATGTAAATAGACAACCTACAAAATGGGAGAAAATATTTGCAAACTATGCATCTCAAAAAGGTCTAATATCCAGCATCTATAAGGAACTTAAACAAATTTACAAGAGAAAAAAAACCCCATTAACAAGTAGGCAAAGGACGTGAACAGACACTTCTCAAAAGAAGACATACATGCAGCCAACAAACATATGGGAAAAAGCTCAACATCACTAATCATTAGAGAAATGCAAATCAAAATCACAATGAGATACCATCTCGTACCAGTCAGAATGGCTGTTATTAAAAAGGAACTTTAAATTACAAATCAATTTCTTAGATGGGTATAAGACATTCAGGTTTTCTATTGCATTTTGGTTTGAGTTTTATTAATTTATGGTTTTTGAGGAATTGGTTCATTTATTCTAAGATGTTGTATTTATGTATATAAAGTTGTTCATAATATTCTGTTGTTATCCTTCTACTGGTTGTATGAGCTATAATACAATGTTTTATTCCTGAAATCACTAGTTTGAATTTTTTGGTCCATTTTTCTTAAAGTTTACATTTTATTATTTCTTTAAAAATAATCTTTTTGCTACATCAATCTTCCCCATTATTGTCTTTTTTTCAATTTCATTGATTTTTTTCTCCTACCTTTATTATTTTCTGCTTTATGATTGCTTTGGGCTTCTTTATTTTTTTTTCTACTTTCTCAAGGTGGGAATGTAGATTATTTATGTGATAATTTTTTATATTCTTTTTTAACTTTTTTATTTTAGGGGTATTAAGTAGGTGTATATATTTATAGGGTACATGAGATATTTTGATACAGGCATGACATGTGAAATAAGCACATCCTGGAGAATGAGGTATCCATCCCCTCAAGCATTTATTCTTTGAGTTACAAACAATTCAATTACACTCTTTAAGTTATTTGAAAATGTACAATTAACTTATTATTGACTGTAGTGACCCTATTCTGTTGTACTATTAAATAGTAGGTCTTATTCATTTTTTCCAACTACTCTTTTGTACCCGTTAATCATCTCCCAAACCTGCCAGCCCTCCACTAAACTCCTCAGACTCTGGTTACCATTCTTCCACTCTATGTCTCTAAGTTCCATTGTTTTGATTTTTATATCCCACAAATAGGTGAGAACACACAATGTTTGCCTTTCTGTGCCTGGCTTATTTCATTTAACATAATGATCTTCAGTTCCACCCATGTTGTTGAAAATGACTGGATCTCACATTTTTATGGCTGAATAGTACTCTACTGTGTATATGTACTACACTTTTTTTATTCACTCATCTGTTGATGGACCCTTAGGTTGCTTCAAAATCTTAGCTATTGTCAACAGTGCTGCAACAAACATAGGGATGCAGATGATCTCTTACATATACTGATTTACTTTCTTTTGGTATATACCCAACAGTGGGTATCATATATTAGCTCTATTTTTAGCTTTTTGAGAAACCACCAAACTGTTCTCCATACTGGTTGTATTACTTTACATTTCCAGCAAAAGTGTACATGAATTTCCTTTTCTTCACATTCTTATCAGCATTTGTTATTGCCTGTCTTTTGGATAAAAGACATTTTAACTAGGATAAGCTGACATCTCATTGTAGTTTTGATTTGCATTTTTCTGATGATCAGTGATGTTGAATACCTTTTCTTATGCCTATTTGCCATTTGTATGTCTTCTTTTGAGAAATGTCTATTCAAATATTTTGCCCATTTTTGATCACACTATTAGATTTTTATATGTATTGTTGTTCGAACTCCTTACAGATTTTAGTTTTTTTTTTTTTTTTTTTTTTTTTTGAGACGGAGTCTCGCTCTGTCGCCCAGGCTGGAGTGCAGTGGCGGGATCTCGGCTCACTGCAAGCTCCGCCTCCCGGGTTCACGCCATTCTCCTGCCTCAGCCTCCCAAGTAGCTGGGACTACAGGCGCCCGCCACTACGCCCGGCTAATTTTTTGTATTTTTAGTAGAGACGGGGTTTCACCGTTTTAGCCGGGATGGTCTCGATCTCCTGACCTCGTGATCCGCCCGCCTCGGCCTCCCAAAGTGCTGGGATTACAGGCGTGAGCCACCGCGCCCGGCCTAGTTTTTAACCCCTTGTAAAATAGGTAGCTTGCAAGTATTTTCTACTATTTTGTATGTTATCTCTTTGTTGATTGTTTCCTTTGCTGTGCAGAAGCTTCTTAACTTGATGTAATCCCATTTGTCCATTTTTGCTTTGGTAGCCTGAGCTTGTTGGGTATTACTCAAGTAATTTTTGCCCAGACCAATATCTTTGAGATTTTCCCCAATGTTTTCTTGTAGTAGTTTCACAGTTTGAAGTCTTAGATTGAAGACTTTAATCCATTTTTATTTTATTTTTGTATATGATGAGAGATAAGCATCTAGTTTCATTCTTCTTCATGTGGATTATCCAGTTTTGCCAGCATTGTTTACTGAAGAGAGTGTCTTTTCCCCAGTGTATGTTCTTAGAACCTCTGTAGAACATGAGTGCACTGTAGATGTGTGGATTTGTTCCTGGTTCTCTAATCTGTTCCATTGGTCTATCTGTCTGTTTTTAAACCAGTACCATTCTGTTGTGGTTGCTATAGCTCCGTGGTACAATTTAAAATTAGGTAATATGATTTCTCCAGTTTTGTTCTTTTTGCTTAAAGTAGCTTTGGCTATTCTTGGTCTTTTGTGGTTCCATATAAATTTTAGGATACTTTTTTTTCTATTTCTGTTAAGAATATCATTGGTATTTTGATAGGGATTGCATTAAAGTTGTAGATTGCTTTGGGTAGTTTGGCTATTTTAATAATATTGAGTCTTCTGATCCATCAACATGGAATATTTTTACATTTTGTTGATGTCCTCTTCTATTTCTTTCATCAATGTTTTATAATTATTATAGACCTCTTTCACTGTTTTGGTTAATTATTTGTATTTAATTTTATGTGTGGCTATTGTAAATGGGATTGTTTTTTAATTTCTTCTTTACAATGCTCACTGATGGCATATAGAAATGCTACTGATTTTTTGTATGTTGATTTTATACCCTGCAACCTAACTGAATTTATCGGTTCTAATAATTTTCTTGTGAAGTCTTTAGGTTTTTCCAAATATAAAATCATATCATCTGCAAACGAGAATATTTGGAATTCTTTTTTTTCCAATTTGGATGCCATTTATATCATTCTCTTATCTGATTTCTCTAGGTAAGACTTCCAGTACTATGTTAAATAACACTTGGGACAGTGGGCATCCTTGTTATGTTCCAGATCTTAGAGAAAAGACTTTCTGTATGATACTAGCTGTAGGTCTATCATACATGGCTTTTATTATTTTGAGGTATGTTCCTTCAATCCCTAGTTTTTTGAGGGTTTTTATTATGAAGGTATGTTGAATTTTATCAAATCCTTTTTTAGCCACAATTGAAATAATCATATGGTTTATATCCTTCATTCTGTTGATAATGATGTATATCACATTGATTGATTTGCATGTATTGAAACATTCTTGTGTCCCAGGAATATATCCCACTTGGTCATGATGAATGATCTTTCTAATGTATTGTTGAATTTGATTTGCTCTTATGTTGTTGAGAATTTTTGCATCAATATTCTTCAGAGATATTGGCCTGTAATTTTCTTTTTTTGATGTGTCTTTGGTTTCAGTATCAAGTTAATACTGGCATCATAGAATGAGTTTGGAAGTACTCCCCCCTCCTCTATTGTTCAGAATAGTTTGAGTGAGATTGATATTAGCTACTCTTTAAGTGTTTGGTAGAATTCAGCAGTGAAGCCATCAGGTCTTGAGCTTATCTTTACTAGGAGAACTTTTATTACAACTTCAATATCACTACTTGTTATTGACATGTTCAGGTTTTGGATTTCTTCCTTATTCAATCTTGGTAGGTTGTATATATGTAGGAATTTGTTCATTTCTTCTAGATTTTCCAATATATTTACACATAGTTTCTCATAGTAGCCGCTGATGATCCTTTGAATTTCGCAGTATCAGTCAAAAAGTCTTCTTCATTTCTGATTTTATTTATTTGGATCTTCTCTCTTTTTGATTTGTTAGTCTGGCTAAAGGTTTTTCAATTTTGTCTGTCTTTTTAAATAAAACAACTTTGTGTTTCATTGATCTTTTGTATTGTCTATCTTATTTCAATTTCATTCATTTCAGCTCTGAACTTTATTATTTCTTTCCTTTTACTAATTTTGGGTTTGTTTGCTCTTGCTTTTCTGATTCTTTAAGATGCATTGTTAGATTGTTTATTTGAAGTTTTTCCTCTTATTTGATGTATGAGTGATATGGTTTGGCTCTGTGTCTCCACCCAAATCTCATCTTGAATTGTAATCCCCATGTGTCAAGGGAGGGACCTGGTGGAAAGTGATTGGATCATGGAGGCAGATTTCTTCCTTGCTGCTGTCATAAGAGCTGATGGTTTTAAAGTATGGCACGTTCCCCTCACTCTCTCTCTCCTGCTGCCATGTAAGACGTGCCTTGCTTTCCCTTTGCCTTCCACCACGATTGTAAGTTTCCTGAGGCCTCTCTAGTCATGCAGAACTGTGAGCCAATTAAACCTCTTTCGTTTATAATTTACCCAGTCTCAGGTAGTTCTTTATAGCAGTGTGAAAATGGACTAATACAATTAGCTTATAGCTGTAAACTTCCCTCTTATTACTGCTTTTGCTATCTGTCATATGTTGTGGTATATTGTGTTTCCATTATCATTTGTTTCAATAATTTTTTAATTTCATTTTCAATTTCTTCATTGACTCACTGGTAATTCCGGAGTATATTGTTTAATTTTTATGTGTTTGCATTGTTTTCAAAATTCCTCTTGTTATCGATTTCTAATTTTATTCCATTGTGGTCAGAGAAGATGCTTAATATTATTTCAATTTTTAAACATGTTTTAAAACTTATTTTGTGACCTAACATATGGTCTATTCTTGAGAATAATCCATGACTGAGGAAAAGAATCTGTATTCTGCATCTCCTGGATAAAATGTTCTATAACTATCATCTAATAGGTCCATTTATTCTATAGTGAAGATTAAGTTTGATGTTTCTTTGTAGATTTTCTGTCTGGAAGACCTGTCCAATGCTAACAGTGGGTTGTTGAACTCTTTAGCTGTTATTGTATTGGGGCCTATCTTTCTCTTTAGCTCTAACAATATTTTTTATATATATTGAGGTGCATATAATTAAAACTGATACATCCTTTTGCTGAATTGACCCTTTTATCATTATATAGTGACCTTCTTTTCTCTCCTTATACTTTTTGTCTTTAAATTTATTTTGTCTGAGGTAAGTATAGTGACCTCTGCTCTTCTTTGGTTTCCATTGGCATGAAATATCTTTTTCCATTCCTTTATTTTCAGTATGTGTATGTCTTTATAGGTGGAATGTGTTTCTTGTGACAACAGATCAATGGGTCTTGCCTTTCATCCATTAAGCCAGTCTACATCTTTTGATTGGAGAGTTTAGTCCATTTATATTCAATGTTATCATTGATAAGTAAGAATTTACTCCTGCCATGTTGTTGTTTTCTCATTGTTTTGTGATTTTCTCTTTCTTCTTTCTTTCCTTTCTGTCTTCCTCTAGGGAAGATAATTTTCCTTGTGATATGATTTAGTTTCTTGCTTTTATTTCGTGTGTGTCTATTGTATGTTTTTTGGTTTGAGGTTACCATGAAACTTGCAAATACTATCTTATAACCCATGATTTTAACCTGGTAACAACTTAACACTGCATAAACGAACGAGCAAAAAGGAAACTAACAAAATTTTATGCCTTAACTTTGTCCTCCCCCTTTTTTAAACAAATATATTTATTATGGAAATGAAATCTCAAACTCCTGGGCTCAAGCAATCCTCCCTGCTTAACCTCCTGAAGTGCTGGGATTATAGTCATGAGCCACTGCACCCAGTCAAATGTCCTCCAAGTTTTCAACTTTTTGTTGTTTCTATTTATGTCTTATTTACTGACTCTGTCTTGAAAAGTTGTTGTAGTTACTGTTTTTATTGGTTTATTGTTTAGTCTTTCCACTTAGGATAAAAGTAGTTTACATACCACAGTTATAGTGTTGTACTATTCTCTGTTTTTCTGTGTACTTACTATTACCAGTAAGTTTTTTACCTTCAGAAGATTATTTATTACTCAGTGTTCTTTTATTTTTGATTGATGTACTCCCTTTAGCATTTTTTTGTAGGACAGGTCTGGTATTGATGAAATCTCTCAGCTTTTGTTTGCCTGGGAAAATCTTTATTTTGCTTTTCATGTTTAAAGGACTTTTTTTTTTTGACAGGTATACTATTCTTGGGTAAAATATTTTTCCTTCAGCACTTTAAATATGTCATGCCACTCTCTTGGTCTGTAACCTTTCCACTGAAAAGTCTGCTGCCAATGTATTGGACCTCTGTTGTATGCTATTTGTGCCTTCTCTTGCTGCTTTCAGGATCCTTTCTTTACTCTTGATTTTGAAGTTTGATTATTAAATGCCTTGAGACAGTCTTCATTGGGTTAAATCTGCTTGGTGTTCTATAACCTGTTTGCACTTTGATATTGCTATCTTGCTGTAGGTTTGAAAAGTTATTTGTTATTTCCCTTTGAATAAACTATATCTATCCCTACCTCTTTCTCTACCCCCTCTTTAAGGCCAGTTACTCCTAGATTTGTCCTTTTGAGGCTATTTTGTAGATCCTGTAAGAATGCTTTATTGTTTTTAGTCAATTTTTTGTCTTTTCTGTGTATTTTCAAATTGTTGTCTTCAAGCTCATTAATTCTTTCTTCTGCCTTATCCATTCTGCTATTAAAGAACTCTGATGCATTCATTCTTCAGTATGCCAATTGCATTTTTCAGCTCTAGAATTTATGCTTGATTTATGTTAATTATTTCAATCTTTTTAAAAATTTGTCCAATAGAATTCTGAATTCCTTCTCTGTGTTATCTTGAATTTATTTGCGTTTCCTCAACATGGTTATTTTGACTTCTCATTCTGAAAGGTCACATGTCTCTGTTTCTCCATGATTGGTACATGGTGACTTATTTATTTCATTTGGTGAGGTCATGTTTTCCTGGATGGTGTTGATGCTATTAGATGTTTTTCAGTGTCTAGGTATTGAAGTATTAGGTATTTATTGTATTCTTCACTGTCTGGGCTTATTTGCAGCCATCCTTCTTGAGAGGCTTTTTAGATACTTGAAAAAACTTAGATGTTGTGATCGAAGCTGCATCTGATTTTAGGGGATAACCCAGGCCCAGTAAAGCTGTGGCTCTTATAGACTCATGGAGATGTTACCTTGATATCTTGGACAACATCTAGGAGAATTATCTGGATTGCCAGGCAGAGACTCTTGTTATCTTCCCTTATATTCTCCCAAACATGGAGTCTCTCTCTCTGTTCTGAGCCACCTAAAGCTGGGATAGAATGACAAAAACACACCTGTGGACGCCATCACTATGACTGCACTGTGTCAGACTTGAAGCCAACACAGTGCTGAGTCTCACCCAAGGCCTGCTCTAACTACTCCCCGTCTACTGCCTACATTTGCTCAAAGCACTGGGACCCTACAATCAGCAGGTGTCAAAACTAGTCAGGCCTGTTTCCTTCCCTTTAGGGCAGAAAGTCGCCCCAGGCCCTCTGTGAGTCCAGAAGTACCATCTAGGAGTCAGGGACTAGAGTAAGATACCTTGGAAGTCTACCTAGTGTTCTACTGTATTGTAGCTGAGCTGGCACCAAAACCACAAGACACCGTCCTTGTCCCTCTTTGCTTTCCTTTCCAAAGGCAGAGAAGCCTAACCCTGTAGCCACCACCTCCCCGGGCCATAGGGCATACTACCATACTACCACTGGTGTTCCTTTAGGGCCTAAGGTCTCTTAGGTCAGCTTGTCGTGAATGCTGCCTGCCCTGGGACTTGCCCTTCGGGACAGTGGGCTCCCCTTTGGCTCAGGGCAAGTCCAGAAATGCTATCTAAGAGTTAAGTCCTAGAATTAGGGACCCCAAGAGCCTGTTTGGTGCTCTAACCCCCTGTGGCTATGCCAGTACCTAAGGTGCAAGACAAAGTCCCCTTTACTTTTCCCTCTGCTTTTCTCAAGCAGAAAGATTTTTGCCCTGAGGCCACCACAGTTGGGAATGTGCTGAGTCCCACCTGAAGCCAGTGAATCTCAGAGGCTTATCCAAATTCCTTGATGTAGTACCTGGATCCTGCTGCTAGGTATTTAAGGCCCAAGGGTTCTTCAGTTAGCAAATGTTGAATGCTGCCAGTACTGGGTCTTTTCCTTCAAGGCAGTGGGTTCACTTCTGGCCCAGCAGCATTTGTATATACCAATAACAATCAAGCTGAGAACCAAACCAAGAATCAATCCCAATTATAATCCCATTATAATACAAAAAATAAGATACTTCGGTACACATTTAACCAAAGAGATGAAAGACCTCTACAATGAAAACTGTAAAACACCAATGAAAGTAATTGTAGATGACAAAGACAAATGGAAAAACTTCCCATGCTCTTGAATCAACAGAATCTGGCCCAGGCTGTGTCTAGAAAGGTCTGGGGGCTAAGGCCTGGAAGAGCGGCATTGCAAGTCTGACTGGTGTCCTATCCTGCTGTGGCTGAGCTGGTATCCTAGATGAAAGATAAAGTCCTCCTGCTCTTCCCTCTCCTCTCCTGAGGCAGAAGGAAAGAGTGTCTTTTGGAGGTGTGAGCTGTGCAGCCTGTGGTTAGGGGAGGGGTGATGCTAGCACTCTCTTGGCTGGTGTCTCAGTATGTCGCTTGCCCCCTAGTCCACTGTCTTTGCACCTAGTTCAGCCCTAGGACTTCCCTAAGAATTGCATTCCTTATGGCCTACACTGCCTTTCAAGTTTACTTAGAGACCAAGAGCACTTTGGGTCTTGGTAGCAAGGTTTGTGGGAACTCAAGTTCAAACCGCTGGGATCCGCAATTCCCCTCTGGCTAGGGCTGGTTTAAATGCTCCCTTGGTGGGCAAGAGTCAGCTAAGTTTGCTCCTGTTTCTGCTTTAACAGGACAGCACTGAGTTCAATTAAAATTGCTGTGTTCTCCTTCCCCCAGCACCCAGAGAGGCTCTCTGGACCACACTGTTGCTGAGGTCAAGGAGGGGTGGCATCAGTAATTCTGGACTGTTTGTTCTATCTCTTCAGTGCCTCTTTCAGTAACAGGAAGTTAAAATCAGGTACTATGAGTTCTCATCTGATTTTTGGTTCTTATGAAGGTGTTCTTTCTGTGTAGATAGTTGTTAAATTGGTGTCCTTCGTATCGGTGGAGCTTTCTACTCCACCATCTTGCTCTACCTTTCTTTTTTATATTCTAATGTAATTATTAAGTGCTATAAAATTTTAAGTATTAACTAATTTCACATATTTTAAGATGTTTTCCTACATATCTTGATATGTTATATTTTCATGTTATATTCAATTCTATTTATTTTTTGTTTTCAAACTTCCTTTTTGATTATGGATTATTTGAAAATACATTGCTAAATTTCCACATTTAGAGATTTCCCTGCTGTTTGTCTCTTACTCATTTTGAATTCAATACCCCTTTGGTCAAATAACATACTCCACGTGATTTAAATTAGATTAAATTAATTAGAGAGCAATTTAAATTTGCTGAAGTTTGTTTTATGGTCCAGGATATATGGTTTATCTTAGTCAATGTTCCATGAACATTTGAAAAATGTGTATTTTCTCTTGTTGGGTGGAGTGTTCTATATATATCAATGAGATACTGTTATATGACTATATTGTTCAGTTCTTCTATATCACAGCTGATTTTCTGTTTACTGTTTTATCATTTTCTGAGAATGGAATCTTGAAGTCCCCGACCATAACTGTGGCTTGTCTACTTATTTAAGCTCTTTTAATTTTTGAATTTTTGCTATTTTCAGGCTCTGGTGTGGTTTTCTAATGTGCATATTTAGGACTTTTATGTCTTTGTGTTGGATTAATACATTTATTATTATGTAATGTCTCTCTCTGTAGTAATTTTCTTTGCTCTGAAATGTAGTCTATCAAAAATTAATATATAACACATCTGCTTTAAAAAATAATGCTTCTGTGCTGAATCATTTTCTATTCTTTTATTTTAAATATACCTATATCCTTTATTTGAAGTGAAATTCTTGTAGACAGTGTATTTTTGAATCTTGTTATTTTTAATGTGCTGCCAATCTGTGCCTTTTGATTAGATGAATAGATTAATACAGAGATAGATATAAAGCTGTATTAGGATGTTAGGACTTAATTTGACCTTTTATTATGTGTCTTTGGATCATTTCTTATGCTATTTTCTGATTTTGTTTTACCTTTCTGTGGGTTATTTAAACTTTTTAAAAACTCCATCTCAATTTATTTTCAGTCTTTAAATTAGTATATTATTTTGTAGTTTTCTTACTGGTTGCTACATGCATAACAATATATATTCGTATAACTTACTATGGTCTACTGGAATTGATGTTTTTGCACATCAATTTGAGAAACTTTACATTTATTTGAGTGCCTATGAACTTTTAAGATATAATTGTATTAAATATTCCTTCTGCATGCATTAAGCTGAACTTTGGATGTATAATTTTTCTTTCAACCTTCAAATATACCTTAAGAAACTCACGCATAGCAAATAGTCTATTTTATACACCCTTATTTTTACCAATTTGCATACTCTTCTTTCTTTTCTGAAGTTTCAAGCCATCTACTGTTAGTTCCTTTTTCTTTAGAGAGTTTCCTTCAACCATTTGACTCTCACTCTCAATCTCCATTGACTCCAAGTGCAGGTGGAAGATTAGTTCCCTGATGGGTTTCAGTTTTTTTTTGCTGCACGACGGAGAACAGAAGTTCATCTCCTCCTTGGTCTTCACTCATACCAGGGGGCTGGAAGTGGAATACCAAATAGGGCTGCTTCTCTCCCTTGTCTCCCACTAAATCATGCTGGCTGGGTGAAAGTATAGCTCCCTGATAGCTCTCTGGGTATGTATAGCTCTCTGTGTCCCTCTGATAGCAGAAAAGAGGAGAAAATGAGGAGCTTATAGCCTGGACTTTCACTACTTTGTTTCCTCTCCTTGGTGCTCTGTGGGGTGTTGACTCAGCTCCTCCCTTGGCACCACTGGCACTACTTCCACATGGGTGGAAAGAGGAGTTGGTGGAGCCTAGAGTACTGGCTCTGCCTTCCACTGTCTGGTTGTCTTCTTCTGCTGTCAGGATGGAAGATCACCCCCTGATGACAATATCTAGGCAGGGGATGTAAGATTAACCCCCAGTTAACCACCCGGTGGAGGAATTTAAGTTGCACTCTACCTGCTTGGGAGACCAGGGGAAGGGAGGGAGTGTGGGTGGGAATGAGTTGGAAAATAACTATGTAATCAGTTCCCATGAAACCACAATGGTGAAGGACGTTAGCATGCTGTTCTGTTGGTATTTAGCTGGAGTTAAAAAGCATATTGCTCCCCTCACTCTGGCAAAAAACAAAACAAAACATTTTCTGTTTTGTTTAGGCTTAAGGCTTAGGCTATTCTTTTCCTTTTCTTCTTGGCCCTGTGGCTATAAGTAATAGACTTTTGTGGAGTGTTTTGCATCTGTGTCTGTTGGAGGTTGTGGATTAGAAGTCTCTGTAGTGCTCTAGTGCCCTGTCTGGCAATAAAGATACCCAGAGAGCTCACTGCCATGTCATTTCTGAAGCTCATAAGTCCCTAAACAGCATGCCTTCCTCTTTTCACCTTCCAGAAATTTCTAATGCTTGTTTGTTATTATTATTATTATTTTTGGTCAATTAGTTGTAAAGGTGCTACCGACTGAGGCTGTTCTATCTTGGCAGAATGTGAAGTCCACCTGCTTCACTACTATTCTCTGGGTGTGTGAGACTTAAATTAGATTTGTTTGTCCTTCTTAAATGATGTAATACTTCACTCAGTGCCTGGCATATTATAAGCACATAGTAAGTGTTAACTATTATGACTATCCTAAGGCCTTCCATGAAAAACAAATTCAGATCATGGAGAAGAAATGAGGAAAGTAAAGTGCAACGAAGAAAGCAGAACTCCCCATTGTGGTACCAGGTACACAATTCAAGAGTAGATCTGATGACTTAACCATGCTGGGCAGAACTGGACAATACTTGTCTCCTATAGTTCAGCACTGATAAATTGCCCCCGTTTTTGACATCTCTCAATAATTTTTCTAAATTGTTATAATAAGGAGAAGTGATGATTAGTTTTTATTTTTATCTAAGGATGGATAAAACTGAATTCTCTTAATATCATCTCCACATTTTTCTTGGACTTAAGACAAACTCAAATTTAGAGTAGCTACTATATTGTGGCAATTAAAAATTCTGGTTTAAAGATATGCAGTCATCTAATGAATCATAGAATTAGGAAAAAAGACCCTAAGATTTGAAAAGAGAATATTAATATTTGGTGATTCAGAAGCACCACTAATAATAGGTCAAATGTAGCAATGCCAGGAAGTGTAAACATAATCTCTGCATCAATATTTCATAATAATATTTTATCATTTTATAATTCTTACTGTTTATCTTACATTTTGATTGAAGCTCTTTAGAATCACAAAATCATCATCTACCTTTTTAGAACTCCATTAACGTAAGCAAATAAATCGAACATGGATAGTAAAATAAATTTTGTGAATTAATCAGATAAACATCAATGTGCCTTTTTTTCCTACCCCACAGGATATTGGGATTTTTTGTTCAATAGCTAATCTGTTATAAATTCACTGTTAATAGCCAGCTGAGAAAGCTTCACATAACCTCAAAGAATCATTAAAATTAACTTCTCTTTTGAGAAAGGACCACATACACACACTGCTAGATGGATTGGGCTTGCTTTGTTTTGCATTTTTCTTTCGTTTTTCATTTTTTTTGACTTTATGATAATCATTTTTATTTTGCAACATTTTTTACATAAAAGTGACCATGAAAAGTACAAAAGTTCAAAGAATTTATTTATACCCTTCACCTAGATTCAGCAATTGTTGACATTTTGTCACATTTGATTTGTTATTCTTTTCTGAATCGTTACAGACTAAGTAGAAAGCAATAGATCCCTTTCTCACTAAACACTTTAATGTGAAATTTCCAAAATTATCACAAAACAGAAAATTTAATGTTAATAAAATACTATTACCTAATGTACAGGTTTCACTTAAGTTTTGATAATTATTCCGATAATGTTCTTTAGAGCAACTTATTTTTTACCCCAGTGTTCAATTGTTCAATACAAGATCATATTTCACATTTAAATTTGGTGGCTTTTTAAATTGATATATTATTTACCTACCATTACATTTGTTCTTTTACAGTGTAATGTACTGTGGTTTTAGTTTATTCACAAAGTTGTGCAAGCATCACCACTATCTAATGCCCAGAACATTTGTATTACCCCAAAATGAAACCCCATATGTACTAACACATTTCTCACCTGCCCTTATACCAGCCTGTGGCAAACACTAATCTGATTTCTGTTTCTTAGATCTGCCTACTATAGGCAAGTCATATAAATGGAATTAATATAAATAGAATTATACAGTATGTAACCCTTTAATCTAACTTCTTTAACTTAGTGTTATGCTTAAAAAATAATCTGTTGTAACATGTCATTTCATTTCTTTTTATAACTGAATAATATTCTATGGTATAAACATATCACAATTTGTTTATCCATTTGTTCCTTATCTTATTCATACAGTTGACCCTTGAATAATGTGGAGGTTAAGGCTATTAATGTCAATAGATCCTTGTGCAGCCCAAAATCTATGTATAACATTTAACTCTCCAAAACTTAACTGCTAACAGCCCAGTGTTGACCAGAAGCTTTACGGACAAAAAAACAGTCGATAAACACATGTTATACATTATATATATAATGCAATGTATTCTTACAATGAATTAACTTGTAATGTCATGACATCTCTCTGTGTCTTGGGAGTACTTCTAACATCTCTAGTGGCACTTTGTATGGGTCCTACGGTATTATTCAAGATTTATAATATTGCAGTAAACACAATGAAAAATATGTGAGAACTTCAAGAGATCAGTTTTTACAGTGGAAGGCAATTTACTGGAAATGTGGAGGTGATTAGTGTAACACAATATTTTAAGCGGATACTTGCAATACTTGGACTAACAGCAAGAGCAACAGGAGGTGACTACAAGATTATCACAGAAGTACAGTATTACTATAGTTAATTTTATGCAGTTATCATTTAATACTGCATCTTTACATTTGTTTTTATTTTTCTCAAGTATGAATGGTGCCATGAATGGTATGTAAGTGATTGTGTGCATGCATTTTGATATATTTTAACTTTTTATAATTGATTTATGTATATTTTATGGTAGCAAATGATAAAATGGTCTACTATTCACATATATTTTATGCATTCATGACATATATAAGATGTTTTAATTTTTCATATTTCTAGGATATATAAATTGTGAGGTTTTTCAAATTGCTGCAAATCTACAAAAAATTTTCCAATTTTTTTTTGAAAAAAATTACGTAGAAATGGACCTGTGCATCTAAAACCTGTGTTGTTCAAGGGTCAATTCAGTTGTATATGTGTATATATGTGTCTATACACACACACATATATATGTATTTTATTTGCCATATTTTATTTAATATGGATGTAAAATATAGTGGGATGAGCATGGATTGAGGAATGTAAAAGTATAAATTATTTTGGCCATACCACTGAATTTGAAATCTGGTTCCTTCACAAGTAAGTAGGGCCATGAACAAAAGTATTTAATCTCTTCGTGACTCAGGACTCTTCTTTAAAAAATATAAAACCCAAACTATAAACAATCTGGAAGACAATCTAGGCAATCCATCCTGGACATAGGCACGGCAAATATTTCATGCTGAGGACGCCGGAAGCAATTGAAACAAAAGCAAAAATTGACAAATGAGACCTAATTAAATGTAAGAGCTTCTGCACAGCAAAATAAACTATTAACAGAGTAAATAGACAACCTACAGAATAGGAGAAAACATTTGCAAACTATGCATCTGACAAAGGTCTAATATCCAGCATCTGTAAGTAACTTATACAAATTTACAAGAGAAAACCAAACAATACCATTAAAAAGTGTCAGATGATATGAACAGACACTTTTTAAAAGAAAACATATATGAGGCCAACGAGCATATAGAAAAAAACTCACTGAGTATTAGAGAAATACAAATCAAAACCACAATGAGATACCATCTCAGCACCAGTCAGAATGGCTACTATAAAAAGTCAAAAAATAGGCCAGGCACAGTGACTCATGCCTGTAATCCCAGCATTTTGGAGGCTGAGGCGGACGGATCATGAGGTCAGGAGATTAAGACCATACAGGCTAACAAGGTGAAACCCCGTCTTTACTAAAAAATACAAAACATTAGCCAGGCGTTGTGGTGGGGTGCCTGTAGTCCCAGCTACTTGGGAGGCTGAGGCAGAAGAATGGCATGAATCTGGGAGGCGGAACTTGCAGTGAGCTGAGATCACGCCACTGCACTCCAGCCTGGGCGACAGAGCGAGACTCTGTCTCAAAAAAAAAAATTATAAAATAATCACACTAAAGTCACAGTAGACTTTCAGGGATTAGGTGAAGAACTGCACTCGCTTGCTATTATTATATGTACTTTTTTCCAGAGATTTTATGTAGTTTATATTTTTGTTGTGTTCTTATTCTGTTTGATTTCAACATTATTCTACCTTATAAAATTTGTTAGCTGTTCTCTTTCCTTTATTAAACACATATTCATTATTTCTTCCTCTGAAAAAATTCTTCTCCTTGAAGGTTTTCTAATAGTTACTTATGTGACATTCTTGAACTTTAAAAAAAAAATCTTGCGTATTGGTTGAAACTATCAAAATGTCTATTTTTATGTATTGATTGGAAGTTGTTCACATTTTCATCTTTCGGTTTTTGAAAATTCATTTTTAGTTAACAATTTTGTATACTTATTCGGTAAAATATGATGTTTTGATTTATATATACATGGTAGAAATATTGATAGAGAATTTGAAGAAGACACAAATAAAGGGAAAGACGTTTCGTGGTAATGGACTGGAATAACTAATATTGTTAAAATTTCTGTACTACCTAAAGTGATCTACAGATTCAGTGCAATTCCTATCAAATTTTCAGTGTCATTTTTCACAGAAATAGAAAAAAACATTTTGATTTCTAAAATTCAATTATACATATAATTATTTTTACTTTTTTCAAACAAAATATTTTTGGGGGAGTTTCTTTACACTTTTTCTTTGATCAGTTCTGATGGTTTTATCTGTGTTCATGACTTCAGCCTTTTACTTTTCACTTTTATTGTATCACATGCCCAAACGAAGGATTATATTTATATTGCTTATATTATGTATACATATGCATGTGTGCGTGTGTGTGTGTGATCATGTGTGTGTGTGTAATCACTACAGAATTGGATCAGGAGTGTGTTAAAGTCACTCAGGAAGGACACAAGCTTTATGCAACCTCTGCTACCACCATTGTCCACACTACCCTGGATACTCAGTAGACCTTGAACCTGCATAACCATCTGGTACATTACTAGTACAACTGGCATTTGAGAAAGCCACCACACTGGGTCTACTTATAGCCAAGGAAATCATGCAGAGTCTGTATCACTCCCACACCACCCCTATCAGGACTGGTGCTTGTGTCCACCACTGGGGGATCTGAGGGCCTGCTCGGTCTAACTCAGCCCAACTTTACACACCACAGGGCTGAGCACATAGCGCAGGCCACTGGATATTCCACAAACCAGCCTATTGCCTGAGGAACTGGAGAGCTTCTACCTGTAAACAAAGATCAAGCGTAAACCCTTCTGCCACCACCACAGCTGGCTCTTACGTGCAAGAGCCATCTATTGGCCTGGAGGTTGAATTGCACAACCTGATACAAAACTTGTTGACACAAGTGCACAGTGCTTGGAAATGGGATAAGCTTATGGAGACCTCCACCACCCCAGCTCAGAAAAAGACTGTGAGCTTCTTAAACACTTAGTACCTTGCTACCACAACTGGCATTTGAGAAAGTCATCATATGAAGGCAGTCACACAGAAGCCCACAGAAACAAAGGCAAATGACACTACTCAACATATATTATAGTTACACCCTGAAAGGGAAAAAATATTCATTCCAAACAAAAATAAATTCGAAATAAGAAGAACTGACAGTTTCTCCAGAAGAGAAGGGAACAGCATAACAATTCTGAAAGTATGAAAAAACAGGTGTTACAACATCTCCAAAAGATTAGACTAACTCTGCAGCAATAGATACAATCCAAAATGAAATATTTGAAATATCAAATAAAGAATTCAAAATACTTATTTTAAAGCATGTCAGTTAGATCCAAGAGAAACCTGAAAACCAACACAAAGAAATCAGAAAATCAAGCCAGAATATAAATGAGAAATTTATCAAAGAGATAGATATTTACTAAAGAAAAAAACAAACAGAACTTCTGGAAATGAAAAAAATATTGAAGGAGTTATGAAATGCAGTTGAAAGTTTGAACTATAGCCAAGATAAAACAGAAAAAAAGACTCTCAGAACTTGAGGCCACATCTTTTGAATTAGTTTAGTCAGACGAAAAAAAATTAAATGAGCAAAGCCTTGAGAGTTATGGTACTATGTAAAACATTTGAATCTATAAATTACAGGTATTCCTGAGAGAGAAGAAAATATAAAAAGTCTGGAAACCCTATTTAAGAAGATGATCAGGCTGGGCGTAGTGGATCACACCTGTAATCCCAGCACTTTGGGAGGCTGAGGAGGGCAGACCACCTGAGGTCAGGAGTTCAAGACCAGCTTGACCAACATGGTGAAACCTCATCTCCACTAAAAATACAAAAATTAGCTGGGCTCAGTGGTGCATGCCTGTAGTCCCAGCTACTCGGGAGGCTGAGGCAGGAGAATCACTTGAACCTGAGAGGCGGAGGTTGCAGTGAGCTGAGATCGCACCATTGCACTCCAGCCTGGGCAACTGAGTGAGACTCTTTCTCAGAAACAAACAAAAACAAAAAAAAACAGAAAAAGAAAAAAAGAAAATAATTGAGGAAAACTTTCCTTGTCCAGCAAAAGGGCAAGACATTCTGATAAAAGAAGTTCAAAGAACTCTAGAGAAATACATTGCAAGAAAGACCTCATCATGACATACAATTCTCAGATTGTCTAAGTTTAACACAAAGGTAAATATCCTAAAATCAGCAAGCGACTAGAGTCTAGTAACCTATATGGAAAACTCCATCAGACTAATAGTGGACTTCTTAGCAGAAATCTTACAAGTCAGAGGAGATTGCGATTCCATTTTCAATGTGCTTCAGGAAAATAAGTGTCAATCCCAAATTTTGTATTATAAAAGTTCATAAGTAGAAGATAATTAAAGTCGTTCCCAAACAAGCAAAGACTGAGGTAATTTGTCATAACAAGATCTGCCCTAAAAGAAATGCTCAAGGAGTTCCAGAAATGAAACAGAGGGTTGATGCTCATTATTATAAAAATACTTGGAAGTATAAAACTCACAGGTCTTATAAAACAATTGCACAAATCAGGCTGCAACACAACTAGATAACAATATTATGACAGAAACACATCACATATCAATATAAACCTTGAACATAGATGCCTTAAAATTTCCATTTAAAAGATAAAGATTGTTTGATTGGATAATAAAACATGATCCAACCACATGCTGCCATAAGAAACTCATCTTATTAGTAGACACCTATAGATTGAAGGAAAGGGGGTGGAAAAAGATATTCAATGTAAATGGAAATCAAAAGTGACTACAAATAGCCTTATTTATGTCTGATAAAACAGACTTTAAATCAATATCAGTAAAAAAAAAAAGACAAAGACATTCTTATATAAATGATAAAGAGATCAAGTAAACAAGAAAATGTAAGTATTCAAAATATATTTGCACTTAATGCCAGAGCAAATATACTAGACCTAATTTTACTAGACCTTAGAAAAGAGATAGACAGCAATATGATAATAATGGGGAACTTCAACATCCCACTGAGAGCACTAGACAGATCATTGAAACAGAAAATCAACAAAGAAACACTGAACTTAAATTGGACTTTAGACCAAATGAACATAACAGACATTTACAGAACACTCTACCCAACAAATGCAGAATTGTTTTCATCAGTGCATAGAACATTCTTCTCATCAGTACATCAAACAATCTCCAAGACAGGTCATGTTTTAGGCCATTAAACAAGTCTTAATAAATTTAAAAAAATGAAATAATCCTAAATATTTTTTTTGGAGCACAGTGGAATAAAACTAGATGTCAATTCCAAGAGATTCTTGAAGCTATACGAGCACATGGAAATTAAACAACATGCTGCTGAACAATTTTTGAGTCAAAGATAAATTTAGGAAAAATTTTAAAATATTACAAATTGAATGAAAATAGAGACCAAAACATACTAAAGCTTCTGGGATATAACAAAAGCAGTGCTAAAAGGAAAGTTTATAGAATTACATTAAAAAAGAAAGATAATAAATTAAGAACCTAATGTCACATCTCAAGAAACTAGAAAAAAAAAAATAAACCCAAACCTAGCAGAAAAAAGAAATAACAAAAATCTTAGCAGAATAAAATGAATTTGAGACCAAAATAATACAAAAGATTTAACAAAATGAAAAGTTGGTTCTTTGAAAAGATAAACAAAATTTATAGATTTCTCACTAGAGATACTAAGAAAATGAGAGACAATTCAAATAACCACATCAGAAATGAAAAAAGGAGACATTAAAAATGATACTAAAGAAAGACAAAAGATCGTCAGAGACTACTATGAACCTCTCTATGCTCACAAACTAGAAAACCTGGAAGAATTGAATAAATTCCTGGAAACATACAATATCCCAAGATTAAACCAGGAAGAAACAGAAATCATGAACAGATCAATTAAGAATAGTGAGATTGAATCAATAGTAAACTCCATCTCTCCCAAAATGCCAAAGACAAGATCAATTACAGTCAAATTATACCAGATACACAAAGAATAACTGGTGTCAATCCTACCACAACTGTTCCAAAATATTGAGTAAGGGAGAATGCTCCCCAACTCACTCTACAAAGCCAGTAGCACCCAATCCTAACGACAGACAATAATGCAAAAAAATAAAAATAAAGAATACTATATTTAATAACCTTGATGAACACAGATACAAAAATCCTCAACAAAATACTAGCAAACGAAATTCAACAATCAAAAGATTACTCATCATGACCAAGTGGGATTTCTTCTAGTGATGTGCAGGTTGGTCAACATACCCAAATTAATCAATGTAATACATCCTGTTAATAAAGTGAAAGACGAAAAGCATATAATTTCCACTGATTCTGAAAAAGCATCTGATAAAGTTCAACATCCTTTCATAATAAAAACCCTCAACAAACTAGGCATAAAAGAAATATATCTTAGAATAATAAAAGCCATATATGGCAAGCCCACAGCCAACATCATACTGAACGGGGAAAAGTTGAAAGCATTCCCACTAAGAACTGGAACAATACAAGGATGCCCATCCACCACTCACATTCAACAAAGCACTAGAAGTCTTAGCTACAAAAATCAAGCAAGAGAAATAAAATGTATCCAAATTGGAAAAGAGAAAGTCAAATTATGTTTGTTTATAATATAATCCTATACTTAGAAAACCTTAAAGACTCCTTCAAAAGACTCCTAGATTTGTTAAATAAATTCAATAATGTTTCATAATACAAAATTAATATTAAAAATAGTAGCATTTGTATATACCAATAGCCATCAACCCGAGAACCAAACCAAGAATCAATCCCATTTATAATTCCATTATAATACAAAATATAAGATATCTTGGAACACATTTAGCCAAGGAGATGAAAGACCTCTACAATGTAAACTGTAAGACACCAATGAAAGTAATTGTAGATGACAAAAACAAATGGAAAAACTTCCCATGCTCTTGAATCAACAGAATCAATATTGTTGAAATTATCATATTGCCTAAAGCAACCTACAGATTCAATGCAATTCCTATCAAAATATCAACATCTAGCATTAGGTATATACCTAATGCTAGATGATGAGTTAGTGGGTGCAGCGCACCAGCATGGCACATGTATACATATGTAACTAACCTGCACATTGTGCACATGTACCCTAAAACTTAAAGTATAATAATAAAAAAAAATCAACATCATTTTTTACAGTATTAGGGAAAACAAATCTAAAATTCATATGGAACAAAAAAAACAGCCCAAGTAGTGAAACAATCCTAAGCAAAATGAGCCAAACTACAGGCATCACATTACTTGACTTCAAACTATACTGCAGGGCTATAGTAACCAAAACAGCATGGTTCTTGTGTAAAAACAGACACATAAATCAAAGAAACAGAATGGAGAACTCAGAAATAAAGCCTCATACCTACAGTCAACTCATTTTTGACAAAGTTGACAAAAAATATAAAGTGGGAAAAGGGCATCCTATTCAATAGATGGTTGCAGGAAAATTGGATTCCTGTTATACAGCAGAATGAAACTGAACCACCATCTCTCACTGTATACAAATATTAACTTAAGATAGATTAAAAACTTAAATGTAAGACCTGAAATTATAAAACTACTACAAGAAAACCTAGGTAAACCTCTCCTTGACATTGGCCTAGGCAAAGAGTTCATGACTAAGAACTCAAAAGCAAATGCAACAAAAAACGAAAATAAACAAATGGGACTTCATTAAGCTAAAAAGCTTTCATGCCACAAAAGAAATAATCACCAGAGTGAACAGACACCCTGCAGAATGGAAGAAAATATTTGCAAATTATGCATCCAACAAAAGTATATCCAGAATCTACAAGGAATTCAAATATGTGAGTAACAAGAACAACAACAACAACAACAACAAATAACCCCCTTAAAAATGGAGAAAAGACATGAACAGACACTTTTCAAGAGAAGACATGTAAATGGCCAACAATCACATGAAAAAATGTTCAACATCACTAATCATCAGAAAAATGCCAATTAAAACCACAGTGAGATACTTTTTCACACCATTCAGAATGGCCATTAATAAAATGTCAATAAAATATGTTGGTGAGGATATGGGGAAGAGAGAATGCTTATACACTGTTTGTGGGGATGTAAATTAGTACAACCTCCATGGAAGACAGTATGGCAATTTTTCAGAGTTAAAAATAGAACTACCATACAATACAGTAATCCCACCACTGGGTATACAACCAAAGGAAAGGAAATCAGAATGTCAAAGGTATATCTTCACTCTCATGTCAATTGCAGCACTATTCACAGCAGCAGAGATCTAGAATCAACCTAAGTGTCCATCAATAGATTACCAGATAAAGAAAATACAATACACATATACCGTAAAATACTAGCCAGCCATAAAAAAGAATAACATTATGTCTTTTGCAGCAATATGGATGGAATGAGACACCATTATTCTTAAGTAAAATAACTCAGAAACAGAAAGCCAAATACCATATTTTCTCATTTATAAGTGAGAGCTAAACAATGCATACACATGGATATAGAGAGTGGAATAATAGACATTGGAGACTCCAAAGGGTGGGAGGGTTGGTGGAGGATGTGGGATACGAGAGTACTTAATAGATACAATGAACGCTAAGAGCCCAGACTTCATCACGATGCAATATATCCATCTCACAAAATTGCACTTTTTCCATCTAAATCTATAATAAAAACAAAAGAGAACAAAATTTAAACTTATTTTTAAATCATTAAAAAAAGTTTTTGAATGTCTCACTATAAAGGATAAATATATGAGATGATGGATATACAAAATAATTTTAAAGCAATTTATACATGTATTGAAACACCACTCTACACCCCATAAGTATGTATAATTACTATGTGTCAATTAAAAGTAAAATGAAAGATAACTATATTAATTGAAAATCAACTTACTGGCCGCCTGTGATCTCAGCACTTTGGAAGGCCGAAGTGGTGCATCACCTGAGGTCAGGAGTTTGAGAGCAGCCTGGCCAAAATGGCAAAACCCCATCTCTACTAAAAATACAAAAATGAGCTAGGTGTCGTGGCGCATGCCTGTAACTCCAGCTACTCAGGAGGCTGAGGCAGGAGAATTGCTTGAACCCAGGAGGTGGAGGTTGCAGTGAGCTGAGATCACACCATTGCACTCCAGCCTGGGCAACAAGAGAGAAACTCTGTCTCATAAAAAAAAATAGTAATAGTAAATAAAAATAAACTTACTATTCAGGGCATGGTGGCTCACTTCTGTAATTCCAGTGCATTAGAAGGCCAAAGCAGGAGGATCACTTGAGGCCAGGTGTTTGAAATGAGCCTGGTCAACATAGTGAGATCCTCCCCTCCACAAAAAACTAAAAAGATAAAATTTACTGTTCCTTTAAAGTATTAGTTAATATGATTTCATTAAATGACATAACGTTTCAAAAATATTATGGGTATTGTGACTCCATTTTATACTGTATACATTTTTATATGCAAGGAATGGATTCTCATTTAAATACATCAAAGAATTAATAATAATTACTTCCATCTTGTTTAATTAGAGGTGATTTTACTTACCTTATCTGCAATTTTACATTTCTCTGTAACAACCATGTGTTACTGATTTCTACTTTAATTAAAAAAAGTCTTTTCATTGTAATGATATTTTCCAAAATTATTCCTTCAAATTATATCAATCATTTTCTTAAAATGCTTCAATGATTTGATGTTGCCTAAAGGATAGAGTTTAAATTGTTTATTCTAATATTCAAAGTCCCCTGTCAGCTGGCACCCAGCTGCATTTCCAGTCTCATATCGTAATTCTCACTCTCAAAACATCAGTTCCAACCAAATGCTTTTACCAGCTGTTTCCACAGAATTTCCTCTCCCTTCTTCCTTTTCCTGTTCAATCTGTTTCAGCTAGCCAACTAACAGTATCTCTCTGACTTTTTCTACCTATGCAAATGCTACCTATTCTTCAAAATACAACGAATCTTTATTCCTCTTTCATAAAGCCTTCTTCAAAAAGAGTAGCCTAATGGGAGCTTTTTTCTTTTAATATTTTAAAAACAATAGCTTTACGAATTTTCTAATTAATGTTATACTCATTGGTATTGATTCTAGAGGCACCAGCTCGGGATTGCACATTTTCTTCTGTGGTTTAAGACCTGCCAAAATCTGTCCAGCCAAGAGGGTAGGGGGATGACCATCCAACACAAGCTAGCTTTCCAAGCTGTGTGCTTTGGTACAAGGCTGCATCTACCCAGAGGAAGGAAGAAATTTTTAAAAAACTAATTTTCATTCAAATATGAGGTCACTTTGCAATTCTAGTCTTCCTAGAGAGGGCATTCTTTGGTATACTACTATAGGAAGTGTTCTATATAAATTAGTAGCTTTATAGTTCCTTATAATTAACATTTTTAAAGTTTATACCTGTTCCATCAAGCTAGGATATGGATAATGTTCTGTAATTTTTGTACACATCAGATCACTGAGCATAATGCCACATGAATGTTTAAATGAATAAGCATGCATTCAAATATACCATAGCAGAAAATGAGATCTTAGGAGCGTCCCTCAGACAGATTCTGACAGATTCTTACATTTAAGCAAATTGCAGCTGCAGAGACTTTGCCACATAGCCTTTCAAATACCATGAGAAAAGTTTGGAAGATATAATAGACATTGCATTAGTAATCAACATTGCCTTTTACTCATACTTAGGCTTGACATCTCCTATGTTCCTTTTTTGTTGTTGTTAAAATACAGGCACTTTCTCCAAGCAATAACAACAATAAGTAATTTTAATGACTACTTTACAGGCTTCATGTATGTTATCACTAGGTAATAAACATTTTCTTTCAATTTCTGATTTGATGCCTGACGTGGTGCTTGGAATAGTAGTCATCCAGTAAATATTTCTTAAGTAGATAAAATAAGTTCAATATTAATCATCACTATGGATACCTGTCAGACAGCACTGACTTTTTTGTTTCAATAAGCATGCTGAGATCAGACAAGTAGAGATCAGAGTCACAGGGTTGGCAGGTGGAATGTTCTTTCCAGTATACCTTCCCTCCTTAAAGGGAAAACACTACTCCGGCTGAGCCTAGGTAATAAGAGTACAGTAAGTTATGAAAGTCATTTAATTATTTTATCTTCAGTGTAGGTAATGGTATTTAAAATAAAATTATTTTTCTCCAGAACAGAAACTTTAGTAGGTAGAGACTATGTTATCTGCATTTATTTGAATGATAAACACAAATTGAATTAGCAGGGGGCTAGAGCAAGTGACATAGTATCCTGAAAAATAAAAATAATTTAGAATATCCTTAACTGGATTTGATCAGTGTTATTAAAAATAGCCATTTTGAAAGTCTTGTCTCTAAGGCTGCCACATATGATTGTTGACAGACAGCTGTAAAAAAAAAAGAGGATGAAAGAGGTATTCAGCCAGATATGATGTGTGGTCATACTCCGCATCCATGCAATTACCAGGACAATGTGAGCAGCCTCTCACAGTGAGCTAGCATAGGGTTTGTTGTATACATCAACACCAAACATGCCTTTCTGCTCCTAAGCCCCCGAGGGCCAGTTACATTTCTCATACTATGAAACTTGTCACTTCTAGTTTTTCTCTTGTAGGACATTCTGAATTAAACTAAGAGCCCATCTCGAAGAGTTGTGCAATTCCTTGGTGCATGTATGCACTTCTGTGTGCTCACTTTAACACTGTCTTGATTTTTCCTTAAATTTTAAAATTTGTTTTATCTTAATATTCACATTCTTTATAAGGTGCCTAAAAGTCTCTGGAAGGAACTGGGGTATGTATGCATATAAGAAGAGGAGCTCTCTAGCACAAGCTATAAAACTAAAAGTAGAATTAGAAAATGTTAGAACTCATTTTACAGATGAAGACCCTGAGTCAATGAAATGTAAGGGGACTTGCACCAGGACAAAATCAGTATTCTGAAGCCATTGCTGCATTTTTTTTCTCATGTTTTGTTAAGTTTCTTCCTCTCACATGAACATGTGCCTGGTGTCCGCATCAACTTGCCACAGCCTGCTTTCCTTATCTTTCATGTGGGTCCTCCTCCCCTTCCTTCAGAGTTGGGCTGTTTTGATGTTTTCTATTCACTTGAATACATAAAAGAGCAGTACTCATGGATCATACTTAGGATCTGACCTGGCTGTCTCATTTGCAGAAGAAACCTCAAGGGTAAAGAAGACTATTGACTTAGTTTCAACTGTGCCTTCAAACACTTAATTTTTGCCCAGTTACAAAGCATACAGAATTAGTTTTCAACTTGGCTTTTGATTTTTTTCTTTTTTTTTAAAGAGATTTGAACTAGAAATCTTAAAACAGGCCAAATATTAAATCTTTAATTTGCAGTCTTTTCTAAAGACTTCCTTTTGATAAGAAATGTTTGGGAAAATGTTGACTTAATGGGAACTATTTTGCTATAATACCACAAGCCTGCATCATAAAGTTCCCAATGTCAGAAAAAAAAACACACAAAAAATGACATCTGCATTAGGACTGTATCAGAAACTGTGCTAAGAAAAATCTGCCATTGTTAAAGACACAACCAGGTGCCACAAGGCTAATTAGTGTGCTTGGTTTTTCTGCAGAAGGAAGTTTGCTAGCATCACTCCTGGGTCTTAAGAATGACCTCAAGTCACACTTCCCAAGGTGGTATTAAGGGGATATCATTGATAGATGTGCAAAGGAAAATATATTATCTCCGTGTGTGAATGTTTGTTTTTGACTGTTAAAATTTATGTGTAGTTCTCTCAGAGCCTTAATATGTTAATGAACACTGTCAACCTCAAAGAAAGGAATGTGATGGTCAGTCTTCCTCCAGCTTATATGTCCAAAAGTGGTATGCTTCCTGGGAAGTATGCTCCATGAATCATGGTTTGTGAAATATTAACATTCACAAGAGTAGATATAACATTTCATTCATTCATATTCTAAAAGATAAAAATGCGAGTGTGCAGGCAGTCATACATGCATCATTTTGTCTTTAAGGGGATGAAGTCATGCAGCTTGAGTTTGTAGTTGTCTCCACACTTACAAGGTGTGTACAAGGAAAAATAGTTTAACCTTTCTGTTTTTCAGGTTTTTTTATCTGAAAAATGAGAATAAGAATAGAAACTCTACTACAGGTTTGTTAAAAAGACAACCGCAAAGGTAAATATTTTTGGAAGGCATAGCTGCATATATTTTCATTCATATTCAGTTTTCCTCTTCTCACCCAAGCATGTGTTTGATGTGCACATCCATTTAGCACAACCTGCATTTTTTCTTCACTATTTCCAATTGTGTCTTCAGACAGACTCTTCTCCCCTTTCGTCACACAGAACATGGCTGTTTTGATGTTTCCTATTCCTTTGAGCATATAGAGGAACCTGGCAAAACTCAGTAAATGTTGACTAATATGTACATGATTTCTTTTTTTCAAGTAATATAAAATGTGCACTGCATTTATGGAGACAAAAGTTATTTAACTTACTATATATGTCATAACTGTATATATATATTTATCATACATAAACACTTCTATAAATTAATAAAAAAAATAGTTTATTTGAGATTATTATGTTCATCCCTTCCAAATCTCACGTTGATACATAATCCCCTGTGTTGGAGGTGGGGCCTCATGGGAGGTATTTGGGTCATGGGGATAGATTTATAAATGGCTTGATGCACTCTACATTGTAATAAGTGAGTTCTTACTCTGTTAGTTCACACAAAAGCTAGTCATTTAAAAGAGCCTGGCACCTCTCTCCTCTTTTTCTTGTCCCTTCTCTCTTGCTTCCTCTCTTGCCATAGGATTTTCTGGCATCCCCTTCACCTTCTGCTGTGATTGGAAGTTTCGTGAGGCCTCACAGGAGCAGATGCTGGGTCCATGCTTCGTGTACAGCCTGCAGATCTGTGAGCCAAAATAAACCTCTTTTTGTTATAAACTATCCAGCCTCAAGTATTCTTTACAGTAACACAAATGGACTAACAGAAAATTGGTACTAGAAGTGGGGCATTGCTATAAAGATACCTGAAGATGTGGAACCAGCTTTGGAAACTGTGTCACAAGCAGAAATTGGAAGAGTTTGGAGAGCTCAGAAGAATACAGGAAGAAGAAAGAAGGTTTGGAATGTCTTAGGGACTAGTTGAGTGGTTGTGACCAAAACGCTGATAGAAATATAGACAGTGAAGTCCAGGCTGACAAGCTCTCAGATGGACATGAGAAATTTATTGGCAACTGGAACAAATCCTCACTCATGTTATGCCTTAGCAAAGAGCTTGGGTGCATTGTGTTCATGTCTTAGGGATTTGTGGAAGGTTGAACTTAAGAGTGAAGACTTAGGGTATCTGGAGGAAGAAACTTCTAAGCAGCAAAGCATTCAATATGTGGCTTGGCTGCTTCTAACAGCCTACAATCAGATATAGGAGCAAAGTAATGACTTAAATTTGAAACATATTTAAAAAGGAAGCAGTGTGTCAAAGTTTGGAAAATTTGCAACTTAGTCATGTTGTAGAGAAGAACAGAGCATTTTCAGAAGAGGAATTTTTGCAGATAACCACTTGCTAGAGAGATTTGCATGACTAAAAGGAAGCCAAGTGCTAATAGTCAATACAACGAGAAAAAGTCTTGAAGGCATTTTGGAAGTCTTCCAGACTGCCCATCCCATCACAGGTTCAGAGGCCTTAAGAGGACAGAATTATTTCAGGGTACAGGCTCAGGACAATGCTGCCCTGCTTAGCCTTTCAATGCTGCTTCCCACATCCTAGTAGCTCCAGTTCCAGTCTCCATTCAAAGGACCACAGCCATAGCTTGAACTGCCACTTTGGACAGCACAAGCCCCCACAAGCCTTGGTGGCTTCCATGTGGTGTTAGACCTGTGGGTACACAGAATGCAAGAGTGAAGAAGGCTGCAGTGTCTACCTAGATTTCAGAAGATATATGAGAAAGTCTGGGTGCCCAGGCAGAAGCCTGCCACAGGGGTGGAGCCCCTGCAGAGAGCCTCTACTAGGGCAGTGCCCAGGGTAAATATGGGGTTGAACACCCCACACAGAGTCCCCACCAGGGCACTGTCTATTGAGACCATGAGAAAGGGGCCTTTGCCCTCCAGCCTCCCCAGTGGTAAAGCCAACAGCAGTTTGTACGCAGAACCTGAGAAAGCCTCACTGAATTCTAATCTGTGAGAGCAGCATGGGAACTACACCTTGCAAAGCCACAGAGATGGAGCTGCCCAAGGCCTTGGAGTCTACCCCTCACACCAGTGTCCCCAGGATGTGGGACATGGAGTCAAAGATTTTGTTGGAAATTTGAGATTTACTGTCTGCTTTGCTGGGCTTCAGACATGCATGGGGCCTGTTACCCTTTTCTTTTGGTCAATGTCTCCCTTCTGTTTCTCTGGAGAACACAGGGGAGAATGGGAATCTTTACCCAATGCCAGAACCACCATTGTGTCTTGAAAGTAAGTAACTAGTTTTTAATTTTAAAGATTCATAGGTGAAAGAAATACGCTTTGAGTGTCAGATGAGATTTTGGACTTTGAAGTTGATGCAAGAACAAGCTAAGACTTTAGGGGACTATTGGGATGACATGAGGAGTTGGGGCCTGGTAGGAAGTGTTGGGTTATGGGGATGGATCCCTTATGAATGACTTGGTGCCCTCCCCATGGTAGTAAGTTAATTCTCACCTTGTTAGTTCATGTGACAGCTAGTTGTTTAATACAGCCTGGCATTTCCTCCCTCTTTCTCTTGCTCTTTCTCTTGCTCCCTCTGTCTGCTTCCTGTCACACCATTTTATACACCAGCTCCCTCTTTGCCTTCTGCCATGATTGAAGGCTTCCTGAGGCCTCACCAGGAGCAGATGCTGGTGTCATACTTCCTATACAGCTTGCAGAACCATGAGCCAAGATAAACCCCTTTTCATTATAAATTACCCACTCTCAAGTATCTCTTTACAGTAATGCAAATGAGCTAACACATCTTATACTAAATTATGCTCAAATTGTCACCTCATATTTTTATTGTTAAATTCAATAAATATTCATAAAATATCTTGTATCTTCAGCCCTATAAAATATCTCAAGCATCTCTCCAAGGATTGGAGGTCTTTCAAAAGTTGAAGAAGTCTTATAACCAGTCTTTGCCTATTCAGTCTCAATTGGCCCTTTTGAGGCTAATTCCAAGTCTAAGCCCCTTTAAGAAATATTTATCACAGCACTAACTACTATCGACCAAGTCTCTGTTATGTGTACAGTTCTTTACAACTGCTATTACTAATCCTCCTAGCTATATGAGGTCAATAACCTCACTTTTCAGGTGAAAAAACTGAGTTCTGCAGCTCTACAGTTACTAACACAAGGAACTTGGGTCATCAGACAGGACTGGCTGACACCAAAGCCTGTGCTGTTTGAGCTCTGCCCTGCAACCAGGTGAGCTCTAAACTCAGATCCCACCAACATCTCTCACATGGACAGACTGGGTAAATAGAAAACCCAGGCAGAGCCAATCAAATTAAATGCAGCAAACAAGGAGGCAATGAGTAATCCTAATGATTTCAAATAGTCCACGCTGTCCCATAGGTTTAATGTGAAGTTTGAAAAACATTACTAAGATTATTTTCCTTCTCTTCTATTTTTCTACTCATTAGATTTCTGGAAGAAGCCATTTTTAGTTCTCCCTGCAAGTCTTGGTTGTATGTCTTGCTTGAATATATAAGAAATGCTCACCTGGTTACATTATGTGTTTATTTAAGTAAGAACTGTGCAGAAATATTCATTACACATTTATCAGGAGCAAATAAAATACTTCAGAGTGTACCTTATTTATTTCCTTAGTATTCCTAAAATTTCTAAGATATACATATATATTTATATATGTATATGTGTGTGTATTGTTTGCCTGCCTTCCTTCCTTCCTCCCTCCCTCCTTCCTTCCTTTCTTCCTTCCTCCATCCCTCCCTCCTTCCCTCCCTCCCTCCTTCCCTCCTTCCCTCCTTCATTCCTTCTTTTCTTCCTTCTTCCTTCTTTCTTTCCTTTCCTTTTTTCTTTCTTTTCTCTTTTCATTTTTTCTTTTGTAGTTGTTTTGTTTTAAAATTTGTTTTTGTTTTGTTTTGTTTTATATTAAAAGTTCTGATGAAAATACAGAAATGACCCATGTTTCCTTTATAATCCCTGGAAGAAGAAGAAGCAGTACATGAAGTGGTGGGAGTGAGCCTAATGTGTAAGAGGGATAACAGGGAGTTCAGTGAGGCAGAATGAATCAGTGGAGAGGAGACTAAGAGTTCACTAAGTTCAGTGGGGCAGAATGAATCAGTGGAGAGGAGACTAAGAACAGATGAGATCAGGTAGTTAATAGAAGGCCAGCTCTTGCGGGTCCTGAAGGTCATTCTAAGGTTTTTATATATATATATGTGAAAGAAAGAAAGAAACTACCTCTATCTGTCTCCTATCTATCTATTTATCTTTCTACCTTCTACTATGGTTTGGATATGGTTTGTCCCACCAAAACTCATGTTGAAATGTGATCATCAACATGGTAGTTTTAGGAGGTGGGAGGTGGAGCCTAGTGGGGAGTATTTGGATCATGGAGGCAGATTCCTCATGAATAACTTTGTGCCTTTCTTATAGTAGTGAGCAAATTCTAGCTCTCATAAGACTGGATAGGTTATCTCAGAAACTGGTTCATTCCTGCAAGAATGGATTATTATAAAATGACACCCTTCAGATTTAGTCTCCTGTTGCATGTGTCCACTTCCTCTTTAACCTTCTGCCATGTTTTTACCCAGCAGTAAAGCTCTCACCAGAAGCTGAGCAGATACTGGTGCCATGCCCCTCGAACTTCCCAGCCTGCAGAACCATGAGGTGAATAATAAATGCTTTTCTTTATAAATTATTGAGCCTCAGATATTCTGTTATAGCAACAGAAAATGCACTAAGATACTATTTATCCTCTTATTGGTACTGTTTCTCTGGAGAACCCTGGAGAGAGGGAGGGAGGGAGAAAGGAAGGGAGGAAGTGAGGAAGGGAGGGAGGAAGGGAGGAAGGAAGGAAGGAAAGAAGGACAAAACTATGTTTTATTAAAGAGGATTCATAGACAAATAGGTACATGAAAAAATTTTCAACACTGTTAGCCACTAAGATAATTCAAATTCAAACTACAGACTAAATGACTACAGATTAAAGACTAAAGACTACAGACTAAATGACTAGAATGACTACAGACTAAACAAAACCAAACAGTGATAACACTAAATGCTGGTAGGAATGAAGAGGAACTGGATCACTAGATCACTCGTACGTTGCCTAGATGCACCAAAATTAATTCTAAATGGACCAATGATTTGCATTAAAAAGATAATATATCATGTATAACATTATTAGAAGAAAAATTCTAATTATTTACTTACTCTATTAAAATCTGGAAGCAAGAGAAGAAACCAAGGATGTATAAATAACAAACTATCAGACTTAACTATGTTATGAAATGATGAAAGACAAAGGAAACATACAATTGCTCTACAAAAGACCTCCTAAAATTGTAACTATACAAGATGTCTAACTGGGCTAAAAAAACTCATTTCGTGAAGAAGAAAGTCACCAATAAATGTATGAAATTAGGATTTACTTTAGTAGGAGTTCTGAAAATATAAATTAAAAGTGTTAGACATTAATATTTGCTCTTCAACTCTTTGACTTTCTATCATAGATTTCTCTGAGTTTGCCACACGGAAAGCCTTCCACGTCTGCTTAGCTTTTATTCATGCATCTGCAAAATGCAAATGCAAAGATGTTAGAACTCAGGCAGTGGACCCTTGAGCATGGGCAGTGGGAGCTAGTAGATAAACACCCACCTCTTCTCTTCCCTGGGTAGACAGTTCTCAGCTGCCTTCTCCACAGGCTCCATCTATATTGTCCCTAGTAGAATTCAGACCCAGTTGCCCACAGTGCTAATCAACTGGATAATGTATCCTTGGATAAACTTCCTGCACATAAACCTTTTTCTCAGTTCTTGCTTTCTTCAGGAAACTTTGCAAAGACATTGGTTTTTATTTACAAAACAATGTACATTAACTTTATATCTTCAAAGCTGTTTAATCAGCTAGAAAAACTACATACTTTTATACAACATGAATTATTTATTGAATGTCTATGATAAGTCCATAATTATGCTTGACATGAGTCTAACACCAAGCAAAACTAAAACCACCACCCAAACAAAAAAAAAAAACTTTGCACTCAAATAATTTATAGTCTAGTGGAGAAAGCATACAAAGAATCACACAAAAAATTAATAGCAAATGAATTAATGTTTAAAAGAAGTATAACATATATCAATTGGTAAAATAGGGTTAATCAATCTAGTCATACAAGCCAGGGAAGGCTTCTCTGCAAAAGTAGTGATTGGACTGAAAACTGAGGAAGGATAGAAGTGAAATAGGCAACGATTATAGAGATAGAGAAAAAAGGGCATTTCTGAGAGAACAGACAGGAAGAGGCCTAAAGTATTCCTGGTACAAATATCTTGGATAAATATGAAATAGCATAAACCAAAACAAAGTATCTAGAGGGCAGGTATCAGGATGGAGCCTTTTGCAACATAAGACTGTGTGAGCAGGAACAATGCCAGACAAACCTATTAGCTGAGAGCTGGTATTATCGCATTTCATTGGTTCTCATAAGACTTCTGTTTTCAAAGACAATTCTGGCTACCATAAATAATATTCATTGAAAGTTTAAACCCTATGCCAGCCACTGTTTTGAGCACCATGCATGTACTACATATTTGATACTCACAACAACCCTATAATATTTGTACTGTTTACCCATGGCAAGAGTGAAGAGTTGAGAAACATTAATGATTTTGTCCAAAATCACACAGTAACTGTATGACAGAGCAGACCCCAGCTGATTTCAGCACTCACTCCACATCACAGGAAGAATGGAAAGAGTAGCAGTATAGATTTGGGTGCCCAGTTAAAAGCCTATTTTGTCCATCCAGGAAAGAGAATAGGAAACCTTGGTCTATATCTGCAAGACAAAATGGAAAGAAATGAATTGATTGTGGTTCTCAAATGGAAGTAATTTTGCTTTCTATGCCCACTGATGGACATTTGGCAATGTTTGGAGCAGTTTTTGATTGTCGGAACTTGAGGGTAGAGTGCTACGCTACTGGCATCTAGTGCATAGAAGCCAAAGGTGATGCAAGGCAGCCCCCCTCAACAAAGAATTATTCAGCCCAAAATGGTATCAGCAAGCTTACCAAAGTCAAAATAACTAAACTGATTATCATGACCATCTAAGAACTAACTTACTGAGAAATGCGATTGAGAGGTTGTAAGGTAGTTGCTGAAATGTCACAACAGTGTTTGAGGTAATAGGTGTGCAAATTGCCCTGATTTGATCATTACATAGTACATAAATGTATTGAAATATCACACGGTTACTGATAAATATGTATAATTATGATGCATCAGTTAACATAATTTTACAAAGTAAAAGCAAGGAATATTTCAGGGGGAAAATAAATACAGCTGGATGGTGGATGGAATATGTGGGACGAGAGAGCAGGGTGTGTCAAGGATCATGTATAACAGAGAAGAAAGTGACAACACAGTAGGGAGCCCAGGAAAAGAACCAGGTTTAGGGATATCCTGTTACATAATCATTCAAAGAGAGTCGTTCTGGAGCTGCTTGGTTTTATTCAGTTCTAGAGCACAAAAGGTAATTTTAATCTTACATTAGAGATTTGTAATTTGAGTCATCTGGGTATAGATGATATTTGAAAACATGGGCTTAAATGTATCTCCTAGAGTTTCCACTTGAGTAAAAACAATAAATAGTGCCCTAGGATTAAGCCTTGAAGGGATGAAATGTTTAGTGGCCTTTTACTAACAGAAAAGGGAAGAGAGAGAGATAAAAGAGGGGGGAGTTTGTGTGTGTGTGTGCGGGTGGGTGTGTGTGTGTGAGAGAAAGAGAGAGAGAAAGAGAAAGAAAGAGAACACACATCAGATCAGAGAGGTAGGAAAAAAAAAAGAATGTGTTGTAAAAGACGTCAAGGGAGGAGAGCTGAAGAAATGACAGAATAGTGTTGAGAAGTCAAATAAGGCACAAAGTTGGAGAAAAAGTTTCAGGAACCTTCATGGAAGTCACTCGGCCCAAATCAAGAGCAAATTTGGGGTGAGGAGACCTTTAAGGGTTGGAGTGGAATCAGGCACACACACTCACACACACACACATACACACACACAAAAAAACCCCATTCCAAAAATAATTTTACCAAATACAACATGGCATACTATGTAGTTTAGCATATTTTACATGCAATAATCAATTTTTACCCAAATACTGTACATGGAATAATCAATTTTTACCCAAATACTATAAAGCATACACCATTATCCTTATTTCAGATAAGTGAAATGAAGGCTTAGAAATCTTAAGTCATTTGAATGAGGCTTAGAGATCTTAAGTCATTTGTCTGAGGCTGCATACTAGGCTTATTTTGGAACCTGGTTTCCAGTGCAAGCCGTGCATGCTTCAGTGGTTTCTTTTACACAGCCCAATAAGGGAAATCTCTAAACTCCATGGCATCTGCTTATGTTGACTTTAATCTTACTTACAAAATATGGATTCATCTCACTCAGATACAAAATTGTTTTCACATGTTTTCTCTCTTTTTATAAGCAAGGTTGGCCATGGGGTTATTAATCATTGCTGCAACAGATAAAGCTGGCTTGTAAAAACCAATCTCCATTATTCATTTGGAACCACATTGTGGACTGAGATACTGTATCACCAAAGGAAACAGATGGTCTGTGTTCCTGGTAAAAAAAAAAAAAAAAAAACCAGTTTACCAAGGCATTTCTATCTGCAGTTCATAGGTTCCAAATCCATTCCTCTCAAACACAGTGCTCACAAGGTCATCATTTATGATGGACCTTTAATTGCTTTGTAATGGAAAATGCAGTATATTTGTAAATGACATTAGAAAAAACACAGTAAGTATAGTACAGATAGATAATACAATTAAGTATGATATATTCATATTTCAGATCTAATGATAAGTAAAATCGAAGTAGATGAATGAAATTTGTTCTATCGCCCTCCTAACAGTTGTCTCCTTATCAAGTTTTCCTGCTGTGGTCTAAGATTCTCTTTCCAGTCAGAGAGACTTCCCTAAAAGGCATATCACATTATTCTACTGCCCTGTTTTTTTTTGTTGTTGTTGTTATTTTTGGTTTCTGGGTTTTGGTTTTGTTTTGTTTTATTTTGTTTTGTTTTGTTGAGACAAGGTCTGGCTCTGTCACCCAGGCACGGTGCAGTAGTACGATCTCGGCTCACTGCAACCTATACTTTTCATGCTCAAGCCATCCTCCCACCTCAGCCTCCCGAGTAGCTGGGACTACGAGTGCGAACCACCAGTCCTGGCTAATTTTTGTATTGCTGCCTAGTTGACACTTTTTAAATGGCTCCCCGTCACCAACAGAGAGATGGCCTGAAGCACGCCCTTTATGCTCCCGTTAACTAGTTCAAGATCATACATCTAGTATAGTGGCTGAGTTGCGAGTAAACCTCATGAAGTCAGACTCCTGCTCCAGCTCCCAACCACCAAGTTATAAAGATTTTCTGAAAGAGGGGTAGGTAAGTTATGTCCTGGAATCTGTATCCAGTTTGCTGCATTTTTTTATGTGGTCCACAAGCTAATAAAGTTTTCTACATTTTCAAATAATTGAAAAAATTTGAAGAAGACGATCTCATTAACACATGGAAATCACATGTCATTCAAATGTCTGTGTCCATGAATAAAGTTTTATTGGAACACAGCCATGCCTATGGCTGCTTGCCGAGAGCAACAGAGTGATTGTGAGAGAGACTGCTTGGGCCACCATACTGAAAATATTTTCTTTCTGACCTTTTGTGGAAAGAATGTTCCTACACCTAAACCAAAGATGGTAGTTAGAAAGGGAAAATGAAACTAGTGAGGTAAACAGGAGTCAAGATGTAAAAGGTTAAATTGCTTTGTCAAAAAATGTGGACTTGTAAGAAGTCTGGACTTTACGCATAAAGTATATCCTTTTGAAGTTTTAACTTTGGTAAATTGATTTGTATAAAGTATAAATATAGCTACATAATATAATGTTTTATATTGCATTTAAACATGTCTGAAGTATGTATGTATCATCACTTGAGTGTATTTTAATATTTATGTCTTTTGCTTTCAAAAGTGTTACTCTTTCTGCCTGAGAACCTGTTCTCCTCCTTTAGTATTTTACTAACACTGACTGTTTTTTTAAATAATTCTTTTCAGTTATTGCCTCCTTTAGGAAGCTGTTTCTGACCTCTGCCTTTCCCTATTGTTAGATGTCCCTTTTCTAGACTCTCGGAGCTCATACTTCTCTTTAGAATGGATGTTTTTGCATTGTTTAATTATCGTTGATTTTCCTATCTGAGTTCCTTAAATCTTGGATTTATTTTTATTGATCTTTTAATTCTTGGTGCCTAGGAATTTGCCCAACATAATAGAGACTAAATAACACATATTTGTAAAGTAATATTCAAGAAATGCCACATACCTCTTGGACTCAGTTAGATCCTGGTTTCACTCAGAGGCAAAGGCTGGGACCCTTCTTTGTTAAGAGACCTGAAGATGTCAGAAAGTCTTTGTGACCTGCAGCACTTTAGGAAAACTAGGGGCCTGTTGAGAGACTCACGCACATAATTTTCATAAAGAAACTGAGCCTTGTTTAAGCTAAAGTACCTGTATGTAGAAAAGGAAAATAAAAGTTGTGAATCGTAGTGAATGTTTTCTACTCATTTACTCTTCTACCCAAGACTAGAGAGATTTAAAAAATGTGGTTACCGAGATCTCACTACATAGAGAGTGAAACAAATGCCAAGAAGGGTATTTGAAATAGCATGGGCACCCAATATGTTTGTGACAAATGGATTTTTTGAATGAACTGACCAGTAAATCAATAAACATGATGGCAGAGGTATCATGTAATGTAAGAGAACCTCAGGCACAGAGTTACGGTGTCTTCAGAGAACTCTATGCAGTTTTATTATTCTAAATAAAACATGTAATAATGATTATTATTTTTATTCTTTACTAACTTCTTTCTAGGAGCCCGGCACCATTCTAAGTGCTTTACATGTATTGATTTCCTTAATTTTTGCAAAGTTCCTGTGAGGCAGGTACATCTGTCATACCCATACTGCAGACAGTTTCTCAAAATTCATGACACATATACTGCTGCCCTTTCCCCTGTATTGTTCTGGCTTCTGCCTCCAACACCAAGTGTTTATGTCTCTGTGTGTATTGGACCCAGACTCCCAAGACAGGCCTCTTTGGTTCATTTAAACATGATCCTCTGGGATCTACCTTGTCGGTCCAAGCTCCCTAGGGCCACTTTATAATCACCTGGTCATCCTAAAGATGGATAAGCGAGGTCCCTGTGGAAGATATCAACGAGTATGGTCTTCCATTTATCCACCTGTTTGCCATTTGTTCATTCATTCAGCATATATTTAGCTCTCATGTCCCAGGCATTGGGAATTTAGAAATGAAAAAGATAGGGTCCCTGACAGCCACGACCTTCTTAAGCCACTGGCCGTCACTGTGGCAGGTACTGTGGTGGAAACACCACAAGTCACCGGTCACAGAAGAAACTGCTGGGCCAGCCTGGTAGTGGTGTGGAAGATGAGGATGGGGCGCTGGGTAAGGCATTGAGGAAGCAACGGAATCTACATAGAGAAGCCACAGAGGAAATGAAGCGTGCTGGGAAGGGTGTTCTGAACAGAGATAACACTAGCAGAGGTGCAGAGGCATGAGCCAGCATGCTATTTTGAGAAAGTCCTAGCAGTTTATTGGCCCTGGATGAAAAAAGAGAGCAGTGGAGAGGAAAGCAAGGTCAATGGTGTGGTGTCAGGTGGGTCTGGGCTGATAGAGAGAACTTGGGTTCCACCACAAAGAAGCTAAAAAGCAAAAAGAGGGTGTGTGATGGGGAAGCAGCCGGCCACAGCGTCCAGGATCATGGCTCAATCCGGAAGACAATCTTACTTGTTAATTTGTGTTTTGCTGCCCTGATAAACAATCAGGGCTATATCTCACCAGAAGATAAGAGATCTATCTGATGTGGCAGGTGGTAAAATAGCATGGCCAAAGGAACAGTAAGACTGTCAAATTCGGATTTGAAAGGTGAGTTGTTATTTAGAGATTGTATAAGCAGTTCACTGAAAGAATGTGCCGCTTCACTGCAAGGTTTTGCCTTTCATCGTGTGTGTGTGTGTGTGTGTGTGTGTGAGAGAGAGAGTGTGTGTGTGTGTGTGTGTGTATTTAAACTTGCTACCAGGTTTGTACAGTTTTCTATTTTGTTCATTTGCCATATCATTATAAACAGAACAGCTACTTCAGATTGTGGGAGGAAGATTACTAGACTAATGAAAAAAGGGAAAAAAATAAAAAAGATATCTTATTTTATAAGCATGTGTTTTCACATGCTGAATTGTTAACAAAAGAGAATAATAAAACATTTTAATCTTACCAAAATGCTATCCTTTGGAACAATATGCTATTATTTTCAAATAAAAAAGAGTGCATACTCTTGAATGAACGAGTGCATCTTTTAAGAATATTTTTCTATCTTTCTTTTATTGTGGAGCGGCCTGTCAAGACCCGCACATAGAAAGGTGCACGTTGGAAGAGATTTTCCATTGTCACTTGGAAAATTTACTGGGTTACTGAAGAGGATAGTTTTAAATTATGTCACTTGATTCCTATAACAACCTTATAGGTGTGGACTTACTACTCCTGTTTTAAATATAAAGTGTCTGAGGTGCAGAGAAATTAACAATCTTGCCCAAAGTCAAATGAATGTCTAACTCATAAGTCAAGGGGTGCTTCTGTGTTACTCAGCATGAGGCAAATTGGTGTTGGGTAGAGGTACCCTGTTTTTCACAGCAATAGCTTGAATGAGAATGCCGTGCCATGAGGGCTTTCTGAGATACTGAAAATGGTTCCTTTTAAATGCTAGACATAAATCTTCGCTACCAGGTGGTGCTTTGTAAGTGTAAAGAGTGTTCTCTACACCCACACATAGACGCCTAGTAGCAGCAACATTGTATTTGAAGCATGGGCCCATGCAATTGAAGCATGTTTAAGGGACAGCCTATAAATGTAGGCACCATTTTAAGGGAACACTCCGTGATTTTTTTAAAGTTCCCAGTCTGTCAAATCTTGTCATTTTTTTTTTTTTCCTGAGACTGAGTTTCACTCTTGTTGCACAGGCTGGAGTGCAATGGCATGATCTCGGCTCACTGCAACCTCCACCTCCCGGGTTCAAGCGATTCTCCTGTTTCAGCCTCCCAAGTAGCTGGGTATTACAGGCATGCGCCATCAAACCCGGCTAATTTTTTTTTGTATTTTTAGTAGAGGCAGGGTTTTTCCATGTTGGCCAGGCTGGTCTTGAACTCCCAGCCTCAGGTGATCTGCTCCCCTCAGCCTCCCAAAGTTGGGATTACAGGTGTGAGCCACTGCGCCCGGGAAATCTTGTCATCCTAAATCCAGAGAAGACCTCTGAGATCATCTATTTCTAATCCCACCATTTTTTGCTGATGGAACCAAAAACCAGAGATGAGGAAAAATAGTAGATGGTAGCCTTTTTGTCAAAATATGTAGTAATGATTTGCTAAGGGCTTTATGAATAACACTTATAATAGCACAACATGTCCAGATTAACATTAACATTTTCATCATAGCGATAAAGCCCTGGAAGCTGGTGGACTCTGGGTGGCTTTTTCAGGGTTAAAAGTCTAGTAAAGTGACAAGGCTGGGACTGAAGTGAGGTTTGGTTCTAATACCTGCACCCTGTAGCTTCTATTCAACCTGTCCTGAAGTCGCCCACTCATCTGAGTAGAATCAGGACTAGACCCCAGAGCTCCTGTGTCCCATAGGAAAGTGCTTCATATTCTCTTCTCTTCTGCTCATATAACACGCACCAGGTATAGTGGTGTGGAGGGTCGGCAGGCAGAGTTGAGCATCGGCAGGAAAAGGAAGACATAAAGAGTAATTTCAGTGTATTGTAATTATGGTTGTCCTGTTTTTAAAAGCTGGACCAAATTTCATCCCTGGTGAAAACCCCCCATGCTCTAAATGGGCAGAACTGCACAGCCCACCGATTTTGAGTTCTGTACTCAGCACCACTAGTGATTCATTTCATGACCTTGATCAAACCACTAAACCTTTCTTTATCTCAGTTTCTCCATCCATAATGTGATTATAAATAATACATGCCCCCTAGCTATTTCACAGGGGTCACAAAGGCATTAATAATGTAATTATTTATAAAGTACTTTGAAATCCTTGAGTGAAATATGATATTAAAAATATCACTGCACTCAAAATAGTCCCTGACAGGCAGACTTAAATGAGAGAACTATTGCTCTCTGAGTGGAAAATATGTCTGACGTGGTATATAATTTTCCTTCAGAAAAATGTCTTTCATACAAGGGTCTCAAAACCTCATTAGTTTGGTTTAAGGTGCCTGAGATTCTGTGGTTTGTTGACCATGGGCAAGAGGCTTGATTAGGCTTGCTCTTTTTTTTTTTTTTTGCTGTACTTTCATAACTCTATTAAAACAAGAAGGGAATGAAATTATGAGCACTCCAAATTAGGGTTGCCAGATAAAATACAGAACACAAAGTTATATTTGAATTCCAGATAAACAATAAATACTTTTTTATGTAAATACATGCTAAATAAGTATATTACTTATACTAAAAAAGCATTATTTATGGAAAATTTTAATGTAATTAAAAGCTCCTTATTTTTATTTGCAAAAACTGCTAACACTGCCTCAACACTACTTGTTCAACTAACTTAATTATATCTCAGTCTAAATTGGTAAAAATCTTGTGTTTGATGATTGCAAAGATAACCATTTTTAAAGATTTGCTAATATAGAAACGAAACAAACAATATCAGTAGCCTAAGTCAACACGTTTAAATTTTCCAAATGCAAATAGTATGCTTGATTCTTCTTTACAGTTTTGAGATTCATTGTGATTTCTGTAACATTATAAGCACCAGATAAATGTTCATTGAATGAATGAATAAATGAGTGGTGGAGTATACGAACAAATCAAATTAAGCTGAAGGAACTTAAAGCACTTTGTCAACTTGCTTTTAAAAATACATCTGAATTTTAATCAGTTACCATGTAACTATTCTATTTGGAAGTTTCTTCTAAGATGAGTAAATTAGTTTCATTTTTATAACTTGTAAGCTTTTATTAAGTTCAATAAGCACTTATTGGAGATCTTTTTATGCAAAGTGTTTATCTTGGTGTTAGATTGTATATTAATCATTCATCAAGTTATTATTGATTCAGGAGCAAATTTCACGTGTCTTCAATTATAGAAATAATTACACAATAATAACTGGTTACTTATTTGAAATTCTTTGCCCAGTGGAGTTATCCTAAATGAAAGCAGGAGTAGTGAGAATGAAAACTATGAAAAGATTTGTGAAAAAAAATTGTAAGTTAAATTAGAAATAAACACATATAGGTGATGAAAGAAATCAAGGGAAAATAAAACCTCCACTGAGAGGTGAAACAGAGTCCAGGGCTGTAAACAGAAAACATGGGTTCCAGGGTTCCAATCCCTATCCCGTTCAAAACTCTGTAATCATAAGAAGTTTACTTAACCTCTGAAAGCATAGTTTGTTTAGCTATGAAGTGTAGATAATAGTAGAACCTACTACACGAGGTAATTGTGAGTATTGGACAAGTTAATGCAAAGGAAGTGCCTGACCTAGTCCCTGGTGGGAGAGGTGTGCTTTGCCCTCCCATTTGTTTTCATCGTGTCTCCTTGCACTGTATTATTATTAAATCCACAGGGCTAAGGTAGCACATCTCTGATGACTTATTTACTTTAAGTAAGTATTTAAAATAGTTTTATAAAAGCAAAAATAATGATGTTCTTGCAAAACATGTAATTCACCTAAAATATGAAATACAGGTTTTCTTACAAATGTAATGCTACTTGCAGGCCACATTTCTACTCTAGATTGTTGTGAAATCCTTTATTGTTTTGTGTTACTAAAGTTATAAAAGTTGAATGTTTGAGAAACTCTTGACTAAAAATTCAAGATATCTTGAGTAAAGCATGCATTCAGTACAGAGCAGGTGGTCAGTAAATTTTGATTATGACCTTTCAGGCTCTTTATATTTGTTACCATGTTTAACTTTTACAGGTAAGTGTTGCATTATGCTTCTCTATCCCCAATTTATGTAAGGGAAAAGAGAGGCTCAAGAGCTCCAAAAACTTCCCCAGGGCACTGCAGTTGTAAGTGGGCTGAAGCCCTATGCTGTTGCTAAATGCCTGGCCTTTCATTTCACATCATTTTTCCCTGGAAAGTGCCCTGGGGTCAGGGCTGGCATTGTGGGGAAAGTGACCCCATCTGAATATAGAGAAAAAGTTTTAGGGAGAATTCTAAATTTATTTTGCTTGATAGTGAGTTAGGCTATCAGACATAATCCCTTTTCTAAAATCAACCTCACTAAGCAGCAAAATAAACTCGAAAACTGAAAAATGATTATTACAGACCTTGACAAGCAAGCATTGCTAATAAAAATGATAATGATCTTCAGAACCTAATTGTTTCTGATTCTGTTATGGGGACACACGGAGAGCATCACCACAGACAGAAGACCACTAGGCTACTTCTCCCCTCTGGTAGAGGACATTTCCTGCCAGGGGCTGGAGGTAACAACATGAATCCTGCTCTGGCAACAGTGTTAATTTCAAGCTCTGTTAAATGCATGAAATAATAAGTGTACAATTTCTTATTCAGAACAAAATTACAAAACCATTAACTGTTTCACCAACAGTGAATAAATTACCCTTTGACAGGCAGTTTGCATAGATCAAGCAAAAAGAAGATGCTAGAGGAAAGGAGGACTTCAGATTCCTTTCCAGCTAGTATTCTGAGGCCTCTCTGTTTTCTGTTTCTCATTCTTCCTTTCTCTGACTCCATGTTATAGTTTACCTTGATCACCCTGCCTTCCCCACTTACTCAACCCAATTATTACCAATCACCTCTTTTCAGCCTCACTCAGTACTCCCTCTGAGACCAACTGTGCCTCTATCCCAGAGGTATTCTCACTTCAGTGTGCGTCTTAATCAACTAGAGAGTATGCTAACGTCAATATTGCTGGGCCGCACTAGACTTTCTGATTCTTGGGCCCAGAATTTGCATTTCTAACACGTTTCTAAGGGATGCTAATGTTGCTGGTTTAGTGAAAATCACTGCCCTAACTAACCAGAAAGATCCTGGCTCAGAAGTGCTTTTGGCTCAGAATCCAGCTGTTTGCTGTGGGCAACCTATTCTCATTTTCTGGGTCAGTACCTAGTTATTTGCTGTAGAAAACCAATTTTAATTGAACCCTTTGTCAGAATCTAAAACGCTTGCAGTCTCTGTCTTTTTAACCTACCTAACACTTATCATCTATTCACAAGGCATCCGCACCTTGCTGGATGATGAATACGATCCCTTCCTTCCTCTTACATTCCAACAAAATACCTGTAATTCTTATTGAGGAACAGTGAGGGAAAAATCAGACAAGAAGCAGGGCAGGAAATGAAACAGATTTGAGTGTTGAATATTAGTCCTGCTGCCACCTCTCACGTGTTCCCTAACCTCACCGGGATGCTTCATTATCTTAAAAGCTCACAGAGCTCTGGTGAAGATGACATAAATTCACACTGAGGTTCTCAAATTTTGGATCACATCAGAATTTCTGGAAGATTTGTTAAAAAGTATCAATTACTGAACCCCACCCCTAGAAGCTCTGGCTCTAAATCTGGGGGAGACTCCAGGAATTTGCACTTATGCTAAGTATACAGGAAGTGCTGATGTGGCTGGTCCAGAGGCTACATTTTGGAAGTTATTCAATGATTAAAACAAAACACTTAGCAGAGGGTGTAAAGCATCTATAGGAATTCAAATGCTTTTCCCCTTCTCCTCTTTTTTGTTTTTATTGGTCCTCAAGGTCTTAATTATTTGAATAGCTCTTTAAAAACTTCTATGCCCCAAGGCTTAACCTTATTTCTGATTAACCTTATTTCTCTGAATTTGACTTTTCCATTTACCAGTTCAAAAGTCCATTTTATTTTTATTCTTTACCATCATGACAATCTGGTCCTATAGCACCCAATTCATATGGCATCTGTATCCAGAGTTCAGGCTCTATCCTCTCTGTCTCTTTAATCTTCAGCTACATTTGGCCTCTCCCCAAAAACTCTCTCCCATAATTAGTCACATACTTTGGCAGCAATGGAAGGGTGAGACTAGATTATTCTCTGCTCCAGGTAAAGGCAGAAGATCATCTGAACTCTCACTGTTCAAAATGCTTTGAATGCAGTGTTCTATTAAAACAAACAGACTGTCTGGATGCAGACAGTTGCATCTGCCCCTAAAAACTTTCAACTTTTGAAAAGCAACAGCAAGATAAAAGAGCATCAAATCTATTTGGAAATTTGTCCCTTGGCAATACGCCTCTTGTTTCTGACTCTGGAAACTTTTGAGCTTCCACTTTTTTTTCATCTTTCTGTGCCCACCTCCCTTCCCCACACTTGTGTGCTGGCACACTCCCACACACCTCCCATCCTATTGCGCCCAGCTAGAGGGATGCAGGAGGCAAAGATCAGACTGTACTTCTAAGAGATAAAAGCCAGTGCACTCCATTTATAGGGTCATGCTCTTCTACTACATGTTTCATCTAGGCATCTCCAACCACTGCATAAACACTTTGCAAAACTTGCTCTTGTCCTTAGTTCCAAAAGGGGAAATGGAATGCAAACCTCTTTCTTTATCATGTGGCACTTCATCAATAACAATGGATTGCAGGACGAACTTAAAGGGGCCAAGTGCTCTCTGGAGCTGTTCCTATTTCTCTAAAATGTATTCATTGTTTAAAAGACAATGTAGGTAAATATTAAAATGTGATTCCTGGGCAAGAGTGGCCTCTCAGTAAGAATTTTAGAAAATTAACTTTAGGACCAACTTCACATGATAAACGATATATGACAGATCATGTCTTTACTTTAAAAAAACAGTTTTAAATAGTATACAATAACATAATTCACATTAGAGAGTTAGTAGAGCTCAAATACATTAATAATCTAAAGCTCATCACAAAATGTAATAGAGAGCTGTGCTTTAAATATGCCCACCCCTACAGACACACACACACACACACACACACACACACACACACACACACACGACACCTCAGAGAATGAAGACCAACTCTGAGAATGGCATACTTCTTGTGCAGTATTTCAGAGGGTGTTAGACATCCAACATGAAACTCAAGTTACTTTGTCAACTTAAGGTTGATGGAATGGTACAGAATGAGAATGAATCTGAGAGAAGATACCTAAATTCAATTCCAAAAATGTTTCATCAACCCTCTTTATTTCTGAATATTTCCTCTCACTAACCTGTCTTTTTCTCTTTTGCACTAAAACATTAAAATTTCTCAATATTTTACTTCAAGTGATTCTGTCCTCCTGTAATTAGAGGTTGATCAATCAACATAATGTCTTGTTTATGTCGAGACAAAGCCATGCAAAGCACAATGGCTATTGTGCTAGTCGAAGTCTTGAGGTCCATTTACAGGGATGTCATCCATCATCGGAAGTACACTGACATTCATTGACTGCCTGCACTGAGGCATGAATGTGCATATATTATTTTATTTGTACTAAGCAGCAATGCCATATAGCAAATATCAACAACCTAGTCTTTCAAGTTGGCTTGGAGGCTTAGGGATGTTGGTTAACTTGATCAAGTTCATGGTACTAGCCAGAGAACCAGAATTGGAATCCAAACCTGACTAGATTAACTAGTTCAACCACTGTGGAAGTCAGTGTGGCGATTCCTCAGGGATCTAGAACTAGAAATACCATTTGACCTAGCCATCCCATTACTGGGTATATACCCAAAGGATTATAAATCATGCCACTATAAAGACACATGCACACGTGTGTTTATTGTGGCACTATTCACAATAGCAAAGACTTGGAACCAACCCAAATGTCCAACAATGATAGACTGAATTAACAAAACGTGGCACATATATACCATGGAATACTATGCAGCCATAAAAAATGATGAGTTCATGTCCCTTTCAGGGACATGGATGAAGCTGGAAACCATCATTCTCAGCAAACTATCGCAAGGACAAAAAAACCTAACACCACGTGTTCTCACTCATAGGTGGGAATTGAAAAATGAGAACACATGGAAACAGGAAGGGGAACATCACACACTTGGGCCTGTTGTGGGGTAGGGGGAAGGGGGAGGGATAGCATTAGGAGATGTACCTAATGTTAAATGACGAGTTAATGGGTGCAGCACACCGACATGGCACATGTATATATATGTAACAAACCTGCATGTTGTGCACATGTACCCTAAAACTTAAAGTATAATTTAAAAAAAACCTGTGATCTCTATGTTTAGCAATTTCTGTCTCTGTCATAGATAATAAGAGAGAGAGGTCCACCCCAGCTTTATCAAATTTTGTCACTTTACAAAATACATCATGGTTTTATATATATGATTTAATTAAGTGAGCAATTAGAAGTTGGTATGTGCTCAGCATGGATAGTAACTAGTTAGTGACTTGTTACATTAAGAAGATTTAACTATTACTTAAAATAGTAGCTGGGCGTGGTGGCTTGTGCCTATAATCCCAGCTGTTCAGGAGGCTGAGGTGGGAGAATTGCTTGAGACCAGTAGTTCAAGAACAGTGTGGGCAACATAATGAGATCCCATCTCTAAAAAATCAATCAATCAATTAATTAATTAATTTAAAATTTTAAAATCCAGTAAATACAAGCTAAGACTGGGTGTCAAGACTCTTTTAGCCAAGTGAGTGGTTTTGCAAGTCCAATGGATATTTTGTTTGCTTAAGGGTGTGCTTCTGGTTTTTCATAGGCAGAAGCAAACACAATAGAGCATGAGAGAATCCCACAAAATTAATTTATGTGCATTTTGCATCACTTTCTAATATCTTGCTGGACATTATTGCAGGTAGAAAGACTTGTTCAAAAATGTTTGATTCTGGAATCTAATTTTATTTTATGTTTGAATGAAAAACATAGTTTTCACTAGGTTATAATATTACTGAGTGTTCCAGAAATGCAACTAACCTATAAATTGAGGCAAAGTTTTACTCTTTTTAAGAATGCTGCCAAAAATTGTTCACTCTACTGGAAAAGCACATCATGAGCAACAATGCTGTACTATTTAAATTGCTAATAAAATACACCTGTTTCAAGTAGCTTCTATTGCTGTTGCTTTCATTATGATTCTATGTACAGATGCATGTATTTGTTTCTCTCTGTCTTCTATTATAGATCTGCCTGCTAATTTACATATTGAGAAGCATGTTATTTCATTATGAATTACTTTCGTTAAGTTTCCCCTTTATACAATTATTAGTGCAATATTTTAAAAATATTGTATTGATGAATCAGACTATCTATAAATTTCATTTCAAAATAGTAAAGGTGCATTATGAAGCATTGATTATAAAAGGATGTGTTGGTTATTATAGGATTCTGAGCCACTGGGCTAAGCTCTCAGTTACCTACATGGATTCTTTAACTTTTACCTTCTCCAGTGTTCCAAACCAAAAGAAAAAAAAAGGCAAATGTGGACTTACATCTTCCCCTTGACTGGTACAGTCCTTATTTGTTTTATTCTAAATGGAAAGTATAGGCTTTTAGTACTGACAAAGCTGTAATCCACGTAATTCAGTCTAAACGTATTGTGACAGTTAAAATAACACTGTGCAAAGTTAAAACACCTATTAAAACATCAGAATACACCTATTAACCTGGCAAAGATTAGAAAGTTGGATAAAGCCAAGTGTTTACATGTAATAGAAAATTGTCCTTTTTTTTCACTGTAGGAAGCATGAGCTGGAGCAGCTGTCCTGGATGGGTACTGATGGTCACATTAAATATACGCATATATTTTGCCTTAGTATTTCCATTCCTGGGCATGTATCTCAAATATATTTCTGTATATATACCTCAAATACATTCTCACATGGCTCTATAATAAAAGAAAATACACAAAAATGTTCATTGCAGGGTAATGTATGGTAGCTAAGAACCGAGAGCAACCTGGTGGTCAGCACCAGGACAGTGAACAAGTAAAAATGTTAAGTTTTAAGTTTTATATAGCCTTTGAAGGCATTACATTCAGTGTACACATAGGAACATGGATAAATCTTAAAATCTAAGTGATTAGTAAAAATATCTAAGACAAAGACTGCTATATAAATATATATATAAATTTACATAAATTTAAAAATATGCAAAAGAAAATATACTTTTGTAGTAATATATAATAAAAATACATATTAAGCCTAGTGAAAGACTTGCCTATAAATTACAGTTGTAATAATAATGTATCAGGCTAAAGGTAATACAAAAATTAATACAAAATAGATAAAATAGATATTAATTGCTTTTTTGTCTATGCAACCAAATTCAATTTTAAAATTGTCTTTTATTTGTATTTCTTCAGAGAAAAGACATATAACAACAAAAAAAGAACTCCTTTTCAAACTTTTAGAAATTAGATTATTTTCCCCTTATTATAGAGCTGATAAATGCTAAATATCAAGTAAAAAGTTCTGATCAGAAATACAGTTTTTCCAAGGCTGCTCTTCTCAATGACCCTGTACAATAATTTGTAGTCCTGGTTTTTACAAACCCTCACTGACCTGTTTTTTTCATATTTTCACTATTTTCTCTATTGTAAAAATTCAAGAGTCAACTTAACAAAGTAGGAACCATCCTAGATGGAGGGTGGAGAAATGAAAGAAACTGATGCAGGACAAGCCTGGATTCTCTTTAGTTATCCCAAGGAAGCAAGAGCCAGGGTCAGCCTCACCATACACATTCAGAATGTACCCTCAATGATTCTGTGGACTCCCACAAACTCCACTCACATGGAATAAGATTTAGTCATTTGCCGAGGTAATCAGAAAGGACCAGTTAAAAACAAGAAGATTTGGTTCTCAAAATCATCTTTTGAAAGCATGTTTATAAAGGGCAGTAAAACAGTCTGAAAACACTGTTATCTCTACAGAGGAAAAAATGTAATAAAATAAAGGGGATTGTTCTGACCTGGATACTGGAACTCTGTAGTGCTACATTTTATATTGGCGGAAATCTTTTCACCAAAGCTTACCATAGATTCAATAAATGACACCCAAAGGCTGTCCATTCTCCTTTACTTCAACATTTTGACAATCAATTCAATTTTCAGAAGCCTTGGCCTCCAAAAATAAGGGTCTTATATAAGGAGGTAAGTGTTTCAGTCATGAGAAAAGAATAGCCAGAATTATAAACGATGACACTGGTATATAGTTTATATAGCAGAGTCAAGTAAAACTGCTTTACATAAGTACATTTATCCAATCACTGGTTGCTTTTATAAAGTCAATTCAAGAAACTTTTTAATTGAAAATCGTAATTAGAATGTGGAGATCCAACTAGTTGTTGACCAAAAGTGAGTCTATTTCTACGTGATCAATTTCTTTTTCTGGTTGCCATATCTGTTTCACTTCTTTTATGGCAGCTTAATGGGACACCCAACAACAAGCTTGATTATTTATGAGCATAGTTGAAAACTGCTTATCTTTCTAAGTAGTGACATTTTCTTTCACCAATCTTTAAGTGAAGAGATTACTCAATTTAATCACACCCTCCACCTCACCTAGCATACTAGTATGTACTAATAAAAATTTGGAATAAATTAAAACCAATAAGTCTGGCAGCTGACTTCAGCAGAAAGCTCACAGGCCAGGAGAGAGTGAAACAATATATTTAAAGTACTGAAGAAAAAAAGCCAACTAAGAATACTGTACCCAGCAAAGTTATCATTCAAAAATGAGGGAAATATAAAGACTTATCCAGAAAAACAACTGATGAGAGAATTTATTGCTACGAAACTAGTCCTATAAGTAATGTTAGAGGGAATTCTTCAAATTGATTAAAAAGGTCACGAGCATAATTATTATACTAATATCGTAATTGTGGTGTTTAAAACACTTATATCTTTGGTAGGAAATCTAAAGGGCCAAGCTATTAAAAATAATAACTATAGCAACTTATTAAAAGCTAGACAATATAAAAATGTGACTTGTGGGCCAGGGGCGGTGGCTCATGCCTGTAATCCCAGTGCTCTGGGAGGCCGAGGCCGGCAGATCACAAGGTTGGGAGTTTGAGACCAGCCTGGCCAATATGGTGAAACCTCATCTCTACTAAAAATACAAAAAGAATTAGCTGGGAGTGGTGGAACATGCCTGTAATCCCAGCTACTCAGGAGGCTGAGTGAGGCAGGAGAATTGCTTGAACCCAGGAGGCGGAGTTTGCAGTGAGCCTAGATCATGCCACTGCACTCCAGCCTAGGTGATAGAGTGAGACTCCATCTCAAAAAAACAAAAAAAAAGTAACTTATGATATCAAAATTTCAAAATGGAGAAGGAAATCAATGCGTACAGTTTTTTCTATTTTTTGTTTGTTTCCTCTTTTTTTGCTATCACACTTAAGTTGGCACTGGTTTTAAATACTTGCTATAATTATAGAATGTTTTCTATAAGCCTCATAGTAATCACAAAGCAAAAGCCTACAATAGATACACTAAAAATAAAAAGCAATTAATTAGAACATATTACCAGAGAAAAACACTTAAATACAAAGGCCAATAATAAGAAAGGAAAAATGAAGAGTAGTTACACAACAACTAGAAAACAAGTAAAAAAGCGTCATTAGTAGGTCCTTACCTACTGATACTGATAAATGTAAATGGACTAAATTCTCCAGGTAAAAGATGTAGAGTGGCTGAATGGATTTTTTAAAAGACCCAACTGCATGCTGCCTATAAGAAACTCACTTCATCTATAAGGACAAAAATAGACTGAAAGCGAAGGGATAAAAAAAGATATTCCACACAAATTGAAACCAGAAAAGAACAGTAGGAGCTAGCTACACTTATATCAATAAAAAAGACTTCAGGCCAAAACTCATACAAAGAAACAAGGAAGATTATTATATAATGATAAAACGGTCAATTCAGTAAGAGAATGTAACAATACTAAATATATATGCACCCAACACTGGAGCATCCAAATATATAAAGCAAATATTAATAGATCTAAAAGTAAAGATAGACTGCAATACAATAATGGTATAGGACTTTAGCACTTCACTTTCAAAAATAAACAGATCATCCAGGAAAACAATCAATTAAAAAAGTTGGAATTATACTCTAGACCAAATGTACCTAACAAACATTTACAGAACATTTTATCCAACTGCTGCAGAATACACATTCTTTTCATGAATACATGGGATATACTCTAGGATAGACCATATAATAGGTCACACAATTCTCAACAAATTAAAAAAAACTAGAAATCATATAAGTATTGTTTCTGACTACACATAATAAAACTAGAAGTCAATAACAAATAGAAACTTTGGAAATTACTAATATATAAATTTAAACAATTTTATTAAATGAACAATGTTCATTCATGCTCCTGAATGAACAATAGGTCAATGAAATCATTAAGAAGGAAGTTTTAAAAAATTAAAACAGATGAAAATGGAAACTCAAAATGCCAGAACTTATGGGAGGCAGCAAAATGGAACTAAGAGGGAATTTTATAGAAATAAATGCCTACGTTAAAAAAAGGAAAGATTCCAAATGAACACCCTAATGATGCACCCCAAGGAACTACAAAAGCAAGAACAAATCAAATTCGAAATTAGTAGAAGTAAAGAAATGATAAAGATTAGAGCAGAAATTGAGCCTAAAAATACAGATCAATGAAACAAAAAGCTATTTTTCTGAAATGATAAACAAAATCAACAAGTCTTTAGCTAGACTAAGGAAAAATAGATGATCCAAATAAATAAAATCAGAGACAAAAGAAGGAAACATTACAGTTGATACCACAGAAATTTAAAGAATCATTAGAGACTACTATTAGCAACAATATGCCAACAAATTAGAAAATCTAGAAGAAATGGATGAACTCATGGACCCACACAACTTCACCAAGATCAAACCATGTGGAAATAGAAAACCTGAACAGATGAATAACAAGCAAAGATATAGAAGCTGCAACAAAATGTCTTTAATTCAAGAAACTCCCAGGAGCTGATGGCTTTACTACTGAATTCTATTAAACATTTAGAGAAGAATTAGTACTAATTCTGCTCAACGTATTTCAAAAGTTGAAGAGGAGGGAATGTATTCAAACTCATTGTATAAGGCAAGCATTACTATGATACCAAAACCAAAGACACACAAAAAAGAAAACTACAGGCCAATATCACTGATTCACATAGATGCAAAAGTTATCAACAAAATAGTAGCAAACAGAATTCACCAACATATTAAAAAGATCGTTTACCATGATCAATTGACATTCATTTCAAGAATGCAAGGATGTTTCAACATACGCATAATCAATAACTGTAACACTTTGCAGTAACAGAATCAAGGGCAAAAACCGCATAATCGTTTTAGTAGATGAAGAAAAAGCATTTAATAAAATTCGACATCCTTTTATAATAAAAACCCTCAGCAAAAATCCTCAGCAAACTGGGTGTAGAGGGAACATACCTCAACACAATAAAGGCTACATATGATAAGCCCACAGTTAATATGATACTGAATGGAGAAAAAATGAATGCCTTTTCACTAAGATCAGGGATGAGACAAGGATGCCTATTTTTATCACTTTTATTCAACATAATACTGCAAGTTCTAGACAGAACAGTTAGAAAAGAGAAAAATAATAATGGCCATTCAAAATAGAACAGAAGAAGTCAAATTATCCTTGTTTACACATAATATCTTATATTTAGAAAAATCTAAGAGCTAAAACCATGAAACTACTAGAAGAAAACACTGGGGAAACACTACAGGACATTGGTCTAGGACAAAGATTTTTGGCGTAAGACCTGATAAGCATAGGCAACTGAGGCACAAGCAACAAATGGAATTATGTAAAGCGAAAAAGTTCTATACAGCAAAAGAAACCATAAAGAAGTAAAGAGACAACATATAGAATGGGAGAATATATTTGAAAGCTAACTATCTAGCAGGAAAATAATCATCAGAATATATAAGAAACTCAAGCATCTCAATAGCCAAAACAATTCAATTAAAAAATGGGCAAAGGACATAAATAGACGTTTCTCAAAAGAAGACATGCAAATGGCCAGAATGTATATTAAAAAATACTTAACATCACTAATTATCAGGGAAATGAAAATCAAAACCAAAATAAGATATCATCTCACCCCAGTTGGAAAAACTATCATTAAAAGGACAAAAAGTAACATATGATAGCAAAGATGTGGAGAAGGGAAGATGCTTGTACACCGTTGGTGGGAATGTAAAGTACAGCCATTATGAAAAACAGTATGGAGTTTACTACAAAAACTAAAAATGATACTACTGTGTGATCCAGTGGTCCCACTGCTGGGTATATATCCAAAAGAAAGGAAATCAGTATATCAAAAAGGCTTCTGTGCTCCCATGTTTATCGCAGCACTGTTCACAATGGGCAAGATATGAAATCATCCTAAGTGTCCATCAATGGATGAATGGATAGAGAAAATGTCTTCTACATACAAAGTGAGATAATATTCAGCCATAAAAAAAAATGAAATTCGGTCATTTTCAGTAACATGGATGGATCTGAAGGTCATTATGTTAGTAAAATAATCCAGGCACAGAAAGATAAATATCGCGTGTTGTCACTCATGTGGGAAATCAACAAGCGTATCTAACAGAGGGACAGAGTAGAATGGTGGTTACTAGAGGCTGGGAAGGCAAGGGAGGAGAGAGAATAAACAGAAGTTGGTTAATGAGTACAAAAATAAGGTTGGCGGCTGGGCAGAGTGGCTCATGCTTGTAATTCCAGCCCTTTTGGAGGCCGAGGTAGAAAGACCTTGAGACCAGAAGTTCATGACCAATCTGGGCAACAATTACCCGGTCGTAGTGGAGTATGCCTGTAGTGTCAGCTACGCAGGAGTTTGAGAGGGGAGGGGATCATGTAAGCCCAGGAAATTGAAGCAGCAGTAAGCTATGATCACGCCACTGCACTCCCACCTGGGGGATGGATCCAGACCCTATCTCTATAAAAAAATAAAATTGGAGAGATGGAATACATTCTAGTATTCAATAGTACAGCAGGAAAATTATAGTTAATAATTTATTCTATATTTCAAAACAGCTAGAAGAAAAGAATTGTAATGTTCCCAGTACAAAGAAAATATAATTGTTTGAGGTGGTGGATATTACAATTACCCTGATTTGATCATGTACCCCCAAATATGTACAAATATAATATAGCAATAAAAAATACAGTGAAGAATTTTAAGTATAGCAGTTTTCATAGTTGCTTCTTAGGGAAAAAAAGGGCCTGTATTTTCTACTTTGTATTGTATTCAATATTCAAGAAAATCCTCTTCCTATTGTAGATTAAAGGAACATTGAAAATACTCACCTTTATTAAAGGAAATAAAATAGGTAGTTATACAGTGTTCTAAGAGTTTCTCCTTAATACGTTCTTCCTAACACTTCCTTTCCACAGTTCTTAACGTCCCTTTGTGAAACCATGTGAAATCATCCTGGCTTGGGATTAATTTGATTTAACACATTTTTCTTTTCTAATGGAAGAATCCTGAATGTGTGGAGGATAGTATGTGCTCATAGAGACTGAATGAGACACACTCGTTAGAACATGGGTTGCCCTTTATGATGTGTTAATTAAGCTGAATCAAAGTTTGAGTTCAGACTGTGAATGATCCCGACACATAATCTTTATCTAGGACGCAATGTGGGGGGGTGGGGGGGTGGTTAGTGAATGCTATTTGGCTAGAAAATTATATGAAAACCAAAACAAAGCAATATTTTACTAATCATATTATTGCAATGCTCTGTATAATAAAAACTCTGGGCCTGTGAGTCATGAAGACCTGAATTTAAAATCTAGCTCTGCTACTTTCTAGCTGTGCAATATCTGAAAAATTATGTAAACATTTTGAGCCTCAAAGTTCTCATCATAAAATAAACATAATAACTTTTCAAGGTCGTTGTGAGGTTTGAACACTTTCACGTACATAAATCACTTAACATATTGCCTCACGCATGGATACTTTTCTAAATCCAGAGATATTAGATGGAAGTATTGATGTTCAAGGTGTAAGCAGAGTTAAAATGGGTGAGAATTCATGAGCAGGGAGGACACAAGGCCCAATCGATGCTTTACTCTTTGTTCTTTTTTATAATGCTTTGAGGCTTGGAATGGAGATTTGTCTAGTTGAATCTGGGCCAGTATTCATAACTTATTTGGATTAAATGAGTAAACCATATTGATGACTGTTTTGTGTCATCAACAACTGTGCAATCATATTCATGTGTGCTTCATGCAAAAAAAATGAGTGTGCTTTTGAGTGCTTGGTGCTTCAGGGACAGAATATGAAATCATAGTTAGTTAGGATATAACTGAGAATGGCAGCCAAATAAACCGCAGGCAAATGTTCTACCTAAGAAATAGCAGCATATGCCAATAACAGTACATCTGCTAATGAAATGAGGATGCTAATAAAAAAAGTTAAAATTTGTAAGAATTTTGAAATGTCAAGTTATACATCCTTTTGAGACCAAACTTTCCAAATATTATTTTCAGCTGTCAATTGCAACAGTAGTTGCCACTTATAAGTACTTACTATGTCTCAAGCTCTTTGCATATGCTATCCCATAACATCCTTGCAACCTCTATGTGTGCTAGGTGTTATTACCCATATTGCTGCACAGGAAGCTGCAAAACAAAAGATGAGTTTCTTGTCCAAGTTTTCACAGACATTAAGTGATAGAATTTGTGTTTAAATTCTGTTCAGCCTTTTTTTTTTCCTCCCCTTGAAGTCCATGCTTGCTCTATCACATGGTGCTGTCACTTGCTGCTATTATTTTGGGGCTGAAATTATAAGGCACCATGAAATTTAGCAAAGTTTTAAACTGGAATGATAAAGAAAGGAATGCAGACAAAATGAGTAGCTTTTCAAATTAATTATCTTCACCAGTTTACTGCGTATAATAACATCACCTGGGAAACTTTTGCTTCACCAATTCTAATTCTATCATTTTGATTTTCTACTACATATGAACTCTCAGTCAACACCCAACAATGCCTGAAACTCCCACATACATGATACTTAATGGCATGAAATATGTATTCATGTCTTTCTCTTTGATTATCATGGCACAGAACTACAAAGCTTGAAAGAAATATTAGAACTATTATATGTAATACCACAGAAAGAATTATAGCCTAATATTTAAAATTTCTGGTAAAAATGTAATTACTTCCTGTTGAGGTTTATTTATAAATGGCAATTATACACACCTTTTTTATGTTCTCACAAAAACTATAAATCATGGTCTTAATCAGATAATCTCCAGCCAGCATGTATGTTGCAGCCCTCTGATATATGTAGAAGAGAAGCCACTAACTGGGAAATAATGACATCCTGTGAATCTTTCCCATGCTGGTGGCCTCTGGAGACTCTCCACTCCACCCCATCCCCCACAACCATAGAGTCTCCTTTGGAGAGTTCTCTACTTTCACTGTGTCTAACTGACGGTGCCAGACATGAGCACCCACTCAATAGTGCGTTTTCTGTGGCCATATGACTATAATTTACTTTTCTACCATCACCTCAGTTTCTTTGGATCAGAACTTGGCATGAAGCTTTTTTCTTTTCTGCTTTTATTAGCTCATCTCCTGAAAAACTGACTTATTTCAGAGGCATTCCTATTTTATTTTAAATAAATAAGTACAAGAGCATTTGTAGCTCCAAGATTGCTTGAAATAATGCATGCTAAATTTACCAACTCAGTGCAGATTGACACATTTCAGTGCCCAGAGGAGACAGGTTTGACAGCCTTGCCTTTGACGTGGAATGCTACTTGGGTTCACACAGTGGATGGTGAAAGGAAGTTAGAAACTTGCCTAGAAAATAAATACCAAAAGCCTGTTTTCTCCCTTTTGAGTCTTTAAAAATTTATTACAACAAATACTATTTTTAATAAAAATTAAGATGGTGGAATAGAAGCCTACACCTTTCATCCCGTTGCTGGAACACCAATTTTTACCGACTATCTGCACACAGAAAAACATCATGACAAGAACCAAAAATCAGGTCAGCAATCACAGTACCTGGTTCTAACTTTGTATCATGGAAAGAGATATTGAGGAGGGCATGAGATACAGTCTTGAATTGCTGAAGCCTCTTCTCCCCCATACACTGGCAAGGGGGTATGCAGCAGGAAGAATCTGTGCACTTTGAAGAGGGAGAGTGCAGATACTGGGGGACTTTTCACTGAACAGTGCTGCCCAGTCACAACAAAAAATATAGCTGTCATGGGCTCAGTCAGCACCCATAAACAGAGGGAGCATTTGGACCAGCCCTGGCCAGAGGGGAGTAGCCCATCCCAGTGGCCAGAACTTGACTTTCTTTTCAAGCCTCACCATAATGAGCTAGAGTGCTCTAGAGTGTTAGGTAAACTTGAAAGGCAGTCTAAGACACAAGGATTGCAATTCCTAGGCAACTCCTGGTGCTAGGTTAGGTTTAGAGCCAGTGAACTAGGGGGGGCACATGACCTAGGGCGATATCAGCTGTCACAGCAAAGGGATGGCTTGCAACATGAGTGTGGCTCATAGCAAGGAAAATAATTCCATCCTTCTCCTTAAGGAGACAAAAGTGAAGAGTAAAAAGGACTTTGAAGCTTAACCACAGTAGACTAGGGCACTGGGCAGTCACGAGGCCCCCATTCTAGGACTTAGCTCCCAGATGACATTTCTGGACACACCCTGGACCAAAAAGGAACCCACTGCCTTGAAGGGAAGGGCCTAGTCCTGACAGACTTCCTCACTTGCTGGCTAGAGAACCCTTAGGCCCTGAATAACAAGCAGCAATAGCCAGGGAGTACACCATGGGGCTTGGGCTCTGAGACATGCTGACTTCAGGGTGACCATGGTGAAATCTACAGTGGCTAAGAAATCTAAAGATTTCTTCTGTTTGAGTAAAACAGAGAAAAAAGTGAGGTAGACTTTGTCTTGCCCTTTATGTACCAGCTCAACCACAGTGGAGTAAGACAACAAACAGGCCCTTGGGGTCTCTAAATGCAGGCCTTGGACAGCATTTCTGGCCTTCCCTGGGACAGAGGGGAGCACACTGCCCTGAAGGGTGAGTCCCAAGCATCGCAGCATTCACCACAAGCTCATCCTTTAAGTAAACTACAGCACTGGACTGGCAGTATCCCCCAAGGACTGGCAGATTCCTCTGTGGACTGGTGGTGGTGGTGGCTACCGGGAGAGGCTCTTCTCCCTGTGGAAAGGTGAGGGAAGAATGAGAAGGACTTTATATTGTGTTTTGAATGCCTGCTTAGCCACAGTAGAATAAAACATCAAGTAAACTGCTAAGGCTTTTGACTCTAATCTCTGGCCCTCAGGCAGTTTATCTGGACCAACCTAGGGCTTAAGTGAATTTGCCACACTGAAAGGGAAGACCCCGGGAAAGGCTGTGCTGTGTTGGCTTCAGGTCTGTTGCAGCACAGTCCCTGTGGTGGTGGCACGGAAGTGCTCGAATCACCACACCCCCAGTTCCATGTGGCTCAGCACAGATAGTGAGACTCTATATGTTTGGGAGTAAGCGAAGGAAAAGAACAATCATCTCTACCTGGCAATCAAGAGAATTATTCCAGATCTTATCTGAGAGCACCAAGGCAGTAACTCTATGAGTCTGCAAAACTACAGCATTATTGGTCTTGGGGGCCAAGTCACTCCCCTGGAAAGCCTTCCTAAGAAGAACAGGCACAAACAAGCTCAGACTGTGAAGATTATAATAAATACCTAAATCTTCAATAACCAGACACCAAAAAAATATCTACATGCATCAACAACATCCAGGAAAACATGACCTAACCAAATAAACTAAATAAAGCACCAGGGACCAATCCTGGAGAAACAGAGATACATGACCATTCAAACAGAAAATACAAAATAGCTGTTTTGAAGAAATGCAAATAAATGTACAATAACACGGAGAAAGAATTCAGAATTCTGTTAGATAAATTTAACAAAGAGATTGAATTAATTAAAAAGAATCAAGAGAAATTCTGGAGTTGAAAAATGCAACTGACATGCTTAAGAATGCATGAGAGTCTCTTAATAGCAGAATTGATCAAGCAGAAGAAAAAATTAGTAAGCTTGAAGATAGGCTTTTTGAAAATACAAAGTCAGAGAAGACAAAAGGAAAACAAAGAGTAGAAAACAATGAAGCATGCCTATGAGATAAAGAAAATAGCCTGAAAAAGGCAAATCTAAGAGTTTCTGACCACAAAGAATGAGTAGAGAAAGAGATAGTGTTAGAAAGCTTATTCAAAGGGATAATATTAGAGAACTTCCCAAATCTAGAGGAAGATAACTACATTTAAGTAAAAGGAGGTTATAGAACACCAAGGAGATTTAACCCAAAAAAGACTACCTCAAATCATTTAATATCAAACTCCCAAAAATGAAGGATAAAGAAAAAATCCTAAAAAGCAGCAAGGGAAAAGACATAAATAATGTACAATGGAGCTCCAATATATCTGTCATCAGACTTTTTAGTGGAAACTGAACATGTCAAGAGAGAGTAGCATGATGTATTTAAAGTGCAGAAAGAAAAGAATTTTTACCCTAGAATAGTATATCCAGTGAAAGTATCCTTTAGCATGAAGGAGAAACAAAGACCCTCCTAGATAAATGCAAGCTGTCATATGTGTTCTACAATAAATTTTAAAGGGAGTTATTTAATCTTAAAAAAAAAAGGAGGTTAATGAGCAAGAAGAATGCATCTGAAGGTACAAAACACATTGGTAATAGTAAGCACACAGAAAAACAGATCAGTACAGCACCGTAATTGTAGTGTGGAAACATCTTTTGACTTAAGTAGAAATATTAAATATTTAATTAATCAAAAATAATAACCAAAACAACTTTTCAAGACATAGACAATACAATAAGACATATAGAGAAGCAATAGAAAGTTTGGTGTTGACAGAGTTAAAGTGTAGAGTACTTACTAGTTTCTTTTTTTTCTCATTTGTTTATTGGTTTGTTTATGTAATCAATGTTAAGTTGTCATCAGTTTAAAATAATGGGTTATAAGATAGTATTTACAAGCTTCATGTTAACCTCAAATCAAAAAACATACAATGGATACACAAAATTTAAAAGCAAAAAATTAAAGCATATCATCACAGAACGTCACCTTCATTAAAAGGAAGACAGAAAGAAAGAAAAGTAGAAAGAGAAGACAGCAAAACAACCAGAAAACAAATAAAATGACAGGAGTACATTCCTACAAATCAATAATAATGTTGTATCGGGAGAACTAGCCCCCAATATTTCAATGTAGGTTCTTTTCTATTTTCCTTAAGTGTCAGCCAGTCTGAGAAATAAAGGGAAAGAGTACAAAAGAGAGAAATTTTAAATCTGGGTGTCTGGGGCAGGTATCACATGTTCGCAGGTTCTGTGATGCCCCCTGAGCCACAAAACCAGCAAGATTTTATTATGAATTTCAAAAGGGAGGGGGTGTATGAATAGGATGTGGGTCACAGAGATCACATGCTTCAAGGGCAATAAAATATCACAAGGCAAATGGGGGCAGAGTGAGATCACAGGACCAGGGCAAAATTAGAATTGCTGACAAAGTTTCATGTCCCACTGAGCATGCATTATCATTGATAACATCTTATCAGGAGACAGGGTTTGAGAGCAGACAACCAGTCTGGCCAAAATTTACTAGGCAGGAATTTCCTAATCCTAATAAGCCTGAGGGCGCTACAGGAGACTGGGGCTTATTTCATCCCTTATCTTCAACTGTATATGACAGACATTCCCAGAGCAGCCATTTTAGAGACCTCCCCTTAGGAATGCATTCTCTTTCTCAGGGCTGTTCCTTGCTGAGAAAAAGAATTCAGCGATATTTCTACTCTTTGCTTTTGTAAGAAGAGAAATATAACTCTGTTTTGTCTGGCCCGTCAGGCAGTCAGGCCCAATGTTTATCTCCCTTGTTCCCTGAAAATTGTAGCCATCCTGTTCCTTTTGGATGCCCAGATTTCATATTGTTCAAACACACATGCTGTACAAACAATTCATTCAGATAACGTAATCATCACAGGATCCTGAGGTGGCATACATCCTCAGCTTATGAAGATGATGGGATTAAGAGATTAAAGACAGGCATAGGAAATTATAAGAGTATTGATTGGGGAAGTGATAAATGTCCATGAAATCTTCACAACTTATGTTCAGAGATTGCAGTAAAGACAGGCATAAGAAATTATAAAAGTACTAATTTGGGGAACTAACAAATGTCCATGAAATCTTCACAGTTTATGTTCTTCTGCCATGGCTTCAGCCGGTCCCTCCATTCAGGGTCCCTGACTTCCTGCAACAACATTGAATGTAAATTGACTAAACTTTCCAAACAAAAGACACAGATGGCTGAATAGATGAAAAAATAAGACCCAATGATCTGTTGTTTAGAAGAACCACACTTCACCTATAAAGACACACATAGACACAAAATAAAGGGACAGAAAGAGATATTTCATGCCAATGAAAACCAAAAAAATACAAATAAAAAAGCAATAGCTGTACTTATATCAGAAAAAATAAATTTCAAGACAAAAACTGTAAGTATAGACAAAGGGCATCATTATATAATGAGAAATGGGTCAATTCAGCAGAAAGATATAATGATTGTAAATATATATGCACACAACATTGGAATACCCAGATACACAAAGCAAATATTATTAGAGCTAAAAAGGGAAAGAGAGAGACCCCAAAACAATAACAGCAGAAGACTTCAACATAGCATTTTCAGCATTAGACAAGATCTCCCCAACAGAAAATCTACAAAGAAAAATCAGACTTAATTTGCACTATGGAACAAATGAACCTAATAGATATTTACAGAATGTTTAATCCAAGAACAAGAGAATACGTGTCCATCTTCTCAGCACTACGATCATTCTCAAGGATAGACCATATAGTAGGTCACAAAACAAGTCTTAAACCACTCAAAAAATTGAAATAATATCAAGCATCTTCTCTGACCACAGTGTAATAAAATAATAACAAGAGGAATTTTGAAACTATACAACATATGGAAATTAAACAATACCCTCCTGAATGACTAGTAAGTCAATAAAGAAATTAAGAAGGAAATTGAAAGTTTTCTGGAAACAACTGATGATGAAAACACAATATATCAAAACCTATGAGATACTGCAATAGCAGTAATAAGAATAACATTTATAGCTATGAGCTTTTACATCAAAACAAAAAGAAAAACTTCAAATGATTGACCTAATGGTGCATTCTAAAAAACTAGAAAAGCAAGAGTAAACTGAACCCAAAGTTACTGGAAGAAAAAAAATAATAAAGATTAGAGTAGAATGAGCGAATTGGAAATAAAGAAAACAATAAAAAAGATCAATGAAACAAAAAGCTAGTTTTTTGAAAAGATAAACAAAATTGACAAACCTTTAGCCAGAATAACTGAGAAAAAAAAGACCCAAAGAAATAAACTCAAAGCTAAAAAAGGAAACATTACAAGTGAAACTGCAGAAATTCAAATGATCATTAATGGATACAATGAGCAATTATATGCTGATAAATTGGAAAATATGGAAGAAATAGATATATTCCTAGACACATACAGCCTACCCAGATTGAAGCATGAAGGAATCCAAAGTGTGAAGCAACCAATAGCAAGTAATGAGATCAAAGCCATAATAAAATGTCTCCCAGTAAAGAAAAGCCTAGGACCCAATGGCTTCACTGCTGAATTCTACTGAACATATAAAGAATACCAATTCTGCTCAAACCGTTCTGATAAAAGAGGAAAAGGGAATACTTCTAAAATTATTCTATGAAGCTGGTATTACTCTGATACCAAAACCAGGCAAAGACACATTAAAAAAAAAAATAACACTGCAGGCCGTCATCTTTGATGTATATTGATATAAAAACTCCCAACAAAATCATAGCAAAACAAATTCAACGGTACATTCAAAAGATTACTCATCATGACCAAGTGAAATTTATTCCAGGATGGATTGTGCAACACGTGTAAATCAATAATGTAATACATCATATCAACATAATGAAGGAAAAAATTTCATATGATTTGGGACACCAAGGTGGGAGGATTTCTTGAGCCCAGAAGCTCAAGATTAGCCTGGGCAACATGATGGGACCCTGTCTCTACACAGAAAATATAAATAAATAAAAAACAGAGCCAGGCATGGTGTAGTGCACCTGTAGTCCCAGCTACTTGGAAGGCTGAGGTGGGAGAATCGCTTGAACCCATGAGGTCAAGGCTGCAGTGAGCTGTGACCACATCACTGCACTCCAAGTTGGGCAAAAGAGTGAGATTCTGTTTCTAAAAGGAAAATAAAACTATATAATCATTTCAGTTGGTGCCAAAAAAGCATTTCATAAAGTTCAACATCTCTTCATGATAAAAGCTCTCAAAACACTGGATACAGAAGGAATATTCCTCAACATAATAAAAGTCATATATGTTAGACCCACAATTAGTGTCACGCTGAATGAGGAAAAGAGATAGCCTTTCCTCTTAGGTCTCAAAAACAACAAAGATGCCCACTTTCACCATTGTTATTCAACACAGTACTGGAAGTCTTGGCTAGAGCCATCAGACAAGAGAAAGAAATAAATGGCATCCAAATTGGAAAGTAACAAGTGACATTACAATTGTTTGAACATGATATGATCTTATATTTGGAAAAACTGAAAGACTCTACCAAAAAAGTATTAGAACTAATAAACCAATTCAGTGGAGGTACAGGACACAAAATCAACTACAAAAATCAGCAGCATTTTTATATGCCAACAGTGAACAAACTGAAAAGAAATAAAAAATAAGCCCATTTACAATAGTCACAAATAAAATTAAATATCTTGGAATTAACCAAATAAACAAAAGATCTGGTTGAAAAAGAAAACTATAAAACACTGATGGAAGAAATCAAAGAGGAAACAAAAAATGGAAAGACATGTCCTGTTCATGGACTGGAATGATGGATTGGTTGATAAATTGGAATCAATATTGTTAAAATGTCCATACTAACCAAAGCATTCTACAGGTTCAATGCAATTTCTATCAAAATATCAGTGACATTCTTCACAGAGATAGGAAAGACAATCCTAAAAATTATATGGAACCACAAAAACCCAGAATACCCAAAGCTATCCTGAGCAAAAAGAACAAAACTGGAAAGATATTACCTAACTTCAAATTATCCTGCAGAACTATAGTAACCAAAACAAAATAAAAACAGACACATAGACCAATGAAACTGAAGAGAAAACCCAGAAACAAATCCACATACCTACAGTGAACTCATTTTGACAATGGTGCCAAGAATATACACTGGGGAAAAGACAGTCTCTTCATTAAGCGGTGCTGGGAAACCTGGATCTCCGTATGCAGAAGAATAAAACTAGAACCTATCTCTTGCCACATGCAAAAATAAAATCAAAATGGATTAAATATTTAAATCTAAGACCTCGAACTCTAAAACTACTAAAAGAAAACATTGGGGAAAATCTCCAGGACATTGGTCTGGGCAAAAATTGCTTGAGCAATACTCCACAAGCACAGGCAACCAAAGAAAAAAATGGACAAATGGGACTCATCGAGTTAAAAAGCTTCTGCACAGCAAAGAGACAACCAATAAAGTACAAACTACCCATCTGAAAAGAGATTAATAATTGGAATATATAAAGAGCTCAAATAATGCTATGGGGAAAATCTAATAATCTGATCAAAAAATGGGCAAAGGATTTGAACAGACATTTCTCAAAAGAAGACATACAAATGGCAAACAGGCATATGATAAAAATGCTCAACATCATTGATCATTAGAGAAATGCAAATTAAAAACTATAATTAAATATAATATCATCCCATGTAAAATGGCTTATATCCAAAAGGCATGCAATAAGAAATGCTGGTTAAAACATGAAGAAAAGGGAACCCTCACACACTGTTGGTGGGAAAGAAAATACAAACACTATGGAGAATAATTTGGAAGTTCCTCAAAAAACTAAAAATAGGACTAACATACAATCCAGCAAACCTACTGGTGGGTATATACCTCCCAAAAAGAAAACCAGTATATCAAAGAGATATCTGCACTCCCATGTTTGTTTCAGCACTGTTCACAATGGCCAAGATTTGGAAGATACATAATTGCCCATCAACAGATGAATGAATAAATAAAATATGGTATTTATATACAATGGAGCACTATTCAGCCATGTAAAACGATGAGATTCTGTCACTTGTAACAACATGGATGAAACTGGAGGTCATTTTGTTAAGTGAAATAAGCCAGGCGCAGAAAGACAAACATTGCATATTCTTCCTTATTTGTGGTATTTAAAAATCAAAACAATTGAACTCACTGAGACAGACAATAGAAGGATGATTACCAGAGGCTGAGAAGGGTAATGGGGGTGCAGGAGGGAGGTGGGGATGGTTAATGTGTACAGAAAAAATGAGAAGAATGAATCAGACCTAGTATTTGATAGCACAACAGGGGGACTATAGTCAATAATAATTTATTTGTACATTTTTAAATAACTGAAAGAGTATAATTGGATTGTAACACAAAGGATAAATACTTGAGGGGATGGATGCCTAATTTTCCATGATGTGATTATTATGCACTGTGTGCTGGTTCCAAAATAGCTCATGTACCCAATAAATATATCCACCTCTTAGGTACCCACAAAAATTAAAAATAAGTTAAAATTAAGATAAAATAGTTTTATAAAGGTGACTCCAGCTTCTTTTTTTTTAAAAAAAAAAACAAAACTCAGTACTATTGAAAAGTACAAAAGGAAAGAAAAACATCTCTACATCCAATATAAATATATTAATATTCCCGTAAGTATTTTTATGGACAAATACTGAGACACATTTAAGTACACATAAATAGCCTACTACGTGTTTAGAAATAATTTTATAAAATAGAATGAAATGATAGCATTTAGTATAAATTATTACATTTATTTTAACTTGAGTATAACAACAGAAAAATAAATATAAATTTAAAAAATTTCAACATGTCAGATCAATATTTAATCAAAGCCAGAAATACTGATTTTTAAAATGCTTTATATTTACAATTATTTCTCATTAACTACATGTTTCAATTTAACATACAGCAATTTTTCTGTCTACTTCCAAACTTGAAAAAATAAGCTAGTTTAAGCTTTAACACCTCATTTATGCTCTCACCTTTGTATTTTTTTATTTTGGTTAATTTAAAAAGATATCAATCCTGCTGGAGTTTAGCACATTTGTATTCTTTTCTGTGACTGTTATTATCAGATGATTTTAGTCTTATTTCAATATCTCAGAGGAATAAACCTTCACTTCCACTAATTTGCCATGGCTTTTTCATTCCTCATGTATTCTGGTGTATATGGTTTGTAGCTCACATAATCATAATACAGCTATAATAAAAATGGTTTCATGTGGATGTTCATGTCGTCTGTAGATAAGAGATTACTTTTATCACAGCCATTTAGGTTTTTGCATTTTGCCAATTTTTTTTGTTTCTGTCTATTTTTTTTTTTTCCAAAGAAAAGAGCATACACACAGTCTACATTTCCAGGTCACACATTTGATTACATCGGCTACATGCTTTATAAATGCAAGAATGAATGGGAGTGTTGTATGCCTACAGTTGTGTTTCTTCCTTTCTGGTCACTTCACTTTCAAGTGGAAGATCTTACTTTTGTTTTTGTTATAAGTGACTTGATTTTCATGGCTAAATGATGTAAACATTCTTTCATTATTTTGGAAGTTTGACAACTCATAAAGAATAAAGATTGCCTCTACTTTCAGTTTCCACTTCTCATTTTCTCATGACTGCCATTTAGTCTGGCATCCTTTTCACTCCCTCTGATGGAGTGGCTCCGATCCTTGGAGACCACCACCCTCACATCCAAGAGTTTATCCTCAGCATTCATCTTATTGAAAATGCCAGTAGCTGAAAATACAGTCAATCCTTTGTTCTTCCTTGCTCTCCATATCTATGATATTCTATTTCCCTTAATCTCTTCGTCCTTTTCCTCTACATTTACTTTATCATGTCAAACCTCTTTTCTACTTCCACATTTCCATTTTTACTATACCTATTTTTGTTTCTGTTTTTAATTTTATTCATTCTTATAATAATAATGTTTGTTTTTTTACTTTCTGTCACCCCTACCAAAAGGAAACTACTTTTTTTTTAACTCTGGTAGGCAATTTTTTAACATTAAGCTCTTCCTTACTGAATTTGTGTTATCATTTTTTAAAGCAGAAAAACACTAATAAAAAGTACAAAAAAAAACCAGTCCAATAATAACCAAGATAATGTTACTGTAGCTATGTTAATAATAGTAAGGCAAAAAAATTTACAGATAAAAATATTTATGGATAAAAATTTATGATTTTTAAGTAATAAAAAGAATAAATAATAAAAAAGAACAATGTTCAATCAAAATATAAAAATTCTAAACTTGTACATACATAATATATAACATCAAAATACATAAAGCAAAATGTGACAAAAGAATATGTCAAAATTAACAAATCCACAATTTAAACTACTATCAGTAATAATTATTTCAATGTGAAAATCAGCTTTTATAGAAGATTATCAAAACCCGATTATCAAACTTGATATATAATAGATAGAGACCTACCAGGCACAGAAGGAATATCAATCATGTTCTAGGTCATAAAGAAAATCCCAAACAATAACAGAATCAATATCACACAAATCATATTTTATTATCATGATAAAATTAGAAACCAATAAAATGTTCTCCCAAATATCTAGAAATATAAAAGCACTCTAAACACTTACGGAGAAAATATGAATTAGTATTTTGTAATAGTTTCAATTAATGCTATAAGTTTTCCTGTAAGTACCATTTTAGCTGTAAGTCATACCATGGTTCCTAGTATGTGCCTCATTATTGAGATATGTGAAAATTTTCTAAATATCCGTTAGTAGAAGAACAGAAAAGTTGTTTTTTAGTTTGACTGCTAAACCAAGGTCATAAATCTTACTGGGAAGGGCAATTCAAGAAGCACAGTGGCTCTCTAACATAAGAACATCTTGATATTACTGGGCAAGCCTATTAAATACAGAAGACTGGGTCCATCCCAGATGTTCTAATCCATTAGTTCTTGGATGAGGAAAAATAATTTGCATCTTTAACAAGCCTATAAGATATGACAATGATGCCCACTGGGGAATCACATTTTGAGAACCACTGGAGTAGAATGGTGCATTAGAAGTAATAAATTAGGGAACAAATACAAATGATTCCCCAAGAAATGAAGGGCATTTAAAATTTTTCATCAGAGTCAAGAAAATCTACTTTTTTCAAAGGTTTTGATTTTAGCTACAAAGATTAAGCACATTCACAGCTATTTCCTTTTTAAAATACATGGTAGAAAGCTGAAATGTTTGAGGCAGAGACAGTGAATAATTTATTCATCAAGATCCTGGAAAAGGATAGAGAGGTGTCAGAAACAAAGTGTGTTTGTGTGTGTGTGTGTGTGTGTGTGTGTGTAATTCCATAAATATTTATTTATTAAGAACTTATTATGTGCCTAATGCTATGCAAAGCACAGGAATGACCAAAGGCAGCCATTTTCTTCAAAGAGAGATCAGAGATGAGTGAAGTCAGCAGTAGAACAGCAAATTACAATTACATTGGAGTTTGCTGAGGAGAGAGGTCAGCCCATGGTCACTGATAACATAGAAAGATAATCCAATCAGCCTAGAGATTTCAGAGAACACTTCTCAGAACAAGTGGCACCTGCTTCGAGCTGTAAGTCTCATCTTAGGGAGAGGAGGGGCACTTCCTCTGAGACAGGAGGGAATTTGCCTTAGATTGTAAATTACCTGGATTAATAAACACTGAATAGATGCTTATTAATTTTAAATAGAAGCAAACATAAAGGAAAAACAGGAGAGAGGAAAAAGGAAGAGGAGAGGAAAGATATAATGGATAAAAAAATAATTTTGAAGTAGAAAAGTTGTGTAAAAAGGCCTAAGTAGTCTCAGAGAAGGACTGGACAATGGTCATCTGTTGAAAGTGAAAGGATCTCAGCACTGGGAGGGCGAAACGTCTTTGCCAAAAGGTGTGTGGAGAAGCCAACTGAAGGTGAATAAAAGGGGTGCTGAGCCTCAGATGTGCCCAGCTGTGGTTAGTGCAGTTTAATGGGAAATCAGTTGTGGATGACATTTTCCATCATAACCCAAGAGCCTGAGGTTCTTAGTGAACTTTTCACGGCAGCCAACTCTGCTTAGAGGTTGCCAAATAAAAGCCCTGTAGTGATATGTGATGGTTTTATGAGGTCAGTGGGCAGTGTATGTTGTTGCTTGTTAAACTTTATTATCTAAAATGGAACAACCATCTAGTCTGGTGATAGGTTTGACAGCTCCAATAGCACTGGGAATCTGTGTGTCTATAACATTGCTTAGAAGTAAAGAGGATTCTGGAGAGGATTCCTGCCACTGAAGGCAATGTCTAAGAATGAAAGTAAGTGATAAAGAAAATGCTGTTGGCTTTTTACCAAAGTATTCTTAATTCCTAATACCTACGAAGAGTCAGAGCATTTCCTGAATGGACAGCAGAATTTACTTGGCTGTAGCTTAAGTGGTGATGTTAACATAACTAAAGAAAGAATGTGTAAGGTTGGGGCGTGAAACATTAACAACAAATCAACAAACAAATCAAAAGCAGCACAATGTCCTATATTGTCCAAGAGAGCTGATGCATATGATAGATCTGAGCATTCAAGTCACCAAGTATGTGTTCTCCATGTAGTTGTCATGTTCCTTGGAACAACAGCTTGTATAAAATTCTCCTGAAGACTAAATATTATCTTTCCTTTCCCAGAAAGTATGCAATAAGAGACAGAGTAATTTGAAAACTCATCATAGATATGCAATGCAAATTTACATCTTTCTTTTGCTTATAGTGTTGGAAAAAAGCACACTGAGCATAGACTCAGAGCAGCAATCCTGTTCCCTTATCTGACATGCGGTATTACTTGGCCTTCTCCCTGCAGAATGTCCTCACCAACACACAGCAGTGCAGAAAGGAGTCTCTCAAGACTCTTTCCCTTGCCACAATCAGGTCAGTCTCCTGCCCTCTATTAGTAGTACAGGGTGATGTGCAAACTCCCTTCATCTATCCCTAGCTTGAACGATGAAAAGTGTAGTCTCCTGCTCTTGCGATCCACGTCACCTTCTTTCCTTAATCTCCAGTGTTCTCAGTGATAGCTCAAAAAATTAGAGCCCAATTTAGCTTCAGTGATGTGGAAACACAGTCTTGAATCTGACCCAACTTAAACTCAGATCCTCTATTAAGTATCCATCACGCACATTCACACTCACACTTAAATTAGCAAGAGGATAACACGTGCAGTTGGCCCCTTTTCTAGCAAAGTGACTGAACTTTCAAGAAAATATAAAATTACAATAGATAATATGGGACAATAAAATTTACAGAAATGTTTCTGTGTTTAGTACCAAAATTGAATTTTCTGCAGGAAGCATGATGTGTGTGATGCCAACTGCATTTAAGAAAATGAAAATATATGCCATACTAAGACATTCATTTACAGGAAATCTAGTTATAACTTTGTGTCACTCTCTGCTTAATTTCAGCAACTTCTATTCTAAACTAAAGCAAAACATTTTATGGATAATGAACAAGAGATTTAATATTGTATGGGTGACTAATTTGGTTACTTAAGAAAAAAAAATCAAAAATGAACCAGATGCTCTCAACTTGATTAGTGTTTCTGACACAAGGATGCGGCGTTAGTTTGACGATTGAAACTCATAGTTCATTATTTTTGTATGGCTTCTCCATTAGCTATACTTCTTAGAGTTTCACTGCTCTGTTAGAATGGTTCATTTTTGCTTCTTGCAGAAGTTTTGCTTATTAAAGCCAGTTATGAGAAGCCCAAACAAAACACAATTGAAGCAATTATGTAGATCATTCTAGACCGAAATTTATTCCTCTCTCTCTTTTTCTGTACTTTTAAAGTCACCTCAAATTTCATATCAGCTGTAAAGACCAAGACAAAAGATAGGCATTTAAAAAAATATGTTTTTTTTTTTTTTTTTTAGAAAATGCTAGGCAGAAAGGTAGTTTGTGCCCCCGCTTCCCATAGGAAATTCTTTACTGTCATTATCATTGCCAGAAAAGTTTTCATTAAGATGCAATACTCACTGGTGCATCAAATGAGTGATGAGTCACTCATACCTTAACATAAACTAGTTTAATCATCCATATTTCTTTATATCACCTCACCAAAGAAATCAGCATTCGAAACAGAGTGAAAGAGGAAGAGTATTTTTCAAGCAGATGCGCCAATGAAGATAAGATGATTGAGTGGACCTCCCAGGAAGTAGAAGGATTTAGGAAGCTGGGTAGATAGCACCTCCCACCCCTGCTCCACTCTGGGCTGTGGCTGTAGCGACAGGAAGAGAGAATAACCAAAATATATCACTCTCAAATAACATTTATTATACTTTGGCAACCTAGCAAGCAGACTTTTCCAATGGCCACAATTTGTTGGTGCAGTAACATGCCCTGAGAAAGATACATGGGGGGTTCATAGAAAGGCCTACCCCCCTGCTTTGATGGAAGCAGCACAATTTGCAAAAAACAAATCGGTTGAAAAGAATTCCTCAAATGACTAGGTTACCATATAATCCCTTTGTTGGACAGTGTGTATCAGCAGCAGTTTGGGTCAGCTTACCTGAAGGCTACCACATGATTCTACCCAAAGGAGAAGCAACAGACTCCTGGTTTGGTTTCAGAGAGTGTGTGTGCATCTGTGTGTGTATCTCTGTGTTTGTGCATGTGCATATGCCTAAGACCCCTAGGGAGAAAGTACAGAGACCAGCTCTGGTGGCTACCCTATGGGGTATAACTTTAACTGTCATTATCATTGACAATGAAGTGGGGATGATATACTGTTTTTATTCCCAAATCCTCCTCATAACCTTCAACATCCCCACTTCAGGCTTGAAGTCTAAAAGGTGGGAGCCTGTTGTTCTGGGCTCAGTTTGACTTCCCCTTTTCTCCTGATAGGTTGTCAGACATCGTGCATGGTGCCAACTGATATGTTTGACAAATCAAGTTCAGCAAGTTGGCCTTGGGGTATTATCAATCTAGAGCCCTCTGGATTGCCTTTTGTCCCCTACCTGGAGTTCTGTCCCAGGCATGAGGCTGATTTGACTCCTGCATAGGAGTCCTTGGAGAAGTATAAGTCAGTGGCCAGGGCCTCCATATCAGGTCAGCCCCTGTGGGTCACTGACCATCATCTTCTCTCAGTTCAATGAATGGACGACTATTTTCCTGGCTCTAAAACCCATGAGCATTGTTACGTTTACAAAAAATCTTTTCTCTATTTTCATTTGCTGATTTGCTTCACTTGGAGTCTCATTTCTGTAGGACTAGGGGCAGAGGTTGGGGAGGATGGGCTTCCTTCCTGCTCCCTAAATGCTACCTTTAGTTCTCTTTGGGAGTATACCTTCATGCTTATGTCTTCGCCTCAGTCTACTTATCACCCACCTTATGCCCACTTCTGGACTTTGGTTCTTCTCTGCTTGTTTTCCATAGGCAGATGTCAGGGAATTGATGCTAAGCTTTCACCAGGGCATGCTATGGATGTCACCTCTTCATTGCCTCCTTACATGTACTTTCCAGTATGGAGGGCAGAATAAAGGAGAGAAAAAAACTGGAGGATATGCCAACTGCCAGGCGCTGTCCTGTTGTCTTCTTTTGCATTATTTAAGTTAAACCTCATCACACCTTAAGTTGCTAAATGGTTGTGTTCCCCAATTGTTGTGAGTGGCTGTGAGATTTTATTCTCTGCAATATTCCTAGTGTCTACCAATGCACCTGGATCACAGTAGGATCAATGACAATAGGAAGTGTGATAACTTTCTAGAGCTCATAGTTCTTAGAATGAATACTTGGATAACCTCTGAAAATGTGAACTGATATGGCCGTTATATGTACTCAAGCAAACCTACTGACACTTATGGTCAGAGCCACCCGTATATTAACCTGATAACAGTGCTTCTCAAGGGTGTTTTATGATACCTGGTTTCACTGCAGTGTTGGGTGATAAAACAGTTCCATGATACAATGAGATTGGTATCATCAGGTTAGACAAAATCAAACATACTTATTTACTGCAGGTTGTCTCAGACACTTTATTTTGTTAAAGTGTATGGTATATTCAAAGAAAAAAAAAACATTTCCTATAAAATCTTGACCTTAGAGCATCACCAGTGTCTGAGAGAACACTGATGCATGTTCTAGTGTCCCCTAGAACATGCATCAGAAAAGTCTACCCTGGTAAATAAATGGAGGTCTAGCTCAGTGAGAATTATGCACAGACAAGCGCATACGTCATTATTGAAACTTGATCCTACTTTAGAAAAAGAGGCACAGGCAAACACTGCACTCAAACTTCCAATATTAGACTGCCATTAATGAGCATAATGGAAAGATCTTCATTAAACCCCTTACTTTACCAAAACTATTAGGGTTGTTTGTAGAGCTAAATCTGCCTCCGGGATAGACCTATGTTTTTCTAATTCAAACAATGTGTGAACATCACGGGTGGTAGACAGGGAGTGATTAACAAAACAGTTTGAATAACAGAACTAAATATAGTTCCTTTATTTTTATTTGTTTAAATAATAATTATCTTCTGTTTCTTTATTATGAATTACCTTATTTCCCCAAAGCAAGTCCTTAATTCTGATTTCTTTAAAAAGAAAATGCATGCCAACTCTTGGGTTGAAATTAATGAGAAGTTTTGGTTACTTCAAAATTTTAAACAAGTACTAATTTAGCCATGACAGGATGATATCAAGGACAGATATTACTTGTGGGTTTAAGTGTTTTTCCTCTAAAAGAAGAATATATTATCTGGCAAGTCAATTTTTGTTTCTCATCTGTAAGTAGAGGTGTGGTTTGAATGCTTTTCATACAATGCTCTCAATGAGACTAGCATATATTATTCTTCCTTGTCTGGGGAGAAATTGGACATATCTATATTGACACAGCTTGTTAGTGGTAAAGTAAGGAGTTATGTGCAGATCTTTCCTACAGAATCACGTATTTAAATATTAATAAAAGAATGTCTAGAACTATAACAATGAGATATAATTATAGCTACCATGGAGGATGTATGTATCCTACCACCTAATTCCTTTTTAATTATCAGTCAGTCACCCAGTTATGATTTGTAGTCATTCTAAAATTTTGGTGTGCATTTGAATTATCACATATTCTTGTTAAAAATTCAAATTCCCAGGGCTGAAAGTAAGAAGTTCTGATTCTATAGATCTGGGATGTGTTTTAACAATAATATCCTGTGCTTTGGATGCCAGAGGTCATAGATAATTTCAGTGGAAAATGTAGACAGACCACTCAGAGTCTTGAGTTTTTCTTAATAATAAAATCAATGTCACAACACCCTTCAAACACAAAATGAAAGAAGGCCATGTGAAGTGCTTTCCATTGTGTAGTGTTACAGAGGCCATAACAAATGTTAGCTCCTTTTCTGTTCAAGTATTTTTTGTTGCTGGTAACAAAGACCAGAATTTTATTCTGAAACTGTTGGAAACACAAGTGGGATGGAGACATGTCATGGCACAAGTCATGGTATGGCTTTTGTAGAACTTACAGTTTTCTTGGGGAGGCACGAAGCTCCCCAAGAGAGGCATGGTTGCTTCTTCTGCTATTTTCTGTATACCCCTTACAGCAATTCCATTCTTACACTGGTTTAGGACAAAGACCTTGCATCATTCTTGACACTGCTTTTCACTTCACACTCCATGTCTGATATGTTTACAATTAATCCAGAACTCTGACCCCATTCAGTCCTTCCGCTACCCCCATCCTGCCCCCATCCTAACTGGTTGTTCTCACTCCCAGGCAGTCTGTTTTTATCGAGCAGTTGGAAATACCTTATAAAAACAACGTGTCAGCCACACCAGGGCCTGTCATGGGGTTGGGGGCAGGGGGAAGGATAGCATTAGGAGAAGTATCTAATGTAAATGATGAGTTAATGGGTGCTGCAAACCAACATGGTACATGTATACCTATGTAAAAAACCTGCACTTTGTGCACATGTACCCCAGAACTTAAAGTATAATTTAAAAAAAGTCAGCTGTCAGGTCATGTCATTTCTCTGCTTAATTCTCTTTATTATACTCATGCCACGGAGAAATAAAACCAAAGTTATTCACTTTTTTAGTGGCTGGCACCACTGCCTCTCTGAATCTATCTTCAGCTCTCCCAGATCCCTCTGCTCACTCTATGACATTTTCCTTGCTGGTCTCAAACCAGGTGGAGCCAACACCACTTCAGGTCTACTGTGCTTGGCTTCTTTCTCTGCTTGGAATGTTCTCTCTTAGATACACAAGTGGCTTACTTTTTCATCCTCTTAAAAGCTTTGGCACAGTGTTTCCTAATATTGAGTCTTTTCTTCACTGCCTTACTTAAAATTGCAACTTCCCTACCTCTAACCAACCCTATCCCCTTCCCTGGTTTATCCCTTCATTAGTCTGTTCTCACACTGATAATAAAGACATACCTGAGGCTGGGTAATTTATACAGGAAAGAGGTTTAATTAACTCACAGTTTCATATGGCTGAGGCAGCCTCACACTCATGATGGAAGGAGAAGACGGGGCAAAGTCACATCTTACATGGTGGCAGGCAGGAGAGCATGTGCAGGGGACCTGCCATTTACAAAACCATCAGATCTTGTGAGACTTATTCACTATCATGAGAACAGCACTGGAAAGACACATCCCCATGATGCAATTACCTCCCACTGGGTCCCTCCCACAACACGTGGGAATAATGACAGCTATAATTCAAGTTGAGATTTGTGTGGGGACACAGCCCAACCATATCAATCTTCTTTCTTAGCAATTATCATTTATAGTAGATATTATAGAATTTGCTTCTTTATTTAACTGATTTGTTTTTCTCTTTCTCCCCAGCGGAATAGAAACAACTGTGACTAGAGATTTTTGTGTGCATAATTTCTGATGTATCACTAGCACATACATTAGAACAAAAAACATATAGTAATCACAAAATGAATAAATAAATAAAGGAATGACAATGAATATGTAAATTACAATAAATAAGTATTGCATTTATTGGTGTCCAATATATTTCAGATAGTAGGCTCAAAACTTTATATAAATTACTACTTTTAATCTTAACAGCAATCCTTTAAGGTAGGTATTCACAGATGAAGATCAGGCTTGGAAATGTTACATATCCTTTGTGATAATTATGCAAAAGATATTTGAAATGAGACTAATCTGGTTCCCAGGCAGAGGCTGTTTTTTTTTTATGGAGGAAGTTAACTCTCATAACTTTAGAGAAAGTCTAGTCAGATAGCATAGTCATGGGTAGGAAAGATCTGAGTCTTCTAGTTTGGTAAATTTATTTGTAAATTTAACACCTGTTACATGATGGACTAAAGTGTGAGTAACTAATTAAGTCATATTCACAAGACCTTATGTATTTTTAGACATTGCCAAAGAAATTTTAAAAACTGCAATTTTTGTACATCGCTAAGTTTTGTTTGAATGTGAAAATTCTATCATCATTAACAAATCTGCACCCTCCATTTAGCATTAATTAGGAAAGTAAAACATGTATATCATCTGCAGATTGTTGTAGAAGCTTGTCATTGCTTCTCCAGGAAATACCTAAATTCGACTGACTAAAATTGGGGTATTAATCTGTATTTACCTCATGTTTCTTGTCACATATCTTCAAAAACCTATAAATTATGGCTTTGTGAACCTTGTTTAGGTTTGACTGGCTGGACTTACCCACCTATGTGGCAATATTCTAACCAACCTCTCTTTAAGCATGCTGGATTCATTCTCATTGATATGTCTGTATGTAACTTGTCTTCCATTTGAGGTTTCTGCCTCCTTTTTTCTCTCTGTCCAGAATTCAGGGTTTTCAGCTAGCTAACACCTTCTCCTTGTCTATAAAATTTCTTTAGTCTTTAAATAAAAAGAGATATATTTTTTGTTTATTGTTATTAACGTATAAGGTTTTTACCCTCAATTTACTTTCTATTCATGCACATTTATTAATTAAACTTACTGTGTTTCTGCCCTGTGCCATGCTTAGAATTCTCTTGGATGCAAACATGAACATGGCATGATCCTTATCCATGTGAAATGTACAGCTGCTTGGCATGTATTTAATTGTCTTCACTTCCACATTACTAGGGCATCTAAGCATTCTATATTCTTATATGCAGAATGTAAAAATAAATATAATACAGTCCTTAACGTTGAAGAGTTTTCAGTCTAATGGAGGAGAAAGACACCTAAGCCTATGACCACAGTGTGACGTGATCAGTGCTATAATTGCAATAAGTACAGAGTAATTTCAGAGCAAGGAGGTAGAGGACATGGCCCATTTATGGAAGGTCAGGCAAAAAAGAAAAAAGAGGTGACAGACACTTGAAATAAATCTTAAAGGAATGCTAAGATAGAGTTGACTGGGGTGGGGGAATTTCCCAAACTGAAATATAGGTTGGTTGGTTGGTTGTTTCCTATCCAACCTTATTAGATATAAAACTTTCAGTGAACAAGAGCCATGGTCTCTCTCAAATGGTAGGATGATGTGAAAGACTTACATAATTTACTGATGTATCAGTAGCACATACATTAATAAGTAATGAATTACTGTGTTCTGACAGAATGCATTAACTGGTTAATAGATGTGCCTTAGGTAAGAGACCATTATGCACTATTCAAGCAACGTGCCTTAGCTCTATTGAAGATACAGCTAACTAAAGTTCCAGTTCCTATATGGGTCTCTTAGGCACAGACTAGAAAAACAAATGTTAAAAACAAACAAACAAACAACAACAACAACAACAACAAACTAATAAAAACAAACTTTTCTTTATGTTTCTCTATTGTGCTAATATATGGTATGGAAGAATGACAGAAGAAACTCACAAGTCAAGAAAGAATATTTGTTGTCTTAGTTCCTGGTCTTTTCAAAAATTCTTCCAACCTTCATTTAGTTTTGTTTTCTGGATTGAGCAACTCCATAGGTGAGCTGACTTCTTTGCAGCGATGCATTTCTAGCACAAGTGGGTTTTTCCTAGTGAGGTCAATTACAGCATAACCCTTGCAGGATACAGGGGATCAGGGATGCGAATTTATTCCTAAACACATTTGGCAGCACAAAGTCTTGAAAAAGACTCCAATGTGAGATCATGTCCCTAAAATACCTCAACATTATGTTACAGCACTTTTGCTTTTCCTGTATGGCTCTGGTTCCTGCCACATGCTGTGGAGTTAGGAGGCAGAGAATCTGGTTCTGGCTAAGGAACTAATTAGTTGTGTATCCCTTAGCAAGTCACCTGACTTCTCCAAATCACAGCAAACCTTTAAATATAAAACGAAGCATTCATTGCTATCCAGCTCTAAAATTTTCATTATGAAATTATTTAAAAGTTTCCCTAAAAGACATTCCTGGCCTCTTCATTTCCTTGCTTTCCCAACCTGTTTCCCTTGCTTAAGTGTTAGATGTGTCAAGAATCCCAGGGTGTGCAACACCACTTAATTCTTTAAGGTTCCTTTCACAATTCTTTTCTTTTAAAATGCCTGCTGGGATTCTGTTGTCTGATATAATTTCACTCCTTAGCGTCTCCTCAAAGGTCCTTTGTGTTGTAATCATGCATCTCTTTTCTGTACCCTTAGCTATGCTGTAAATACCTTGGCATAGGAAATCTGACTCTCTATTACATTGCATCCTGTGGACCTAAAACTTTGTAGCTGTCAGTAAAAGTTTCATAGATGAACAAATGAATATAATGTGGTGTTGCCTGCACATTGAACGTATATGACATGCATTGTAATGTCTTCAGCACTTTACAAGAGGAAATATTTTATTCTATTTCCAGTTAGATTCATCTTAGTATCATATATTATTGTTAATTTTATATTTTAGAACATTTTTTACATAAGACATTGACTTCAAATTGGTATGTGTCTTTATTATCAAATAATATTAAAATTATACTAGTTTAGAAGAATTCTGTTGATTTTTTAAAAATATACATATTCTATTGCTCTCCTTGTTAATTTATTATTATTATTATTATTATTATTATTATTATTATTATTATTGCAAGAGATCTTGGGTGCTAAGGGAGAAGCCGCGAACTTCTTTGCTACTCTCTAGCCTGACATCTACCCAGGGAAGGGAGATTCCTTCCTCGCATCACTTGTCTCCTGCTCTCCTGTCAGATCTCAGCTCAGGTGTCAACTTCACAGGGAATCTTTCCTTGAGCCATCAAACGATGTTGGAAACTTATTCTATGTCTCATGACTCTTCTTTACAGCAATTTTCACAGATATAAGTTTACATATATTTGTCTGATTATTTAATTTCTTTTTTCTCCCGATTGTCCCATGAGTGTCTCTGTGCCTATTATATACTCAAAAATAATAAATATAACAATATTAAAGTTCAGTGAGAACCAAATAATGCCAGTTTTTCACAAATGAAATAAACCATGTAACTATAGGCCAATCAATTCTCTTTTCAGATATCTAGCTTAAAAGAAAAAGTCAGTTTAGACCAATTGGCTTAATGGCAAAGCAAGAATAGAATGGTCCCATTGACACTTGTCTGAATTATGCTATGTGTTTTAAAATACAGTGTATTAATAGAAAATTTGAAATATAGAAAGGTCAGCAAGTCAAGACATGGTTTCCATTGAAGAAATAGTTTGTTACAGTTCCCTACCAGACGGGGTGCAGCACATCACACAGGCCATGCGGGAAAGAACCAGGGTTGGTCAAGAGGCAGAGAATGGGGAAAAAGCAAGGGACACAGCCTTTATTGTGTTTACCACAGGAAGAAGCAGGCGAGGTTAGATCTGCAGACTTGGGATCAGCTCATTTGAATAACTGCCATGGGCTCTGGAGCATAGGGGCTGTCCTTAGTTGTCTGGTATTTGGCCCTGCGATGATTAGGGCAGTGGAATGGTGGCTGTAAGGTGACAGCCTGGTAAGAGAGGTGGTTAGGGGTGTGATTTGAGATTGGTTGATTTGTTTTTGTAAAGTGTGCCCCTGGGAGGACAGCTCCTCCCAAGGAGAGGAAAGAGGTGACAGGGAAGGCAGGAGGTCAAGGTGAAATGACTCAAGTGTGTTATTAGATTGTCCCAGAGCAAGTTGTATCTGGCGTAGGCATGTAGTGCAGATGCTAAAGCATGATTTTACAGGCCAGATACACGGTGAATATGCTGTCATCCACTGGAAATGAAGCCACGTAGGCTGAAAAACAAATGAGATCCAACACCAAGACTCTTAGCCAACAGCAAGTTTGCCTTTCTTTCTATTTGAATCTGGACATGGAGAGAGCTTAAAACTTTTCATTCTGTACTTACTTTTTTTTTTGCATTCACAGGACTATATACTGTGAAAAAGAGGAAGAAACATAATTGTATTTTGATTTCTTACCTCATTTAATTCTCACAACATTCCTGTGACATATGAAATCAATTTGGCAGACGAAGACACTGAAGCTCAGAATAGTTAAATGATTTACCCCAAATTCATATAGTAAGTGGATAGCTGTAAAGCCTGCTTTTTTCCATAAAATTCTACCTCCTACATTCTGCTGTTTCAACAAAAGCAGCAACATATGCTCATTTAGCATGCGGCACATTCTTTGCCTTCTATGAGTTACATGTTTAGAGTGCTATATTAAATGAAATAGGACATTCAAAAAAGTGTAAAATATGAATCTCATTCACAAGAACTGTGGCGTCCATCTGGGAGACAAGGTATATGTGTGACTCCTGTTGTTAAATCATCTGCTTATTCACATATGGCAGAAGAATGAAACCATATATCATCTTGAAATTAGTACCTAGAATTTCTCTTTCTTTTACAAGTATTATTAGATGACTCTTTGGGAAAAGGGTACAGCTCCAGGTCCCTAAATTGTCTCCTGTTTATTGAAAAACAAACAAAAAAAAAAGCAAAGAAGGCCGGCTGCAGTGGCTCTTGCCTGTAATCCCAGCACTTTGGGAGGCCGAGGTAGATCACCTGAGGTCAGGAGTTTGAGACCAGCCTGGCCAACATGGTGAAACCCCATCTCTATTAAAAACAAATACATAAATTAGCCAGCTGTGGTGGTGTGCACCTGTAATCCCAGCTACTCAGGAGGCTGAGTCAGGAGAATCACTTGAATCTAGGAGACAGAGGCTGCAGTGAGCTGAGATCATGCCACTGCACTCCAGCGTGGGTGGCAAAACGAGATCCTGTTTCAAAAAACAACAACAAAAAAAAGCAAAGAAAAATTAATATGTAAATAAATGATCTGTTTTAGAAATAAACAGACACTAGAACATGAATGTTAAGTGAGAAGATCAAAACATGGAAGGAGGGAGGAAGACATGTAAGAATCTAGAGTTTGAATTAAGAAAATGAGAGTGGGATGTGAAGGTGATCGATCTGGCTGCGACATCTGTCACCCATTGATCGCCAGGGTAGATTTGGCTAATCTGGCTGGCTGGGGGGGTGTCCCTCTCCTCCCCCACCACTCCATGTGTGTCCCTTCCCAAAGCTGCGCGCTCGGCCAAACAGGATGACCATCCCTGATAGAGGAGGACTGGTCTTCGGTCAAGGGTATACGAGTAGCTGCACTGCCCTGCTAGAACCTCCAAACAAGCTCTCAAGAAAATGAGAGTGAAGTTTTAGCTGTAGAAACATCTAATATTGACTTTAAAGTTGTTTGCGCTGCTTTAATTTAATGTCTCCACATCCCCAAATGTTCCATAGAATTTGGTGGCAGTTAAGAGGAAGAGCCTAAGAGTAGGGCTGATTGCAAAGGGGCCTATTGGGAACAGAACCTTGAAATGACACATCAGCTGTGGTATCAGCAGAAATGAAAACTACTCTAATCCAGGGATGGATATGGGACCTTAACATTGCTGAGAATACATAGAAATTAGGAAAAGAGTGTGACAATGCTACTTGGACTATGATGTTGGGGACAATCTCATCAGAGTGGCCCTATTCCTCTATCATATTGGCAATATGTTTCATAAATGCTATAGTGTATTTTAAATGCTTATCAGAAAAATTAAGTCTCTCATTTACCTTCTGCCATGCCAAATTTCTCCAGGACCTAGGTATGAGACCCAAGCACAAAAAGAAAGGAAACATTAATACTACAATAGAGAATGTTAAGTCATCTCAGCAGCCTACCCTGATTCCAGACCTGTTTTACAAATATTTCCATATTCCTTTGCTGAAGCAAGTATCGGCTGGAAGGAAAATCTTCATACTTATTTCCACAAGACTAGAGGTTCCCCAGACCAGGCTGTCTGCTTCCTAAGGAAAAGGATGACATCTTATTTAGTGCTGAATCCTCACTACTGAGCAGAATATCAGGTGCTTGACCGAAGAGCTACTACTAAATGTAAAGTGAACTGAACAATGTTCATGGGGTAGACTTGACCAACTGACCAAACTTAAAGGGCAGGGGTGTGGTCACAGTATCATACAGACAAAGTCACTAAAAATTTTTTGGAAAATACTTCTGATCTTTCCAATAAATATCCAAGACAACGTTATTTCATGGCACTTTTATTCAAAGGATTAATTTGAAGCTTATACAAAGACAAGGCAGACTTTCTGTTCTTGGAAATGGATGTCTTTGCAATTTTATTTAATTGTACTTATTTTTTAATGAAAGATTGCAACTGTTTTCAGGCATCATTTGTGGCTGTAATTTTGACATTTCACAACCTAGCCCTTCTAAGTATATGAGCTAAATCAGAAATTTATCTACTATTCACTCTCTCAATGGATTTCAGTATTATAAAGAAAAAAATTATCTTTATGCTATGATTTTCTCTAAGATCTCAGAAATTTCAAAGAGGGGAGAGGCCCAGTCCAGGGGCCTCATTTAACTGTTCAGCAAGTGTAATTTTCTTTGAACTGGTCATCACTTTATAATCACCAGTCAGTCTGTTTGCTTTGAAAAAGCTGACTGTTCCAGAGATAATTACCAGCCCAGGGTTATTCTACAGCCCTTTCTCAGTCACAATTTCATTGAACAGGCTAATTTGTTTCTTAGGTATTCTGCTTGTATTTCAGAATGGAATGTGTCTCCATTTTTATGTTTAAAGTCCCAATATTTGAGAACAATTTAGAGAAATAGGCTGTGGAGCCTGAGAATGAGTATAGAATTTATTTTTTAAAAAGCCTACTTATCCATAACATTTATAGAGACCATTTGCTTTAATTTTGGGGCAGGTGTTACTATGAGTTTGAACAGTTTGCTTTCACATCCAGTGTCTGCTGTGCATTAGCTGTGTGGTCTGTGCATGGGTTAGTTCACCGCCTAAGCCTTGGTTTCCCCATCAGAAAAGCAGAAATAATAATTATTATAGAATAATAGGTTTCTAGGAACCTACCTAGATGATGTGAGATGCAGTAAGGGGATATTCGGTAAATGGTGACTATTATAGTTGTTAATGTCAAACGTGGGCTGACTTTGAAGCACAAAGTATTTTAGCTAATCTAGATCAAATGACCTGCTTTTTCTTTTACCTGTCACATCTTTCATAAAGATTGAATGAGCAAGTAAGAGGTTGTGAGATAAGGGAGAGAAAAAAAACATGTATTCAATTCTGACTTCATACCCATCTCTTACTTTAAAAGTACAGTCACGTGCCACCAAAGGAAAAAAAAGTTTTGGTTAATGATTGACTGCATGTGTGACTGTGGTCCCATAATGTTATAATGCTGTATTTTTACTGTACCTTTTCTATGTTAAGGTATGTTTAGATACACAAATACCATTGTGTTATAATTACCTACACTGTTCAATACAGTAACATTCTGTACCCTGTACCGGTTTGTAGCCCAGGAGAAACAAGCTATGAAACTGTCCTCACAGGGTTAACAAGAATTCTGGACAGAAATACAATCATTGTTGTTAATGTCAAACGTGGGTTGATTTTGAAGCACAAAGTATTTTAGCTCAGTCTAGGTCAAATGGCCTGCTTTTTCTCCTGCCTATCACATCTTTTGTGCATTTTGACCCACTTCTTTGTAACCAAAAGTCACATAGCACTAGACACTGACCATTTCCATTTCCATTGTTCCTATAGATAGGATTTCTGAATTTAGAATCATAAAGCTTGTGTTTAAGAATTGTTTAAGCAGATCCTGAATTCCAGTGGAAAAGCCAACCAGTTTAAAGATCCCACAGAGGAACTGAATTAACAAGAGAATAGTTTCTTCATCTTTCTGTCTCATAACTTCACCCTGAACTCTTCAACAAATCAACCATCACACTTCAGCCCACTTCAAAACTCTTCCAATTCCTAGCCCCATACTCCTTGGAGAGACAGATTTGACTTTTCCTTCCATGTCCTTGTTCAGTGGCCTTAGGATTAAACCTCTTATTCTGCCGTAACCCAGTATCTTTGTGGGTTGACTTGCTGCATGCATAAGGCAAGGAACTTATTACTGTTACAGCTATAACATATAACTGTGTAATAGGCTATACCACTTAACTTTGTGTAAGTGCACTCTATAATGTTCACACAATAATGGAATGTCCTAATGATGTATTCTCAGAACATACTCCCATCGTTAAGCAATGCATAACTGTCTTAGCATAACGTTTATCAAAAACTATTCAAGATGCCCAGCCACTGCGATAAGATTTTTATGTACTTTATCTCATAAACTCTTTACACTACCTTTCTGTATCTGTTTTGCAGATCAGAAAACTGAGGCTATATGCAGCTAAATGAGTAGGTAGTCGATTTAAATTTCTACCAAGTCTGCCTGATTCCAAACTATATTTCACTGTTATAGCTAAAAAGTATCTACTGCCCATTTTGCGCCAAACGCTGTTCTAAATATATTTAGAATATATATATATATATATATATATATATATATATATATATATGTATATGTGAATTAACTTTTTGGTCTCTTATAATTAATGATTTGGTGTAGTTACTATTATTATGACCCTAATGTATGAATAAAGAGAACAAGGCACAAAGAAGACAAGTAGCATTCTTAAAGTCACACAACTAGATAAACTAATACTAACTCCCAGAGTTAATCCCAACAAATCTGACTCCAAAACTAATATTCAAACCACCTTGACTTCTAGGGGGAAAAGGTCAGTTTTGACATATTGCCTTGTAAAGGTATTTCCACCCCTAAGTCTCCAAATCTATGTTGTTATGTCCAATACCAAGTGATTAGATTCTGTATTTTTTTCTTGTCTTTTTTTTTTTTTTTTTTTTTTTTTTTCAGATGGAGCCTCACAATGTCACCCAGGCTGGAATGCAGTGGCATGATCTTGGCTCACTGCAACCTCTGCCTCCCGGGCTCTAGCGATTCTCCTGCGTCAGCCTCCCAAGTAGTTGGGATTACAGGCACTTGCCACCATGCCCAGCTAATTTTTTGTATTTTTAGTAGAGACGGGGTTTCACTATGTTGGCCAAGCTGGTCTCAAACTCCTGACCTCGTGATCCACCCATCTTGGCCTCCCAAAGTGCTGGGATTACAGGCATGAGCCACCGCGCCTGGCCTTTTTCCCTATCTAAAATATGAATACCTTTTTAAGAGCTGTATATTGGTAAAAACTGTATTTGTAGTATTAGCAAATTAGACATTAAGAGTATAGGAAGGATGGCAGATGATACTAAAAACCTAGCTAAGAACTCAGCACAAAGCAAAGCAGTATCTACAACTCAAACTATCTCTTGTTTGCCTAACAATTCTGACACACGTGATGGAGTAAGTTTAGTGTTAAGGGAAGAGGAACTTTCCCCATAAATGAGCCATGTAACACACTCCAGAGAGGTGTGGACCTAATAAATAAATACATTCAAAATGAATCAAAAATTCATTTTATATTCATCCTGGTGGCCAAGGTGAAGTGGGGAGGAGTGGGGGACATACTGTTTTGCTAAAATGATAATAAGAGCAATGGCTGAAAGATATCTTGTGCACCTCTTGGAAATCACTTTAAACAGCCATACTGGCAAATTTGCCTTTTTTCTCTGAAAAGAAAAAAAGAAAAATGGATACAGAATTTTTAAGGTCTTTACTACAATGGCCTAATCAGCACATTTCAAGTGGCATTGTAGTTAAGTATCAATTGCAGATGGAGTTCTATAATTTTCTTTATTAATACACAAAGAAATAGGCAGATTAAATCTAAAACATCTGCTTAAGGGATGGTAGCACTGAATGAATAATGGTACAGCTCTGTTCATGACTGAATTTTACCACTGTGAGTTTAATTTTCCTGCTTTTACACAATGACCCTTTAAACCATAAACAGTGGAGAATAATGTCTCCTTATGTCACATATTATTAACCCCAAGGAGTTGTCCATGCGAGCCCAGAATAGAGCAAGACAGAGCAGGGTTTATTCTGGGCCTTTCTCACATTAAATATTTCAGAACAATTTGGGAAACTGTCAATTTCAAACTTAGCCTGTAACTTCTGAGAAGCAGAATGAGCTGTCAAGATATTGAATCAGGCATGGATGCCAAGAAGTAATTGTACAGAGGGAATTCAATATACATTTCACATGACCACTTTGCAAATGACGGCTCTGCACTAGACCAGATGCAGAGAGCAGTAGGATGGGATAGTCCTATAGGACACTCACTATAGGACAGCCTGGCCTGGCTGGAAAACCTTGCTCCCCAGCTGTGGGAACTCCTGTCCGTCCCCGAATGTATTCAGCATTGTCATTGCTAGCTATATATCTGTAGTTTTTCTTTGCAACTAATCACATACACACAAATTGTCTCTCTTTCTTTTTCCTGTCTTTTTTTTTTTCTTGTCTACATAGGGACTGTACACTTAAGGCTTCTGAGTTAAATGTAGTGGAACAATTTAGCTTGTTTAGCTAATATAATGTGTATTTGTTTCCTTTTAAATGCTGTTAGGTGAGAAACCCATTCTCCATTTCTAATATCATCTTTACTATTTTATTGCTTTCCATCACCAAGTCCATGATGAAGGTGAAAGTTCAGGAAATGCCACCCCAAAATATGCCACTTTAAGCTGAGGGCACTTGGGAACCCCAAGTCAGGCCAAGTTTTTCTCTGTGTTTCCTTATCTGCCTAAAGAGAGAACCACCAAAAGGAGCTCAGTTGTCCTGAATTCCTTCCTCCCTGGGAATCTTATCAACCAGAAAAGATTAACTCAAGGGACTAGAGGACACCACACCTAGATAGACTATCATTTGTTTTGAGGGCCCATTCATCTTTCCCAAAATTTGTTTATTCTCCCCTAAATTGCCTACATCCAGGCTCTGCTTTTCCCTATGAAGAGGATATATAAGCTTCTATGTCTCACTGGGTTTGTGTATATTCACCCTTCCTTCATGCTATGTACCCATGCACATCATAACTTTGTATATCTTTTCTCCTGTTAATTTGCCTGCTGTCAGTTTATATTATAGTCTCAATTATCGAACATTAAGAAGGTAGAGGGAAAATGTTTCCTCTCTTACAAAGGTGTGTGAGTTTGCAACTCCTAATAGGTTATAATATTCTTTTGTAGTAGTCATCTTTTGGGGCCATTGCATTTTTTTTTGGTAAAATATACAGAACATAAAATGTACCATTTTATCTGGTTTTAAGGGTATATTTTTGTGGCATTAAGTACATTCACTTTGTAATGCACCCATCGCCAATATCCATTCTTGGAACATTTTCATCTTCCCAAACTAAAAGACTGTACTTATTAAAAAATTGTACTCCATTCCCCTCTTTGCCCTGCCTCTGGCAATCACCATTCTATTTTCTGTCTATATTACTTCTCTATAATTCCCTCATATAAGAGAATCATACACTGCCCATTTGAGACTGGCTTATTTCACTTAGTGTATTTTCCTCAAGATTCATTCATGTTGTAGCATGTATTGGAATTTAAAAAATTTGAAGGTTGAATAACACTTCACTGTATTTTGTTTATCCCCTCATTTGTCAGTGGACACTAGGCTTGCTTCCATCTTTTGGCTATTGAGAATAATGCTGCTAGAAACACAAGTGAATGAATATCTCACATTTGGGTCCCTGCTTCCAATTATTTTGGGTATATGCTCAGAAGTGAAATTGCTGGATCTCAGGGTAATTCTAGGAGGAACCACCATGCAGTTGTCATTGCAGCTTCACTCTTTTACATTTCTACCAGCAATACACAGCATTCTAATTTATCCAAGCCATGTCAAAACTTGTTATTTTCATTATTGTTATTTTTGTTGTCTGTTTTGTTTGATAATTGCAATCCATCCTACTGGGTGTGTAGTGGTATCTCACTTTTTTGTTTTTATTTACATTTCCCTAATGAATGGTGATGTTGAACATCTTTTCATGTGCTTATTGCCCATTTAAATACTTTTTTGGAGAAATGCCTATTCAAGTTCTTTATTTTTGAATTGGGCTATTTGGGTTTTTCGTTGTTGAGTTTTAGGAGTTCTCTACATAATCTGGACATCAATCTCTTATTAAATGTGGGATAGAAAATATTTTTTCAAGTTCTGTTGGTTGCCATTTTATTCTGTTGGTAGTGCCTTTTGAAGCACAAACATTTTAACTTTTGATAAAGTCCAATTTTTCTATTTGCACTTTGGTTGCCTGTTACTTTGGTGTCAGATCCAAGGAATCACTGCCAAATCCAATGCCATGAGACTTTTCTCCTATGGTTTTTCAAAGGAATTTTTAGTTTTAGATCTTACATTTAGGTGTTTAATCCCTCTTGAGTTAATTTTTTTTTGTGTGAAGTAAAGTAAAAAATTAGGATCTACCCTAATCTTCTGCATGGACATATTGATTTTTCTCAGCACCAATTATTAAAACAATTCTCATTTCACTCTTGAATGGTCTTAGAACTCTTGAAGAGAATCATTTGTCCATATATGTATATCTTTATTTTTTTATTATTTGTTCTAGTACATTGATCTGTATCTGTCTCTTTCTAGTACCAATCAACTTTGATTACTATAGCCTTGTAGTAAGTTTGGAAATAGGAGAAATGAGGTCTTCAACTCTTTTCTTTTTACTCAACATTCTTTTAGCTATACAGAATCCCTTGAAATTTCATATTAATTTTAGAGTGAATATGTTTTTTTCTGTAAGAACCTTGTTGAGATTTTTATAGGTTTAACATTGAATCTGTAGATCGCTTTGGGTAGTGTTGATGTTTTCACAATATTATATATTTCAGTCCATAAGCACAGGGTTTGATACCATTTACTGGTGGTTCTTTTCATTTCTTTCAGCAATTTCCTTTTTTTTTTTTTTTCAGTTTTTAGTCTATAAGCCATTTGCTTTTTGATTGTTTTTTTTTTTCTGAAGTATTTTTTTTTTAGTGCTATAGTAAGTAGAATTATTCTTGTTCTTTTCTTTTCTTTTTCTTAAATTTTATTTTATTTTGAGTTCCGGGGTACATGTGCAGAGAATACCAGTTTGTTACATAAGTAAATGTATGCCATGGCAGTTAGCTGCAGCTATCAACCCATCACCTTGGTATTAAGCCCCACATGCATTAGCTATTTATCCTGATGCTCTCTGTCTCCCAACCCCCCAAAAAAGACCCAGTGTGTGTTGTTCTCCTCCTCATGTCCATGTGTTCTCATTGTTCAGCTCCCATTTATGTGTGAGAACATGCAGTGTTTGGTTTTCTGTTCCCATGTTAGTTTGCTGAGGATAATGGCTTCCAGCTTCATCCATGTCCCTGCAGAGGACATGATCTCATTCCTTTTGCTGCATAGTATTCTAGGATGTATATGTAACACATGTCCTTTATCCAGTCTGTCACTGATGGGCATTTGTGTTGATTCTATGTCTTCACTATTGTGACTAGTGCTGCAATAAACATACATGTGTATGTATCTTTATAATAGAATGATTTATATTTCTTTGGGTATACACCTAGTAATGGTATTACTGGGTCAAATGGTATTTCTGGTTCTAGATCTTTGAGGAATCATCAGATTCTCTTTCACAATGGTTTAAGTAGTTTACATTCCCACCAATGGTGTAAAAGCATTTCTATTTCTCTACAGCTTTGCCAGCATCTACTTTTTCTTGACTTTTTAATAATTACCATTCTGACTGGCATGAGATGGTACCTCATTGTAGTTTTGATTTGCATTTCTCTATTGATCAGTGATGTTGAGCTTTTTTTCATATGATTCTTGGCCACATAAATGTCTTCTTTTAAGAAGTGTCTGTTCATGTTCTTTGCCCACTTTTTGATGGAGTTTTTTTTTTCTTGTAAATTTGCTTAAGTTTCATGTAGATTCTGCATAGTGGACCTTTATCAGATGGGTAGATTGCAAAAATTTTCTCCCATTCTGTAGGTTGCCTGTTCACTCTGATGATAGTTTCTGTTTCTGTACAGAAACTCTTTGGTTTAATTAGATCCCATTTTGTCAGTTTTGGCTTTTGTTGAAATTGCTTTTGGCATTTTTGTCATGAAGTCTGCCTATGCCTATATCCTGAATGGTATTGCCCTGATTTTCTTCCACGGTTTTTAAGGTTTTGGGTTTTTACATTTGAGTCTTAATCTATCTTGAGATAACTTTTGTTTAAGGTGTAAGGAAAGGATCCAGTTTCAGTTTTCTGCATATGGCTAGCCAGTTTTCCCAGCACCATTTATTCAATAGAGAATCCTTTCCTTATTGTTTGTTTTTGTCAGGTTTGTTGAAGATCAGATGGTTGTAGATGTGTGATCTTTTTTCTGAGCTCTCTATTCTGTTCCATTGGTCTATGTGTCTGTTTTGGTACTAGTACCATGCTGTTTTGGTTACTGCAGCCTTGTAAGTATAGTTTCATGTCAGGTAACGTGATGCCTCAAACTTTGTTCTTTTTGCTTTGGATTGTCTTGGCTATATGGGATCTTTTTTGGTTCCATATGAATTTTAAAGTAGATTTATCTAATTATGTGAACAATGTCAGTGGTAGTTTCATGGGAATAGCATTTAATCTATAAATTACTTTGGGCTGGGCAGTGTGGCCATTTTCACAATATTGAGTCTTCCTATCCACAAGGATGAAATGCTTTTCCATTTGTTTGTGTCTTCTCTTATTTCCTTGAGGAGTGGTTTGTAGTTCTCATTGAAGAGGTCCTTCACATCCCTTGTTAGCTGTATTCCTAGGTATTTTATTCTCTTTGTAACAATTGTGAATGGGAATTCATTCATGATTTGGCTTCTGCTTGTCTATTTTTGGTGTATAGGAATGTTTTGTGATTTTCGCACTTTGATTTTGTATCCTGAGACTTTGCTGAAGTTGTTTATCAGCTTAAGGAGCTTTTAGGCTGGGACAATGGGGTTTTCTAGATACAGTATCATGTCTTCTGCAAAGAGAGACAATTTGACTTCCTTTTTTCCTATTTGAATATGCTTTTTTTGTTAATCTTGCCTGATTGCCCTGGCCAGAACTTCCAATACTATGTTGAATAGGAGTGGTGAGAGAGGGCATTCTTGTCTTGTGCTGGGTTTCAAAGGGAATGCTTCCAGCTTTTGCCCATTCAGTATGATATTGGTTGTGGGTATGTCATAAATGGCTCTTAGTATTTTGAATTATGTTCCATCAATACCTAGTTTATTGAGAGTTTTTAACATGAAGAGATGTTGAATTTTATTGAAGGCCTTTTCTGCATCTATTGAGATAATTATGTGGTTTTTGTCATTAGTTCTGTTTATGTCATGAATTATGTTTACTAATTTGCATATGTTGAACCAGCCTTGCATTCCAGGGATAAAGCTGACTTGATCTTGGTAGATAAGCTTTTGGATGTGTTGCTGGATTCAGTTTGGCAGTATTTTATTGAGGATTTTTGCATTGATGTTTATTAGTGATAATGGCCTACAGTTTTCTTTTTTTGTTGTGTCTCTGCCAGGTTTTAGTATCAGGATGATGCTGGCCTCATCAAATGAATTAGGGAGAAGTCCATCTTTTTCAATTGTTTGGAACAGTTTCAGAAGGAATGGTAACGGCTCCTCTTTATACCTCTGGTAGAATTTGGCTGTGAATCCATTTGGTTCTGGGCTGTTATTTGGTTGGTAGGCTATTTATTACTGTCTCAATTTTAGAACTTGTTATTGATCTATTCAAGGATTAGACATCTTTCTGGTTTGGTCTTGGGAGGGTGTATGTGTCCAGGAATTTATCCATTTCTTCTAGATGTTCTAGTTTATAATATTAATGTTTGTATTTTTGTGGGGTCAGTGATATCCTCTTTTATCATTTTATATTGTGTCTTTTTCATTCTTCTATCTTTTCTTCTTTATTAGTCTAGCTAGCAGTATATGTTATTAATTTTTTCAAAAAACCAGCCCCTGGATTGATTTTTTGAAGGATTTTTCATGTGTCTATCTCCTTCAGTTCTGCTCTGATGTTAGTTATTTCTTGTCTTCTGCTAGCTTTTGGATTTGTTTGCTCTTGCTTCTCTAGTTCTTAAGTTGTGATGTTAGGGTGTCAATTTGAGATCCTTCTAGCTTTCTGATGTGGGCATTTAGTGCTATAAATTTACCTCTTAATACTGCTTTAGCTGTGTCCAAAAGATTCTGGTATGTTTTCTATTGGTTCTCATTGGTTTCAAAGAACTTCTTGAAATCTACCCTAATTTCATTATTTACCCGGGAGTCATTCAGGAGCAGGTTGTTCAATTTCCATGAAGTTGTGTGGTTTTGAGTGAGTTTCTTAATCTTAAGTTCTAATTTGATTGCACTGTGGTCTGAGAGACTGTTTGTTATGATTTCAGTTCTTTTGCATTTGCTGAGGAGTATTTTACTTTCAATTATGTGATTGATTTTAGAGTAAGTGCCATTTGGCACTGAGAAGAATGCATATTTTATTCTTTGGGGGTGGAGAATTCTGTAGATATCTATTAGTTTCACATGATCCAGAGCTGAGTTCAAGTTCTGAAGATCTACTAATTTTCTGTCTTGATGATCTGTCTGATATTGACAGTGTGGTGTTAAAGTCTCCCACTATTATTGCTTGGGAGTCTAAGTCTCATTGTAGGTCTCTAAGAACTTGTTTTATGAATCTGGGTACTCCTGTATTGGGTTCATATATATTTAAGTTAGCTCTTCTTGTTGAATTGAGTCTTTACCATTATATAATGCCCTTCATTGTCTTTTTTGATCTTTTTTTGTTTAAAGTCTGTTTTGTCAGAAAATAGGATTGGAACTCCTGCTTTTCTCTGCTTTCCATCTGTATGGTAAATTTTCCTCCATCCCTTTATCTTGAGCCTATGTGTGCCTTTGCACGTGAGACGGGACTCCTGAATACAGTACGTGAATAGGTGTTGGCTCTTAATCCAATTTGCCAGTTTGTGTCTTTTAATTGGGGCATTTAGCACATTTACATTTAAGGTTAATATTATTATGTATAAATTTTATACTGTCATCATGATGCTAGCTGGCTATTTTGCACACTAGTTGATGCAGTTTCTTCACAGTGTCATTGATATTTGCATTTCAGTGTGTTTTTGCAGTGGGGTAATGGTTTTTCCTTTCCATATTTAGTGCTTCCTTCAGGGGCTCTTGCAAAGCAGGCCTGGTGGTGACAAATTCTCTCAGCACTGGCTTGTCTGAAAAGGATTTCATTTCTCCTTCGCTTATGAAGCTTAGTTTGGCCAGATATAAAATTCTGGGTTGAAAATTCTTTTCTTTATGTATGTTGAATATTGGCCCCCCACTCCCTTCTGGCTTGTTGGGTTTCTGCTGAGAGGTCTACTGTTAGTCTGATGGGCTTCCCTTTGTAGGTGATCTGGCTTTTCACTCTGGCTGCCCTTAACAGTTTTTCCTTCATTTCAACCTTGGAAAATCTTATGATTTTGTGTTTTGGGGTTGATCTTCTCATAGTGCATCTTACTGGGCTTCTCTGTACTTTCTGAATTTGAATGTTGGCCTGTCTCTCTAGTTTGGGGAAGTTCTCCTGATGGTAACCTGAAGTATGTTTTCCAACTTGGTTCCATTCTCCTCATCTCTTTCAGGTACTCCCATCAGTCTTAGGTTTGGTCTTTTACACAGTTCCATAGCTCTCAGAGGTTTTGTTTGTTCCTTTTTAATCTTTTTTTTTTTTCTTTTTTTTAAATCTTGCCTGCCTACCTTATTTCAGCAAGATAGTCTTCAAGCTCTGATATTCTTTCTTTTTCTTGATCAATTAGGCAATCGATTCTTGTGTTTGCATCAAAAAGTTCTTGTGCTGTGTTTTTCAGTTCTGTCAGGTTGTCTATGTTCCTCTTTAAACTGGCTATTCTAGTTAGCAGTTCCTGTAACCTTTTATCAAAGTTCTTAGCTTCTTTGCATTGGGTTAGTACATGCTCCTTTGCCTCAGTGAAGTTTGTTTTTACACACCTTCTGAAGCTTACTTAGGTCAATTCTTCCATCTCATCCTCCACCCAGTACTGTACCTTTGCTGTAGAAGTGTTGCGATCACTTGAAGGAGAAGAGGCACTCTGGCCTTTTGAGTTTTCAGCATTTTTCTATTGATTCTTTCTCATCTTCATGAGTTTGTCTAGTTTCAATCTTTGAGGCTGCTGACCTTTGGATAAGGTATTTATGGGGACTTTTTCATTGATGCTGTTATTGCTTTCTGTTTGTTTTCCTTTCAATAGCCTGATCCCTCTTCTGTAGGGCTGCTGCTGTTTTTTGGGTGTTCACTTCAGACTCTATTCATCTGGGTCCCTCTGGCACCTGGAGATGTCACCTGAGGAAGCTGGAAAATAGCAAAGATGGGTACCTCTTCCTTTCTCTGGGATCTCTGACCTTGAGGGGCACTGACTTGATCCCAGAAGGAATGCTCCTACATATGGTGTCTGGTGACCCCTTTTTGGGGTATCTCACCCAGTTTGGGGGCATGGGAATCAGGATCCATTTATCAAAGTACTTTGGCTAACCCATAGGTGGAGGGGGTGTGCTACACTAGGGGTAAACCCACTTGTCTGGGCTGCCCGGATTCTTCAGAGCTAGTAGGGGAAAGACTAAGTCTGCTGGTCCACAGAGATCACAGCCATCCCTCCCGCTAGGGATTCAGGCCCAGGGAGATCTGAGTTCTGTCCCCAGTCTTCTGGCTGGAGTTGATGGAGTTCTTGCAGGGAGGCCCCGCCCAGTAAAAAGGGATGGGTGGGTGTCTGGCCTAAAGAGGCAGTCTGGCCAGGGTCTGCCACAGCCAGCTTCAGTGATGGCTGCCTCTCCTCCCCCAGGGAGCTCAGATGGCTTAGACAGCAGGCAGCCACAGTGATGTCGGCTGCCCCACCCCCTGGGAACTCGGTAGTCTTAGGCAGATTCTAGCTGAGTGGCTGTTGAGAATCTGTGCAGTTTCTGTAGTTAGGACCCAAGGATCTGGTGGCATGGGCTCATGAGCGGGATCTTCTGATCTGTGGGTTGCACAGATCGGTGGAAAAAGCACGGGTCCCCAGGTTATGTAGCATGGTCACTTATCATCTCCCTTAGATAGGAGAGGGTGCTTCCCTTGCCCCATGTGGCCCGATGAACCACCTTGCTTTTTTTTTGCTCTCTGTGAGTCACATCAGCTGCCTCGTCAGTCCTGATGATAGAGCCTCAATACCTCGGTTGTCAGTGCAGGATTTGCATGCAGTTTTGGTTCTTTTCAGGAGGAGCCTTCGACTGCCACTGCTTCTAGTCAGCCATCGTGGCCCCACCTGTTCTTTCCTTTTCAGGTTGTTTATTGTTAGCATATAAAGTGCCAACTTCTTTTGATACATTCATTTTGTATCCTGTATCTTTTCAGAATTCATTTATTAGTTATAACAATTTTCTTTTTATGTAATGTCTTTAGGGTTTTCTACATATATAAGATTATGTCACTTGAAAACAGAAAATTTTACTTATTTCTTCAAAATTTGGATTTTCTTTTTTTTTTTTTTTTTTTGGCCTGATTTCTCTGACTAGCCCTCCTACTACTATGTTGAAAAAATGGAAAAAGCAGATACCTTTTTTTTTCCTAATCTTTGGGGAAAAGCTATCATCTTTCAACATTGAATGTAATATTAGTTGAGGCTTTTTCAAATATTGACTTTATCTTGTTGAGGAACTTCCTTCTATCCCAACATATGGCTGATTTTATCAGGGAAAGGTATTGAATTTTGTTGAATGCTGTTATTTCCAATTGGTTATAGTGTTATTAAACTCCTCTATTTCCTTAATTATATTCTGTCTGATTGTTCTAGCCACATTTTTAAAAGTAGAATATTGAAATTATCTTCCATCATTGTGGAATAATTTATCCCTTCATTATTTGCTTCATATATTTGAAAACCCTAATACTTGGTACATGTATGTTTTTACTTGTTATATATCTTCTTGGTGAATCTACACTTTTATTTCTATATAATTTCCTTCTTTAGGTCCTTTTATAGTTTTTAAATTAAAATCTATTTGTCCAATATTAGCTATCTCTCCCCTCTTTTAGTTAATATATTGATGGAAGGTATATATTTTTTCACCTTTTTACTTTCAATTAATGCATGTTCTTAGATCTAAAATGAGGCAGCATATATTTGAATCATGTTTTTTCTTTTCTTTTTTTTTTTTTTCTTTTGAGATGGAGTCTTGCCCTATTGCCAGGCTGGAGTGCAATGGCACAATCTTGGCTTAATGCACCCTCCACCTCCTAGGTTCAAGCGATTCTCCTGCTTCAGCCTCCCAAGTAGTTGAGACAACAGGAGCACACCACCATGCCCAGCTAATTTTTTTTATTTTTAGTAAAGATGGGGTTTCACCATGTTAACCAAGATGGTCTCGATCTTTTGAACTCATCATCCGCCTGCCTCAGCATCCCAAAGTGCTGCGATTCTTTCTGTTTATTTCTTGTCATTGAAAGATTTAAATCATTTACATTTAAAGTAAATGCTAATAGGGAATAACTTACTTTTGCTATTTTTTGTTTGTTTGGTGCATGTCTTTCAGTTTTGTTCTCTTTTCTATTAATATTACTGCCTTACTTTTTGTTTAAAAAACATAGTGACAAATTTGGATCTCCTTCTCATCTCTTTTACAAACATTCTAGACATGTATTCTTTGTGGTTAACATGTGGATTTCATATAACTTTCTCACGTTTTAATAATCTATTTTAAATTAACACCAAGTTAACTTCAATTGCATACAAAAATTCTACCTGCTTACAGACTAATTCCTCTGTTACTTTACATTATTGATGTCACAAATTACATTATATATATTTTGACCTCATTCTCATAGATTCAAACTTTGTTTATGCATTTGCCTTTAAAATTCTGTAGAAAATAAAAAAGTGGAGTTACAAACCAAAATCAAAATAATACTAGTTTTCATATTTGTCCATGTATGTACCTTTAACAGATAACTATATTTTTTCATCTGACTTTAAGTAACTGTTACTTATTTTATTTTAGCTTACAGACACTAGCATTTTTAATAGGGCAAGTGTAGCAGCAATAAATACTCTCAACTTTTGTTTCTCTTGAAATACCTTGATTTCCCCTTCATCTTTGATGGTCAGTTTTGAGAGACCTAAAATTTCTGTTTTACAGGTTTACTTTGTTCCTTTTTCTACTTTAAATATATATTCCCACTGCCTTCTGACCACAAAGTTTCCTGCTGACAAATCTGCTGGTAACCCACTTCAAAACCCCTTTTAAGTGACAAGTCACAATTCTCTTGCTGCTTTCAAGATTCTCTCTTTGTGTTTGGCTTTTGACAGTTTGATTATAACGTGGCTTGGTGTGGGTTTTTTCAGTTTATCTTATTGGTTTTTATTAAGCTTCTTGTATGTAGATATATGCCATTCCTCAAATTCAGGACATTTTTAGCCATTATTTTTTCCAAGAATTTCTCTGCCTCTTTCTCTCCCTTATCTTCCTCCAAGACTCTCATAATGCATAATTGTGCCAAAATCAGCTTGGTCGGGGAGACCCTAACCCAGTGGCGCTAGAGGAATTAAAGACACACACACAGAAATATAGAGATGTGAAGTGGGAAATCAGGGGTCTCACAGCCTTCAGAGCTAAGAGTCCTGAACAGATGTTTACCCACATATTTATTAACAGCCAGCCAGTCGTTAGCATTGTTTCCATAGATATTCGATTAACTAAAAGTATCCCTTATGGGAAACGAAGGGATGGGCAGAATTAAAGGAATAGGTTGGGCTAGTTACTGCAGCAGGAACATGCCCTTAAGACACAGATTGCTTATGCTTTGGTTTGTGGCTTAAGAATACCTTTAAGCGATTTTCCGCCCTGGGGCCAGCTGTTCCTTGCCCTCATTTCTGCAAACCCACAACCTTCCAGCTTGGGCATTAGGGCCATTATGAACATGTTACAGTGCCACAGAGATTTTGTTTATGGCCAGTTTTGGGGACAGTTTATGGCCAGATTTGGGGGGGCTTGCCCCCAACATAATTGGTCTGCTTAATGCTGTCTCACAAGTTCTTTAGGCTCTGTTTACATTTTCCATCCACTTTTATTTCTGCTCTCAGTCAACAATTTCAATTGTTCTGTCCTCAGGTTTGCTGATTATTTCTTCTGCTTATTTAAATCTACTGTTGAACCTCTCATAATATCATTTTCAATTTTGCTATTATACTTTTCAGCTCCAGAATTTCTATTTCTTAAATGATAACTCTCTTTGTTAATATTCTCATTGTCTTCATATGTCATTTTCATGATTTATTTATTTTTTTTGTACATGTTTTTCTTTAGCTCTTTAAGCCTATTTAAGACAGTAGTTTTAAAATTGAGAAAGGTCATAATGGAAGTAACAGATGCCATATGTGGTGATATATGAAAACAAAATGGACCTAAAAATCTTCATATGCCTAGGACAGGTAGTTTCAAGTAGAGAATTACAATATGACACTCAAGTCATGGAGAAGATGCTTTTCATTTTCCAAAGTCTAACTCCAGAGTCTAATGTTTTCTCCATGATGTTTACATATCACAGCATTTTCTACTTCCTCTGTGGCCTTTCTTGGCCTGAGATCCAAGCTATGTCACCTTTCCCCATCTGAGTTCCCAGTCAGGCAAAACAAAAACTTGTCCTCTGGTGGCCACTTTACAGAAAGGTTAGACTTTTGGAAATGCACGCTGCTCTGCTTCTTTCCTGTCTGAGAAAAGGAACCAAGAATTAGCCTGCTTCTTCAAGATTTTCCCACGCCAGGGAAGGAGTGGAGTAAAGCTAAGTAAAAATGCCATGAAATTTCCTACTATTTGGAGGTGTCTTTTACTGGATTGGGCATTTGCCTGGTTGATGCAGATCTTTGACTGATTTCCATAGCTTTTGTAAAATTACTTTAGCCATTCTTAGTTTTTGTTTTTCCTTTGGTGATCAAGGGCCAAGCTTCATAATCTGTCATCTTGTTGATTTTTCACTATAGTTACAAATTTTTTATAAAGTATTTATATAACAAAAGCTTAGTGTCTGCAAAAAATAGGTCTCCATTAATGAGGAATCATGCTTAAATAAGTCAATGAGTTCATGGAAAGGGCATTACTGTGAAAAAACAACACGTGGCTAACATCCTAAAAAAAGAGAGAAATCATGATTGGTGGGCAGATCAGGACATCAATACAGGACCCAAGAAAAGCCTCATGAAGAAGCCTTTTATAGACAGAGGTGTCAGAGGAAGTCTTCAATGAAATTTTTTAAAAATACAAGCAAAATAAAGAATGTAGTGTGTGTGTGTGTGTGTGTGTGTGTTTTAATTAGAAGAGTTTGGCTAAAAGTGAAAGTACATTATGTGAAAGTACATTATGAATTTACATATATGAACATAACAATGTGTTATAGGATTTTGGAAACTTTTAACTCATTTAATTTTTCTAATAACACTATACACAGGTACAATTTCTATTTATGCTTGAGAAATCAAGACAAAGAGAGGTCGAGTAATTTGCCAAAATTATAAATACATATCCAAGGGCTTTAATTTGAACCCAGGAAGCCAAGCATTTAATAGTATTTAGTCATTGCAACAAATCTATAACAAAGGCAGTATTCTTATCTGCATTTTATCCATGTGAAAATTGAGGCACAGAGAGCATAATTAATTTGCTCAAGACCATATGGACTTAGAGAATATTTTTTTTTTCTGGTCTACATCCCAAGCCCACATGCCCAACCACTGTGGGTAAGTAATTAACTGAAAAAACTGGTGGGGAAGGTTTGTGACAGAGTCAATTAGAATGTGAGAAGAAGGAGATTCAACCTTATTTTGTATATAATTATAGGCCTTTGAATTTCTTTTTTTGAGGGGGAATAAATTGATCTCTTTTCAGGAAGATTAATCTGACAGGATTTTGAGAAACAAAGGGATACTTTTAGAAGACTATTTCTCTAGGGGTGACCCTATGCACAGAGGCCCTGAAGCAGATGACAGCAGTAGGAAGAGAGGGCAAAGGGGAAAGACTCCATGACCTTCAAGAGATGGCACACTCTGATTATTGAATACAAAGGAAAAATGCACTGGGCAAACTATGAAAGTTTTGCTTCCAGGATATTGGTAATAGGTTGCGACGTTAGCAGCAGTCAGGTAGTTTTTGGTTTTGTTAAGTCAATGGAGAAATATTTGTTAAGTGCTGTATATGTAAAAGACACTGTGATAATGATTATGCTGGGAATTACTAAATATAAAAAGAAGTATAAGATGCTCAAGATTTGGCTGGGCCTGGTGGCTCACGCCTGTAATCCCAGCACTTTGTGAGGCCAAGGTGGGAGGATCATGAGGTCTGGAGACCGAGACGATCCTGGCTAACATGGTGAAACCCTGTCTCTACTAAAAACACAAAAAAATTAGCCGGGCATGGTGGCGGGTGCCTGTAGTCCCAGCTACTCGGGAGGCTGAGGCAGGAGAATGGCATGAACCCAGGAGGCAGAGCTTGCAGTGAGCAGAGATCACACTACTGCACTCCAGCCTGGACGACAGAGCGAGTCTCTGTCTCAAAAAAAAAAAAAAAAAAGATGCTCAAGATTTTTGCCCTCCTTTCCTCTTTTCCTTTATCTGTCTCTTTCCCTCTTTCATCTTTTTGTATTCTCTCTCTCCCTTCCATCCTTTCATCTTTCCCTACTTCTTTCCTTCTTTTTTCTTCTACCTTCCTTCCTTCCTTTTTTTATTCCTTTTTTTCTTTCTTCCTTTCCTTGCATTCTTCTTGCAAATATATACTTTTTTTTTTCTACTCTGTTTTAGTCACTGTTTAAGGCACTGGGGATTTGGTAGTGAATAAGACCATATCCCTGCCTTTACCGTCTCGAGGGAGATGACAGTTAATAAATAAGTTAATAAGTTAATTTAAAACCAAATTTCAGGCTTATACTTTGAAGAAAAACAAAAAAGGGTAAGAAATAAAACAGTGGTAGAAGAGATAGATGTGGTTATTTTAAATAAGAAAATTAGAAAACAGCTCTCTGAATTTTAGGAATAAATCTCAAGAGTTGAGAATATATAGCTCTATGTGTCTCAAGTGTAAATTAGGGCTTTTAAAAAATTTTACAATTTGTTTTCTGTATTTTCTGTATTTACTTATTTATTTATTTATTTATTTATTTATTTTTATTTCGAGACGGAGTCTCGTTCTGTCGCCCAGGCTGTAGTGCAGTGGTACGATCTCAGCTCATTGCAACTTCCGCCTCCTGGGTTCAAGTGATTCTCCCGCCTCAGGCTCCTGAGTAGCTAGGATTACAGGCGTACGCCAACATGCCCGGCTAATTTTTGTATTTTTAGTAGAGATGTGGTTTCACCATGTTGTCCAGGCTGGTCTTGAACTCCTGACCTCAGGCGATCCACCTGCCTTGGCCTCCCAAAGTGCTGGGATTATAGGAGTGAGCCACCGTGCCTGGCCTGTTTTTCAACAATATATTTTATTTTTATTTTATCCCTTTAAAATATTTTATTTTGTGTGTGCTTTATAATATCTATAAATAGATAGAATAGTCTATTTTCACAGATTACAAGAGATGTACATATAATTCAGACTTTAAATTTTTTGATGATAGAGGTGTATAATAAAAAAGTAAGGAGTCAGCTGATGTGTAAAAAAGTCAGTTGTTGAAAGATTTCTTGCTACTTCCTCCATCTTTGTATCCAAGTGGGAGCGCATCTCTACGTGTGTTCTGGTTGACTTTATGTACCTTGTCACCTAGACAGTGTAAATTTCACAGCATTTGTATATGTATTCTATTGTCTCTTATGACCTGTCTCATAGAGAATCCCTTTTCTCACAAGTGAACAAGTCCTCTGTTGTCTCAGTATACATTCTCAATATTGTCTGTATACTACAATCATCCAGAAAGCCTTTTGGTTATTGTTGATACATAATAATTGTACATATTTATGGAATACATGTGATATTTCAATACAAGCATAGAATGTGTAATGATCAAGTCAAGGTATTTAGAATATTCGTCACTACAGCATTTATGTTTCTTTGTGTTGAGAACACCTCGAATCTCATCCTCTAGCTTTTTAAAAATATATATCAAATATAGTCACTCTACTGTGCTATTGAACACTATAACTTATTTTTTCTATCTAATTGTATATTTGTACCCATTAACTAAGTTCTCTTTATTCCCTTCCTCCATCTACACACATTCTTCCCAGCCTCTGGTAACTATCATTCTACTCTTTATCTCCCTGAGATAACTGTTTAACTCCCACACATGAATGAGACATGCAACATTTGTCTTCATGTGCTTAGCTTATTTCATTTAACATTATGACCTCCAATTCCATCTATGCTGCTCAAATGAAAGGAGTTCATTCTTTTTTATGACCAAATAGTATTCCATTGTGTATAAATGCCATATTTTTAATCCATTTATCCACTGATGGACACTTACATTGATTCCATATCTCCGCTATTGTGAATAGTGCTGCAACAAACATGTAGATGCAGGTATCCCTTTGATACATTGATTTCCTTTCCTTTCCTCTCCTTTCATCCAACAGTGAGATTGCTGAATTGTATGATAATTCTATTTTTTGCATTTTGATACATCTGCACACTGCTTTCCGTAATGGTTACACTAATGGACACTAACCAACAGTATTTAAGAGTTTTCTTTTCTCTGTATTCTCACCAGCTTAATTTCTGTCTTTTTTATAATAGCCATTCTAAGTAAAAGCATGTCTCATTGTGATTTTAATTTGCATTTCCCTGATGATTGGTGATGTTGAACATTTTTTCATACATCTATTGGCCATTTGTATGTCTTCTTTTGAGGAAGTTCTATTCATGTTATTTGCCGGCTTTTTCTTTCTTTTTTTTTTTTTTTGTGAGAGGGAGTCTCATTCTGTTGCCCAGGTTGAAGTGCAGTGGCGCTATCTCAGCTCACTGCAACCTCCACCTCCCGGATTCCAGAGATTCTCCTGCCTCAGCCTCTTGAGTAGCTGGGACTATAGGCGCATGCCACCATGCCCAGCTAATTTTGTATTTTTTAGTAGAGATGGGGTTTCACCATATTGGCCAGGTTGATCTCAAACTCCTGACATTGTGATCCCTCAGCCTAAGCCTTCCAAAGTACTGGGATTACAGGCGTGAGCCACCAGGCCCAGCCATTTGCCCACTTTTTCATGAGATTATTATTATTTTTTGTTATTGGATATTAATCCATTGTCAGATGAATATTGTGCAGATGTGTTCATCCATTCAGCTGGTGTCTCTTCTTTCTGTTTTTTTTTTTCCTTTTTGCTAAGAGATTTTTTTTAAGGTTTATTTAGTCGCATTTGTCTATTTTTGTTTATGTTGCTTATGCTTTTGAGGCCTCAGCCGTAAAAATTTTACCTATACTAATGTTCTAGAGTATTTCCCCAATGTTTCCTTTTAGTAGTTTTATCATTTGGGGTCTTACATTTAATTCTTGATTCCACTTTGAGTTGATTTTTGTATATAGGGAGAAATATGTCTCTAGTTTTATTCTTCTGCATATAGATATACAGTTTTCCTAGCTCCATATATTGAACAGGGTGTCATCTCTCCAGTGTACATTTTTGGTGTGTTTGTTAAAAGTAAGTTGGCTGTAACTATGAGGGATTATTTTCTGGTTCTTTCCTCTGTTTCATTGGTTTATGAATCTATTTTTATACTTATACTATATTGTTTTGGTTACTATAACCTTGTAGTATGTTTTAAAATTAGGTAGTTTGATAGCTAGAGCTTTCTTCATTTTGCTCAAGATTATTTTGGCTTTTGGGGATCTTTTCTGGTTTTATACAAACTTTAGAGCTTTCACCCCTATTTTGTGAAAATGTTCATTGGTATTTTGATAGGGATTGCATTGAATCAGTAGATTGCTTTGGGTGGTATAATCATTTTAACAACATTAATTTTTCTAACTCATGAGTATGAGATGTCTTTCCATTTTTTGTTTTTTCTTCAATATATTTTTTCTTTTTTCCCCATAAACTTTTATGTTAGATACAGGGGGTACATGTGCAGGTTTGTTACCTGGGCATATTGCATGATGCTGAGGTTTAGGTTACAAGTGATCCCGTGACGCAGGTACTGAGTATAGTACCCAGGAGTTAATTTTTCACATTTGTCCCCCCTCTCCATCCTCCTTCTAGTCATCCCTAGTTTCTATTGTTGCCATCTTTATGTCCGTGAGTAAACAGCATTTAGCTCCCACTTGTAAGTGAGAGCATGCAATATTTTATTTTCTGTTTCTGTGTTAATATGCTTAGAATGATGGCCTCCACCTGCATCCATATTGCTGCAAATGACATGATTTCATTATTTTTTATGGCTCCATACTATGCTGTGATGTATATGTACTATATTTCCTTTATACGATCCACCATTGCTGAGGCCCTAGGTTGATTCCTTGTCTTTGCTATTGTGAACAGGGCTGTAATGAACATGTGAGTTCATATGTCTTTGTGGTAGAATAATTTTTTTTCTTTTGGGTATATATTTAGTGATGGGGTTGCTGGATTGTATGGTAGTTGTTTTTTGAGTTTTTTGAGAAATCTCCATAGTGTTTTCCATAATGGCTTCACTAATTCATACTCTCAGAAGCAGTGCATAAGAGTTTCCTTTTTTCTGTATCTTCACCAGCATCTGTCTTTTTTGTTGTTTGTTTGGTCTTTTTGATAACAACCATTCTAAGTCGGGTAAGAGGATATCTTACTGTGATTTTGATTTGCATTTTCCTGATGACTGGTGATATTGAACATTGTTTTATGTTTGTTGACTGCTAGCATATCTTCTTTTGACAGGCATCTGTTCATGCCATTTGTCTATTTTTAATGGGGTTGTTCAATATTATTTGTATAATTGTTTAAGTTTCTTATGGATGCTAGATATTAGACCTTTGTCAGATGCGTAGTTTGCGAATATTTTCTCCCATTCTGTGGGTTTTCTGTTTACTCTGTTGATAGTTTCTTTTGCTGTGCAGAGGCTCTTTAGTTTAATTAGGTCCCACTTGTCAATTTTTGGTTTTGTTCCAATTGCTGTTGAGAACTTAGTCATAAATTCTTTGCCATGACCAATGTCTAGAAATGGTGTTTTCTAGGTTTCCTTCTAGGATTCTTATATATTGAGATTTTATGTTTAAATTTTTAATTCACCTTGAGTTAATTTTTGTACATTGTGAAAGGTAAGCATTCAGTGTCATAGTTCTGCACATGGCTTGCCAGCTATCCCAGCACCATTTATTGAATAGAGTTATTTCCCCTTCGCTTATATTTGTCAACTTTTTCAAAGATCAAATGGCTGTAGGCCTGTGACTTTATTTCTGGGCTCTCTATTCTGTACCGTTGGTCTATGTGTCTGCTTTTGTACCAGTACTGTGCTGTTTTGGTTACTATAGCCTTATAGTATCATTTGAAGTTAAGTAGTGTGATGCCTCCAGCTTTGTTCTTTTTACTTCAAATTACTTTGGCTATCTGGGCTCTTTATTGGTGTCACATGAATTTTAACTAAGTTTTTTTTCAATTCTGTGAAAAATGATGTTGGCAGTTGGACATAAATAGCATTGAATCTGTAGATTGCTCTGGGAAGTATGGCCATTTTAATGATACTGATTCTTTCAACCCATGAGCATGGTATATGTTTCCATTTGTTTGTGTCATCTATGATTTGTTTTAGCAGTGTTTTGTAGTTCTCCTTGTAGAAAACTTTCATCTCCTTGGTTAGATGTATTTATATGATTTTTTGGTAACTATTGCAAACTGGTCTGCATTACTATTCTTCATTTGGCTCTCCACTTGAATTTTATTGATGTATAGAAATGCTACTGAGTTTTGTACATTGAATTTGTATCCTGAAACCTTGATAAAATTGTTTATCAGTTCTCATAGCCCTTTGGCAGAGTCCTTAGGGTTTTCTAAGTATAGAATTATATCATCATTAAAAAGAGATAGATTGACTTTCTCTTTTCTTATTGGAATGCTTTTATTCAATTCTCTTACCTAGGTTGCTCTTCCAGCACTTGTAGTACTATATTGAACAGGAGTGGTAAGAATGGGCATCCTTGTCTTCTTCCAGATCTCAAGGGAAATACTTCCATTTTTGCCCAGTCAGTATAATGTTGTCTGTGAGCTTGTCATGGATGGCTGTTATTATTTTGAAGTATGTTCCCTTGATGCTTTCTTTCTTGAGGGTTTTTATCATGAAGGGATGTTGCATTTTACTGAAAGCTGATTCAATGTCCATTGAGATAATCACCATGTTTTTTAATTTAATTCTGTTTATGTGGCGAATTTCATTTATTTATTTGCATATGTTTAACCAACCCTTCATCCCAGGAAGGAAGCCTACTTGATCATGGTGAATTAACTTTTTGATGTGCCGTAGAATCCAGTTTTCTAGTATTTTGTTGAGGATTTTTGCATCTTATGTTCATCAGTGATACTGGCTTGTAGTTTTCTTTTTTCGTTGGGTCTTTGTCTGGTTTTGGTATCAGGGTGATGCTGGCTTCATAGAATCAGTTAGGGAGGAGTTCATTCTCCTTAATTTTTGCAAATATTTTCAGTTGAATTTATTCCAGCTTTTTTTCATACATCTGGTAGAATTTGGCTTTGAATCCATCCGGTTCAGGGCTTTTTTGGTTGGTAGATTTTTTTATCACTGTTTCAATTTCAGAACTCATTATTGATCTGTTCAGTGTTTCAATTTCTTCCTGATTAAGTCTCAGGAGTCAGTGTGTTACCAGGAGTTTATCCATTTTCTATAGATTTTCTAGTTTGTGTGTATAGAGGTGTTTATAATAGTTGCTCCAGTATTTGGTATTTCTGTGAGATCAGTTGTAATGTCACCTTTATCATTTCTAATTGTGCTTATTTGGATCATCTTTCTTCTTTTCTGTGTTAATCTAGCTAGTGGTCTACTGGTCTTGCTCAGACTAAAAAAAAAAAAAACTTTTGGGCCATACCAGATATTTTGGTATATTATATTTCTGTTTGCATTTATTTCAAAGAACTTTTAAACTTCTGCTTTGATTTTATCATTTATCCAAAAGTCATTCAGGAGCAAATTTTTAAATTTCCATATAATTGTGTGGTTTTGAGAGATCTTATTGGTACTGATTTCTATTTTTATGCCATTGTGGTCCAAGAGTATGGTGGTATAATTTTTATTTTTTTTTAATTTATTGAAACTTGTTTTATTGCTGAGCATGTGGTGGGTCTTGGAGTATGCTCTGTGTGAAGAGAAAAAGAATGTATAATCTCTGGATGATGAGTGAAATATTCTGTGGATATCTATTAGCTCCAATTTTTCATGTGTTGTGTTTAAGTCCAGAATTTCTTTGTAAGTTTTCTGCCCCAGTGATCTGTTTAGTGCGTTCAGTGGAGTGTTGAAGTCCCCCACTATTGTTGTGTGGTTTTCTAAGTCTTTTCTCAGGTCTAGATGTGTTTGTTTTATGAATTTCAGTGCTCCAATGTTGGGTGTGTATATATTTGGGGCAGTTAAGTCTTTTTGTTTAATGAAACTGTTTATCTTTATGCTGTGACCTCCTTTGTCTTTTTTCTTTTTCTGTTATTGGCTTAAAGTCTGTTTTATCTGGTGTAAGAATAGAGACCCATGCTCTTCTTTGTTTTCTGTTTGTGCGGTAGATCTTTCTCCAAGCCCTTATTTTGAGCCTATGGATGTCATTACATGTGAGATGGGTCTCTTGAAGAGAGCAGACAGATGGGTCTTGTTTTTGTAACCACCTTTCAGTCTGTGCCTTTTATGTGGGGTGTTTAGGCCATTTACATTCAAGATTAATATTAACATGTGAAGTTTTGATTCTTTGGTGAAGCTGTTAGCTGGTTGCTTTGTTATATCTATTGTGTGGTTGTTTGATAGGGTCTGTAGGCTGTGTACTTATGTGTGTTTTTGCTGTAGCACATATCTTTCTTTTATTTTCATTTTTAGAATTCCCTTAAAGATCTATTGTAAGGCTGGTCTAGCGGTAACAAACTCCCTTAATTGCTTGCTTGCCTGGAAAATATTTTATTTCCCCTTGGCTTATGAAGCTTAGTTTGACAGTATATAAAAATTCTTGGTTTGAATTTCTTTTCTTTAAGAATGTTGAAAATAGTCCCCCATTCTTACCTGGCTTGTAAGGTTTCTACTGAGAAGTCTGCTGTTAGCTGGATAAACTTCCCTTTGTACATGATCTGCCCTTTTTCTCTAGCTACCTTTAAGATTTTTCTTTGACATTAACATTGGACAATTTGGTGATTATATGCCTTGGTGATGTTAGTTTTGTATAATATCTTGCAGGCATTCTGTTTTATTTTTCTAAATCTGGATGTCTAACAAGATTATGGAAGTTTTTTTTTAAATATTCCATCAAATATATTTTCCAGTTATTTATTTTTCTCCTTCTCTTTCAGAAATGTTAATAATTCATAGGCTTGTTTGTTTTACATAATCTTATGTTTCTCAAAAACTGTTTATTTTTCTAAATTGTTTTATCTTTATTTTTGTTTGATGGAGTTATTTCAAAAGATTGGTTTTTAAGCTCTGAAATTCTTTCTTCTGATGGTTGGCTCTATTATTAAAGCTTTCAACTGTATTTTGAAATTTCTTATGGGAGTTTTTCAATTCCAGAAGCTCTGATTGATTTTTTTAAAGGTGTTTATATTTTCCTTCATTTCTTGAATTGCTTTAGAAGTTTCTTTGTTTTGGTTTTCAACTTGTCTTGGATCTCATTGAAATCCATTGTAATCCATGCTTTGGATATGTTATCTGTCATTTCTGAGTTCCCATTTTGGTTTGGGAGCATTGTTGGAGAACTACTGTAATCCCTTGCTGGTATTACTTTCAGATTTCTCATAGTGCTAGGATTCTTGCACTTGCTTCTTCTCATCTGGAGACACTGGAACTTTAATTCTTGTAATTATTTTCATGCAGGAGCATTTTTTTTCCTTTACGTTATTATTATTACATTCTCTTTCCCTTTCCCTTTTTAATCCTTGCTGGGAGATGTGACTGTGTAGAAGGCTGGGCAGGATCTTGTAGATTTGCCTCTATAGTTCTATGCACTTCTTTCAGTAGGTTATAGGATATGGAGTTTGACCCACAAGCCCACAGATGGCACTAATAGGTAAGAGCTGACTATGGCCAACATGGGTGCGTATACACTTCATTTTTTATTTGTTGGCAGAAGCTTTCTGTTGCCTCAGATAATGGTCTGATATATGGAATGCACAGTATTCTGAGCTTGCTTCTTAGCCCAAGGGACACGAACCATGAAATGTGAGATTGGACTGGGCAGATCCTCCTACTGGTCCCCTGATGGAAAGCACAAGCACCAACACTGTGGGAGAAGCCAGTGGGAAGTCAACAAGCACCCAGAGCTGTGCCTAGGCATAGAGCTGAGAAATCACCTCAGCATTAAGTTCTCTGCACACAAATTGAAGGGGGGTGGGAAGCTTAAACTTCTAATCCAGAAGATGGTTTCAGCAGGTTTTAGATGGTTTCTGATCTCAGATGCCTGGAGATCTGTCAGATGGTACATGGAGCAGAAAGGGACCCCTTGTACCAAGATCTCTGCACAGGAATGCTGTGGGGACTCAGACTGCTGAACCAGGAACCAGGCAAGCAGGTGTTCTGAATGTCTAGATATCTGCCTAGGCATGTAGCAGAGATGGCTCTCCTTCACCAGGGTCTCTGTGCAGGAAGGTGAGGTGGATTAGGTTGCTGATCCAGGCAAGCCGGTTCTCTGAATGCCTAGAGATATGCCTAGATGTGAAGCAGAGAGGGCTTTGCTGCACCACAATCTATGTCCAGGAAGGGTGGGGTGGCTCCGGTTGTTGATTCAGATGAGTGGGTTCTCTGATTGCCTGGCGATCTGCCTGGATGTGAAGCAGAAAGGGCCTCCCTGCACCAGGATCTCTGCATAGGAAGGGTGGGGCAGATAAGGCTGCTGACCCAAATGAACAGTGATCTGAATGTCTGAATGTGGAGCAGGGAGGGTTCCCCTGCATCAAGAGCTCTGCACAAGAGGGGCAGGTTACTCAGGGTGTTGAACAAAGCAAGCAGGTGCTCTAAATGCCTGGAGATTTGCTAGGCATGTAGAAGAGAGGGTCCTCCTGTGCCAGAATCTCTGCACAGTAAGGGGAGGGCATATCAGCCTGCTGATCCAGGCTAGCTGGTGGTCCAAATTCCTGGAGATTTGCCTCAGTGTGGAACAAAGAGAGCCCCACTTTACAACAATATATGCCCATGAAGGTTGGGGCACTTCCAGCTACTGAATTAGGTGAATGGGTGCTTTTCATTTTTGCAGACCTGCCTGGGCATGCAGCAGAGGGAGCTCTGCTGCACCATGATCTATATTCAGGAAGGGTGGAGCAGTTCAGGCTGCTGAACCAGGTGAGTGGGTATGCCAAATTCCATGGGATCTGCCTGGGTGTGGAGCAGAGTGCCTCACTGAACCACAACCTAATCCTAGGAAGGGTGGGGTAGCTCAGGCTTCTGGTTCAGGCAAGTGAGTGTTCCAAATGTCTGGATTTCTGCCTAGGTGTGGAGCAGAGTGGCCCTTGCTGCACCATGATCTTAGGAGAGCCGGGGAAGACACACAGCAATGGCACACACAGATTGGTTTCAAGTCACCAAGCTGGTCCAGGCTACAAGTCTCACCATCCAGGAAAAATAGCAGCTGTAGCAGTTCCCCTCCTGCCTAGGCTTACCATGGGGAAGAGCACAATTCTAGCCCTGCTCCTGGGGTGATGTCCATGGTTCTGACTGTGGAGGCCTCAACCCCACTCAAGAGAAGGTGCTCCAATCTCTGGCCAAAACTACAATGCCTGTGCAGCCACACTGCCAGGTCACTAAGGTATGTCTTTCTATATACCTAGATTTAAAATAGTGTACTGCTCTCAGTCTTGGATCTGGGAAAATGTCTGCAGCTTTTTCCAGTGTCTTTCCATCACAGCATCTCCAAGCCTCTCCCCAAGTTAGCCCCAGGGCTTGAGAGAAACAGTGTTCTCCCTTGGCCTAGGTTGCTTGGATTCCCAGTGGAAAGGTGAGTCACAGAGACAGACTCTCTGCCCTCTCACCTACCAGGTCTTTACTCATTTTTATCAACCACATGCTGCCACAGGGGCAGTTTGCCAGATTATCTTCTTCAGGATCTGGGGTGACCTTCATGATTCAAGAGGATTCCCATTTTCCTTCTTGATTTAAAGCTCACAGAATTTATTTCTATGTACTATCTTGCTATTTCCAAATGGCGGAGGCATGCTGAAAGCCCCTAATCTGCCATCTTGGGAAAAAAAAAAAAAAAAATATATATATATATATATATATATATATATAGAGAGAGAGAGAGAGAGAGAGAGAATATTTTTTATCAGTCATTTGTAATGTTCCTTGTGGAGACCTTTCGCTTCCATGTTGAATTTATTCCTAGATATCTTTCTTTTGGTAGCTATAATAGACAGGATTGTCTTCTTTATTTCTTTTTCATCTTGTTCGTTTTGGGTGTGTAAAAATCTTACTGACTTTTTAATGTAAATTTTGTTTTCTGCAACTTTATGGAATCTTTTAATCGGTTCTAAGTATTTTTTTGGTTAAGGAATTAGGATTTTCTAAATATAGGATCATGTCACCTGCAAAAAGGGACAATTTTACCACCTCTTTTCCAGTTGAGATGCCTTTTATTTCTTTCTCTTACCTGATTGCTCTGGCTAGTACTTCCAGTACTATGTTGAATAAAAATGGTAAAATTTGACATCCTTGTTTTATTCTAGTTCTCAAAAGAAGGGATTTCAGCTTTTCCCCATTCAGTATAATGAAGTTGTAAGTTTGTCATGTACGGCCTTTGTCATGTTGAGGTATGTACCTCCTGTGCATAGTTTATTGCGGGTATTTTAGTGGAGTGAAAAAAATCTTTTTTTAATGGAGTGAAAAATAGTTTTACTTTATTATTATGAAGTTATGTTGAATTTTACCTACTGCTTTTTCTGCATCTATTGAGATAATCATATGGGGCTTTTCTTTCTTTTTGCTGAATGTAATTTATCACAATTCTTGATTTCCATATGTTGAACCATCCTTGCATCATTGGGATGAATCCATCTTCATCATGGCTTATTACCTTTTTGATATGTTGGATTAAGTTTGCTAGCATTTTGTTGAGGATTTTTGCGTCAATATGCATCAGGAATATTGACCTGCAGTTTTCCTTTGATGTTGTGTTCTTGGCTTGTTTTTATATAAGGGTAATTCTGGCCTTGTAGAATGAGTTAGGAAGAATTCTCTCCTCTTCAATTTTTTTGAATGGTTTGAGAACAATTGGTGTTACTTTTTAAATATAAATTTAATAGAATTTGACAGTAAAACCACTTGGTCCCGAGCTTTTCTTTGTTAGGAGATTTTTATTACCAATTCAAATTTGTTACTCATTATTAGTCTGTTCGGGTTTTCTGTTTCTCCCTAGTTCATTTTTGGTAGCTTGTATATGTCCAGAAATGTATCTATTTTATCTAGCTTTCCCAGTTTTTTACCTTATAGTTGTTTACGATTATCTTTTGTATTTCTGTAGCATCAGATGTAATGTCTTGTTTTTCATTTTTTATTTTATTCATTTGGGTCCTCTCTCTTTTTTCTTTGTTAATCTAGCCAGAGGTATTGATTTTGTTTATTCTTTTTTCTCTCTTTTTATTTTTTGTGGCCCTCATCTAAGGTCAAGCAAAAAACACTATTTTCATTTATTTTCTTGTTTCTATGTTTTATGAAGTAAGATCCCATTGACATGAGACAGTTAAAAACAAACCTACATATTTATAGTGCAACAATTACAGTGGACCAGAAATGGGAAATCTAGTTCTGCAAACATATTAACAAATGTATTTACAGACAGCTCTGGTGATTGGTAACCATGACCAATTTAAAATAACACTAAAAATGTATCTTTTCATAAATCACAGCCATTTAACCTATCTATATGTGTATACAAAAAAGCGGAAGCATTCTAGTGCAAAAGCATGCTTAATAAAACATGTAATTTCAGCCTCATTAAATACTAAAAATATATATTTCAGTTAACAATTTCAAGTTGTAGAAAAACTGTCTTAACTTCGTTGTAATAGCCATGAGAAGAGAGTCTTTTCCAAAGGAATCATCGTATTTATAGAAGAATGAGACTATTAAACCAACTATTTTTAAGAATAGCAAACAAAAACACCTTTCTAAAATTTCTTGAACTGGGGAGAGCAGCCAGCCACAATTATGAAGGTGCTAATGAATTCTCCAAGGACAACAGGATGATGGTCATATTGTCAGGGAAATTGCTGTCCTGTATACCTATTCATGTGGCCTATAGCATTTCAAAAGCTCTGAGAAACATCTTCAATAAGATATTAACTAAAAATATCTTGATAATTTTATTCAACCCAGAATGTTTCAAACTGACTTGAAACTGACTTAACATTTTTTTCTTACACTATTAAAATATTCTCTTTAACAGTGTTCCCAGGCACATCAACTCAGTTCAGTTGTTTTAGATTAATGACTCTTTCTCTTCTAGCCAGCATTTCCTCTTCTTTTTAACTGGTAATCTAAGAAATGTATCACTTTCTGTTTATATTCTTCAAGACCAGCTTATTCAAGACAGAGGCCTTGTTCATTCTGTACTCATCATTCAAATCTACTGTGCCACTCTATATCTCAATTATTGTTGCCATATGAGACCAAAGAAAGAACTGCAGATGCCAAAGCCACTGAAAAGACTAGGATGCCCTGCTCTCCGCCACCAAAAAAAAAAAAGAAAAAGAAATAAAAATAAGACTAATTCAAATTAAATCTACATTTTTCTGGATCTTCTAATAACAGAATTCTCACTTCTTTTGGTGTCCCTGCCTGGCAAGTATCCTGACCATGTACTTAGTCTGCCTATTAAAAATTCACACTCTTCAATTTCACAAGTCCTTGGCATTTTTCTCTTGGATTCACAATAAAACAAATGCCAGATCAAGGACATCCATCCAATAATTTAGTAGGTGGTAATCTAATTGAATGGTGCAGTTAGAGATTAGCTTTAAAGCTTAAATTATGCAGCAAAGACATTATTATTACTTAAGGCTTCATCTTAATAAAAGAAGGATTTGGAGAGCTAGTAGAGATTTTTGGAGGCTGAAGCTGTTCTCTCAAGCCATCTGTCAGTGCTGCCACTTTGTGATGGTTAATATCGAGTGTCAACTTGATTGGATTGAAGGATGCAACATATTGTTCCCGGGTGTGTCTGTGAAGGTGTTGCCAAAGGAGATTAACATTTTAGTCTATGGACTCGGAGAGGCAGAATCACCCTCAATCTGAGTGGGCATCATTTAATCAGCTGCCAGAGTGTCTAGAACAAAGGAGGTAGGAGAAGATGAAACAGCAGACTTGCTGAGTCTTCCAGCCTTTATCTTTCTCCCGTGCTGGATGCTTCTGGCCCTTGAACATCAGACTCCAGGTTCTTCAGCTTTTGGACTCTAGGACTTACATCAGTGATTTGCAAAGGACTCTTGGACCTTTGGCCACAGACTGAAGGCTGCACTGTTGGTTTCTCTACTTTTGAGGTTTTGAGACACGGACTGATACACCACTGGCTTCCTTTCTCCTCAACTTGCAGACAGCTTATCATAGGATTTTACCTTATGATTTTGTAAGTCAATTTTCTTTAATAAACTCATATATATATATCCTACTAGTTATGTCCCTCTAGAGAACCCTGACTGACATACAGTTTGTGTGGAGATACACACACACACACACACACACACACACACACACACACACACACACACAAATGTATTGCTGGCTGATCTACTTACCCCTAGCTGTCCTCATTTTTTTTTTTTTTTTGAGTTGGAGTCTCGCTCTGTCGCCCAAGCTGGAGTGCAGTGGCTGCATCTTGGCTCACTGCAAGCTCCGCCTCCTGGGTTCACGCCATTCTCCTGCTTCAGCCTCCTGAGTAGCTGGGACTTGTGCCACCACTCCCAGCTAATTTTTTATATTTTTAGTAGAAATGGGGTTTCACCACGTTGGCCAGGATGGTCTCGATCTCCTGAACTCGTGATCTGCCTACCTAGGCCCCCCAAAGTGCTAGGATTACTGGCGTGAGCCACTGCGCCTAGCCAGCTGTCCTCATTTCATATGATGTTTCTGAGCATTAAACATCTTGTGGATTTTTCCACATAAAATTCAAAATGACTTTTAACTGTTATTTTCCATGTGGGCTCTATCTAACTCTTTACTTCTTTGTTCACCATTAATTCTTCATTTGACGCTACAGTCCTATGACACTATAATCATCTACTTTCAAACTTACAATGAAAAATCTTACCATGGCCAACAAAGTGCTACATGATCTTAGCACCTCAGTGACTTCATTTCCTTTCACATTTTTCACTGAGGAAGCACCTTGAAATTTTTGTTGTTTCTTTAATTGGCCAAGTATACTTTACCTACAAAATTGTCGTAGTTATGGTACCCTTAGTTAAAGACAATCTCCCCCTGCATATTCATATAGCTTACTTCTTCAATTTTCTCAAGATATTGTTCAAACATTAGTTCTTCAACAAAGCCTTTAGTGATTTCCAAAGTAGAATCTCATGATTAACTTTTACCTCCTATCAAATGGAGTTTGAATTTCATAAGTTTGGAGACTGTGTTTTTGACTACTGCATTCTCAGACATGGGGCAGTGCCTAAAACCTAATAACAACTCAAGAAACACTTGTTGAATGAATAAATGAGTCCCTTCATTTTCAACAAACTATCACACAAATGCATCTTTGTAATACTGTTTTCTTGTCTGAAGACCCTATGACAAGTCTTAGTAAAAAAAATTATTTATACTCCATGTATGGCACAGATATTGTATTATCTAGAAATATTTTCTTACATCCCTATTCCTTTTTATCCTCTACCCCCACCTCATTAATATTTTTATTACAGAGCAACTTTCAAACCATAACAAATTTTATTGATCTGGTTCTATTTTTTTTCTTTTTTTGAGACAGAGTCTCTCTCTGTCGCCCAGGCGGGAGTGCAGTGGCACGATCTCCACTCACTGCAAGCTCCTCCTCCTGGGTTCACACCATTCTCCTGCCTCACTCCCCCTGGGTTCACACCATTCTCCTGCCTCAGCCTCCCGAATAGCTGGGACTACAGGCACCTGCCACCATGCCCAGATAATTTTTTTTGTATTTTCAGTAGAGATGGGGTTTCACTGTGTTTGCCAGGATGGTCTCCATCTCATGACCTCGTGATCTGCCTGCCTCGGCCTCCCAAAGTGCTGGGATTACAGGTGTGAGCCACCATGCCCAGCCTGATCTGGCTTTATTAGCATTAAACTGTGAGAGCCTTTAGATGCTAATTTTATTCTATTTCTCTTTGTATGCTTAGTCCTCAGCACAATGACTAGTTATTTACCTGGTGTCAAAAAATGGTTATTAACTTGAGCCAACTTATCTTTACAACATTACAACAAAGGAAAACACAAAAGAAGCATGGTATTTCCCATTCATAGATATAATTTGGTGGAACCCAATGCACTCTTGTAATAGGAACACAGACGCATGTATACACACACACACACACACACACACACACACACACACACACACTGCCATCAGCAGCAAGATGTTTTTGGCCAATCCCCTTCTCATAATTATTGTGAAAAGATACATGTCAATGAAATGGCTGACTAGGAAACTTCAAGCCATTTTTTTCTATAAAGACAAAATAAATGAGCAAAAATTAGATGAACTCACTTTATAAGAACTCTGGAAAACAGTCAAATGTTTACAACAACCAAGCAAGTGACCAATTAGGGAAAGCCCACCTTAAAAATGATAGGAAATTGCATGGCAATTTTACTTATTCTTGCTCAATCCCCTCCCCATGTGGTGTGGTGTTGTGGCCTTGGTATCAAGGAAGCATTACTTGGTTCCTGCTCCTCTCTCTTGAACTGCAGGGAGCAGATTAGCACTATTTGCAACATTTCAACCTATCTATATGCTATCTAAAGAAAAGATGTTTGTCACATCTAACTCAAATCTGAAGCAGGGAAAAGCAGTAACCAATGATTATGATAGCTATAAGGTAAAAACAGACCCACATATACCTGTTGCAAGAGATAATGGTAGCATCATTCTACAGACCATCTAAGATCCTGAGGAAAAGCTGAAGTAAAATTCTTTGGAAGACTAAGAAATTGAAAAGCAGCCATGTATTAGGGATAACTGAGAAAGCTACATGCAGATCCAGTCAAGAGATATGCTCAGAAACATTCTGAAATTGCTTAATGCTTTCACCTTGGCCTGATCCCTAGACTCAGAGCATGCACAGCTAATCAATGATAGGCTGTCCTGGCAAAATGGCAGTCTGAAAATACTCACAGATTTATATATATAAATATATCACACAGCATACAAAGAAACAGAAAAACATGATCCACTAAAAAGAATAAAATAAATTGGTAGAAATTATCCCTGATGATATACAAATACCAAACTAGATAAAGAATCTACCATAAGTGTATCTAAGAGCAAAATATAAATATGAGTAAAAAAACTAAAGGAAATTACGAAAACAGTATTTAAGAAAAATAAGAATATCAACAAAGAAACAGTAATGACCAAAAAGGAACCAAACAGATATTTTGGAGCTGAAAAGTACAACTGAATTGACAAATTCAGTAGAAGGTTCAATAGCATATTGTGCGAGCACAAACAATGAATTAGTGAACCTGAGGACAGGACAGTTGAAATTATTGTGACTAAGAACTGAAAGAACAAAAGAATAAAAAAGGTGACCAGAGCCTATAAACTTGGACATCATCAAGTGGATCAATATATACATTATGGAAGTCCCAGAAGGAGAGTGGAGAGAGAAAACAGATGAGAGATTATTTGAAGAAATAATGGCTAAAAACATCTTAGATTTGAGGAAAGACATTAATCTACAAAAATAAGAAACTCCATAAAATCTAATAGAACTAACTCAAAGCAGTTTGCATTGAAACAAATTGTAATCAAAGTGTTGAAAGACAAACACAAGAAAACAATTTTGAATGCAGCAAGAGAGAAGTGACTTCTCATAAATAAGAAATCTTCAAGAAGTTTCTAAGCATAGTTTTGAGCAAAAAAATGTTGGAGGCCACAAGACAGTGGGATATTTAAACTGCTGGAATAAAAAAGAAAGTCACCAAGAACTCTATATCCAGGAAAACTGTCCTGCAAAAATGAGATAAATTAAAACCTTGCCAGATAATAAAGTTGATGGAATTTACTGCTCTAGAGCTGCCTGCAAGTAATGTAAAGGAAGTTCTTCAGGTCGAAATGAAAGGATACTAGACAGTAATACAAACTTGTATGAAGGTAGAGAAATCTTGGATTTGAGTAAACTGTAGTTTCCTACAGTTTACATTAAACAATATTAAAGCCACTATTCTTATAATTTTTGCTAGTATCTTCACTTTGTATTATCTACATAATTTAAATGACCAACCATATAAGATTATAAGTATATGCTGTGGGTACACAATGTATAAGGATGTAATTTGCATCATCAATATTGTGGAAGATAGAACTGTATAGGAGTTTGTCTGTGAAGTTGAAGTTAGGTATTATCAATTAATATTAGATTGTTATAACTAAAGATATTATATGCAAACTTTATAGGGAGCACAAATAATTACTATACAGTAACATAAAAGGAAATGAAAAAAGAACCAAAATATATTACTAAAAATCAACTGTATACATGAAAAAACAATAATAGAAGAAATGAGAAATAAAAATGCTATGAGGCAAACATAAAAATAACAAAATTGCAAAAATAACTTATTTTTTACTCTAAATGTATATGAATTAAACTCCCCAGTCAACAGTAGCAGAATATTTAAAAGGAAAAAAAATTGTGTTCTAAGTTTATGCTGTCTATGAGAAACTCTATTTTATCTTATTTTATTATTTTTTGTAGAGACAGGGTCTCCCTGTGTTGCCCAGGCTCGACTTAAACTCCTGCGGTCAAGCGATCCTCCTGACTCAGCCTCCCAAAATGCTGGGATTACAGGCATGAGCCACTGCACCCGGCCAAGAGACTCTTTTTAGATGTGAGACACAAACAGGTTAAAATGGAAACAAAAGAGACATTTTATGCAAATATTAAGAAAAAAGCACACATATGCATTTTTATGTGTATACTAATATCCGGCAAATTAGGAAGTCCAAAACTATTACAAGAGATGAGAAGAACATTACATACTGATAAAAGAGCTATTAACCAACAAGATATATGAATTATAAACACATAAAGTCAACATCAAAATGTGAAAATAAATGAAACAAAGATTGACAAAATTAAAGGCAGAAATTGATAATAATCAATAATAGTTCAACAGTAACAGTTGCAGACTTTAATATGTCATTTTCAATAATGGATAGCACAACCAAATGGAAGATCAATAAGGAAGTAGAAAACTTGAACTACTCTGTAAACCAGTTGGATTAGGCATACACAGAACAAAACAGCAAACAAGAGCAAAAAAGAACCATTTTTCTCATTTGAGCATGGATCATTGTCCATATGTTATACCAAAAAAGTTTTTGTAAAATTTAAAAGACTGATATTGTAGAAAGTATCATTTTATATCACAATGCATAAAGCTAGACATCAATAATTATAGTAACACTGGAAAACGTAAAAGTGTCTGGAAATTAGACAACACACCATTAAACCAATAGATCAAAGAAGCAATTCCAAGAGAAATTGGAAAATTCCTTCAGACAAATTAAAATAAAAGCACAACATACCAAAACATATGGGATTTGGTGAAAGCAGTGCTAAAAAGAAAATGTATAGTCACAATCAATTACATTAAAAAAGAAGAAATATCTCAATTATAAACCCCAATTTTACACCTTAAAAAGGTAGAAAAATAGCATTAAAGTAAGCCCAAAATAGCAGAACGGATGAAACAATAAAGGGTCCAAGAGAGATACATAAAGCAGAAAATAGAAAAACAGTATAGAAAATCAAGGAAACCACAACTTTTTATTTAAAAAGCTTAACAAAATTGGCAAACATGAGTGAGCTTGACTAAGGGAAAACGGGAGAAGGCTCAAATTACTTAAATCAGAACTGCATGTGGGAGCATTGCTACCAATTAAAAAATTATAGGAGAGTTCTATGAATAATTGTACACCAACAAATTGGATGACTTAGATGAAGTAGACAAGTTCCTAGAAGCACAAACTTAACAAGACCAAATTATAAACAGACAATAAGAATAGACCTATAGTTAGTAAGGAAGTAGAATCAATAATAAAAGTTTACCAACAAAGAAAATTATTTGACAAAATGGCTTCACAACTGTACTAAATATTGAAAGGATTAGCACCAATCTTTCTCAAATTATTCTAGAAAATTGCAGAGGAGGAAACAATTTCTAACTCATTTTATGAGGCGAGCATTATCATGATATTAAAGCCAGACAAAAATATTATGAGAAAACTACAGACCAATGCCTTTTGTGAATTGTTTATTTAAAAATCTTCAACAAAATGCTAACAAACCACATTCAGCAGCATAGGAAAATGATTATATACCATGGCCAAGTGAGATTTATCCCTGCAATTCAAAGGTGGTTCAATACGGAAAAATTAATCGATTTTCATCCTAGTAACAGAATCAAAGCAAAAGCAAAATAACACACCGCAAAATAAACCAAAAACAAAAGAATCATCTCAATATATTCAGAAAAAAAAAACAAAAAAACTTCCGTAGCCTTTAATAATAAAACACTCCAAAGACTAGGAATAAAAATAAACTTCTTCAATATGAAAAGGCTAGGAAAATCCTGTAGCTAATATCATAGTTAATAGTGAAAAAAAACAAAAGTGTTTGCCCTTAGATTAATAACAAGACAAGAATGCCTGCTTGTGTCACTTCTAATTAAACACAATATTGGAAGTTCTAACTAGAGCAATTAGGCAATAATAAAAAATAAAAGGCATCTACTTGGAAGAGAAGAAGTAAAATTTTTTCTCTTTGCAGATAACAGTGATTGCCAAGGCTGGGAAGGGAGCAAATGGAAGTTAAATTTGTATAGTTTCAATTTGGGATGAGAAGTTCTGGAGATGCATGGTGATGGTGGTTGCACGATGTGAATGACCAATGCCATTTAATTGTATACTTAAAAGAGTTAAAATGGTAATTTTTATGTCATGTATATTTTGCCACAATAAATATATTTTTAAAAGGCAAATAATGAAAATAGCTATGTTAATGAGTCTAGTATTTGCTTCTGTCTTCCCTCATTTTTGTTCCTGTGCAAACGTCACCAAATCTCAAAAGTGTTTTTCATAGTTGATGGTGTTCTGTGTTTTGAAAATGTCTTCTATTGACTTCCTTAATACAGATTTAGACAGTGCCTCTTTCTTGGGTGATTCCCTCTCAATTATCTTCCTATCTTTTCTTACACCTTCAAGCATTCCTGTGCTTTTAACACCACCCACAGGAGTCTGGCACTTAAGGTACATGTAATTGCAGATATATTTTGCACATTCCAGACTCATACCCAATTGGAGTCCCCCATTTAAATATCAAGCAGGCATGTCACCTTTAACATTTCCGAAACTGAATTCTTGATCTAAATCTCTGTAATGTCTAGTGTCTTCTCTCTCCTGCCTCCAGTAAACTTCTGTTGAATCTGAGCTCATTCAATTTTCATCCTCAAACATAAGTTGTAATCCTGCCAATAATCTTTACATCAGCCCCACGAGTTAAGTCCAAAGCTCTGCATTGTTCTTCAGCTATATCTCATTGGTTTCTCATTCCCGCTCTGACACCATGTGACCCTCCTTTGACTCACATATGCTAAGGCCTTTCCTTCTCCCAGACTTTGAAATACGCTCTTCTTTTGAGACTAGCTCCTTCTCCCTCAGATATCCACTTCAAAGCTACTTTCTCAGAGAAGCTTTCCACAAAAATTCGTAATGCTTTCTTACTTAATTTGGATCACTCAGCTTTCTTACATATTATTATTTTGCTATAAGGCTTTTACCAATATTGAAATTGTAGTATTTATTACATTGATTATTATTTTACTTTTTAAAAGCCAACTTATCACAATATATTTGAGTTCCATGAAGACAGGAATTGTGCCTGTCTTAAATAACAAATGTCTAGCATCTCGCAGTGTTAACTATAATCAATACTCGGTAAATCTTGCTTTTTGTTTGTTTTAATGGTTAGTTTCAGGACTTAAGTATAGCTTTGCATCCATATTTTTTAGGCTTTACAAAAATGTTTAATACGTTTTTGTCAAAATTCTATCCAAATTGACACATTTTCATGAGAATGAGAATATCATCTAGAATAAATTTCATTAAAATCAAGAACTATCAATTTTTACATAGTTCACTTAAGCGATTTTTATTTTTAGTATTTTATTTATATTTTGTCAAACTATTTTTGTCATGTTCAGTACTTTGCAGCACACATTTTATGTATTCATTCATTTTCACTTTTTTTTAACTTTTAGGTTCAGGGGTACATGTGAAGGTTTGTTACATAGGTAAACTCGTGTCATGAGGGTTTGTTGTACTGATTATTTCATCACTCAGGTATTAAGCCAAGTACCCAATAGTTATCTTTTCTACTTCTCTCCCTCCTTTCACCCTCTACCCTCAAGTAGACTCCAGTGTCTATTGTTTCTTTCTTCGTATTCTTAAGTTCTTATCATTCAGCTCGAACTATAAGTGAGAACGTGTGGTACTTAGTTCCTGTATTAGTAGCTAGCTGGAGGATAATAGCCTCCAGCTCCATCTATGTTCCCACAAAAGACATCATCTCTTTGTTTTTTTATGGATGCATAGTATTTCATGGTTTATATGTACCACATTTTCTTTATCAAATCTGCCAATGATAGGCATTTACGTTGATTCTATGTCTTTGCTATTATGAATAGTGCTGCAATGAACATTTGTATGCATATTTCTTTATGGTAGAATGATTTCTATTCCTCTGAGTATATACCCACTAATGGAATTGCTGAGGTAAATGGTAGTTTAGCTTGTAGTTCTCTAAGGAATCGCCATACTGCTTTTCACAACGGTTAAACTAATTTACACTCCCACCAACTGTCTGTAAGTGTTCCCTTTACTCTGCAACTTTGCCAGCATCCGTTATTTTTTTACTTTTTTTATTTTTTTTTTGAGACGGAGTCTCGTTCTGTACCCCAGGCTGGAGTGCAGTGGCACTGAGAGGTGATAACGTGCTGGCCGCCCTTGCTCACTCTCAGCACCTCCTCTGCCTCGGCGTCCCCTCTGGCCACGCTTGAAGAGCCCTTCAGCCTGCCACTACACTATGGGAGCCCCTCTCTGGGCTGGCTGAGGCCCTGAGCTGGCTCCCTCTGCTTGCAGGGAGGTGTGGAGGGAGAAGCATGGGCAGGAACGGGGGCTGCGTGCGTTGCTGGAGTACCAGGGCGAGTTCCATGTGGGCGTGGGCTGGGCGGGCCCAGCACTGGGAGCAGCCAGCCAGAGCTGCCGGCCTGGGCAGTGAGGGGCTTAGCACCCGGGCCAGCAGCTGTGGAGGGGATGCCCAGTCCCCCAGCACTGCTAGCCCACCCACGCCGCACTTGAATTCTCGCCCAGCCTCAGCTGCCTTCACGCGGGGCAGGGCTGGGGACCTGCAGCCTGCCATGCCCGAGCCGCACTGTGGTGTGCTCCCACTGCGGCCTGAGCCTCCCCAAGGGGTGCCGTCCCCTGCTCCGGAGCACCCGGTCCCATCGACCGCCCAAGGGCTGAGGAGTGCAGACGCATGGCGCAGGACTGGCGGGCAGTTGCACCCACGGCCCTGGCATGGGATCCCCTAGGAGAAGCCAGCTGGGCTCCTGAGTCAGGTGGGGACTTGGAGAACTTTTATGTCTAGCTGGGGGATTGTATATACACCAATCAGCACTCTGCGTCTAGCTCGGGGTTCGTGGATGCACCAATCAGCACTCTGTATCTAGTTAATCTGGTGGGGACTTGGAGAACTTTTACGTCTAGCTAGAGGATTGTAAATACACCAATCAGCACTCTGTGTCTAGCTCAGGGATTGTAAACGCACCAATCAGCACCTTGTCAAAACGGACCAATCAGCTCTCTGTAAAATGGGCCAATCAGCAGGATGTGGGTGGGCTCAGATAAGAGAATAAAAGCAGGCTGCCCAAGCCAGCAGCCCCGAGTGCCCTTCTGCAGTGTGGAAACTTTGTTCTTTTGCTCTTTGCAATAACTCTTGCTACTGCTCACTCTTTGGGTCCGCACTGCCTTTGTGAGCTGTAACACTCACCGTGAAGGTCTGCAGCTTCACTTCAGAGGCCAGCGAGACCGAGACCATGAACCCACCAGGAGGAATGAACAACTCTGGATGGGAGGAAAGAACAACTCCAGACGCGCCACCTTAAGAGCTGTAACACTCACCACCAAGGTCTGCAGCTTCACTCCTGAAGTCAGCGAGACCATGAACCCACCAGAAGGAAGAAACTCCGAACACGTCCGAACATCAAAGGGAACAAACTCTGGACACACCATCTTTAAGAACTGTAACACTCACTGCTAGGGTCCGTGGCTTCATTCTTGAAGTCAGTGAGACCCAGAACCCACCAATTCTGGATACAGTGCAATCTTGGCTCACTGTAAGCTCTGCCTCCCGGGTTCATGCCATTCTCCTGCCTCAGCCTCCTGGGTAGCTGGGACTACGGTGCCAGCCACCACGCCCGACTAATTTTTTGTATTTTTAGTAGAGACTGGGTTTCACGTATTAGCCAGCGTGATCCTGATCTCATGACATCATGATCCACCCGCCTCAGCCTCCCAAAGTGCTGGGATTATAGGCATGAGCCACCGTGCCTGGCCTATTTTTTGACTTTTTATAGTAGCCATTCTGACTGGGGCTGAGATGGTATCTCATTGTGGTTTTGATTTGTATTTCTCTAATACTCAGTGATAGTGAGTTTTTTTCTATATGCTCGTTGGCCTCATATATGTTTTCTTTTAAAAAGTGTGTGTTCATATCATCTGACACTTTTTAATGGTATTGTTTGGTTTTTTCTTGTAAATTTGTATAAGTTACTTATAGATGCTGGATATTAGACCTTTGTCAGATGCATAGTTTGCAAATGTTTTCTCCTATTTTGTAGGTTGTCTATTTACTCCGTTAATAGTTTATTTTGCTGTGCAGAAGCTCTTAATTAGATCTCATTTGTCAATTTTTGCTTTTGTTTCAATTGCTTCCAGCATCTTCAGCATGAAATATTTGCCTGTGCCTGTGTCCATGATGGATTGCCTAGATTGTCTTCCAGATTGTTTATAGTTTGGGTTTTACCTTTAAGTCTTTAAGTCTTGTGTTGATTTTTGTATACGGTGTAAGAAAGGGGTTCAGCTTCAATCTTCTGCCCATGTCTAGCCAGTTATCCCAGCACCGTTTATTGAATAGGGAGTCTTTTTCCCATTGACTCTTCTCAGCTTTGTTGAAGATCAGATGGTTGTAGGTGTGCAGCCTTATTTCTGGGCTCTCTATTCTGTTTTGTTGGTCTATGTGCCTATTTTTGTACCAGTACCATTCTGATTTGGTTACTGTGGCCTTGTGCTATAGTTTGAAGTCAGGTAGCATGATGCATCCAGCTTTGTTTGTTCGCTTAGAATTGCCTTAGCTATTTGGGTTCTTTTTTGGTTCCATGTGAATTTTAAGATAGTTTTTTTTCTAGTTCTATGAATAATTTCAATGATAGGCAGTTTGAGAGGAGGAGCATTGGATCTGTAAATTGCTTTGGGCAGTATAGCCATTACAGTGATATTGATTCTTTCTATCCTTGAGCATCAGATGCTTTTCCATTTGTTTGTGTCTTTCCTAATTTCTTTGAGCAGTGGTTTGTAGTTCTCCTTGTAGAGATCTTGCACCTCATTGATTAGCTGCATTCCTAGGCATTTTATTATTTTGGTAGCAATTGTGAATGAGATTGCTTTCTGATTTGGTTCTTGGCATGGCTGTTGTTGATGTATAGGAATACTAGTGATTTTTGTATGTTGATTCTGTATCCTGAAACTTTGCTGAAGTTGTTTGTCAGCTGAAGGAGTCTTTGGGCTGAGACTCTGGGGTTTTCTAGATATAGAATCATGTTGTCTGCAAAAAAGGATAGTTTGACTTTCTCTCTTCATATTTGGATTCCCTTTATTTCTTTCTCTTGCCTGATTGTTTCTAGCCATGGCTAGAACTTCCAATACTATTTTGAATAGAAGTCATGAGAAAGGGCACCTTTGTCTTGTGCTGGTTTTCAAGGGGAATGCTTCCAGCTTTTGCCCTTTCCGTATAATGCTAGCTGTCAGTTTGTCATAGATGACTCTTTTTATTTTGAGGTATGTTCCTTTAAAACCTAGTTTATTGAGAGTTTTTAACACGAATGGGTATTGAATTTTATTAAAAGCTTTTTCTAAGTATATTTAGATAATCATGTGATTTTTGTCTTTAGTTCTTTGTATGCGATGAATCACATTTATTGATTTGCATATGTTGAATCAAACTTGCATCCTGGGTCTGAAACCTTCTTGATCGTGGTGAATAAGCTTTTAAATGTTCTGTTGAATTTGGTTTGCAAGTACTTTGTTGAGGATGTTTGCATCAATGTTCGTTAAAGATATTGGCCTGAATTTTTTGATGTTGTGTCTCTACCAGTTTTTGGTATCAAGATGATACTGACCTTACAGAATGAACTGAAGAAAAGTCCCTTCACCTCATTTTTTGGAATAGTGTCAGTAGGAATGGTACCAGCTCTTACTTCTACATCTAGTAGAATTCGGCTGTGAATCCATCAGGCCCTGGGCTCATTTATTTCTTTATTTATTTGGTTGGTTAATAGGCTATTACTGATTCAATTTCAGAGCTCATTGTTGGTCTGTTTAGGGAATCCATTTCTTCCTGGCTCAGCCTTGGAAGGGTATATGTGTTCAGAAAATTTTTTATCTCTTCTAGGTTTTCTAGTTTGTGTGCATAGAGCTATCTGTAGTAGTTTCTGATGGTTGTTTTTATTTCTATGGGGTCAGTGGTAACATTCCCTTCATCATTTCTAATTGTGTTTATTTGGAACTTTTTTCTTTATTAGTCTAGCTAATGGTCTATCTATTTTATTAATGTTTTCCAGAAATCAGCTCCTGGGTTTGTTACAGCACACATTTTATGTAAGTGGTTAGGTTCATCAGTCAGGTTTTCTCCACTGTGAAAATTTTTCCTTTTGTAAAATTGTATCTTTTATAGCTCTGACATTGTTTACCATATTTTGTTGTCATTATTTCTCTCAAGTCCAATTTTCCCTGGTCAATCTTTTTATTTCTATATTTTATCATCATGTCTTAATCTGTCTGTTTATTTTTAGTTAGTCATGTATCTTACCAGGGGTAATCCTTCCATTTTGTTTGATTATTTCAACTAAGTCTAGTCTTGGGTGGGTAGTAATTGAAGTTTGCAATTTTGCCAATATGATTTCTCAGTTACTCTTCTATTTAAGAAAAATTGTGCTATTTGCAAATCTAAGCCTTTGTTAGTTTAATTTTGTGTAACTATTTCACAGTAACATCATTATTTATAATACTAGAGACTGATTTTTCCATATTCTTTGGAAGAAAAATTCAAGAGCATTAGGAGAAACGTGGAGAATCTGGAGTCATGATGAGGTCAAGGCTATAGGGCAAAAACAATTTACTTTGCTTTTTGTGTCTCTTTTTTTTTTTTTCCGCAAGTCATATAGCCTAGGAATCCCAGCTTCCCATTGTCATTTTCATTTCATAATAAAAGTCATGGACATTCATAACTAAATATTTATCTCTGGGCTTTATACTTTGGGTTTTGCAGTGTTTCTTTATTTAAAATCAGCAAAAAAAGAGGAAAAGTATTTTGTCTATTTATTTTTTCTTGATATTTTGTCTTTCTTTACATAAATCCAGGTTTCTGACCTACATACTTTCCATCTACCTAAGGAATTTACATTAATATTTTCTGCAGTGTAGGTATTCTAGTGATAATTTTTTTCAAGTTTTGTCTGAGAATATTTTTATTTCCATTTCACTTTTTAAAAAGTAAAATTTAGAATAGTTTTAGTTTTACAAAAAAGTTGTAAAGATAGTACTGAGTTTCTATATACTTTGTACCCAGTTTTTCTTATTGTTAGTATCTCATACGTTAGTATTGTACATTTATTTCCATTCATAAACCAATATTAGTTCATTATTATTAACTAAAATAATACTTTATTTATATATACTTAATTTGCTTTTAAACCTAATGTCCTTTTTTCTGTTCCAGGATTACACCCAGGATACCATATTACATTAAGTCTTAAGTATCTTTAGTCTCTTGGCTGTGAGCATTTCTCAGATTTTCCTTGTTTTTGACAACCTTGAAGTTTTGAGGAGTAGTGGTCAGATATGTTGTAGAATGTCTTTCAGCTGGGATTTGTCTGATATTTTTCCTGTGATTAGACTGGAGTTATGTGATTTTAGGGAAGACTCAGAGGTAAAGCATCATTTTCATCACACATCAAGGGTGCATACTATGAACATTACTTGTCACTATTTATGTTAAACTTTACCACCTGGATAAGATTCTTTGTCAGGTTTCTCTATTGTAAAGTTACCAGTTTTCTTCTTTCCATACTGCACTATTTGGAAGGAAGTCACAATGCAGTGTCTACAGTTAAAGAACAGGGAGATATGAGATATGCTCCACCCCCCTTGAAAGTGGAGTGTCTACATCAGTTACTTGGGCTTCTTCTGGATAAGAGATTTGTCCTTCCTCTCCTGTTTGTGAATATAGTCAATCATTTACTTACATTAGTATGAACTTGTGAATGTTTATTTCATATTTGGACTATAATCCTATACCATATTACTTATTTTTGTAGCTCAAATCACTTCAACTTTAGCCATTGGGCATTCTTTCATTTTTTTTTTTATCCATTTGACATAACCTAGTTATCATGGTCTTGTTTATGTTTGTTTGTTTGAGTTTTTAGCACTTCTTCACTTGCTGGTACTACTAGATACTCCAGGATCATCTTGTACATTTCTTGCTCCACCTACTTCCTGGCCTGGAGGGCATCTGATTTTCACTGAGAGAACTTGATGGGGTGTTGATAGGTAAAGCCCAGGAAAGTGTGGGATCCCTCTAAGACCACAGTCCCCAGGAATTACTTGTTCTCATAACAGTCACTCTCAGCCTCCAGCAAATGATCAAAATTGCCATTAAAGTGTTCCTGTCAGTTTATGGCTGTTTATCAGCTTCTGTTCTTTGGGAGAAAATCTCAGCTGTGACTCTATGGTTTCACGTGTCTCTTTCAATTTTCAATTGGAAGCTCACCCTGCAATATCAGTCTTTTGATGCATCCAAAAGATGGTGAGTCAGTTTGTCCAGCTTTGTGTTTGTAGCACGTAAGTGACAACCTTCACTCTAATAAAGCTGAAACCCTCTATTAAATTTTAAACTTCATGAGAATAAAGAAGATGGCTTCTAATTACTACTGTATATTCAGTAACTAGCATAATGCCTGGCACATAGTGAATATTTGGTAAATATGTTAAAAATAATGCATGGACAGAGAACGAATAGAAATATCTAAATTCCTTTGATGATATAAAATACATCCACTTATCAGCAGCAGAAAAACCCAACCTCAGAAATTATCTGCTTATGTATGGGATAATAGCCAATCACTCACAAACTGTGTTATTAATCACTAATATGAAGACCAAAAAGTAATGCAAGACTGCTCTCCTACCAGAACTAATGGAAAGAGACTTTTATCTTCTTGAAATGTGTCTTTTAAATTAGTTTTGTAGGAGAGCAACAAATGTCTTGGCTTCATTCTTTTAGGTTCCTTGGCTGGGCTATAAATTAAATTGACATAAGACATATTAACAGGAGAAAAAACCATATTTATTTGCATATGTATGCATGGGAGTCCCACAATATAGGAGTCTTGAAGAAGAATCAAAAGATTGCAGCTTATACAACATCTTGAGGCGCTTCAGGGAGATGGTGGTAACACAAGCTGTGGGAGGGTGATGGAGGAGATGTATGGTGAATAAATGTTGTCTTATTATACAGATAAAGCATCTCTCAGGTAATAAAAGTTGTCTTGGAGCAGCACTCAGAACAACAGGTGATTGTCTATCTGGGCATGGTATCAAACTTCATCCTTATCTCCTGGGATCCCAGTTAATTTTCCTTGGTTAATAGAATCCCTGGGGAAGAGATTCATGACAAATGGGTTAATTTTGCAGGATCTGTTGTTAGGCAGCTAAGCGGAGCTCAGAGAAAGATTCTGCTTATATCTGATCTTCCCCAAGTGCCCTTGGTTCAAAGATATCAGTATATACTCCAAAGTGGTATATTTGGGGGTGGCATTTCCTGAACTCCACTTTTAACCAGCACAGTTCCCAGGGCCAGAAAGAATCTTAATATTGGCAATGTAACTACACAAAGCCCATGCATATGATGCCATGCCTAAATTACTAGACAGTCATAAATAGTTTTTGAATGGTAAATGAGGAAATAACTATGCATGCAAGACATACCATTAATCCCTTTACCTTTGATGAATTATTTTACTTAAGTTGCAGCTAGGGCTCTCATTTTGAGGTTGACAGGACAGCATGACTTGCAATAATTTGTATAAAAATATCATAATGTGGCCTTTTCCTGCCACATCCCCACACACAGCAGGATTATTAATAGCAGGGAATTTAGCTTTGTGTATTATATACAGCAAAGAAAAGGAAATCTGAAGATTCACATAGCATGTTTTAAAATTCTAATTGCAAATGTGTTCGATATTTTACTACCTCAATTCTGCAGGGGTGGGGCATTTTGGACAAAGAAAGAGTCAGGGTTTTCTCTTTCACAAGGCTGGCATCGAGACAAGTTACCCACATGCATCTAAATTAGAGAGGATAAATAGTTAGTGAAATCCCAAATTGCTGGGAAAGCCAAGGATCAATCTGAGAAACAATGGGTTTTGGAGTTAGCACCAGGTAGTTCTAGTTATTGTTGTATGTGACATCAGTCAAGTTGCTTTCTGTTTTATTCTCATCTAGAAAATGAGATAGCTCTCAAAAAAGCTTGAAAAATTAAAAGGCATCTCCATACTACTCAAGCACCCAATACAGTGGAACTCAGTGATTAGGTACATAATGATCCCATTGAAAAGCAGAGTAGAACTGGTTCAGAGAAGGAAAAAAAAAAGAAGAGAAAAACAAAGAATGGTATAGGGTAAACACTTGTATGGCAATGTTTTCTAATAAGCTTTATTGTTCCTCATTTATATGCCCTGTGAACAGATAGAAAAGACAAATGGTGGGCATTGGTCCCAGACTATTTTAACTGATATGGTCCTAGAAAGCTGCATTTCAAACAAATGGCACACACACACCAGGGAGCTTTTCATTTTACTAAATATTTAATGAATAGTTTTAAAAAATGAGTATCTTCCCCAATTACTGCTGTAAATCAAAAATAAAAGCCTAAGCCTCTCAGCTGACTCAATGACTCCCCTTTGGCAAAGAGGAACCCAGAGAAAGCTGAAGAATTAAATTCTAGGCTATGACAGGACAGGAGGTTGAACACACTTTGTTATATCCCAGTCCTTTTGGAGTTTAGGCATAACTAACCAGCATTAACATTAAAAGATAGAGCATAAGACTGACAAAAAAAAGACTCTTTGTAACAATTAGATTATTAATTCCAACCTGACTCTGGTATAGCGTCACATGACAGTTAGCAGACTAATGTAGTTTAGCTGTGTCCCCACCCAAGTTTCATTTTGCATGTAGCTCCCATAATCCCTATGTGTCACGGGACAAACCCAGTGGGAGGTAATTGAATCATGGGGACAGGTCATTCCCATGCTGTTCTCATGATTGTAAATAAGGCATACGATATCTGATGGTTTATAAAGGGCACTTCCCCTATACCTACACACATTCTGTTGCCTGTCGCCATGTATGATATGCCTTTTTTCCTCCTCCGCCTTTTGCCATGATTGTCAGGCCTCTCAAGCCATATGTAACCTCTTTTTCTTTATAAATTATCCAATCTTGGATATGTCTTTATTAGCAGCATGAGAATGGACTAATACACAGACCCTGAGAGAAATCGAAATAGTTTACACCAAAATATATTTCCTTGACATATTTTGAAGTGGTCCTGGAAAACTGTCTTTTGTGGGAGAAATATACATCTGCAGAGAATCTTCCCATTCTAGGTCTTTCCTATGTCTGAGAGAGACTAAATGAGGGTCCAATATCTTTAGCATCTGAAAAGAGAGAGACATTAACCATATTCTCTCTAAGGCTGCTACCTAGAGGCTTTACCTATGTACAGGAAACTTGGCTTCCACGTTCCCCCTTATCTTAACTCAAGCATTTAGTTCAAGTCTTTAGAGAAAGCTGAGCCTTTTCAAACAATTGCCAGCCAGAAAATCTTTGAACCCAGGCATGACTTGTAAGAGTCACCCCCTCCCCTTCTTTGAGATGTACTGCCTTTGGGGTCCCAACCAATGTATATCTTACAGGTATTGATTTATGTCTTTGCCTGTAACTCCTGTCTCCCTAAAATGTATAAAACCAAACTGTGACCCAACCAACTTGGGCACCGTTTCTTAGGACCTCTTGAGACTGTACTGCAGGCCATGATCACTCATATTGGCTGATAATAAATCTCTTTAAATATTTTTACTGAGTTTGGTTTTTCATCAACATTGATTAGCTTCTTTATATTGTTAAACAGTGCCAGTTAATAAAAAGTAGATCCACGCAAGTGCATGCGTGCATGCATGCACATGGACACATACATGTGTGTGCAGAAACATACACATATTTGGCTAAAGTCATCAGATTCTTAAAAAATATTGTCTTATGCCTGATTCATTCTGAAACTTTCAGTTAATTTCTATAAAATTTATGTTTTCTGTTGCCAAGCATACCCAATTATTCAAAATAATCGTTTCAGACAACTTATCTTGTGTCTGACTAAGCTACTTTGTCTTCAGCATAGAGGAAAACTGTATTAAAAGCTTGGCTCACACCTTACAGATATAATATGAAAGAATGTCATGGTTAGATTCTACAATCCTAGTTGTGTGCTGGTGGTACTCCTGAATTACTTTGCCTGGTTTATAGAAGATGGGATATCCCACACTGACGAACTTATCTACAGGAGAAAATTCTCCTTTCTAGTTTTAGAGAGAGTTTATTCAGAGTCAGCATACATTTCAGGCTTCTAAATCTATCCTTTTAAATTGCTTAGGGGAATGCCTACCAACTGAGTTCATTTCCAGAACAATTTCAGAAAGCTGGTGCTAAAAGGGCAAGCTATTGTTATTGGTCATTTACAGTAGAAGCTCTCTGAACTGACTTCCACTTAATAATGCACTGAATTAATCTACACTCCATAAACCTCACAGACTGATGTTAATGGCATTCTGAATACTCCCTGCTAGTAAATTCCTGCCTAATATAGCTACAAAATTCTATGCTCACCAAATGTACTTGTTTCTAGAATTTTTGTGCTTTACATAATTTAATTAAATATTATATGAACAAATGTCAAATGAGAGCAATAAGAAACAGAGATCTTTCTTCCCTTCTTCCTATTCTATTTTTTCCTTTTTACTTTTTCATATTATAATATTAATGCTTACTGACATTGATTTGAAAACTTATTGCGGTCTGTCTTCTTTACTGAGGTCCTCAATACAGTTTTCTGGAGTGAATTATGGATTAAATAATGGTGCTCGGATGTTTATATTCTGTCCACTGAGATAAAAGCACTTAATAATAGATTTTAGTTTTATTTTTTCCTCTAATCTTATATTGTTTTCTCTCTCATTTTCCTTTTTTACCTTTATGCCCCATTTCTCCTTCTCTCTTTTCCCCTTAGTTCATTGCTCTGTTTTGTACAAATCCTTCTTTCTTCCTGTTTGCCAATGTTTTCTGGTCTTGAGGTGTCATTATGATAAATCAGTGTGGTTGCAAAGCCCTGAACTGTGAAACAGAACATTCTGTGTCTTAGTCCTGGTTATTCAGCCAATTTGCTGTGGTTCCAGGCAAGCCACACAGCCTCTAATGTTTGGTAGGGTTTGCAAGTCTAAAATATGCAAGATTAATTATTAACCTTCCACGATACAACATTCATATTTCATGTGATAGGACTTTAAGAAATATTTAGCTAAAAAAGATGTTACTGTAACCCACTCCTTTTCAGCCACACAGAAGCAGTTTTGGTTAGAAACTGAATTTATGACACAAACAGCACTTCTAAAATAGATTCATTTCAAGTAAGTGAAAAAATCTTGTATTTTGAGATATCTCAAGAGTAGTAGAGCTTTCTTTGGTGACTGGAAAATGAGCAGATGCTATCAAAAACAATAGTGTTGTGAAGCTCCCTGCTCCCTATTTCATGGAGTTTGAAATTTATTGAGTTTGAACTCCTGAATGGCCACCTGCCACATACCTGCTTGATGATTTGAGTAGTATTTTCCTTGACTAGTAAGAGCTGCATTTCCTTGTGCCTACAACACTGAGAAGACTAAAATGGAACCAGGATCCAAATTTAAGGCCAGTGGAAGACATATCCAGGGATGTCAGTATAAAGCTAATTCTATCTATATTTTATTATTTCTTGCCATTCTTCACAATTACTACATTTTTGGCAACAAAATGAAACTCCTAAATTCAATAAATATACCTAGGGAGAGATGTTGGTAGTCGGTCTTACAAGCACAGAGTAAAAGGCCTTAGAGAAAAAGAATATGTATACATTTACGGGAGACATAAAGATTTCAGTTTTTCCCAAAACGATCAAAAGCTGTTTTTTGCAAATTGTTCTATATCTAGGAGAGAAATCAGTTTTTGGTTGTTCAATATCTGCAATTTATGTTGCAAATAAATATCACTAGGCCTCAAGCAACAGTAAGGTGGAAAGACACAGGTCAAAGAGGTAATACTTCAAGTTTCTCCCTAATCAATGCCTTAAAATAATAAGTGATAAATAAGCAACATATCTTTTTTTAAGTCTCTTAATTCTAAAATTCATGAACACACACATACGCACACCTTCAGGCACACACGTTGTGAATTTTCTTTTTTTTGGGGGTGCTCACTGCAACCTCCACCTCCCAGGTTCAAGCGATTCTTCTTCTGACTCAGAGGTGAGATTAGTACTCAAGTAGCTGGAACTACAGGTGCCTGCCACCACTCCCGGCTAATTTTTATATTTTTAGTAGATATGGGGTTTTGCCGTATTAGCCAGGATGGTCTCGAACTCCTGACCTTGTGATCCGCCCGCCTTGGCCTCCCAAAGTTCTGGGAGTGCTGGGATTACAGGCATGAGCCACCTTGCCTGGCCACATTCTGAATATTCATGCATACATTTCTGATATAATGCCAGGTCCCGGGCATGGAAAACCTATGAAATCTCATCTATGAGTAATTAATAACCACAAGAACAAGCAGTGACTTAAAGACTGCACAGCCTAGGCCTTCCAGAGAACATCTCCCTTCCATTCTTTAGCTTTAAATGAATAAACTTTTGTGGAAAATTATTATCTACTAGTTTGAGATCTTCTCTGTCCTTTCCCACTACTCAGTCCATACTTATCATTATGTATTATTGATTTATAATTATTGAACTTTTAAAAATTTTAATCACAGAGTTAATACACACAGTAATAGTTCCAAATGATACAGGATAATGTAGTGGAAAAGCAATGGTCTTCCTTCCTTCTCTTTTCCATTTTCTCATGTCCATTCCCCCACCTCAAACACTAATTTTAGGGGTAATTGCTGTTAATTAGGACTTTATCTTAATAAACTTTTTTGTTCTAGGCACATATGGAGTCGTAGTATTTGTATTGCACTGCCATTGACATTTTTCTGCAGCATAAAGCTTGCCTGACTTTCTGTGTCAATACACACAGATTTAACATATTCTTTTTAATGATGCCATATTAATCCTAACAATAGCTGCATTGTAATTTACTTCAATAACCTCAGTTTACACTCCCTTAGATTATTTTCAATTTACTGTTACAAATAGTGCTGTAATATTCACATATATTCATGTTCATTTGCATATGTATTTTCAGAATGAACTCTGAAAAATAGAATTTCTGAGTCAAATCTTATTTATATTGAAAATCCAAAGTGGCTGAACTAATCTCACCCCTGCACCTACAATTTATAAAAACAGGCACTCTATCTCCCCACACCCATGGCAACTTCAAATTATTAAACTTTGAGAAATTTTGCAAGTCTGGATAGTCTTATTTTAATTTACTTTTCTTTAATTGCTAATAAACTTGGACACTTTGTTACATATTTAAAATTCACGTATATGTTTTATTTTATAAATTATTAGCCTTTAACTTTTGTCCATTTAGCTTTTGGATTTTTTTTATTATTTACATAACTCCTTTATAAATTTTAGATATCAATTATCTGTTAACAGTACAAATACAAAGTATATTTTTTCAGTATGTAGCTTGCCTTTATTGTAACTTTTGAGTTCAGGGGTACATGTACATGTAGAGGTTTGTTATATAGGTAAACTTGTGTCATGGGACTTGTTGTACAGATTATTTCATCACCCGTTCAATAGGTTCAACTATTGAACCTAGTACCCAATAGATATTTTCCTGCTCTTCTCCCTTCTCTCACTCTCCACCCTCCAATAGGCCACAGTGTGTGTGTGTGTGATTCTACATAGACCCATAGACGGTCTATGTGTTCATGTGTTCTCATCATTTAGCTCCCACTTATAAGTGAGAACATGCACTATTTGGTTTTCTGTTCCTGTGTTACTTTGTTAAGGAGAATAGCCTCCAGCTCCAGCTCCGTCCATGTTCCCTTAAAGGACATGATCTCATTTTTATGAATGCATAGTATTTCATGGTGTACATGTTCCACATTATCTTTTTCAAGTCCATCCCTGATGGGCATTTAGGTTGATTTCATGTCTTTGCTACTGTGAACAGAGTTGTAGTGAACACATATGTGCATGTGTCTTTATGATAGAATAATTTATATTCCTTTGGGTATATACTCAGTAATGGGATTACTGGGTCAAATGGTATTTCTGTCTTTAGGCCTTTGAAGAATTGTCACACTGTGTTCCACAATGACTGAACTAATTTATACTCCCACCAGTGGTATAAGCATTTTTTTTTTACAGAACCTCACAGGTATCTGTTATTTTTTGACTTTTTGATAATAGTAATTCTGACTGTTGTGAGATGGTATTTTATTGTGGTTGATTTGCATTTCTCTAATGATTAGTGACGTAGAGCCTTTTTTCATGTGATTGTTGGCCACATGTATGTCTTCTTTTGAAGTGTTTGTTCATTTCATTTGCCCACTTTGTAATAAAGTTGTTTGTTTTTTTTCTTGTAAATTTAAGTTCCCTATAGATGCTGGATATTAGACCTTTGTCAGATGCATATTTTGCAAAAACTTTCTCCCATTCTGTAGGTTGTTTGTTTACTCTTGTTGATAACTTCTTTTGCTCTTTAGTTTAATTAGATCCCATTTGTCAATTTTTGCTTTTGTTTTAATTGCTTTTGGTATCTTTGTCATGAAATCTTTGCTCATGCCTATGTCCTGAATGGTATTGCCTAGGTTATCGTCCAGAGTTTTTATAGCACTGGGTTTACATTTAAGTCTTTAATCCATCTTGAGTTAATTTTTATATATGATCTAAGGAAGGGATCCAGTTTTAATCTTCTGCACATGGCTATCCAGTTATCCCAGCACCATTTATTGAATAGAAAATCCTTTCCTGATTGCTTGCTTTTGTCAGATTTGTTGAAGATCAGATCATGTAGATGTGCAGTCTTATTTCTGGGCTATTTTGTTACATTGGTCTATGTGTCTGGTTCTGTACCAGTAACCATGGTGTTTTGGTTACTGTAGACTTGTAATATAGTTTCAAGTTGGGTATCATGATACCTCCAGCTTTGTTCTTTCTGCTTAGGATTGCCTTTGCTATCTGGGCTCTTTTTTGGATCCATATGGATTTTAAAATGAATCTCAATGGTGGTTTAATAGAAATAGCATTGAATCTGTAAATTGCTTTGGGCAATATGCCCATTTTAACAATATTGATTCTTCCAATGATCATGAAATCCATGAGCATGAAATGAGTACGGAATGTTTATGCATTTGTTTGTGTCATCTCTGATTTCTTTGAGCAGCGGTTTGTATTTCTCCTTGTAGAAATCTTGCACCTCCCTACTTAGCTCTATTTCTAGGTATTTTATTATTTTTGTGGCAATTGTGAATGGGAGTTCATTCATAATTTGGCTCTTGGCCTGATGGTTGTTGGTGTTTTGGAATGCTAGTAATTTTTTACAGATTAATCTTGTATCAGGAGACTTTGCTGAAGTTGTTTACCAGCTTAATAAGTTTTTGGGCTGAGATGATGGGGTTTTCTAGATATAGAATCACGTGACCTGAAAATACAGATAGTTTGACTTTCTCTCTTCCTATTAGTATACATTTTATTTCCTTCTCTTGCTTCATTGCCCTGGCCAGAACTTCCATTACTATGTTGAATAGGAGTGTTGAGAGAGGGCATCCTTGTCTTGTACCTGTTTTTAAGGGAAATGCTTCCAGCTTTTGCCCTTCAGCATGATATTGGTGGGTTTGTCATATGCGGTTTTTATTATTTCGAGGTATGTTCTCTCAATACCTGGTGTATTGAGAATTTTTCACATTAAGAAATGTTGAATCTTATCAAAGGCCTTTTCTACATCTATTGAGATAGTCATGATTTTTTCTTTAATTCCGTTTATGTGATGAATCACATTTATTGATTTGCATATGTTGAACCAAACTTGCATCCTGGGGATGAAGCTGCCTTAATTCTGGTGAATAAACTTTTTGATGTGCTGATGGAGTTGGTTTGCCAGTATTTTATTGAGAATTTTTGCATCAATGTTTATCAAGGATATTGGCCCCAAGTTTTTTGTTGTTGTTGTATTTCTGCCAGGTTTTGGTATCAGGATGATGCTGACCTCACAGAATGAGTTAGGGAGGATTCCCTCCATTTCGTTTGTTTGGAATAGTTTCAGAAGAAATGTTGTCAGTTCTTTTTTTTTTTTTTTTTTTTTTTTTGTACTTCTGGTGGAATTCAGTGAGAATCCACATGGTCCTGGGCTTGTTTTGGTTGGTAGGCTATTTTATACTGCCCCCTTTTCAGAACTCCTTATTGGTCTATTTAGGGATTCAATTTCTTCCTGTTTCAGTCTTGGGAGAATGTATGCATCCAGGAATTTATCCATCTCTTTGAGATTTTTTAGTTTATGTGCTTGGAGGTGTTTATAGTATTCTCTGATGGTCGTTTGTATTTTGGTTGGGTCAGTGGTGGTATCCCCCTTATCATTTCTGATTGTGTTTATTTGATTCTTCTCTTTTTCATTAGTGTAGTTAGCAGCCTATTTTATTAATTTTTTTTCAAAAAAACAGCACCTGCATTTGTTAAATTTTTGAAGGGTTTTTTGTCTCTCTATCTTCTTCAGTTCTGCTCTGATCTTGGTTATTTCTTGTCTTCTGCTATCTTTTTGGTTTGTTTGCTCTTGGTTCTCTAGTTCTTTTAGTTGTGATGTTAGGTTGTTAACTTGAGATCTTTCTAGCTTTCTGATGTGGGCACTTAGTGCTATAAATGTTCCCTTAACACAGCTTTAGCTGTGTCCCAGAGATTCTGGTACGCTGTATCTTTGTTTTCATTATTTTCAAAGAACTTCTTGATTTCTACCTTAATTTCACTATTTACCCACGAGTCATTCAGGAGCAGGTTGTTCAATTTCCGTGTAGTTGTGTGGTTTTAAGTAAATTTCTTAACCTTAAGTTCTAATTTGACTGTGCTGTGGTCTGAAAGATTTGTTTTGATTTCAGTTGTTTTGTATTTGCTGAGGAGTGTTTTACTTCTGATTATGTGATCAATTTTAGAGTAAATGCCATGTGGCACAGAGAAAAATGCATATTTTATTGTTTTGGAGTGGCAAGTTCTATAGATATCTGTAAGGTCAAGTTGATCCAGACCTAAGTTCAGTTCCTGAATATCTCTTTTAATTTTCTGTCTCGATGATATTTCTAATATTGATATTGGGGTGTAGAGTCTTCCACTATTATTGTGTGGGTGTCTAAGTCTCTTTGAAGGTCTCTAAGAACTTGCTTTATGAATCTGGGTGCTCCTGCATTGGAAGTATATATATTTAGGATAGTTAGCTCTTCTTGTTGAATAAAACCCTTTACTATTATGTAATGCCTTTTTTTGTCTTTTTTGATCTTTGTTGATTTAAAGTCTGTTTTGTTAGAAACTAGGATTGCAACCCCTACTTTTTACTGTTTTCTATTTTCTTGGTAAATTGTCCTCCATTTTTTTTATCTTGAGCTTATCTAGAGTCTTTGCATGTGAGATGGGTGTCTTGAAGATAGCATACTGATGGTTCTTTGTTCTTTATCCAGCTTGCCATTCCGTGTCTTTTAATTGGAGGATTTAGCCTATTTACATTTAAGTTTAATATTGTTATGTGTAAATTTGATCTTGTCATCATGATGCTAGCTGGTTACTAGGTATATGCTTGCTTTATAGTGTCACTGGTCTGTGTACTTCAGTGTGTTTTTGTAGTGGTTGGTAACAATCTTTCCTTTCCATAATTAGTGCTTCCTTCAGGAGCTCTTGTAAGGCAGGTCTGGTGGTAACAAATTCCCTCAGCATCTGCTTGTCTGAAAAGAATCTTATTTCTCCTTCACTTATTAAGCTTAGTTTGGCTGAATATGAAATACTGGGATGGAATTTATTTTCCTTAAGAATGTTGAATATTGACCCCAATCTATCTTAGCTTGAAGGGTTTCAGCTGAAAGGCCCACTGTTAGTCTTATAGGCTTCCTTATGTAGGTCATAGGTCATCTAACATTTCTCTCTAACTGCCTTTAACATTTTTTCTTTCATTTTGACCTTGGAGAATCTGATGATTATGTGTCTTGGAGATGATCTTCTTGTGGAGTATATTACTGGGGATTTTTGCATTTCCTCAATTTGAATGTTGGTCTCTATAGCTAGGCTGGGGAAGTGCTCCTGGATAGCATCCTAAAATATGTTTTCCAAGTTGGTTCCATTCTCTCCATCTGTTTCAGGCACATCAATCAGTTGTAGATTTGGCCTCTTTACATAATGCCATATTTCTTGAATGTTTAGTTTTTTCCTTTTTATTCTTTTTTCTCTGTTCTTCTCTGCCTGTCTTATTTCAGAAAGGAAGTCTTCAGTCTCTGAGATTCTTTTCTTCACTTGGTCTATTCTCCTATTAGTACCTGTGATTTCATTATGAAATTCTCATAGTGTGTTTTTCAGCTCTATCGGGTTGGTTACTTTTTTTCTCTACACTGGTTATTTTGTCTTTCAGCTCCTGCAATGTTTTATCTTGATTTTTGTCTTCCTTGCATTGGGTTACACTGTACTCCTGTAGCTCAATGAATTTTGTCCCTGTCTATATTCTAAATTTTATTCCTGTGATTTCAGCCATCTCAGCCTCAACCCAGTCTCAAACCCTCACCGCAGAGGTGATGTGGTCATTTGGAGGAAAGAAGGCACTCTGGCTTTTTGAGTTGTCAGTATTCTTTTGATGATTCTTTCCCATATTTGTGTGCTTATATACCTTCAGTCTTTAAGGTTTCTGACCTTTAGGCATTTTTTGTTTGTTTGTTTGTTTTTTGTTTTTTTTTTCTATTTAATGATCTTGAGAGTTTAGTTGTGGTATAAGATGAATTCGGTCAACTGGCTTCATTTCTGGAATATTTTAGGGGGCAATGGTCAGCTCGCAACTCCTAAACTGTGTGTTCTAATTTTGGGGAACTTGTATCCAGCCCTCACTTTGTTCTCTGGCTCCTTGAGGTTCAGAGTCTACTGTGCTGGGGGGGGACCCAGGTGCAGCAGTAGCAGCAGAGTGCTAGCAGTTGCTGGGGTGCCTGACTCTCTGTGGAAGTTCACCACAGTGGTGGAGACAAGGAAGCTGGGAGAGGAGTGGGGGGCCCCTGCTGGAGACTGTGTGCTGTTGCGCTGGAGGTGGTGTTCATTTGGGGCAGGGTGCTAGCCAGCACATGCCTGGGTGCATTTTCTGTGCCCTGCAAGCAGGAAAGATAACTTAGGGTATGGGAGGATCCTCTGTTCTCTCAGAGGTATTACCACAAGCGTTGGGTGCTGGCAGGGGTGGGACCTGCTGGCTTGTGTACCCACCAAGTCTCCATCTACTATAGCAGTTGGTCAAAGTGGCAGGGGGCTGGCCGTACTACCATATGCTGTCAGGGCAAGTGAAGCAAAACTTTCCATGTAGACACATGCCTGTAAAGTGATGTTGGAAGTTTCCATGTGGTGGAGGAAGCTGCACTATGGGGAAGGAACTTGTGGGCTTGTGCCCAGCCGTAGGGGCCACCTCACTGAATCTCTGGTGCCAAAGTGATGGTGGGGGCCCTCAGGACACACAAGACTGCCCTGTAGGCTAGGTTGGGGCCCCAGGAGAGGTCAGCAGACCAAAGAGTCCTCAGGTTGAACGAGCCCCATCTGATATGCAAGACAACCCTGCTGAGATAAGGTCCAACAGTTCCCCTAGGGCTAAGGTCTCTTATGAAAGCAAGTGGACCCTAGAGGAATGGTTGTTCCTGGCCACATTCTGCTGCAGACACTCCCTCACCAACTTCTCTGGGCTCCACATTAGCTGGCTTGCTGCCCCATCACTTTGCTTGTCTCCTGGGTACTCCATCCCAGAGAGATGTAAGCTGGCTAAAATTCTAAATGTACAGGGGTCTAAACTCCTGCTTTGCTGGAGTTGCAGCTACTTTTGTCAGGAAGCCCAGAAAGTATCTAGGGCTCCCAGGTCTCTGTGCATGCCTAAGCAGCTGCTCTGCCAAGACTCCACATAGCTCTGTGTGTCAGAATGACGGCCCTGGTGGAGTGGGTTCACAAGGGGATGTCCAGACCCAAGAGTTGTGAAGATCCATGAGAGAAGCATGGGTCCCTGGGGTCACACATTCACTCACCACTTTCCTGGGTGGAGCAGGTTTCCTTGGCTCCATGTTGCTCCTGGGTGGGCTGTCATCCTGCCTTGCTTTTCTTTGTTCTCCATGGGTTGAATTGTTTCCTTGATTAGTCCCAATGCGAGTACCTGGATGCTTCAGCTGAAGGTGCTGTATTTAGTCACCCCTTCCATTCCTCTCCATGAGAGCCCCACATACTAGCTGCTTCTAGTTGGCCATCTTAGCCATTCCCCCTACCTTTTCATTTTATTTATGATGTGTTGTGTGACTGAGCTCTTTTAGTTTTTCATATAGTCAAATATCCTAATATTATCTTTATTGCTTTTGAATTTTTTTATTTCTTGCTAAGGCCTTACTTGTTCTAAAACTCAATGCAATATACAAAATTTTTCATGTTTTATACTTCTGTTTCTAACATTAGATTTTTAACCCATCTGCCATTTTTTTTGGAATATGGTGTAAAGTAGGGATTTAATTTTTTTCTGAATTTTTAGCTAAATATTCCAAATATACATACTGAAAATTCCATTTATTTGCCAATAAATACAAATGCCACCATTATTATGTAACCAAATCTACATATTTTCTACTCTCTGGTTTGTGTATTGATGTAATTGTCAATTTTTAAGCAATATCCTGTTGTGGGAAGTCAGGGACCCTGAATGGAGGAACCAGCTGGAGCCACGGCAGAGGAACATAAATTGTGAAGATTTCATGAACATTTATCAGCTCCCAAATAATATTTTTATAATTTCTTATGCCTGTCTTACTTTTATCTCTTAATCCTGTTATCTTCGTAAGCTGAGGATGTATGTCACCTCAGGACCACTATGATAATTGTGTTAACTGTACAAATTGATTGGAAAAGATGTGTATTTGAACAATATGAAATCAGTGCACCTTGAAAAAGAACAGAATAACAGCACTTTTTAGGGAACGAGGGAAGACAACCATAAGGTCTGACTGCCTGCAGGGTCGGGCAGAAAGAGCCATATTTTTCTTCTTGCAGAGAGCCCATAAATGGACGTGCAAGTAGGAGAGATATCACTAAGTTATTTTCCTAGCAAGGAATATTAATATTAAGACCCTGGGAAAGGAATGCATTCCTGGGGGGAGGTCTATAAACAGCCGCTCTGGGAATGTCTGTCCTATGTGGTTGAGATAAGGACTGAGATATACCCTGGTCTCCTGCAGTACACTCAGGCTTACTAGGATGGAAACTCCTCCCTGGTAAATTTTTGGTCAGACCAGTTCTCTGCTCTCAAAACCTGTTTTCTGTTAAGATGTTTATCAAGACAATATGTGCACTGCTGAACATAGACCCTTATCAGGAGTTCTGATTTTGCCTTTGTCCTGTTTCCTCAGAAGCATGTGATCTTTGTTCTGCTTTTTGCCCCTTGAAGCATGTGACCTACTCCCTGTTCATACACCCCTTCCCCTTTTCAAACCCTTATTAAAAACTTGCTGGTTTAAGGCTCAGGTGGGCATCACAGTCCTACCAATATGTGACGTCACCCCTGGCGGCCCAGCTGTAAAATTCCTCTCTTTGTACTCTTTCTCTTTATTTCTCAGCCAGCTGACACTTATGGAAAATAGAAAGAACCTACCTTGAAATATTGGGGGCGGGTTCCCCCAATAATATCCCACAATTGTAATCAATGTAGCTTTATATTGTGTTTTAATATTTTGCACAGCCATTGTCTTTATTATTCTTTCCTTAAGAAAACTTCAATATTCTTACATAGATAATCACACAAATTTCATAAGTGAATACTACAAAGATTTTAATGTGAATTGCATAAATTTATTTTGGAATTCTTAATATTCTTAATATTTTAATATTTAGTCTTCTCATATAGAAAGATCATTTTCCCATTTATTGTGTTTAGTGTTTAGTAGTTCCTTGAACTTTCTTTTTAATTTATTCTTAGGCAATTTGCCACATTTGTTAACACTAATAATTTTAAATTTACTACAAACTGTGTCTTCTTGAAGTTAAAAATTCTAATTGGTTATTTCAGTAAGAGAACATTTGGTTGTAATTTGTTTTATATCCCAGCAATTTATTAAATGCTCATTAGTTCTAATGGGTTATAGTTTATTGTCTTGGATATTATAGATGACAATTATAACAATAGCAATTAATAATGATAACTATCTCTTATTAACATTTAGACCTCATTTCCTTTCTTCTCTAATTACATTGGTTAGCATTACCAAACAATACTGAATGTCTATGTGAATCAACAGATTCTTCCTTATTATTTTGGGGGTTTTCTAATGTCTTCTGGCTTAGTATGCATTTATTGTGAATTTAGGATGATAAGCTTCATTAAGTCAAATGAGGCTTAAATATCAGCTTTCCTCACTGATGAACAAGAAGTGATAATTTCCACAATGATACATTTTAAAAGACATCTTAAACTCTGTCTCCTATTTCCCCAAATTAAACTTACCCATCATTACACAGGCAAAAAAGCTGAAATACAATGAGTGAAAATAGTATCTCCCAAATGGAGAAATAAAAGGAAAAATAACTTATTTTACCTGAACATATATGGTTCAAAAAAGCAAGGTCGTATGTCCTATGAGAACAGTGACCTTCATACAGTAAATCTTTCCTGAGCACCTGAGGTGAGTCAAATATCCTTGTGGTACTTTAATATGTGGTGTTAAAAGAAAGATTGGATAAAATAGGGTACACGAAACTGTCATTTTTGAAAAACTTGCAGGTTGCGTTCCAAGATGGCTGAATAGGAAGAGCTGTGGTCTGCAGCTCCCAGCGTGATTGATGCAGAAGACTGGTGATTTCTGCATTTCCAACTGAGGTAGCTGGTTCATCTATTGGGACTGGTTGGACAGTGGGTGCAGCCTACAGAGGGCAAGCTGAAGCAGGGTGGGGCATCGCCTCCTCTGGGAAGTGCAAGGAGTTGAGGGACTTCCCTTTCCTAGTCAAGAGAAGCTGTGATTGACTGTACCGGGAAAATCGGGGCACTCCTGCCTTAATACTGTGTTTTTCCAATGGTCTTAGCAAACGGCACACCAGGAGATTATAACCTGTGCGTGGCTCAGCAGGTCCCACACCGACAGAGCCTTGCTCACTGCCAGGGGAGCAGTCCAAGATCAAACTGTGAGGAGGCAGCTGGGCTGGGGAGGGGCATCTGCCATTGCTGAGGCTTGAGTAGGTAAACAAAGTGGCTGGGAAGCTCGAACTTGGTAGAGCCCACCACAACTCAATGAGGCCTGTCTGCCTCTGTAGACTCCATCTCTGGGGGCAGGGCATAGCTGAACAAAAGGCAGCAGAAACTTCTGCAGACTTAAACATCCCTGTCTGACACCACTGAAGAGAGCAGTGGTTCTCCCAGTATGGTGTTTGAGCTCTGAGAAGAGACATACTGCCTCCTCAAGTGGGTCCCTGACCCCCGAATAGCCTAACTGGGAGACACCTTGCAGTAGGGGCCGACTGACACCTCATACAGCTGAGTGCCCCTCTGGGATGAAGATTCCAGGGGAAGGATCAGGCAGCAATATTTGCTGTTCTGCAATATTTGCTGTTATACAGCCTCCACTGGTGATACCCAGGTAAACTGTGTCTGGAGTGGACCTCCAGCAAACTCCAACAGACCTACAGCTGAGGGAACTGACTGTTAGAAGGAAAACTAACAAGCAGAAAGGAATAGCATCAATATCAACAAAAAGGACATCCACACCAAAACCCCATCTCTAGGTCACCATGATCACAGAGCAAAGGTAGATAAAACCACAAAACTGGGGAGAATTCAGAGCAGAAAAGCTGAAAATTCTAAAAACCAGAGCACCTCTTCTCCTCCAAAGGATCGCAGCTCCTTGCCAGTGATGGTACAAAGCTGGATGAAGAATGACTTTGATGAGTTGACAAAAGTAGGCTTCAGAAGGTCGGTAATAACAAACTTCTCCGAGCTAAAGGAGGATGTTTGAATCCATTGCAAGGAAGCCAAAAACCTTCAAAAAAGATTAGACGAATGGCTACCTAAAATAAACATTGTAGAGAAGACCTTAAATAACCTGATGGAGCTGAAAACCATGGCATGAGAACTACGTGACACATGCACAAACTTCAGTAGCCGATTTGATCAAGTGGAAGAAAGGGTATCAGTGATTGAAGATCAAATGAATGAAATGAAGCAAGAAGTTTAGAGAAAAATAGAGTAAAAGGAAATGAACAAAGCCTCCAAGAAATATGGGCCTATGTGAAAAGACCAAATCTACATCTGATTGTTGTACCTGAAAGTGACAGGGAGAATGGAACCAAGTTGGAAAACACTCTGCAGGATATTATCCAGAGGAACTTCCCCAACCTAGCAAGGCAGGCCGACATTCAAATTCAGGAAATACAGAGAATGCCACAAAGATAATCATCGAGAAGAGCAACCCAAAGACATATAATTGTCAGGTTCACCAAGGTTGAAATGAAGGAAAAAATCTTAAGCGCAGCCAGAGAGAAAGGTCAGGTTACCCACAAAGGGAAACCCATAAGACTAACAGCATATCTCTCAGCAGAAACTCTACAAGCCAGAAGATAGTGGGGGCCGATATTCAACATTCTTAAAAAAAAGAATTTTCAACCCAGAATTTCATATCAAGCCAAACTAAGCTTCGTAAGTGAAGAAGAGATAAAATCCTTTGCAGACAAGCAAAAGCTGAGAGATTTTGTCACCACCAGGCATGCCTTACAAGAGCTCCTGAAGGAAGAACTAAACATGGAAAGGAACAACCAGTACCAGCCGCTGCAAAAACATGCCAAATTGTAAAGATCATCAATGCTAGGAAGAAACTGCATCAACTAATGAACAAAATAACCAGCTAACATCATAATGACAGGAACAAATTCACACATAACAATATTAAATGTAAATGGGCTAAATGCTCCAATTAAAAGACACAGACTGGCAAATCGGATAAAGAGTCAAGACCCATCAGTGTGCTGTATTCAGTAGACCCATCTCACGTGCAGAGACACACGTAGGCTCAAAATAAAGGGATAGAGGAAGATCTAACAAGCAAATGGAAAGCAAAAAAGAGCAGGGATTGCAATCCTAGTCTCTGATAAAACAGACTTTAAACCAACAGAGATCAAAAGAGACAAAGAAGGCCGTTACAAAATGGTAAAGGGATCAATTCAACAAGAAGAGCTAACTATCCTAAATATATATGCACCCAATACAGGAGCACCCAAATTCATAAAGCAAGTCCTTAGAGACCTACAAAGAGACTTAGACTCCCACACAATAATAATGGGAGACTTTAACACCCCACTGTCAATATTAGACAGATCAATGAGACGGAAGGTTAACAAGGATATCCAGGACTTGAACTCAGCTCTGCACCAAGCAGATCTAATAGATATGTACAGAACTCTCCACCCCAAATCAACAGAATATACATTCTTCTCAGCACCACATCACAATTATTCCAAAATTGACCACATAGTTGGAAGTAAAGCACTCCTCAGCATATTTAAAAGAACAGAAATCACAACAAACTGTCTCCCAGACGACAGTGCAATCAAACTAGAGCTCAGCAGTAAGAAACTCACTCAAAACCACTCAACTACATGGAAACTGAACAACCTGCTCTCCTCAATGACTACTGGGTACATAATGAAATGAAGGCAGAAATAAAGATGTTCTTTGAAACCAACAAGAACAAAGACACAACATACCAGAATCTCTGGGACACATTTAAAGCAGTGTGTAGAGGGAAATTTATAGCACTAAATGCCCACAAGAGAAAGGAGGAAAGATCTAAAATCGATACCCTAATATCACAATTAAAAGAACTAGAGAAGCAAGAGCAAACAAATTCAAAAGCTAGCAGAACGTAAGAAATAAGTAAGATCACAGCAGAACTGAAGGAAATAGAGACACAAAAAACCCTTCAAAAAATCAATGAATCCAGAAGCTGGTGTTTTGAAAAGATCAACAAAATAGATAGTCTGCTAGCAAGACTAATAAAGAAGAAAAGAGTGAAGAATCAAATAGATGCGATGAAAAATGATAAAGGGGATATCACCACCAATCCCACAGAAATACAAACTACCATCAGAGAATACTATAAACACCTCTAAGCAAATAAACTAGAAAATCTAGAAGAAAAGGATAAATTCCTGGACACACACACCCTCCCAAGACTGAACCAGGAAGACATTGATTCCCTAAATAGACCAATAATAGGCTCTGAAATTGAGGCAACAATTGATAGCTTACCAACCAAAAAAAGTCCAGGACCAGATGGATTCACAGCCAAATTCTACCAGAGGTACAAAGAGGAGCTGGTAGCATTCCTTCTGAAACTATTCCAATCAATAGAAAAAGAGGGAATCCTCCCTAACTCATTTTATGTGGCCAGCATCATCCTGATACCAAAGCCTGGCAGAGACACAACAAAAAAAGAGAATTTTAGACCAATATCCCTGACGAACATCAATCTGAAATTCCTCAGTAAAGTATTGGCAAACCAAATTCAGCAGCACATCAAAAAGCTTATCCACCATGATCAAGTTGGCTTCATCCCTGGGATGCAAGGCTGGTTCAACATACTCAAATCAGTAAATGTAAACCATCACATAAACAGAACCAAAGACAAAAACCACATGATTATCTCAATAGATGCAGAAAAGGCCTTTGACAAAATTCAACAGTCCTTCCTTCTCAAAACTTTTAATAAACTATGTACTGATGGAATGTATCTCAAAATAATAAGCTGCTAATGATAAACCCACAGCCAATATCATACTGAATGGGCAAAAACTAGGAGGATTCCCTTTGAAAACTGGCACAAGACAGGGATGTCCTCTCTCACCACTCCTATTCAACATAGTGTTGGAAGTTCTGGCCAGGGCAATCAGGCAAGAGAAGGAAATAAAGGGTATTCAATTAGGAAAGGAGGAAGTCAAATTGTCCCTGTTTGCAGATGACATGATTGTATATTTAGAAAACTCCATCATCTCAGCCCAAAATCTCTTTAAGCTGATAAGTAAGTTTAGCAAAGTCCCAGGATACAAAATCAATGTGCAAAAATCACAAGCTTCCTATACATCATTAACAGACAGAGAGCCAAATCATGAGAGAATAAAATACCTAGGAATCCAACTTACAAGGGAAGTAAAGGACCTCTTCAATGAGAACTACAAACAACCGCTCAACAAAATAAAAGAGGACACAAACAAATGCAAGAACATTCCATGCTCATGGGTAGGAAGAATCAATATCGTGAAAATGGCCATACTGCCCAAGGTAATTTATAGATTCAATGCCATCCCCATCAAGTTACCAATGACTTTCTTCACAGAATCGGAAAAAACTACTTTAAAGTTCATCTGGAACCAAAAAAGAGCCCGCATTGCCAAGACAATCCAAGCCAAAAGAACAAAGCTGGAGGCATCACGCTACCTGACTTCAAACTATGCTACAAGCCCACAGTAACCAAAACAGCATGGTGCTGGTATCAAAACAGAGATATAGGCCAATGGAACAGAGCAGAGGCCTCAGAAATAACACCACACATCTACAACTATCTGATCTTTGACAAACCTGACAAAAACAAGAAATGGGGAAAGGATTCCCTATTCAATAAATGGTGCTGGAAAAACTGGCTAGCCATATGTAGAAAGCTGAAATTGGATCCCTTCCTTACACCTTATACAAAAATTAACTCAAGATGGATTAAAGACTTAAATGTTAGACCTAAAACCATAAAAACCCTAGAAGAAAACCTAGGCAATACCATTCAGGACACAGGCATTGGCAAGGACTTCGTGACTAAAACACCAAAAGCAATGGCAACAAAAGCCAAAATTGACAAATGGGATCTAATTAAACTAAAGAACTTCTGCACAGCAAAAGAAACTGCCATCCGAGTGAACAGGCAACCTACAGAATGGGAGAAAATTTTTGCAATCTACCCATCTGACAAAGGGCTAATATCCAGAATCTACAAATAACTTAAACAAATTTACAAGAAAAAATCAAACAACCCCATCAAAAAGTGGGCAAAGGATATGAACAGACAGTTTTTAAAAGAAGACATTTATGCAGCCAACAGACACATGAAAAAATTCTCATCATCACTGGTCCTCAGAGAAATGCAAATCAAAACCACAATGAGATACCATCTCACAACCAGTTAGAATGGTGATCATTAAAAAGTCAGGAAACAACAGGTGCTGGAGAGGATGTGGAGAAATAGGAACACTTTTACATTGTTGGTGGCAGTGTAAACTAGTTCAGCCATTGTGGAAGACAGTGTGGGATTCCTCAAGGATCTAGAACTAGAAATACCATTTGACCCAGCCATCTCATTACTGGGTATATACCCAAAGGATTATAAATCATGCTACTATAAAGACACATGCACACGTATGTTTATTACAGCACTATTCACAATAGCAAAGACTTGGAACCAACCCAAGTGTCCATCAATGATAGACTGGATTAAGAAAATGTGGCACATATACACCATGGAATACTATGCAGCCATAAAAAAGGATGAGTTCTTGTCCTTTGTAGGGACATGGATGAAGCTGGAAACCATCATTCTGAGCAAAGTATCGCAAGGACAGAAAACCAAACACCACATGTTCTCACTCATAGGTGGGAGTTGAACAATGAGAACACAGGGCGGGGAACATCACACATCAGGGCCTGTCGGGAGTGGAGAGCTGGGGAGGGATAGTATTAGGAGAAATGACTAATGTAAATGACGAGTTAATGGGTGCAGCTCACCAACATGGCACATGTATACATATGTAACAAACCTGCATGTTGTGCACATGTACCCTAGAACTTAAAGTATAATAATTAAAAAAAAGTTGCAACAATAAACACCTAAACAGATAAATATGCAAAAAAGGGCTAGTCTGAGAAAGAAAAATAAAGCTGTGTAAAAGCATGTGTGCCCAGGGAGAGTATGTGTTATCATTTTATAAATAATTTTTAGGCAATATCTCCCTAATATGATGACAGTCGATCATATATCTGAACAAATTCAAAAGTGAGCAGAGAAAAATGGAAGACTAGGAATCTCCAAGTTCCTATTCCCCCATGGAATGTAAAATATAAATAAATAAAAGATTCAGACAGGGAGACACTGTCTCAAGTATTATAACAGTTTTGGAACTCCAGAGTCTATTTGAATGCTTGCAGCTTCCAAAAGAATAGCTTGGATGAGAAATTATGTTTTATATTGCTCAATCTTAGCCTCCAGTATGGTAGTAACCACCCATCCCTTACCCCACAGCCCAGTGGCAGGCAGCTGTGGAGATAGCCACATTTCTGGTTTGGTTTGCTTGAGCCAGAATGGACAAGAAGAACTTTGTCATACAAATATCACAATTCTGGGTTCTGATTGGAGATTTCTGTTTCTGATCATTGTTGTAAAAATGCAGAAGTTCTCTGTCATTGTATCAACCCACAATGGCTTCCTTGGTTTTTCAAGAGGTCACATCTGTTTTAGTCCGTATGTTTTTTAAAAGGCCAATGCATGCAGATGTTTTAGAAAACCATAGTGTGCGCTGAGGAAAACACAAACCCTTAAGAAAGAACCTGAGAAGATTTTAACCTTTCATCTCAGGCTGATACTGGCAGAGAGATATCCTAAAGCAATCAGAAAAAAACAGCAAACTCAGGGAACAGGGAGAATATAATCTCCAGTGTTTCTACTGGATTATTTTTAAAAAGCCAAAAAGAAATTCTGAAGCTTGAAAGTACAATAACTATAATAGAAAATAAATAAGAGGAGTTCAACAGATTTAAGCAAGCAGACATTAATATAAGACAATTGAAATTACAAAGTCTGATAAACAGAAAAAAAGATATGAATAAAAATGAAGAGAGCCTGAGGGACTCGTGGGATTCCATAGAGCAGACCAATATATGCACTGTGAGAATCTTAGAAGGAAATGTGAGAGATAACGGGACAGAGAAATATTTGAAGTAATAATGACTAAAATATTTCCAAATGTTGTGAAGGACATGAGTCTACAAATTCAAAAATCTCAACAAACTCAAAGTAGAATAAACTCAAAGATACATGAAGACACATTATAATCAAACTGCTGAATGCCAAAGACAAAGAGAATTATCAGTAACATTATCAGCTAATTTCTTATCAGAAACCTTGGAGGCAGGAAGAAAGTGAGATCATATATTTAAATAACGGAAATAAAAATAAAATTGTAACTGAGAATTATATATCTAACAAAATTGTTCTTCAAAATTGAGGGTGAAATTATGACATTCTGAAATATATACAAGCAAAAAAAGAAAGCAAACTAAATGTAAAGCTAGCAGAAGAAAGAGCATAATGAAAAACAGACCAAAGATAAGTGAAATCGAGATTATAAAAACAATAGAAAAATTTAACAAAACCAAAATTTGGTTCTCTGAAAAAATCAACAATATGGAGAAACCTTTAGCTAAATTGACTAAGAAAAAAGAAAAAAAGATTCAAATTCTAAAATCAGAAATAATAGTAAATACATTATTTCTGACCTTACAGAAATAAGAAGCATTTTAAGATTATACACTTATAGTATATTTTACTCCAACAAATTGGAGAATCCAAATGAAACAGACAAATTCCTAGCAAAACATAGTCTACCAAATCAAATCATGAAGTAGAAAATCTAAATAGACCTACAATTACTAAGACATTTGAATTGAAATTAAAAAAAAATTCAATAAAGGAAACCTTTGGACCAAATAGCTTCACTCGTGAATTCTACCAAACATTTAATGAATTAGCGTAAATCTTTCTCAAACTCTTCCAAAAAATTCAACGGGATGGAACACTTTATAACTAATTCCATGAAGCCAGAAATACATTGATATCAAAACCAGACAAAGACATCATTACAAGAAAACTACAGAAGGATTTTATTGATTATTGATGCAAAATTCTCAACAAAATATTAATACACCAAATTCGTTTGCATTTTTTAAAATTATGAACCTTGGTCAAGTGGGATTTGTTTCTATAATACAAGGATAATTTGATAAATGAAAACTAAGTGAGGTAATACGTCACATTAATGAAATGAAGGGAAAAAAATCCTGCATGGCATTCTCAATTCATGAAGAAAAAATATTTAACAAAATTCAACACTCATAATACCAACAAAAAATCATCCAACAATGTAAAATTATAAGGAAATACCTAACATGATAAAGACTACACATAAAAAACTGACAGCTAACATCATGCATAATGAAGAGTGAAACTTTTCCTCAGGTTCAATAACAAGACAAATATGCCCACTTTCACACTTCTGTTCAACATAGTGTTAGAATTTCTAGCTTTGGCCATTAGGGGGAAGAAAAAGAATTACAGAAGGAAAGAAAGAGGAAGAAAAAAAGGCATTTGAATTAGAAATAAAGAAATATAATCATCCCTGTTCACAGATGGCCTGCTCTCATATGCACAAAACACTAAAGATTTTATAAAAGTACACACACACACAACTAAAAAAAAATAAACTTTTGGAGCTAATAAAAAGGTTCAGCAAAATTTCAGGGTATAAAATGTAAACACAAAAATCAGTTATCTTTCTAAACACTGCCAAGAAACAATCTGAAAAGAAAATGAAGATATTAATTCCATTTACAATACCACAAAAAGAATAAAATACTAAGGAATACATTTAATGAAGGATGTGAAAGACTTGCACACTGAAAACCGCAATTTCTGAAAGAAATTAAAGAAGATATAAGTAAATGGAAAGATATTTTGTATTTAGATTGGATGACTTAAAACTGTTACCATAAAACTATTAGCCCTAATAATCTACAGATTCAATGTAATCCTTACTAAAATTCCAAAAGCATTTTGTGTAGAAAAACATAAAAACATTGTAAAATTCATACAAAATCTCAAGGAACCCAAAGTAGCCAAAACAATCTGGAAAAAAATAACGAATTAAAATAAATCATACTTGCAAATGCCAAAACTTATTACAAGGCTATAGTAGTCAATGCAGTGTGGTACTAGGATAAGAAAAGTCATGAATACTCATAGAATAAAATAGAGACCCCAGAAATAAACCCTCACATACATGGTCAAATAATTTTTGACAAGGGTGAGAAGACCATCCAAGGCAGAAACTGTAGTCTTTTCAACAAATGATGTTAAAAACAAAATGAAACAAAATTATATATCCTTATGTAAAAGAATAAATTTTGATCCTTACCCAAAGGCATATACAAAACATAACAGGAAATCAAAGACTAAAAGTAAAAACTGAAAATATAACATTCTTAGGAAAAAACAAAGGGAAAAATGTTCATGACATTGGACTTGGCAAAAATTTCCTGGATGTGACATCAAAAGCACAGACAATTAATGTAAAAATATGTAAATTGGACTTTACCAAAATTAAAACTTTTGTATGTCAAAGAACACGATCAAAATGCGGGAGAAAACAATCCATGGAATTGGAGAAAATATTTCAAATTATGTATAAAATAAGAATTATTATTTAGACCATAAGTGTTTAATCTTCTGGCTTCCCTGGGCCACACCAGAAGAAGAATTGTTTTGGGCTGCACATAAAAGACACTAACTCTAGTGATAGCTGGTGACCTAAAAAACAAAAACTAAAAAGGCCCATGCATAAATCTCACAATGTTTTAAGAAAGTTCAGGAATTTGTGTTGGGGCACATTCAAACCCATCCTGGGCCACATGTGGCCTGCAGGCCATGGGTTGGACAAGCTTGATCTAGACTATATTAAAACTCTTACAATTCAACAACAAAATAACAAACAACCAAAATTAAAAATTGACAACTGTTTTAATGTGTTTATATAGAAGATATACAAATGACCAATAAGCACATTAGGAGAGATCAACATCACTGGTCATTAGCGAAATGCACATAAAGACCATAATGGGAGACTATAACACACTCGTTAACATGGCTATTATGAACACAATGGAAAATAACAAGTGTTAGTGAGGATTTGGAAAAATTGGAACTCTTGTGAAGTTGTTGTAAAAATCAATTTAGTTGTTTATCAATAAGATAAATTTAGAATTACCATATAATTTAGCAATTCCACTTCTACATATATACCCAAATGAGTTGAAAGCAAAGAATGTGAATGCCTATATTCATGGCAACAATATTCACAATAGCTAAAAGTTGGAAAGAGTCAGATGTCCATCAACAGATAAATGGATGAATTAGATGTGGTATATTCATATAGTGGAATACTATTCAGCCTTAAAATGAAATTCTGTTACATGCAATAATATGGACAACCTTGAAAACATTTGCTAAGTGAAATAAACCAGGCATGAAATGTTCAATATTGTATGACTCCACTTATATGAAGTACATATTTAGAAGAGGTAAAGTCATAGAGACAGAAAGTAGTAGAGATTATGAGACCCTGAGGAGAAGAGGAAAATATCTGTTTAATTTGCACAAAGTCTCTGCTTGAAATGATGAAGTCGTTTTGAAAACAGGTAAATGGTGACAGTTGCATGATACTGTGAATGTGCTTATTGCCACTCAGTTGTACACTTCTAAATGGTTAGAATGCCAACGTTCACATTCTGTGTATTTTATCACAATAAACAAAATTATTTTTTAAAAAGTGATCCAAGAACATACCCCTGGTGGAGAGTTTCCAGGCAGAGAGGACAAAATATGTAAAAGCCCTGAGATGGGGGGAGGGTACCTGGCATGGGAAGCCAGACTGAGAAGGATGGCAAGGAGAAATGAGGTCCCCATGAGTGATGTCAGAAAGGTAGGCAGGGGCCAGATATATTAGAGTGTTTGAGACCATGATAGTGTCTTTGAATAAGATCAAGGTTTGAAAATAGTTTTGAGCAAATAAACTGCTATAATCTGATTTATGTTTTAAAAGCATAGTGCGAGAAAATATGATGAGAATAGATTGTAGGATGGCCAGGTTAGAAACAGAGATGTGTTTTCCTGCCAACAGTCCCTCAAAGTAATGGTGGGGTTTTGGACTGGGATGGCAGCAGAGAAGATAGCGAAGGGTTGGAAGATGGAGGACACATTTTGAGGGTAAAGCTGACAGGATTTGCTGATGGTTTTGATGTTGTTCAGAGAGAAGGGAAGGACTCAAAAATAATACTGGGTTTTTGGCTTGAAGAACTGGTGCAATAGAGTTACCTTTTACCAAAAACAAAAGGGAGAAGAATGGTAAAGACAAACTTTTAGAGAATTCCATTAACTTGTAAAATATTATCTACTAATGTTTATAGACTACAAACACTCATCTTAGTCACAGCCCCTTGTGTTGTGAAGCTTGAGTACATGGTAGGAACAGAGCAGGACACGGTTATATCATAGGTCCTGGTTAGCCTCTCTGTAGTTCACAGTGATCTCCACAGCATTGCAATGACAGACAAATTTTTTAAAGGCTTATAAATGTTATCCAGGTGGGCAGAGGCCTTACTTATTTTCTGAAAGAAAATAACATACAGAAGGCAGAACATATTATTGGGAAGCAGTGGCAATTGATAACAGTATCTGGGACAGGTAAGCTTTCTGTAGCACATAAGGTGTTAGTTAGGTCCTAAGGATGCTCTGTCAGCTACTGGAATATGAAAATGTTACTGTCTATGCAAGTTAGACACAGAAGCCCACAAAGACGGTCAGGTTCCGGAGCCAGTCAATTCTCACTGCAGGTAACCAGAACTCAATCACCAGTCAGAGGCTTAGAGGTAGGACTCAAAAATTGGACAGGTTCTGAATACAGTATGGCAGGCCATCATTACAAGAAAAGGCACAGAAACAGACAAGAATAAGGCTTGGGATTCCCCGACTTTTCAAGAATCTCTAGCCTCACGTAAGAAAGGACTTTAATGTTGCTCTTCATTTCTCTAGTCTCATTGCCCAGGAGCTCATGAAACACTGTGACTACATAACACTGATAACTGACTTCAAAGAAAATCAGATGAGATGTGTGTTTATGAGAAAAGGAATCATAGATGTCTTTGGCTAAGAAAGAATATAAGGGAAAACTTTGGAATAAAAATGGGAGAGCTTCATCCCTCAGAAGCAAATGAACCAGAGGTAATACTAAGAGATGGCCTTGGTATTGATCCATTTTATTTGTTTTATATGCAATTAAGAATAATTCTAGTAACAGATTACAGGCTCTTTATCTATTTGACCCATTGATGTAATAAGTTCCTTCTAAAATATTTATAGCCATTTAGACTTCTTAATTACAATGGTAATACTTTGTGCCTTTGTATGTATAGTGTGTATGTGTTCTAACTACCTCATTTGTTTTATTTATATTTTATTTACAATTGGGTACTTAATATTCTTATCTGTAGAATGCAGATGGTGTGTGCAGAGCTAGTGAACTCCTTCTTCTGTAGATGCATCTTATCTCCTTTCCCTAGAAATAAACAGCTTGGTGTTATTAATGATAACAGCATGCATCTGTCATTTCCTGCTCAGAGCTGCCTGTCTAGGAGTGGTGCTATCTTGCAATGGCTGATGGGGCTTAAGCTTAGGGTCACCATGCAACTGCCCCCCAGGGAGGCCTGCTATGTCAAATGGCAGCATAATGCAAAAATGCCACAGCTGATCTTTACAATGACAAGTGAAATAAGCCAGTGGGCATAGCAGTTGAATTTATGCAGCTGTTTCTGATATTACATGGCTTTGAACTGATGCCTCTTATATGATGCCTAGCTATGTCACTGTATTAACCAATGAAAGGTCAACTCACTCAATTTTACCTATTGTGCCACTGGATTTCTTTCCAACGTATCTGCCTTAACAATATTTCTGTTTTTGACAGGCATGAAGTTAGTCAGCATTATTTATTGAGTTTCCACAGTACGTGCAGACACTTGAAGTGACGTATGAGGATTAATCACAGCAGGCTTCTTTGAAGGAGATACTGAATAAATTATTATTTAATTAAAGCTCAAATCAAGGCTGATAATAAAACAAATGTCCGAGCAGTGGGACACTCCCTCCCTGAACCAACTGGAATATAATTACACTCGACCATGGACAAATCACTTTATTGGAAGTCAGTTCCTGTAGAAGTGACTAGCCCCAACTAATGGCTATTGTAAATCAAGGGATGGTGATTGCTAATCAGATGAGGCCTCCCCATGGTAGGAAGTTAAAGTGGTATGAAAACAATTTCCAACACTGGCCCAAGTAAAAACAGATTGCCTTCTTTGTGAAAAGCCTCATGAATAAAGCCTTGGGTAATGCCACTTAGAGTTTCTTCAACATGAAGACATTGACTTTTGCATGAATAGGTGAAAACTGCAGCAATGATTTCAGAGGGATAGGGGATTGAACTTGACATCACACAAATATAGACTAGAATCCAGGCTTTACTATTTATTTGCAGTGTGATCTTGAGTGATTACTTAAGTTTTCCAACTCTTAGTTTCCACAATTGTAAAGGAAATATAATAATGTATATCAACATGACTTCATGAGATTGGAAATGGAATATATATAACACTTATGATATGTTAGGCTCTGAATACATGATGGTCTTGCTTACTCTCACTACTATAAATGACAGTATTTACTGCTGAAAGTAGTCTTAATAGTCTAAAATTGCAACAAATTCCTATCATATTAAAACTCTGAGATTTGGAAGGCTATTTGGACCAACTCCTAGAGTTAGTTTAACTAGGATACTTTAATGAAACCCGTATTACTTTTGTTATGTTGTTCCATTACTATTATGTATTAAGTAAATTTGTTAGAATAATTGGATACATACCCTCAAACAAAAAAAAATACTGATTTGATGTCTAAACACAACCACTTCAATATTGTGACTTTCTAAATTATATGCCATAATTATGTTCATTATCATATGTAAACATCACTTGTGTTACTAGCCTAATAGTTTACTGATTGCATATGCTGTAATATATTTTTATTCCTAGACACTTAGTTTATTCATATTTTTGTACTATTGCTAATAATATCACAAATGGTCATGAGGTTAAATATTTACTTGTTGAGTATATAGTCTATATTTAAAAATATTTTAAATATAAGTATATTTTATATATAAAATATATTCGTTGAATTCATATATATTTATATAAATAAACATATGTTTTTATATATGGAAAAGTACCATATTAGTAAACTACCCTTTTCTGGGGATGTGTTAGCTGCAAACACTTAACTGTTGGTACAAGTGAAAATACTGAGGATGGGATCTCTTCTCTCCTTCGGAATGATTTCCTTGCTACTTATGTCTTTCTGCACACCTTCTCCATCTCCATATTAGAAGTTTACTCCCATACTTCCTGATTTTCTACCCCTTCACATCTTTTCACATAGTTTTACCTCCAATACTATGTCCAATTTAATCACTATGGTTGACCCCAAAGAAATTTTTCACCTTGATTTGTCAATCATCAATGTTTCAGCAATGTTCTTGTTAATTTTTCTATATTTAATAACTGTGTCCAACATTTTGTATTTTAAATGTTCTATCTAGATCCTTAAGTTCTTATGTGTACCCTAAATCTCTTTAGATTTAAGGAGACAAATATTTGTTCTTACCTATCCTGTCTCTGAAAGGACTTGGTAATGTAGGAGAGCACATATAGTTCCCCAAATATGTTACAATTTTTAATTTTACATCAGAAGGTGGGATAGGCTTCACCCCTTTGTATACTTTAGGACACTCTAATCTTAGTTTGGGCACAATGCACAAAGCAGTACAAGCACAAGCCACCTTTAAACTGAACCAAAGTTGTCTAGTGTTGGGTAGCCTGCTTGCCGGCTGCTCGTGGCTCTGCCTCTTTCCTATGGTGCTCCAGCCTCTCCTGTACTGAAATACAATGAAAAATAATTTGCCAAACAGCACACTCAACAGAGTCTAGGAAAACTTCTTTGAGGTTTATAATAATCTCTCATTAACTAACCTGGCCAACTTAAGATCAATAATAATAATCAGTCACATGAGTAAAGAATAAACATGTTTTTCTTTAAAGTTCTAAAAATAAAATTATTCTTAAACTGCTTTCCTCAGCCATTACATTTCTTTACCTTCTTCCCAATATGACCTAAAATTAAAAGTCTATTTTAAAGAGAGTTCTTCCGGATACCTCTATTCTTGGAAGAAGCTTTCTGCCACAGTAGAAACAATAATGTTGATTCTTGGGCACAAGAGCGTTATTAGACTAAGAACATCTGCTGCATTTTGTAAAATGTCAGAAGATTCTGAACTGATCTTTTATTGTACAGTTATATTAAGAATGATTAGGCCAACTTATTGAATCATTAAAATTTAGTCCATTTTTCAACAAAAACAAATAACTAAATTTGCTTTTCTACTATCATTATTATACTCTATTAGGGAAAATAAATGTGTTTATTTAAAGGTAAAATAATTTTTGCTCAGGGAAGATTTTCTGCAATCAGAAAGTAACCAACCTTTAGCACTTATATAATTTAGACACATTATCACAACAGTTTTAATATAAGAAAAAGGTTATTTTGTAAGAAGTTACTTTAAATAAGTTTATACCACAAGGCAATGAATACATTATTGGCATGATCTTTTAAGAAAGCAGGGTAAAAGTGAGATGTATAGCAGCACATGGAGAAAACATAATTTAGAAACAATAGATTCTAGAACAACGTATTGATCCTAGATTTAGTTCACACTGTTAAGAGAAAGTTACACTCACTAAGGAAAGTCATACAATTTTCCTTTATGATTATATAATTTAATTTACACTGTGGAGATTTTTAGATAACTTTGTTTTACTCTAACCGAAGCTGTTGAGAACCAAAACTTATCACTTCACAAATTGCTCAATAAATAAAATGAAAAAAAGGTGATGATATTGATATATAGAAATATAATGTAAGGCAGAAAGGCTCTTTGTGACATGGTCTGACTTTGTCTTTCTCACTCAAATACTTATTCCTTCCATGGATATGAAGGGATATAGACTGTATTTCTCTGTTCTCTCACTGCTGTAAAGAAATATATGAGATTTATGAAGAAAGGCTATTTATAAAGAAAGGTAATTCATAAAGAAAGGATATTTAATTGGCTCAAGATTCTGCAGACTGTACAGAAGGCATAGCAGCATCTGCTTCTGAGGAGGCGTCAGGGAGCTTTTACGCATGGTGGAAGGCAAAGAGGGAGCAGGCGTCTCACATGGCAGGAATACAAACAGAGAATGGGGGAGGTGCCACACACTTTTAAGCAACCAGATCTCATGAGACCTCACTCACTATAGAGTACCAAAAGGGGATGGCACTAAACTATTCATGAAAACTCTGTCCCCATGATCCAATCACCTTCTACCAGGCCCCACCTCCAATACTGGGGATTAGAATTTGACATGAGATTTGGTGGGGGCACAGCTCAAACCATATGACAGATTGTTTAAAAAGTTACCAGAATAATAAAAATAGAGTAGACTAACATCACAATGAGCTGTAGGAGTGGATATAAACCAACCCATTGAATTACACTGAAGCACATTAGTAGGAAAGTAATTTTCTGCCTTGGTATAAAAAAAAAAGACTAAATACAAACAAATAAAAAATTTATATATTGTATATACATCTACTATGTAAATACATGTTATATATTTATAAGCTTAAGTAGGGAAATAGTATGAAATCCAATAGAATGCTGAAAAGCGGTTACAGATTCAGACTTGAGGAAAGCTTGGATAGAAGTATATGATGCCCCTTCTTTCCACCTCTGCAGCAACAACAAACACAATGTGAACATAAAAATTCTTGCTCACTATTGGAAAGGAGGGAAAAGTGATATTGAGATGTTCCTACCTTTGAGGAAAGACAGGACTGATACTTTACTTCTGAAAAGACAGCTTGGTCTTTCAGGAAGTAACAAAATCTTGAATTCCATGAGTCCTCTAAAGTTTGAAATGGAGAGAGGAGGCTGAGTTATCTGGAGAAAGTGTCACTTGGATCCAGTGGACAGAGGGCTATGAGTGGTGAGTATGGAACTGAGAGAATGTTCCCACAGTGGAAATGTGCTGTCCCACAAAATCAGTGCTCAGAGCGACGTTGATAGCAATGTATACCAACATTAAAAAAGAAAGATTTCAAATAAACAATGCAATCATACACTTCAGGGAACTAGAAAATCAAAAACAAACCAAATCCAAAATTAGCAGAAGAAAAAATAATACAGATAAGAGCAGAACTAAACAAAATAGAGACTAAAAAATGAGAATAAACAAAATGAAGTTTGTTCTTTGAAAAGATAAAAAATTTGATAAATCATTAACTAGACTAATCAAGAAAAGATGAGAAGATCTAAATAAAAGAGAAATAAAAAAGAGTTTTTAAATAATACCACAGAAATAGAAAAGATCATCAGAGACCATTATGAACAACTATACACTAACAAACTGGAATACCTAGAGGAAATGGGTAAGTTCCTGGAAATATACAACCTATCAAGAAGATTGAATCAAGAAGAATTAGAAAACCTGAACAGACTAATAATGAGTAGTGATATTTAATCAGTAATTAAAAAAAAAACCTCACGACAAAGAAAAACCCAGGACTGAATGGATTCGCTACTGAATTTTACCAAGTGTATAAAGAAATACTAATCCTCCTCAAACCATATTTAAAAAATTGAAGTGGAGAAACTTCTTCAAACTCATTCTACAAGGTTAGCATTACCTTGATACCACAACCAGACAAGGACACGACAACAAAAGAAAACTACAGGCCAGTATCCCTAAAGAATATAGATGCAAAAGCCTTCAACAAAATATTAGCAAACAAAATCCAACATCACATCAAAAAGATAATACACCCTAATTAAGTGAGATTTATCTCAAGGATGCAAGGACGCAAGGACAGTTTAATGCACATAAATTCATAAATGCTAGGAATCATAACAATAGAATAAAGGGCAAAAAACATATTATCATTTCAATAGATTCAGAAAAAGCATTTGACAAAATTCGACATCCCTGCATAATAAAAACTCTCAACAAACTAGGTGTAGAAGGACCATACCTTGAAATAACAAAGACTATAAACAACAAACCCCACAGCTAATGTCATACTTAATGAGAAAATATTGAAAGTCTTTCCTGTAAAAACTAGAGCAAGGCAAGGATGCCCACTTTTACTCCTATTCAACACCGTACCGGAAGTCCTAGCCATAGCAATCAGGCAAGAAAATAAATAAAAGGCATATAAATTGTAAAAGAGAAAGTCAAATTGTCCCTTTTTGCAGACAATATGATTTATATCTAGCAAAACAAAAAGACTCCACCAGAAAACTCTTAGAACTGATAAATTAAGTAAAGTTTTAGGATACAAAATTATCTTACAAAAATCTGTAGCATTTCTATATACCAATGACAAACTAGCCAAAAAAAGAAAGAAAGAGGGCAATCTCATTTACAATAACTACAAAAGAAAACCCTAAGAATAATTTTAACCAAGGAGATGAAAGATCTCTACAAGGAAAATTACAAAACACTGTTGAAAGAAATTGAAGAAGACACAAACCAATAGAAAGACATCCTGTGATCACGGATTAGAGGAATTAATGTTGTTGAAATAACCATACTGCCCAAGCAATCTGCCGATTCATTGCAATTCCTTTCAAACTACAAACATCATTCTTCATAGAAGTAGAAAAAACAATTCTAAAATTCATAAAACAAACAAAGAGCCCAAATAGGCCAAAGTGATACTAAGCAAAAGAACAAAGCTAGAGGCATCGCATTACCTGAGTTCAAAATAGATTACAAGCCAATAGTAGCCAAAATAGCAAGACACTGGTAGAAAAATAGATACACAGACCAATGAAACAGAATAAAGAACCCAGAAGTAATGCCACATACCTACAACCAACTGATGTTTGACAAAGTCAGCAAAAATATACACTGGGAAAAGAACACCCTATTGAATAAATGATGCTGGGATAATTGGAGAGCCATATGCAAAAGAATGCAAATGGAGCCATATGTCTCACCATATATAAAAATTAAGGTAAATTAAAGACTTAAATGCAAGACCTGAAAGGTCTTCTATAGGTCTACAAAAATCCTAGAGGAAATCCTAGGAAAATTCTTCTGGACATTGTTCTAGGCAAATAATTTATAACTAAGTCCACAAAAAGAAACGCAAAAAAAAAAAAAAAAAAAAAAAAAAAAAAAAAAAAAACCCAGAAAGAGGCAAATGGGACTTAGGTAAACTAATAGATGCCTGAACTGCAAAGGGAATAATGAACAGAGTAAACAGACAACCAACAGAATGAAAGAAAATTTTTGAAAACAATTCATCTGAAAAAGTTATGATTCAAAATCTAAAGGAACTTAAACAACTCAACAGAAGAAAAGCAAATAACTCTATTGAAAAGTGAGCAAAGAATATAAAGAAACATTTTTCAAAAGAAGACATACAAGAAGACAGCAAAGATATGAAAAAATGCTAAACATCACCAATCATCACAGAAATGCAAATTAAAACTATAATGAGATACCATCTTATATAGATTAGAATGGCTATCATTAAAAAGTCAAAAACCATCAGATGTTGGTGAGGATGTGGAAAAAGGAAATGCTTATTCACTGATGGGAATGTATATTAGTGCAAATTCTACGGAAAACAGTATGGAAATGTCTCAAAAAACTAAAAATAAAACTACCTTTTGATCCAGCAATTCCATTACTGGGTATCTACTCAAAAGAAAATAAATAAATATCAAAAAATGTCACCTGTACTCATGTTTATTGCAGCAGTATTCAGAGTAACAAAAATCATGAAATCAACCTCTGTGTATCAATGGATGATTGATTTAAACTGTGGTGTGCGTGTGTGTATATATATGTATATATATGTATGTGTATATATATGTATATATATGTATGTGTATATATATGTATATATATGTATGTGTATATATATGTATATATATGTATGTGTATATATACACCATAGATTACTACTCAGCCATAAAAATGAATGGAATAATGTTTTTGCAGCAATATTTGTGGAACTGAAGTCCATTATCTTCAGTAAAATGACTCCGAAACAGAAAATCAAAAACCACATGTTCTCACTTAAAAGTGGGAGGTAAACAATGGTACACATGGACATACAGAGTGGAATAGACATTGCAGACTCCAAATGGGGGGAGGGTAGACATTGCAGACTCCAAATGGTGTGAGGGATTATATACCAACTATTAGGAATGATGTACATTATTTGAATGATGGGTACACTAAAAGCTCAGATTTTACCACTGCACAATATATACATGAAACACAGCTACACTTGTACCTCTAAATCCATAAAAATGAAAAATTTAATTTAAAAAAGTGAATGTCATTCCCTGACCCTGAAGGTGAAAATAGCAAGAAAGCAGGTAAGCCTCATGAGATTTGGTGCCTAGCAGAGGTAATGTAATTTCCCCTTGTGAATTCCCCATGTCCCTGGCCCACTGTATATGTCTAGAGTGAATCAACCGTCCAGCCAATATTCAACAGAAAAATCTAAACATAAATGTGAAAAGTCAAGGACAATTATTTTTACTTTGTTTTAGAATAAATGCTAAATCTTACAGCTGCCTCCTTTTAAATAGATAAGGACAGGAAGGAAAAAGAGTAATACTATTCCAAAGGAAAGCTTCTATTATGTTATAGAAACAAAACATAATAAAGGCAGAAGTACATATTTTTTAACAGATTCACTGTAGGGAAGAGAAGTAAACTTTAAACAGCATCTGCTATTATCTCAGTCAAATTTATGGAGCATAGATTCTATAAAATGAAATAAGATAGGATAACAGTGTGAGGTAAAAAGTTAATTGAGAGGTAAGTGGAAATTTACAACAAAGAAGCTAGATAATATAAAGAAAGAATGCTTTAAAACCAAAATGCATCCACATAATTATAAACAATACACATTAAAGATTAAAAAAGAATAATTTAAAAAGCAAATCAGTGATATAGTGGACATTTGTATGTGTGCCTTTAAATTTGGGAGTGTCTAGCCAACAGATGTGCTAGCAGTGACAGGAAACAAGTGTTTGAATATTCAAATAAGTTTGGAAAGCTTTGGATGAAGAACAGTTCACCAGATTTCTCAACTACAGGGCTTCTCAGCCTCGAAATGCTAGTGTGCCTGGTGGTTCTTCAAGGATGATAACAGTATATTCCACTTACCAAATCATTCGACCACAAAGACTTTTAACAAAAATATATCACTTGAGTATATTGTCTGACCTAACATACAGCAAATGCTAAAACACACATATTCTTGTGAAAACCATGACCTTCAAAGTTAAGTAATTAATTCTTTTAGCACGAGACATAAAAAAACGGCAGCACCTTACAGAAAAAATAAAATAACAGTGACATGAGACTTTCCTATAGCATCACTGTCAGGAAAGCAATTAAGTCAATTGAGCATTTTGAGAGGAAAATAATATGTTCCAGAAATGTTCTACCTAGCCACGTTGTCATTCATATGAGAAAGTTACAGAGGACATTCTCAGATTTGAGCAGTATCTGAAAATATAACATCCAACTACTGTCTCATATTTTTGCCTGTCTGTGAAAGATATATACAACTCATTCTAGATATATAAAATAATTCATTTTATTCATTTTGTAATTGAATAAAATCACATATGTTATAGGACTCAATACACGGTACGGTGGTAGGGAAATTGGAGAAGTCATAATACAACAGCCAGAAAGGGAGCCATATACACCTTCTCTTTCAAGCCACCTTAGAAAAATGAGATAGCAGTTTGCTCATGTGGTCATGGCTAAGAGATGAATAAGGGGAACATTATATATTATTATAGTCTATGTATAACTTTAAAGACCCCAGGAAGTGTAGAAGAGGGCCTCTGGGCTTTAATATATCCAATAAGGGTTTGCTGATGACAACTATCTGAGTAAATAACATTGTACTAGGTGCTATGAAAAATATAAAATAGACTGAAAGCAATTTAAGTACATTCCCCTGAGTACTTGAGAGGAGTCAGAGTCTGCAAACAATCATTCCAGATACTTTCCTATATTAATGCCATTTTTTAGCAATTTGAAATGATATAAAAATACATATGTAGCTTTTAAATTGATAGATTAACAACCTTGCAAGCTGTGGAGCACCAGACTGTAAACAGATGGCTCAAGCATAGCCTTGTAGGCTGGTCTCGTTTCCAGTTAGCACTTGGTTTTACAATATCGTGACCATATGCAGTGGTCTCCCCCAACTCTCTTGTTTTTATCTTCCTTTAACAAGATATGACAGTCACAACAGACTTGTTTATTCAAACTGCTTCATCAGAGTCATAATTGATTATAACAAGGTGAGGCAGAGTTTGATGTTGTCAACCCAATTGAAATTTAACGATGATCTGGTGCTAGATATAAGGTGTATATAAATAATAACAATAATAATAGTTTTTCTCTTTTTGAAATGAATTTAGATATTTTGACTACACTCCTTGCTCTGACTTGGATTATAATGTTTTTAAATTATATAATTAAATAACACAGAGATGCAATTTTTAATACAAAACTCTTGGGACCAGAAATATTTCATATATATGAGTTAAGAGTGGGAATACAGTGTATACATAATATATATTATAGTATACCTTCCTATACAAAAAAATAAAACACAAAAAATATTAGTTACCTAAGTGGAAAAACTTAAGATGATAAATACTTCACATCATTTGCAGTCAATTTTCAGCATAAATGAGTTCAGGTAGGGTGAGCTACTTCTATTGCCAATACAAAAATAAAAATAAAGATAAAAGAAAGAAAAGCTTTTAGTTTTCTGAGCTTTATGGATTTCAGAATTTTGTATAAATTGTTGTGGGCCTGTAATACATTTTGGACAACTCTTTCATATTCATGTGTGTACACATATACCTTATTTTATGCAGCAGCTATGTTACTAAGGAATAGTATCTATATAAAAATCTTTTCTTATACATTAAAATGTCAACTCTTTCTTCTCACTTGCAACCAGAACTATACAACCAGTTAACAAGGTGTAGAGGTTTTCTCTCTGAAGGTGTTTAAATTCCTCTAACTTTGCTGACAGAGTGTTTTTCTAAAACACAAATTTATGCACAGAATTTCTCTACATGAAATATGTCTCTAACTTCTCACAAATTCCAGTTGGGAGGTCCAGAACTTCCCTAGAACACAATATACTTTTGTCCCTTGCCTTATCCTCTGCTGCTGCCGGACCATGAACTTCTCACCTCAGTTTCCACTGTGGTTCCGTTCCACGGGTTTGGTTTTCTTCCTACAGTCCACAGTCCTGCTTCTCTTTTCATCTATTTCTACTCATTTAGAGTTATCTTCTCAATCATGTTTGCACACCCCATTTCTGAGCTTCCGTAGAATCTTGCAAATGCATTTATCAAAATACTTAAACATTCAACTGTATATGTTTTTGCTCTTTCTTATCTACCTTTGGTTTTATGTGTACTATTATACATGTACAGCTAATGAAGGTTATTATATGCCAGAAACTATTCCATATTTTTCATTTAATCTACGAGGTTGGTTTCTATCATTAGCTTTCTCATGCTATAGTACAAATAAGAATTCAAAAGTCAAAGAGTAATACCCCAAATCATACATCAAAGAAATAACCAACCCTAAATTTGAATCCAGGTCTTCTCTATCTAAAGCTTGTGACCTTAATTACTATATTATTCTCCTCCACAAATACTCTATAAGTGATCGCTTGATTAGTATTCTCAACCAGAGGATGTGGAAATTGGTTGTAATGGAAATAGCATTATATTTATATAATCCCTAAAAGGATATTTAAAACTGTATATGCTTCCTAAAAATCTTTTATTTTTATTTTTTATTATTATTATAATTTTTCAGACAGAGAGTTTTGCTCTTGTTACCCAGGCTGGAGTGCGGTGGTGTGATCTTGGCTCATGGCAACCTCCACGTCCTGGGTTCAAGTGATTCTCCTGTCTCTGCCTCCTGAGTAGCTGGGATTACAAGCACAACCTCCTAAAAATCTTTTAAATATTCCATGTTTTATGGTGATGCACTGGGTTGTTACAAAACTGACATCAATAAATCACACCTCGCTAAATTCATCCCCTGTGTGTTCCCTTCCACACTGAACCATGGCTGATGTTAAAACTTGCTTAGATAAGGAGAATCTAAGTGTTTCATTGTGAAAGTTGTAATGCTTGGCCTTAAGAGGCATTGTACTTTATGCTTTGGTTCTGCGGTTGCTCTGAGATTTCATTTAAAAAAGCTCAGACTAGCCCCCTAAAGGATGAGAGGCCACATGAAGAGACAAGCCCTGGAAAATAAAAGAATTAAAAAATAGAGAGAGGTCCAGCCAGATCCCAGCCTTGCCAATCATACCAGCTGAGACAGTAGATTTTTGAATGAGGCCATCTTGCATGTTCCAGACAATCACTAGAAATGCATGAGTGAGCCAAATAGTATAGAGGTAAAATACACAGTTAAGACTGAATGCAAAACTGTGAAGATACAACTGGTAGTTGTGGTTTTAAGCTACGGAGTTTTGAGCTGTTTTTTATGTGTTGTTACAGTAATTGCTGTCAGTAAATGAAGTGTTGACCTAACAAAAACCTAAAATGTGGCACTGGCTTTGGGACCAGGAGGTGGGTAAAAGTTGAAAGAATGGTGATAAAACTGTTATTAGAGACTTGAAAAAGGGCAACCAGTGAAAAATAGTGGCAGAACAATTGGCAAATTGTTTTTTGTGGTAGCTTAGAAGCTAGAATATAAATTTAATTGATGTGTGAAACTAGCTAATGAGGTTTCCAGACGACCTACTGAAAGTGGCAGGTTTTTTTGTTTATTTGTTCGTTTTGGCTGCATAAATGATGCATAAAACATAAATAAACTTATTTAAAAACTGTTTAATTTTCTAATCTAATGTATTTTTGATATATTAAAAAAACCGTGAAGTTCTAGAATGTACCGAGTTGGAAATACAGCTATTTCTCATCTCCACTCATCTAGAAAATATTCCCAAGGTGAGAAATGGCCCTGAGACAAAAAATAAATTAAAAGTAGCAGAAAACTTTTTTTTAAGATTCTGAATACGTAAAAAAAGTCCATTAGAACTTCACAGCTTAAGAAAAGAAAAAATAAATAAATGAGGGTTTTATAAGAATAGAATGTCATGCCACAGCAACATCACACATGAACAAAGTAGAGAGATGGTTTCCAAAACAATTATAGCTATGTCTATCAAGGAATGAAGAAAATCTCAATCATAGTCCTAGAGCCAAGCTTCAAGAAATCAGAGCCCGAGCCATTTACAATGTAGTAAAAAAGGACTCACAAGGGAAAAAAAAATAGATGTTTATCAAGGACCATACCCTGCTGTCAAGGTTGAGCAAACTGGCAATGTATGCCAGGTTGAATTACAAAATTGCTACAAATCAGTGATTGCTATGTGATCCCATTCTTCCTGTTTTTTAATGTGTCTGATGATTATGCTGTCCTTGTCCCATCGTTGTGTATTGGGTGAAGGGATGATATAGATAACTTGTTTTTCTAATTTGTAGATCTCTGGATTAAGAGGAGTTGTACTCAAGAAGTCTATCTACATATAGGTCAGATTCAGATCATGGTATCCTAATTTTGAGCATGATGCCATAATTAGGTAAAACTTTCATGGTCCTAAGAGTGAAGGAGTATTTTTTTTTTTTTTTTTTTTGGCAACAGGATCTCACTTTGTTATCCAGGCTGAAGTGCAGTGGTATGATCATGGCTCATGGCTCACTGTAGCCTCAAGCTCCCGGGCTCAAGAAATTCTCCTACCTCAGCCTCCTAAGTAGCTTGGACTACAGGTGTGCACTGCCACATCCAGTTATTCTTACTGTAGAGATGAGGTTTTCTATGATGCCCAGGCTGGTCTCAAACTCCTGGGCTCAAGCAATCCTCCTCCCTTGGCCTCTCAAAGTGCTGAGATTACAGTCATGAGCCACTGTGCTGGGCCAGAATGAGTACATTTTTAAGGATGAAGATATATAAAGAATTCTAGTGAGAGAGGGTTTAAAGTAGATTTCAATATTTGGTCACAAATTCTTCCCAATTTCCTATGCACAACCTTTGGATTCTGACTTTGCTAATCCTCCAATCCAAAGGTGGAATCTGTTTCCTACTCCTTAGATGTGGGCTGGCTTTGTGACTTCTTTTGACCAACACTATTAAACAGAAGTGACATTGTGAAAGTTCTGAGACTAGCCCTTGAGTGGCTTTGCATATTCTGTCCTCAATGTCTTGAAATGCTGTCCTAATATGTTCATGTCTAATGTATTGAATTATGAAAGGCTGCATAGAGGAGAAACTGAGGCTTATCAGCCACTAGCCAACAACAACTTTTGGATATGTGAGTGAGGTCATCATTCCAGAAGCTGCACGTCTAAGACCAAGATAAACCAACAAAAAACTAACAGAACTATAAGAAGTTTGTTCTTGTTTTTTTGTGGGGAGGGTATTATGCAGTAGAGACTATTATGTGGAAAAAGTAGTATGTTTTCTTGGCTAAAAATCACTGATAATTACAAGAGTTGATGCTGGTGAGAAAATGACAGAAATGTGAGCCAATTGTGGAGGTAGTGAAATAAGGTTGATCACTGCTGTGTTCTACTGGGGCCATTAAATTGGGGTATCTCAATCAAAGCAGCATATACTCTACCCTGATACTATTTCAAAATTCTTTTAAAACTTAAATATGATAATTTCTGCCAAATAGATACTCAACATTTAATAAATTTAAGGTTAAATTTAAGTCAAATTTAATCTTATTATTGCACATCCTGCTGTTTTTCAACACTTGGCTAATTTTTAAAAATTTTATATAGGATTTTATGTGAAAAGTGTTGGCATTATAAATATCTCAAATGTCAAAAAAAATTGCTTACATTTGAGGAAACAAAACAAGCAACACTTAAGGTCAAAAGTATTAGCTTAATCTTCCTGGTTACTTCTCAGGGAGAAAATGAAAATAGCAGCTAGAATACAGAGAACAGATATGAGGTTATTTCTATATTGATGGAGCAGATGGAGACTTTCAGAGATAGACCACTGCAATGTCACGTGATGAAAATTCTAAAATAGGTGGTTTTGAATAATATTAGACACAAAGATATAAAAAAATTGACAATGTCATTTCAAGCAGGTGGACATTAAAAGTATGCTTTTGTGCTGGAGCCAGTTTATTTAAAAATATATCTATCTAATTATTGCTAAGATGAAACACTATTTTAGAAAACAATTTTAAATATATAACAAAGGCTAACATTTCATAATTTAAAAATTTGATTTTTGACTTTTATAAATTTATTTTTAGATAATTTAAATTTGGGGAGAACGTTGCTTTCTGCTTTGCTTGTAGACATATCTGTCACAATATTAGACATAATAGGGAAAAATCAGATCCAACACAAATCCCAAAAGTAGCAGAGTAGCTACTGCAAACATGTTTTACTAACACTAGTAAATGCTACGGAAATATTGCAAACTGTGTTCACAGCCATTTTAAATGAATACATTTAATTTTTAGTATAAATTAAAACACGTTAAATTTAAACAGGAAAAAGAACTATAAAGACATGCCTATCAACATTAATGGTAGAAACTTCTGAATTATGAGATCTTTGAGTATTATTTTTCATCTTCATACAAATTTAACAACAATTAATACATGTATCTTCTATAATAATTTTTTATCAAATTAATTTAATTGAAAGTAAGTAAATAATTTGTGGCAATGATAAAACTTAATTTAAAAACAATACATGCCTAAGAATCTGAATAAGTGATCAAACATAAGGAATAAATAAAACCAAAAATTTTATCAGGAAAACAATTCCTCTTCTTAATAAGCAGTATATTACACAAGAAGAAAAATAGGGATTTCAGAGAAATAACTAATATCCCACGTTTGGAAGTATAAGAGCTGGAGTAAAGGATAATGTATAATGGAAATCTAGTGTCAATGGGGAGCACTTATAGAGCCAGAAAATAATTTAGTGGGTACTATTTTTACAATCTTAATGTGAGAGAAACAAAGTTTACTACATGCAGAGAGTGTATGCTATACTTAAAGCAGAAAAGCCAGGGATTATCTTATTTTTCCCTGACTCAACTTCTCATTAATATAACTGTGTCATACAAAAATAGGAAATCAATACCAGTGGGTTTTGGATACTCTTAATATTTTCAAAGCTGACCCACAGTTAATTTAACAAATACTTGTTCAACCATGGTGGACGACAGTGTGGTAATTCCTCAAGGATCTAGAACCAGAAATACCATTTGACCCAGCAATTTCATTACTGGGTATATACCCAAAGGATTATATATCATTCTACATGCACATGTACATGTATGTATATATACACATGCACATGTATGTTTACTGCAGCACTATTTACAATAGCAAAGACTTGGAACCAACCCAAGTGCCCATCAATGACAGACTGGATAAAGAAAATGTGACACATATACACCATGGAATACTATGCAGCCATAAAAAAGAATGAAGTCATGTCCTTTGCAGGGACATGGATGAAGCTGGAAGTCATCATTCTCAGCAAACTAACACAAGAACAGAAAGCCAAACACCACATATTCTCACTCATAAGTGGGAGTTGAACAATGAGAACACATGGACACAGGGGCTTGTCAGGGTGTGGGAGGGCAAGAGGATGGAGAGCATTAGGACAAATGCCTAATACATGCGGGGCTTAAAACCTAGGTGACGGGATGATAGGTGCAGCAAACCACCATGGCACATGTATACCTATGTAACAAACCTGCACATTCTGCACATGTATTCCAGAATTTAAAGTAAAATAAAAAATAATTTAAAAAAATGAATGTAGATAAAGATTTCTAAATCTCAGATTTTTCTCGACTCCCACAAAAACTGATGAGAAGATGGATAGCGTGAATTGTAGAGGTGGTTGCTGCCATCAAAATCCCAACTTTGGATTTCATGCATTGCATTTGCTGAGAAATGGCTGCCCACCCAGGAACTATATTTTCCTGGTATCTTCCTGTCTAAATGTTGCCATGTGACTAGTTTTTTTGCCTGTGTTGTATGAACAGAAGTGATGTGTTAATACCAGCTATGCCAGTTATCAACTCATTGTCTCTCAACTATAAATTCAATATTTTTGGCTTTTTTTGTCATGATAAAGCTAGGTCCTGAAAATATTTTTCCTACCAGTGGTCCAATGTCAATCCTCTGAGTAGAAAGTACAAGAGAAACATTGAAGGAGAGAAGGGCTTTCACTTCATTGCTCTAGAGTAACTCACGTACTTGGCCGCTATAGGGCATACTTTCTCCACTGAATAGCCCCCAGTTCTAGGTTTCTGTAGGCCACAGCATTCTCCATCTTTTAGATACCACACTTTTACCAGCTCTTGACCCAGGCATTGAAAGAATAGCCAGGATACCCAGGTGGTAGGGGCCTATGCCCCAGTCAAAGCTCCTCATACCCTCTCCTCCAGCAAGGAGAAAAGTATCACAGATGTTAAATTTGGAAGCCTGTTTTAATAAAAGGGTAAAATATTTAGTAAAATATTTTCCTGCTATAATGTAAATAGCAAGTCAGATTAAGAGTGTTCCCTTCTCATTATGGCCTATTTCTTTTACATAACCTATGTGACCTATTCGTTAAGGCCTATGGGGTAGGGGAGGAAAAAAAAAGGGTTAAGACCTTAGCTTAGGTCTAAGTTGTAATTTTCACCTTGGTTCCTCGGACTTTGAATAGATTGGAAGCAACTAGATCAAACGCCTACATTGCTCCTGACAGAAATAGATTGTTGGAGAGAACATGTTCCCAGTGTAAAAATCCTATGATTTAATGTGGGCATTCTGCCTTTTTTTTTTTTTTTAAGAATGAGTACTCTAGGTATGCATTCAGAAACTGGGGAAAGAACCACAGAAGGGATCTGCAGACCTACTATACTTGTTTTATTTAAACTTGGGTTAAAATTCTATCATAAGCTCCATTGTAATTTGTGGATCACAATAGCCAGGTTCCAGTACCCAGGGAGTAGTGACATAGAACCATTGTCCAGCAATCTCCAGAAGATCTACATAGTTCTTTTTCCTTAGGCATGGTCACTCAAGTAATTGGCCACAGGCTCCTTAGACAAAGGATTGGAGGTTGATTTACAATGACACAGATAAAAAGAGAAGGGAATTGGCCTCTCTATAATCAAGAGGCTCTGATCTGCAAAGTAGCTTAAGTTTGAAAATAGGGTGAGAAAGTGTGATTCTCTGTTGTGTGACTCAATCCACATTTCTGGACACCAGACTGGAATTCTCCTGTTATATCGGGAAATACTCATCTATCTAATTCCTGGGATTGCTGTCATAAAAGTAGCTACTGCCGGTCACTCTGCTCTTCAAAACATTCTGACAACTACTTCATCTCTGCTAACCATTAAGATAAATGCATTGGCCATGTCTTTAATAGCTAAACACTGTCAATTGGGACCTGCTACTCTGAGATCTTGTCATTCCCATTGAAATTGATAAGTTTACTAGTGCCCTTTGACATAGTAACCCCAGGCCAAGACAAGACAACACTACAGAGCTTTCCAAGAACATTGATTGTCCCTTCACTAAAGGATTTTTCAGTGCTTTAGTGAATGGAGTGGTCTCTGGGCTGTCTTGGGGAATGAAGTAGAGGATGCATGTGATCAATACCTTCCAACGTTTCTGTCTCCAATAGCTGTTTGTTTTCTTTTTCTATGTTTTGCAAAGGAAGTTCTGACATTGTAACTGCATTAACTATCAGTCATTTTTAAGTATAAGTTTCAATCAATTAACCAACTAAAATGTTTGAGCCATTTCCAGAGTCCTTAGTAAGTGCATTCACGTCAATAAAATAGACATAATTCCTAGCTGCTGGCATTATTATTCTATCAACTGACCGTAACCTGTTGCGGTCTGTCTCCTCCATCTAACACCCTTTGAATGCATTGCATACATATTCCTTGGGTTTCTTCTCATTTAAGTTAATAATGGCTTGCAATACTTTAGGTGTATACATTGCCTCCTACTAGATCAGAGTTTGTACTTGACCCCTGGAATATCCTTACATCTGACCCTTGTTGTTGGTCCAGTGGCAATAAACTGTTGTTAAGGTGGTATCTTCTGGAAAATTAATATCTAAATATAAAGCAACTGGCCTATGTAAATTTATTACAGGATGGTCAAGAACAGGAGGGCTAATCTTCTCAGCCTTGAAAGGGGAATGCTCTCTCTATATGCAAGGAAAACTGAATGACTTAGATTCCAAGATTCCTTGCTTCACGTGAATCCAACCAGATGATCCTATTCCAAGTTTTAGGAATGCTCTAACTTCTACATGAAAGGTTGGTGAGGCTGTGAATTCAGGATACATCATGATTCTATAACCCACACAATTCAATTTTGGTTTTGATTTTCAGCAAAATTATGTCTGTGGCCACAAGAAATAAGGTCATGTGTAGGGTTTTCTTAGAAGAACTCTGGTTCTCTGTGACTTGAGCCAGCAGGTTAGTGACCTGAGCTTGTTATTCCCTTTCTGAAGATGCTCCAGAGTAATTATGAGAACTGACCCTGCACCAGCGTTTCATTCATCACAACTGCCATGAGTCAATAGTAGCAGCCCCTTGATTACCCAAGTTACCTTCTCTAGTTAGACTTTATTGCATTCAAACACAGATGAAAGTTTGGTTAATCATAGTGCTATGATATTCCATGGATTAGCAGAATACCATAAAACTTTATTAAAGAGTCAACGTTGTGTATAAATACAGGAATGGAACCCAACCTATGTTTCCAAACTCCATTGTAGAGGTTGTTTTTCCTACTACCTCTTCTGGCACAAATTGTCTATATTAGGTAGGGCCCAGGCAAGAAATGAAAATCACAGGAGTTATTTTACTAGAGAATATATAAAGAATGACTAATCAAGTATAAAGTTGTTAACTGGCTAACTTAAAGGATTTAAAAGAGATTAGGACCAAGATATCTCAGATAGTCACTTCAGGGAGCAGCTACTATCACTAGAGATAGAGAAGCAAAGGAAAGAGTTTGAATTTTTTTAATCTCAGAAGTTTTGTGAAGGGGATTTATTGAGCAATAAAACTCAGACCTGTGACCCTGAGGAGCTGCTCAGCTGGTGCTTGTGCCTCTGAGGGATGTGCAACTTAGCTAATTCTTCAAGTATTAGACAAAGCCCAAACTATATTCAGCTGTCATATAGGAAGGAACTACTGTAGCTGTGGTGAAAAATCATTAGTGTGGCATGCAGACAGTAAAGAGGAAGTCTCTTCTCTCTCCTTTTTCCTAACAACTTATCTTTAGTGTCGTTATTGGCAGAGAATAACAAGGGCTCAGCTGGCAAAACAGAAATTTGGTTTGTGTAGTTCCAAGATCAGTATCATAGACAGGAAATAGAAGGGCAGGAGTCAACTGAGGAACAATTCCTTACTAGCTGGCATAAGGAGCGAGCAGTATATTGTCCAATAAATGCATATTTCCTAGGGGCCACCACAGAGATGGCTGGGGAAGAAACAAGGCAGCATATCCATGAAGGCAAGGCAGAGGCCATATGGAGAGCCCTGGACAAGGTAGTTGTTCCCAGGAAGCAGAGCCAGCATCTAAACAAGGATCTCCCATCGCTCAGCATTGCCAGGACAAAGGCTCTTCATGTCACCTGTCCAGCAGGTGTTATGCTGGATACGTGATGCTTATGTTTCCTATGCTTCCCTTTTCTGAATGGGAACTTTCATTGCACTTACTTTGTCTTCTTTCTACCACTGTGGTGGAGGAGTGACTTGTCAAGACCACAAACAACCACACACAGAACTGAAGGGGAAGACTGCACATCACCCAGACAGCCTACACCCAGAGCTGGATGTTGTGACTAGATGGGGCTTTGAGTTGTCTTCCTTAGAGAGGGTTAAATAGGTATTACATGTGAGAAGGATCTTCACTGATAATTCTGTCAGAGGGACAGAATATGACAAAATGGTAGCTGTTCATCAACATGTGCTGTCTCTCTCCTATTACATAGAGAAATACATGTAAAGAAGTTGCCCAGGCAGACATCACACTTACCAGCCCCCTACCCCACCCTCATTTCTAGGTGTCATTTTGGGACTAATTTTGTCAATAAAGTGTTAAGGAATTTAATGAGTGTCACTCTAGGACAGGGCATTTTTAGCAGCAGCTGAATCTCTACTTCCTCTTTTTATCCATCTGAATAAAGGATGAATAAACTATACAGCCTTTGGGAACAGGATGGCTATAAGATGGAAGGAGTCTAGGTCCCTCAGGTTCCTGTGACCAGGAAGGCCCACATTGGATTGTTATGTTAGCAGGAAACAAACTTCTGTTTGATCTGTTGAAATGTTGGGCTTTATTTGTTGTACCTGACAGCATTGCCCTATATAATTTAGAAATTCATGGCCTTGTACTATAGTTGTGTTTCCAAAGGAATTATTGACACGATGCAATGGTAAACAAAAGAACCAAGAAGAATCTTTTCAGAGAAAAAAAGGAGACTTGAATAGAAATGTTTCTACTCAAAGATAAACAAATAATGTAAACCAATAAACCATAAGACCTTGAAAATCCTTTTTGAAAAGAAAAGGAAAAAAATACTAAGTGAATTTTTAGAGACGAATATAGTTAGAAAAAAAATCAGCTCTAGAAAATCACATAATTCTAAGCAGAAACTATTTTACTCTCTAAAGGAAAACAATTGAAATATTAATTCAATGAATCAATAGATAAAAGTTAAAATTTAAAAATGTAGACCAAAAAAAGTATATGGCATTGAAAGTAGTGAAGTGCTCCAAGGAAGACAAACAATTTATAAACTTGGAGCTTCTCAAACAGAGAACATGATTACAAAAAGGGTAATTTTATAAAATGAAATTAGAGAAACAAATTTCTATGCTAAAGGGATTTGTAGATAAACATAGTCTAGTACGTCCCCAAGATAGATGGAGGTTAACAGGCATGGGGTTATGTTGTTGAGTATTTAATTTTAAGCACAGTTAAAAAAAATCCTACAAACATGTAATAATGAACCAAAATATTAAAGTAAAAAAAAATTAGGATACTCTCAAACTTCTACTCAACAACATCATATTCATATTCCAGAATAAGCTAGAATATAGTCTTTGACTTTGAAAAGAAATCTGTGTTGAATTTAGATATCAATATATAGGTAAGCTGTCGTAGACATGCAAATTCAAGGCAAAGACACCTCAGCTATGAAAAAAAAACTAATTTCTTTATTAAAACTGATTTGTCCTGAGGAAAACAAAACTAAACTAGCAAATATGCACTTCAAGTTGTGATTAAAAAATAAATTCCGTTCAAAGAAAACTTAGAAATTTGCATATGAAAGAATTTACAGACAACATTTTTTCATTTAAAAATGAAATCAAGTTTGTACAACTGTCATATAATACACAGTGTAAATGTTACAGTTCTTAAAATAATAGTCATAAGACATAAAAATAGTTTAACAATTAATGCTTTAGGCAAAAAAATCTCATTTGACGCCCATAAAACCAGGAGGTGTGGGGGTAGAACAAGTGGGAAGAATTGTAAATGTGCTAATTTCCTCATATTTTATGAAGGGTAGTCAACAACTGCCATTCCATTTATGAAACTGATACATGCAGAAATATAAGTTTAAAACTTTTCATTAAGGCCAGGCGTGATGGCTCACGCCTGTTATCTGAGCACTTTGGGAGGCCAAGGTGGGCAGATCACCTGAGGTCAGGAGTTCGAGACCAGCCTGGCCACCGTGGTGAAACCCTATCTCTACTAAAAATACACAAATTAGCCAGACGTGGTGGCGGGTGCCTGTAATCCAGCTACTCAGGAGGCTGAGGCAGGAGAATCGCTTGAACCCGGGAGGTGGAGGTTGCAGGAGCCAAGATTGTGTCACTGCACTCCAGCCTGGGCGAGAGAATGAAATTCCGTTTCAAAACAAACAAAAACCTTTTTATTACAAAGCTTATCTAATTTAGTTTTGAAACAAAAATGAACAAGTTGGTAACAGTTGGCAGACTTTGGAGAAATATTGAATTATTTTTCTTTAAGAATCAGTTTGGATAAATGTAATTTCAAAAATTATAGTTTTGATTTATTTATTTATTTTGGATGACGTCAGCTGATAACAACAAAATACATTATGACTAAATTGCTTCCTTTCCACAGCTGCTTGTGGAACTCCCTTAGTCCTCTTTCCTTCTTGAACAATGATGTATAAGTAAAGATAATATTGTGGACAATATAAGGTAATTACACTTTTTTAATGGCTCTTTTCCATGTTTTGGTGAACTGTATGACTTTTACCAGTTTTTGCACCTGGCCTCACAGAAGTCAGATCTCATATCATAGACCCTGGAGAGATGTTAAACAAATATATAAACATTATATGCATGATTTGCCTGCAGTATGAAACTTGACTATTGGATTTTTAATTCAATTCAATGAACTCAAGGATTACATCCTTGTCATTTCATTAAAGTCTCAGAAAGTGATTGCGCTTTAAACTTTCACTTTTATTTGCTGGCTTTGATCAACGACTCACCCTCATCTTTCTCTACATGCATCCCAACTGCAGTTCTACCTTCTTTCCTGGTAATCCCTAGATTTTGGTCCATGAATTTAAGCTCTGTGTGATTCTCTTGTCCTGGAGACTACACTTTCATAAGGTCTGACTTATGAAAGAGCAAAAAAAAAAAAAAAAAAAAAAAAAAGACTCAATTCCCACCAAAAACAAAGAAAATATTAACGAAAGAAAGAAGGAAAGAGATGGAGAGAAGTCAGGAAGGAAGGAAAAAAAGGAAAAGGAAGAAAGAAAGGAAAGAAGGAAGAAATAAAGGAAAAAGGAAGGAAAGAAGGAAGGAAGGAAGAAAAAGAGGAAAAAAGAGAAAGAGAACAGAGGAGAAGAAAGGGAGGAAAGAAGAGAAGGAAAAAAGGAGGGAAGAAAGACAGGAAAGAAAGAAGAAAGGGAGGGAAGAAAGAAAAGGAAGATAAACGGAAGGAAAGAAGGCAGGGAGGAATGAAGAAAAGAGAAAAAGAAGGAAGAAAGGAAAATACACTAATGATATTTGTCATCTTTTTATGTACATTTGGGCTATTTGCATTTGGAAACGTGTATTCAAGTCGTTGTCAATTATTATTTGTCCTTTTTATATTAGGTTGTAAGAGTTCTTTATGTATTCTGGATACTAGAACTACCTTAGCCTGTTAGGCTGCTGTAACAAAATACCACACACTCGTCAGCTTAAATAACAAATATTTTTCTCACTTCCAGTATTGGAAGGTCCAAGATCAAAGTGCTGGCAGATTTGGTATCTGGTGAGGGTCCCCTTTGATTACAGACAGTAACTTTCTTGCTCTGTCCTTACATGATAAAGAGACAGAGGGCTCTGATTTATTTCTTTTCTTGTAAGGGTGCTGATCTCACCAACAGAGTTTCACCTGACTTCATCTAAACCTGATTAACTCCCAAAGGTCCTACTTCCAAATACTATTGGGATCAGAGATTCAGACTTTAACATTTTAACATATGGAATTTAAGGGGACAAAAACATTCAGTAAGACTTTATTAAATATATGATTAACAAATATTTTCCCTCACTTTTAGATTTTGTTACAAAAATATCTTGCAGAACTCACAGGCCCTCAGTCCACTTTGGGGAGCTGCCTGAAGTTGACATGGATGCATTGCTCCAGAGTAAAGCCCACATTATGCACCCCACTACCCTTTGTGGAAGAAAGCAGCTACATCATGGTATCATCTTGAAACCAGAGTCACTGTTAGAGGGCTCCCTGCTCTGGGGGCCAGTTGCCATTGTGTCTCTTCATCCCTGAGTGCTCACCATTATTTCATCATGCTCACACAGGTGGTTGCAGTGCCATGACACTGACTTCTTGGAGCCTAAGCTCAGATAAATGTCTGTCACTCTGGTGCCTGAGCCCACACAATACTATGTCCACAGGAACAAGTGGTTCTTCACAGTGTTGAGGCCAACCCTGGGCTGGCTGAACCAAAATGAGCAAGCATCCCCATCCTGAAAATCAGCCCAGTAACTCTATCTCTGGCAAGCCTGCCCCTCAGCCAAATGAACTGCCATGCATGTGCAACCCCAGCTGGAGAACTAGCCCAGTGGTCTGCACCAAGCCCACTCTAGAGCCATCTGAACTGCCATGCACGTACACCTCCAGCTTGAGAACCAAACTGGCACCTTATACCCAATAAGACTATGCCACAGACACAATTAACTCCTGTAATCTAGGCCAATGAGGCATTCACAGACATTGCTGTTGTGTATTATAGGTGAAGAAACGGCATGTAGGTTACACTGCTACATTCACCAAAGCCAAAGTCATGTGCCATACCCAACAGACACCCTGGGATTCATCTACAGAAAACAAACAAACAAACAAACAAACAAACAAACAAAAACTTCTCTGCCTACAAAAGCTGCTTCAGCCAGCTACCCAAAGTGGACTGAGGACCTGTTTGGCCTGCAGGATTTTTTTTTTGTAACAAAATCTAAAAAATGGGAGAAAATATTTGTTAATCATATATTTGATAAAGGTCTTGTTGAAGAGACAATTGTTGGGTGAGATATGAGCATCCAGATCAAGGATGCTCAAAGATCCATGAATACATACAACTCACAAAGGTCACAAAGACACATTATAAGCAAACAGTCAAAAGTCAAAGACAAGGAAAGAATTCTTAAAGTAGCAAAAGTGTCAAGTCACATATAAGAAAAGACTATAAGAATATTAGACTATCAGAATATTTTTTAGGCTGTAAGAATACTTATCAGCAGCTAATTCTCAGGATGATAATTCCTGTAATGAAAACATGTGAAAGTAAAAAACCCACTAGTAGAGCTAAACTTATAATCAAACAGGATACTTCAGTACCATAATCATGCTATGTAAATCTTTCAAACCTCTACCATAGAGGTTACAAGTCAGAATGGTCAAAAATGATTAGAGCTACAATCAGTTGCTAAGAAACACACTATACATAAAGATGTAAATTTAGAATAACAAATATAAATTATGAGGGCAGGATAAAAGTCTAAAACATTTTCATTTAACCAAAATTAAGTTATTATTGGATTACATAAGTCTATTATAACTACAGGTTTCTTTATGTTAGCTTGTCAGTAACTACAAAGAAAGAAATTGCAGCATATACAATGATGAGAAAGAGAAAGGAATAAAAGTTTAGCAACACGGAAAAATACCAAACCACAAAGCTAAACAATAATAAACAATTAGAGAGGAAGAAAATACCAAAAGATCTATTTAAAAAATCCCAGGAAACAATTAGCAAAATGGCAGTAGTAAGTCCTTACCTATCAATAATAACCTTAAATGTAAGTGGATTAAATTATCCAGTCAAAAGATGTAAACTGGCTGGATGGGTAAAAAAAACCAAGCCCTGAAACCCAATTATATGCTGCCTATATGTACAAGAAGCACATGTAGTATATTCTCTCTACAATTATATATAGTATATTCTCTCTACAAGAGAATCACTTCACTGGTAAGCACTGCACAGACTGAAAGTGAAGAGATGGAAAAGATATTCCGTGAAAATAAAGACCAAAAGTGAGCAGCAGTAGCTAGATTTATATGAAATAAAATATATTTTGGGTCAAAAACTGTAAAAAGAGACAAAGAAACTCACTGCATAAAGATAAGTGGATTTATTCAGCAAGATAATATAACATTTGTAAATAGATATCCACACAACACCAGAACAGCCAACTATATAAAGAAAATGTTATTAGATTTAAAGGGAGTGATGAACCTCAATATAATGATAATAGGGGATTTCAACACCCCATTTTCAACAATGGACAGATCATCTAGACAGGAAATCAACAAAGAAACATCAAACTTAAACTGCCCTCTGCACCAAATGGGCCTAATTGACATTTACAGAACAATCTATCCAACAGCTGTAGAATACACATTCTTCTCAGCTAACATAGTACATTATCCAGGATAGATTATATACTAAGCCAAAAAAAAGTCTTTACAGAGTCAAGGAGATAAAGATTACATCAAGTATTTTCTGACCTCAATGGTATAAAATTAGAAATCAATAACAGAAGAAACTTCAGAAATTTTACAATACATAGAAATTAAACAACATTCTACTGAAAACCCATGGTTCAATAAAGAAATTAAAAGAGAAATTCAAGTTTCTTGAGACAAACACAGATGAAAATACAATATACCAACCAAACTTATAGAGTACAGCAAAATAGTTGTAAGAGGAAAGGTATAGCAATAAACACCTATATCAAAAAAGTAGAAAGATCACAAATAAAATATTTAGCATCATTACTCAAGGAAATACAAAAATAAAAGCAGATTAAATACAAAATTAATAAAAGAAAAGAAACTGTAAAGATCAGAGAACAAATAAATGAAATCGAGACTAAAAAGCAGTACAAAATATTAACAAGAGTTAGTTTAAAAAAATAAACAAAATGGAAAAAACCTTTAGTTAGAAGACGAAAAAAACAGAAATGACTCAAATGAAATCAAGGAAGAAAAAGGTAACATTAAAACTCTTACCACAGAAATACAAAAAATCATAATAGAATATTATGAACAATTACTGTCTGAAAAATTGGAAACCCTAAAAGAAATGGATAAATTCCTGGACACATACAACCTACCATGATGGACTTATGAAAAAATAGAAAATGCAGATCTGAAGAAACCACCAAGTCCAACATTACAATGCTATCAAAATTAGACAAGGATACAAGAAGAAAAGAAAACATAAATGCAAAAATTCTCAAAATAAATATGAGTAAAATGAATTCAACAACACATTAAAAAGATCATTCGCTTATTATCAAGTGAGATTTATTCCAGAAATGTAAGGTCGGCTTAACATATGCAAATTAACAAATGTGATACATCACATTAACAGAATGAAGGATAAAAACTTATGATCATGTCAATAGAAGCGGAGGAAGCACTTTTCAAAATTCAACATTCTTTCATAACAAAAGCTCTCAACAAATTAGGTATAGAAACTATGTACCTCAACACAATAAAGATCATATATGAGAAAACCTCAGGTCATATTATATGAAATGGTAAAAATTTGTAAGCCTTTCCCCTAAGGTCTGAAACAAGACAAGGATGTCCACTTTCATCAACTCTATTCAACACAATACCAGAAGTCGTAGACAGAAAAATTAGGCCAGAGGAAGAAATAAAGGGCATCCAAGCTGGAAAGGAATAAGTCAAATTATTCTCTCTCTTTTTTTTTTTTTTGCAGATGATATAATCTTATATTTAGAAGCACCCAAAGACTCCACAAAAATTTCTTAGCTAATAAACTTATTCAGTGAAATTGCAGGATACAAATCAACACACAACATCAGTAGAATTTTTATAAACTAACAGTGATCAATCTAGAAAAAAAATGAAAAAAAATCCAATAGTTACAAAAGAAAAAAGATACCTAGAAATAAATTTAACCAAGGAAGTGAAAGATCTCTACATGAAAACTGTAGAACACTGATAAAAGAAACCGAAGAGGAAACGAATAGTAAAAAAATACTTTGTTTATGAATTAGAAGTATTAATATTGTTAAAATGTCCATACCAGCCAAAGTGATTTGTATGTTCAATACCATGTCTATCAACTACTAATGACATTCCTCACAGAAATATATTTTTTAAACTCTTAAAATGCATATGGAACTAAAAAAGACCCTGAATAATCAAAATAATCTTGTGTTGTTGTTTTTTTTTAAAAAGACAAACATACAAAAACAAAGCTTGAAGCATTGCACTACCTGATTTCAAAATATACTACAAAGCTATGGTAACCAAACAGCATGGTATCGATATAGAAACAGACTCATAGATCAACAGAACAAAATAGCCCAGAAATAAATCCACACATCTACTACCAACTGACTTTATTTTTCAAATTGTAAATGTATTTTATTTTGTAAGCAACAATCAAAATATATTGTACTACTGATTTTTTCAAATATTAAATGGGATATTAACAAAATGTGTCCACTTTTATGAATTATTGTATAACTTTAGAACCTGCAAAGACCCTAACTAAAGAAACAAAAGTAATTGCATAGGTGAGACTGAAGGTTACAGTGCTACAAATGATGCCAAATGTCTTACATTTAACCAAATACATCCCTTAACTTTGAGCATTAGGAACAACAGAGAAATGTCTACTGAAATCATCACTAATAAATCTTTTGTTGCTTCACTTAAATACAACAGTATTCAACATAGTTGCTAAACAATATTTGAAGTCATGACTAAATCCACTTGTTCCTCCAAGTGACATTAGTGTTCTGCTAGCCAACACCCTATTGCCAGCTGTTTAGGTGTCATCTCATCTTCTTCATCTACAGCCTTTTTGTAATTCTTGGCCAATTCCAGCATCTATTTTAATACTAAATCATTGCATTTATAATGTTCATTGTAATCCTGAAGTGTCAAACCTTCCATTCAACTCTTCTTATGCAAATTTAGCAACATCTTCTATTCCAGTTTATTTTTCTGATAGTTAACAGTAATAGAGTAATAATGTCTGTTTCATCCATCAATTATTGCCTGGATAGATGGCTTGTTTAAGTGACTCATATTTGAAGTTGTTAGTCTTGGTTCATGTACCAAGACCATCATATTAGCATTGATTAACCTGAAGGCATCACTAACAACCTTCCCTTTTACACTCCGAATGGAATCCACAACCACCGTCAAAGCTCCCTCTGACAAGCCTTCAAAACTCGGCTGAGTACTGATATCCACCCCAGAAACCCCAGCAACCAAGCCAAGTGACTGTGATGACAACCAGTAACCATCTCAGGCTTTCCTGTCTGATTCAATATATTCACGTTTTAGCTTGGAACATTAGATCAAATGCCTCCACACTGACACCTATGGCATAGCCAACATGTCAATCACTCTGATGGTATAATAATCAACAAATTCTCCAAGCTTCAGACCCGTAACTTCCATTGGAACTCCAGCATCTCCGTGCTTTAACATTTTTAACAGTGCCAGGGAAGAAATATAGACTTTTTCTGCTGTTTCCACTGCAGGAGCATCTGTAGGTGGCCACGACCCAGTCCAGGCATATCTTCTCCGAGTCTAAGAAGTCTTCCTATACTTCTGGTCAGTAACTACAATTATTAAGGCATTCAGCTTCAATTTCTTGGTTGACAAATTTCTTCTTTTTTTTTTTTTTTTTTTTTTGAGACGGAGTCTTGCTCTGTCGCCCAGGCTGGAGTGCAGTGGCGCCATCTCGGCTCACTGCAAGCTCCGCCTCCCGGGTTCACGCCATTCTCCTGCCTCAGCCTCCCGAGTAGCTGGGACTACAGGCGCCCGCCACCACGCCCACCTAATTTTTTGTATTTTTAGTAGAGATGGGGTTTCACTGTTTTAGCCAGGATGGTCTCAATCTCCTGACCTCGTGATCCGCCCACCTTGGCCTCCCAAAGTGCTGGGATTACAGGCGTGAGCCACCGTGCCTGGCCGACAAATTTCTTCTTAACGAAAGCTCTTGCTAATTCTGGCAGGTTTAATTTTCTCGTGTGATGTGACTCTCCAGAAGGCCAACAGGTGAGCAACGCCGCAGTCCGGACCTTTGTCTTGCCTCTGCGGTGAAGCGAAGACAGAGGCAGCAGTTACAGTGGCTGAGACTTAACCTAGTTCTTGTTCCACAAACCAGAGATGAATCAGCCCAATTCCATTCAAAAGAGTTGCCTGGGTCTCCTTGATTTTTTATATATCATATCAATAAACATCATATAAGCAAATCAACGTGTCTACTCAGAATACTCTGTCTACATTCTAGCTTTTCATTGGACTGTGGGCAGATTATTTAGATTATCTTTAATGGTTTAATATTTTAAGTAAAAAATTTTAAAATATATTTTATTCAGAATTTTTATTGTTTTTTACTAGAAGGTTTTATACAAATAACCTGACATGACTTACAACTAGAAATTGCTTTAAAAGTAATACTATGACAGAATTTATTATATTTGCATCTTAATATCACAAAGGTAATTTCAAATGGAAACTTTCAGATCTTATTCTTTCTTATATGAGCATAATAATGTATTATTTGGATTATTAGTGTATATGTAATTGGTGGAGTATTAATGGGGAAACTCCAAACTATTTGGAAAGGTTTAGCAATCTAAGTAATTTAAGCAAACAGAAAATAAAAAACAAACTTGTAGAATATATAGAACATTAATTAGAAAATTACATATTAGCATTATGATAAAGGTGTACCACAACAGCCAGCCATCCACCCCCACCAAAAAAAATCACTGTTAATTGTAAATTTAACAGAAATGTTTAAAGGGTAACTTTTATATAACCAGTAAATATTCTCATTACATAGTCAGAAATTTCGAACAACATTTTACAGTTTCTCTAGAGATAACTTTTCTATAATCATTAAATATCCTTTTTACATACTCAAAATATTTCCCTGAACATATGGAAATTTTGCTTTTGATGGCCACAAAGCTAGCAGGAATCACAAGTTAAACACTTTTAGTCAGTAAAAAATCCTTCTCACATTAGGCTAAAGGCACAAAGGAACTGTAATGTAAGGGTGACGATAAACCAGATCTAAAATTTCCATCTACCACATCACAAAGAACAGGAAGAATAAATATTGTGGCTCAGAATTGCACGGCTGTCCTGAGGTGCTACAGCTAAAACCTGATCATATGCCTAAAACTAAAGGAAATAAAACAAATAAGCAACAACAAAAATTACAAAAAATCCACAGGATGTAAATTTAGTTTAAGAAATTCGCTTGAATATTTCTGCAAAGACCAAGAAACTATAAAATGTTACCAAATAGATTTGAAAGAAGAATCAAATATGTGCTCTAAAAATTGCAATAGCCAATATTAAAAACATAATGTATGGGTTGACTAGTAGCTAAAGAACACTTAAGAAAGAATCCGTGATGATAAATCAAAACAATCTTCCAGAATTCAGGAAGGACAATAGAAAGATGGGAGAAAAAACATGGAGGAAGAAGCGATTAAATGATTGGAGGAGACCGAGATTGGGTCAGAAGCAATACTGAAAATACTTGATGAAAATGAGGCACATCTAACTGGGGAGACAGCAGAACAATAATGACAAAGAAAATCTTAATAGGAGCCAGAGATAAAAAGACACGTTCACTTTCATGTAATGATAGAATAGCAATATTCATAGAAGCTGGAAAATAATAGAAAAATATTTTTATTATCTTACGGGGACTTCCAGTGTAGAATTTTACACCCAGGGAAAACAGTCTTTTGAGAAATAACAAGTTAAAGACAATTTCTAGCCAATAAAACTAAAGAATTTGATAACAGAATAACTTTATTAAAAGAAAATTTCAAGAAAGCACTTTAAGAAGAAGGAATGCCCTACAAAGGACATGAACTCATCATTTTTTATGGCTGCATAGTATTCCATGGTGTATATGTGCCACATTTTCTTAATCCAGTCTATCATTATTGGACATTTGGGTTGGTTCCAAGTCTTTGCTATTGTAAATAGTGCCACAATAAACATATGTGTACATGTGTCTTTATAGCAGCATGATTTATAATCCTTTGGGTACATACCCAGTAATGGGATTGCTGGGTCAAATAACAATTAAAAAAAAAAAGAAGAAGAAGAAGGAATGCAATCCCAAATAGAAGATATACTAAACATACAGAAAGAAATATTCAAGAAAAGGCTAAATCTATGATTAAAACTTAACATTCATCAGGGGTATTGCCCGAAGTTTTCTTTTTTGTTATGCCCTTTCTTGGTTTTGGTATCAGGATGATAATGACTTCATAGAATGAGTTAGGGAGAATTCCCTCCTTCTCAATCCTTTAGAATAGTTTCAGTAGGATTGATACCCATTATTCTTTCAATGTCTGGTAGAATTTGGTTGTAAATCTACCTCGCCCTGGGCTTTTTGTGTTGGCAGTTTTAAAAAAAAAATTACTTATTCAATCTTCATGCTTGTTATTGGTGTGTTTAGGATTTCTGTTTCTTCCTGATTCAAGCAAGGAAGGTTGTATGAAATTTGTTCATTTCCTGGCCGGGCACGGTGGCTCACGCCTGTAATCCCAGCACTTTGGGAGGCCGAGGCAGGCGGATCACGAGGTCAGGAGATCGAGACCATCCTAGCTAACACGGTGAAACGCTGTGGCTACTAAAAACACAAAAAATTAGCTGGGCGTGATGGCGGGCGCCTGTGGTCCTAGCTACTCGGGAGGCTGAGGCGGGAGAATCACTTGAACCCAGGAGGCAGAGCTTGCAGTGAGCCGAGATCGCGCCACTGCACGCCAGCCTGGGTGACAGAGCAATACTCCATCTAAAATAAATTTGTTCATTTCCTTTAGATTTTCTAGTTTGTGTGTGTAGAGGTATTCATAGTAGTCTCGAATGATCTTTTGTATTTCTGTGGTGTTAGTTGTAATGTTTCCATTTTCATTTCTAATTGAGCTTATCAAACAAATTTTTAAAAGAAGATGTCATCTACAATAGCATCTGAAATATCATGTACCTAAATTCACTCTAATATAAGATATGCAATGTATTGCCTTGTATTGAAAATATGAATGTAATTAAAATAAAATGAATGAAACCCTATTGAGGCATTATAGGTTATCTAAAATATAATAAATAAAAAGATTTACAAATTCGGCTAGGCATGGTGGTTCATGCCTGTAATCCCAGCACTTTGGGAGGCCGAGGTGGGCGGATTGCCCGAGGTCAGGAGTTCGTGACCAGTCTGGCCAACATGGTGAAACCCTGTCTCTATTAAAAATACAAAAAAAAAAAAAAAAAAAAAAAATAGCGGGGTGTGGTGGCATGCACCTGTAATCCCAGCTACTCTGGAGGCTGAGACAGGAGAATTGCTTGAATCAGGGAGGTGGAGCTTGCAGTGAGCCGAGATTGCGCCACTGCACTCCAGCCTGGGATACAGAGTGAGGCTCCATCTCTAAAAACAAACAAACAAAACAAAAACAAACAAACAAAAAGGACTTACGAATTCATCGATTACAGGACTCAATATGGTGAGTGTTAGCTCTCCTAAGATTTATTTATAGATTCAGTATAATTACAATAACTTGTCAAGTCAGGTTTATGTCAAAGTGCAAAGGGATACAACCCAGACACATTTGAAGATGTAGAATAAACAGGTTATGTGTCATCCTAGATTACAAGAATTGTGTTAAAACTATAGTATTTGAGATGATTTGCCATTGGTTCGGATATTTAAAAAAATACTAATGGCACAAGAAAAGAGCTTACATGGAACCACATAATTAATGAGAACTTTGTTAATGAGATATATGGCACTGGCAGTTACTAAGAAAAGGACAGAGAAGCTTTTCTATTAATATTGATAGGTATTTGTCTGTGCTTATTTGTCTGTTAAATAGGATCTGAAGTTCATACCAATACACAAAACTCAAGTCCAGGCAGACTGTAGAGGTATGGTGACAAAAAAGCTATAAAATAAAAAGGGAATATAGGAGAATATCTTCATCACTATTACATAGGGAATAATTTCTTTAAAGAAAAACAAAAGCAGTAAGTTATCACAAGTGATAATAAATTCAGCCACATCAAAACTAAAAAGTTAATTTTATCCAAGAACATCCTAGAGTAAAAAGTAGTCAATTCACAATAGTCTACATATGTATATAAATATATATGTATGTATGCATATTGATATAATGACAGACTAGAATTCATTATATGAATAATACAAAGAAATCAATAAGAATAAGACAGATATTTTAATAGAGAAAGTGGGCAAAGGACATGTACAACATTTCGAAAGCAAGAGGTAAAAATGGCCAATGGCTGTATTGAAAGGAGGCCAAACACAGTAAATGAGGAATTATGTAGAAAGGAAAATCGTTAGAATTTTAGGAGACTGAATTATATTTTATAGAATCTGTAAAAAATAAACTTCTGCATAAGAAATTAGGCACAATTTCAAAAAGATGATAAATGTCATAAATTATATTCAAAACCAGAAAAAATACATACATGATATGCTTAAGATTTTTGTCACCACTCAAATCTCATTTTGAATTTTAATCTCTAGGTGTTGAAGGAGGGACTTGGTGGGGGGTGACTGGATCATGGGAGCGGTTTCCCCCATGCTGTTCTCATGACAGTGAGTCAGTTCTCAAGATCTGATGGTTTTATAAGGCAATTTTCCATGCCCTTTCTCTCTCACATGCCACCATGTAAGAAGTACCTTTCCCTTCTGCCATGATTGTCAGTTTCCTGAGGCCTACCCATCCATGTGGAACTGTGAGTCAATTAAACCTCTTTCCTTTATAAATTACCCAGTCTTGTACCAATACAGTGTATGTGTGTTTTTATGAACCAACTGCCTGACACACAAATTGTATACTATTTTTTTCTACATGTTTTGGCTACATGCTTTTGATCGACTCTTCATATGACATGGATTTTGAAATATTTTTCTGTAGGTTATAAAGATGATTCTATGTTTTCTGTGGCATTATTGATAAGCATTTTAGTTGATAATTTGAAAACGTTTCTTTCAGTTTCATAATTGTTATTGATAATATTATGTCCCAATTGAGAGATCTCTATTAAGTTTGTTTGATACATCAGCTATAAGGCTTAACGAGATCTTTTTTTTTAATATATATATTTTTTTATTATACTTTAAGTTTTAGGGTACATGTGCACAATGTGCAGGTTTGTTACATATGCATACATGTGCCATGTTGGTGTGCTGCACCCATTAACTCGTCCTTTACATTAGGTATATCTCCTAATGCTATCCCTCCCCACTCCCCCAACCCCACAACAGGCCCCGGTGTGTGATGTTCCCCTTCCTGTGTCCAAGTGTTCTCATTGTTCAATTCCCACCTATGAGTGAGAACATGCGGTGTTTGGTTTTTTGTCCTTGCGATAGTTTGCTGAGAATGACGGTTTCTAGCTTCATCTATGTCCCTACAAAGGACATGAACTCACCATTTTTTATGGCTGCATAGTATTCCATGGTGTATGTGTGCCACATTTTCTTAATCCAGTCTATCATTGTTGGACATTTGGGTTGGTTCCAAGTCTTTGCTATTGTGAATAGTGCCACAATAAACATACGTGTGCATGTGTCTTTATAGCAGCATGATCTATAATCCTTTGGGTATATACCCAGTAATGGGATGGCTGGGTCAAATGGTATTTCTAGTTCTAGATCCCTAAATTGGAAACATCATTCTCAGTAAACTATCGCAAGAACAAAAAACCAAACACTGCATATTCTCACTCATAGGTGGGAATTGAACAATGAGATCATATGGACACAGGAAGGGGAATATCACACTCTGGGGACTGTGGTGGGGTGGGGGGAGGGGGGAGGGATAGCATCAGGAGATATACCTAATGCTAGATGACGAGTTAGTGGGTGCAGCGCACCAGCATGGCACATGTATACATATGTAACTAACCTGCACAATGTGCACATGTACCCTAAAACTTAAAGTATAATAAAAAAATAAAAAATAAAAAAATAAAAAGTCAGGAAACGACAGGTGCTGGAGAGGATGTGGAGAAATAGGAACACTTTTACACTGTTGGTGGGACTGTAAACTAGTTCAACCATTGTGGAAGACAGTGTGGCGATTCCTCAGGGATCTAGAACGAGATCTTAAATGCACTTGCTAAGGAACATTTTCTTCTACCAGTTGCTAATTGATGCCCTCAGGGTAGCGTACTATAAAATATTTTCTAATGTCAATATTCCAAGTCAAATTAGCAAGGTAGTTATTTTTTCTCAATGTTTATGTGATTCAATATTTTTATTAATTATTTAATCAAGTAACCAAAAGACTTATTTATTACTTCTACTGAGAATTCAACTCTTTTATTTATTTGAATGTACTGGTTAAATTAAAGATGGTCTCAAAGCTATCTCTTAATGAATCATCACTTTTGGTATAATCTGTACAAAAATTGGTGTTACAATGTGCTTTTTGATATCAGAAAAATATATACATATTGATTTGAACACCCATATTCATTATTTTATTGTTTTGTTTATATTCAACATTCTATTATTTCTGTTTTTAATCTTCAGTTAACTTATTTTTCTGAAATTATTCTTTATATCCTTTAAAACACATGTAACTCCTACTGTCAGCTGTTTAGTACATGCACGTGGTAAAACCTTTGACCCAGTGTCCTCATGATGACCCAGCGTCTACATGATGTGGCATGGGGTAGGTAAATCAGTACAAAATATTCCTGAAAGTCATTTCTTACACATAGACTGCTAGCAATCACCTAATCCATACATAACAGTGATGGTCATCAACATGAAGCATTTCCATTGAGCATGGAAACTCAAACTTCATTAGCTTCAAAGAATATCTGTCCCAAAGGAAGTAAAATAAAACCACAATAAGATACACCAAATTTGCAATAATTAAATTTTCATAGCAAAGGAAATTCTCGTACACTATTGGGAGTGCAAGCTAGTAAAAAAAAAAGAGAGAATGAAATTTGATTGCTTAGTGATCTTGAAGATAATCTCTTGACTTACTGAGACAGTCAGGTGGGAAGGGGTCCCTGGCAGAGCCTCCAAATGACCTGTGCATTGACAGGAGTGCACACTGGGGTGGAGCCACAGAAGTTCACTCTGTTCTCAGCCTGGAGGAACCTGGCCCCTTCTCTTCCTGGGTGGAATCTGGAATTCAATCTGTGAGGCCGGAAGCCCATGCGCAGGAAGCACACTTTCTTGCTTCTCTAAGAGTCTCTGTTTCCCCTTTTCTTCTTTCTCACCCAATAAAACCCTGCCCTAGATCACCCTTCAAATCATCTGCGAGCTTACATTTTGGTGGCCCTGTGACAAGGACCCTGCCTTTAGCTGAACTAAGGAAAAGTCCCGCAACATTGTGACTCAGTAATTCCAAATTTTAAGCCTCATAATAACTAAATATATGGTCAGCAAAATACTCATAAAATAATGTTTTTGGAAACATTGCTTGTAAAATCAACATAAAAAGTCATATATATCATCTGCCAAATGTCTATCCACAATGAGTATATATATAATAAATTGTGAAATAGCACATAGAGGAAAATAATGAACTAAAGCAATACACAACAGCATGGGTAAGGTCCACAAACTAATGTTGAGCAAAAGGAGCAAGTTGAAATTGCCTACACATAGTGATTCCGTTTAAGTACATCTCAAAAGCAAGCAAAACGAACTTGTATTGTTTAGGAATGCATTTACAGATACAAACATGAAGCAAACAAAAAACTTAGTACCACATTTTATTTCAGGATTGTAATTTCCTCGGTTGGATTTGAGGGAGAGGTTTATGATTAGAGAAAGGCATATTGGGTGAGGAGATTCCAGGGTTCTGGCAATGTTCTGTTTCTTTATCCAGATGTAAATTGGTGTTTGCTTTATGGATATCTGTTTAAATTTACATATATATTTTATGTACTTTTTGGTAAGTATATTTCACATTAAAAGTAAGGTAAAAATACACTCTGGGTATATGCTGATCCTATCAACTGCTTTTTTGACCTTGTCCATCTATTTTTCATCTCACCAGCCCTTTGTTTAATAGGAACCTAAAAATTAATATACTCAAATTTCAACTGCTATTTCTCTCGATATACTCTCCTTCCCCCAGCCTGCCCTATCTCAGTTAAAGACAATAATAATTCAGATCTCTGGCTCAAGTATACAGAGTCATCTGTGATTATTCTCTTTTATTCATAGGCCACTTTCAATGTGCGAGAAAATCCTTTTGGCTTTGCCTTAAAAATCTATCCTGAATCTGACCACCACCTGTCATCTCACTGTTAACTTCCCTAAGTCACTCTCACTTAGCCTTTTGTGATAGAGTTCTTTCCAGAGAGTAGAAACAGTGCATTTGTATTTCTTCATTCACTTCTTTAAATATTCCTTCATCTTCTTGCTCTCCTTCATACTTCCTTCTCTTGAAGACACCACATCTCCTTTAGCCCTCGCAAAACTTCACCGTTCTCTCTCTCTTACTTCTTCTACCACTGGCCTAGTGAAAGAGCAGGTGCCCTTCTTAATATTCACACTGAATCTAAATCAGTCTACCCCCTTTTCTTCTAAAAAACAAAACAAAACCAAACAAACAAACAAAAAAAAACACTCAGTTTTGAATTGACAGGAGACTCTGCCAGTCAGTACTCCACATTTATTTAAATATCGAGGTTCACGAAGATTCTAACTCCTGGATGGCTGGGACTTTCTCCAACTAACACTGTGCAGATTCTTGGTGGTTTCACTGTTCTTCACAACCTAGCCCCACTTCATCTCCCCCACTTCCCTTCTTAATAGTTTAAATCTTATGGTCAGCTATCACAGTCTCTTTCCTACAATGTTAGCTCCTGTCTAGTCTTCTTCCAGTCACAGAATTTCAATTCTGGTTAAATCTAGTTCAAATCTTAGTGTTCCACATGATCATCTGAATGGATCTGAAGAAAAACTCATGGTGATTCTAAATGATTTTATCTTAAGCTCACGCTAACTACCCTCAAGTGGTCTCTTCATTCTGACTCCATTGTCCTGATCTCCTATAGTTTCCAGCCTTTCAGATGATTATTTAATTATTGCTTTCTTTTCAGTCCCCCAGAACCTCCTCTCAGTATCTTCACTATTAGTCATTGACCTTATTCCTTATTTCAGTGAGAAAATAGAAGCAATAAGAAGGTAACCATGATACCTCTTCCCTACATATAGACACCAATATGAATCTGGAACTATAAAATCTATATTCCCTTCTGTTCATATGGATGAATTGTCCTTGCTCCTAATTAAGTACTTTTTTCATACATTACTTGTAAACTTCAATATCCACTTTTGTAAAATACCTTTTTAAGTATATTGACCATATTTCATTATATTTTTTTCTTGATGTATAGACATGCTTTATACATTTTGTATATAAACTTTGTCTTTATAGTCTTTCTGACGTATGTATTGAACTTCACATCACGGTCTTTTTGAATAGACAGGATTTCTTAAATTTGATGTAAAAGTAATATCTAGATTCTCATAAGTTATGATCCATACTTTTTGTATCCTATTTTAGAAATTGTTATTGTTTTGCCTTTTATAGGTGGTTCTACAATCCACCTCAAATTAAATTTGGGGAATATGTGAGGTCAGTCTAAGTTTCATATTTCGCCCATACAAATCTGGTTGCCTCAGTATCTTTTTTCTTTTCCTTTCTTTTCTCTGTCTCTCCTTTGATTGCTATTTTTACTGTTCTGCAAAGGCATCTACATCGTTATGTGTCTACTTAGGTATAGGTCTGTTTCTAGTCTCTTTATTCTGTTTCATTGGCCTAGTTGTCTAACTTGTGCCAATGCCATTTTGCCTTAATTAGTGTAGCCTTATGAGAAATATTTATATTTGATAGAACAAATTCTTCCTCCTCAATCTTCTTCATGAATGTATTGGCTATTCTTGTCACTTTACACTCCTGTATTGTTCTAGATCCACTCTCTATCTTTGATCATGCTGCTCTTTGTCTTGAGAAACTGATTTCTATGGAATACAGCAAAAGCTCCCATGCTGTTTAACTTCTGGTTGGGTTTAACCAGTTGGAGGGGCAGCAGAGTAGAATGCAGCAGAGCAGAACATAGGTAGTAAGTAAGATTTGGGTCCTTTTTTCCCATGTTTAGTGATTTGGCTGCCTCCCCCTGCTTATGGCCTCACTTCCAATATACAACTCTCTTATATAATTGCCCTCTCAGGCATTCAGTAAGTTTCTTCCCTTTGCCCTTTCAGGAAAGCTTATTGGAGATGTAACCACAGCAACAACATCTAACACAAAAGTCACAGTCTCAGCTTTATATCTGGTACTGGAAACACATAACTAAATTAATTAACATTTAAGTGTTATCATGTTTTGCCCTTCATGATAGTCAATCCATTCAAAATTGACTATCTTCATCCATTCATTCATTGAAGGCTGTCTGCTTTTTCCTATGATTCATGCTTTTTGTGGTCTTGTTTAAAAGAATTTTGTTGTTTTGCTTTTTAAATTTAGACCTACAGTCTACCTAAAATTGATTTGGGGAATGATATGGGGTAGGAATCAATTTTTATTTGTTTTATATTATACCTAATGATTCCAACACCATTTACTGAAAAGATTGCCCTTTTTTTCTGCTCTTAATTCCATATGTCTCATATCTTGTTTATACATGCCTATATTTATTACCCTAGGTGAAACAGAAAATCATAGAGGAATTTTGGCTATTTATAACTAGGTGATGTGAAGTTTCAGGACAAGCCGAAAGATATAGAAGCAGGACCTATATGAGCAAACAAGCAAAAAAAAATTAAATTAAGGAATTGTAAGTATGTCCATAAGATAGGTGTCTGGTGCCAATTATTTCAAAATGAGGTTGAAGTAGAAAAGATTGAGGGGGATTTCATTTGCAGGTTCCTGATCAAACCAATCTATACTTTACTATAGACCAGTATAACCCACTGGGTTTCTTTTTTGATCTCATAAACCCACGTGTATGTATGTGAATATGTATATTTATTGTCTTTACCCTCTTTATTTTAATACCATTTTATTTTTATTTGCATTGATATGTTTAGGTCTTACTTGAAATTTTATTGTAAAGTCCATTGTTGGACAAATGGTATAGGTCAATCAATAATGTAAAAATAATTTTTTAAAGTATTCAGATTTTATTCCAAAGTTTCTAGATTCTTGAGAATTATTCTACAGTGAAAAACAATGCAGTTTGTAGGAAATAAATCAACATTTCAACCACTGAGAGTTAGTTTCAAGGTAAAACAGCTTAGCAGTGTAATCATCTGTCTACCCAATGTCTACAATGTAACGGGCTGGCTGTTTTGTTTACATGGCTATTCCTGAAATGTTAAATTTGATTAAAATGAATTCTCCCTCTGGGTGCCCTTGCCTGCCATAAAACAGGTACACTGACAATGATTAGAAAGTCAAATTCTATAAATAAATATAGAGTTACTAAAAAAATACTGGACACAGTGAACATTTTATTTTTCAATATGTTTTTTGCTGGTGGCATATCTACTTATTTGAAAAGATCCATGTTTCTCTAAACCAGGCAAACATTTCATATCTAATCCTTTAAGACTCCCTTTAAATAAACAAATGTTCTTAGGCACTTAACAAATAAAGAATATAGATCTTTGCAGAAACCAAAAGAACGTTAAGATGTTGAAAAGTAATACTTCCAAGCTCAGCAAGAAACTAGAGCTCCAGAATATCAGAGTGGAACCATTCTATTTCTTTCTTATTCTCTCTGTGTGTGTGTGTGTGTGTGTGTGTGTGTGTGTGTGTGTGTGTGTGTGTGTGTATGTGTGACACAGTGGCTCCCTTAGAAATGTATTCAACATTATAAAACAGAAACATTAACAAAAAACTCTGATTAATTAAAAAGTAATCTGCCACTTAATTTCACTGAAACATTGTTGAAAATGAATTGACTTTTCTGCAGGGTAAAAATAATACTTAAAATTATTGTAGCTGTTGAGGCTGCTGAGGCTATAAACACATTGACGATGCCTGACTACAAAAGAGTTATAAAGTTTACTTTCCAAAATTAGATATGTGTGTATTGTATTTTTCCAATAACCTTGTTTAGACTTTCCAAATTCTGTGCTTTCATTAACAAGGTGAGGATCAGGTGGGAAGATCCATCAATCTCTAGATGTTTTAGTTGCTTCAATTTAACAGTAACTTTTCAAAGCTTCCAGCACCCCAATCGAAGACTTGCTTTTTCCTAGTGAAAACAAAGTGACCTTGTGAAAAGAGCATAAACTTTGAATGAGATAAACACAATTTCTGCATATTATAACTTTACACATGACCTTAGCAGGTCACTTAATATTTCTGAGTCGCAGTATGATCATGTGTGAAATGGAGATTATAATACTGAGTTTATAATATTTAACGTATGCATAACACTAATATTTGAGCATTCTACCCAGTATATAATATTAATATTTTTGCTTAACTGATGAGTGTCAACTGTAGTACATTATGCCCAAGGACCCAAGAAATAGGTTTGTACTGGCACAGGATGCATTGATAAGAAGAGAAGAAAAACTTGTTTAGTAGATTGTCAGAAAAGTGAACCACAGGTAACGCCTGACCCTTAAGCAGCTGCCTGTCCAAGTTCTATCTGCAAGAAAGGGAAATAATTTGCCACTAAAACCATTCCAAACTTTCATTTGTTCATTGTTTTCACATTCAACAAATATATGAATGTTTCTTAAGATTCAGGTCTTGGCAACAGTGAATAAGGCAGATTTCAGATAGTCCTCATCATGGAGGTGACGCAGAGAAATACTCTATCCATTTATTATCCATAAAATTATATGTAATGCACAATGGTGGCTATGCCTCTGTTCATTAATTAAACTTGTTAATATAATTTTGAGATGATAATTATTTTAGATTAAAGTATTTTTGTTTTTGTTTTTCTGACCATCACAAAGTCAATAATAACTACATACGTTACTAGAAAAGGTCCAGAAAACTCATCCTCAATGCAAATCTGGGCATGCTATTGAGCACAGAAGCACATATGCCTTGTAAAGACCAAACATTAACAAGCATAGGTGTGCTTTTCTTTTAACTATAAAGAAATAATGAGAAATGCAGTCATTTTATAAACCCATTGTAAGCTTTGGAAACTTGAAGGAAATCGGGGACTAAGATGAAGTTTTGCTAATCTGTTAAAAACAAGGAGGTCTCCCCAACTCACACATGCACTCTTCTCAGATGCTGATGTCAGAAAATACATCTCTGTATGTTTAAAATACATTGCAGGCTTCATTTGTACAATGTGAGTAAAGAGCTTGCCTATTTGTTTCTGAGCAGTTGACACAAACATTGTTCTTGTATTGCGATAGTTGGCAGTATTTTCAGATACTTTAGCTGGGAAGTTTCACAAATACCATAATAATGATCTTAACTACTGGTTAATAACTCATTAATGTCTCTTTTTCTCATTTTCCACTCAAATTAGATATAATTGGACTTACTTAAAGTTGAGGTAATTCACCTATTTCTAAGGCTGTCACTTCGATTTTATTATAATTATCCTGTAAATAGGATAATTATATGTCCTAGCTTCCTTGGGACAGTTCAGTTTTGCTCTTGTCCAGGTATTTTAACTGGTTTAGTATTTGTTTCATCATCTTTCACTCTTAAAAGCTCCATGTCTTAAACCATATGGGCCATATTTGGATCATATGATCGCGTTATGACAATGAAGCATAATTCAAACTACAAATTCTTGGACCTAAGATATTAATTAAATCATGTAACATAATGTGTTATCTAACTGACGTCTTAAAATAAGGGTTCTGTAGGTCAGACTATGCATAAACTTGAATTTGCAGGGCAAAAGAGATTGACTTTCCCTTGAGGAAAGGCTGCAGGGTTATATGAATTGAACAACAAGACATAATCTTGTAAAGAAGATTAGAAATTAAGTCTCCTGACTTTGCAATAACAAGTTGCATGACCTTTACTTCTCTGAGCTTTGTTCTTTCATTTGTAAAATGTAAAATCCCAATTACTGAATGGCAGATGTGCTGGCCACTTTAAAACATCATTTGTTTTAATCCTCAAAACAGCCTATTATACCAAATGCTAGTATCCCCATTTTACAGATTAAGAAACAGGCTTACACAACTCTCCCTACAGTGACACATCAATATGTGGCAGGGCCGGTTTTCAAACCCAGTTCTTCCTGATTACTAAGTCTATATTCTTTCCACAATATATCAGTTGCCATTCAAAAATGAAAATGCATTATACCAAAGCTTATCTTTATTATGTATGTGATGCCAGTTACTGATCTATGTTCTTTGCAGGATACACTGACGACTGTGTCAGTGATGTTGCTTGTCCCCTCACTAGTTAGGGAAGTAAGGTGTTAGCAAATAAACGGAAATAAGGGAGCTACAGAAGAGCTTTACAAACACAAAAAGTGAGGTGCCAAAAAAAAAAAAAAAAAAAGAAGGCTTGCATTCAGAAGTCCAATATGCGATTTTGTAAAATTTACTTTGCTAAGTTCTGTCCAACAGTTTCTGTGTAGAAGTGGTTTTCAAATATATATCCTTTGATGCAGGGAGCCAGAGCTGCACAGACTTTCATAACGTCAAGTCTCTGAAATGGTAGGTGATAGTAGACTATGATTATTATATTACTTGTTCAATGTATACAGATTTTATAAATAAATCTATATTTTTATAAGGGACAACTAAAATAAGACTTTTTTCTAATAAATGTAAATATATTTTTCTCTCCAAGAAAGAGACAACAAATAATTTTTATTTCATTTTCTTGTTTTTTTTGTTTTCTGGATAGAGGGTCGTGACTATACTATTGATTGTAAAATTCAATTTTGTAAATCTGTGGATTCAAATTAATTATAAATTTTGTACAGAAGTGTTATTTTAGGAGGTAACAGAAGGTAAAACCAAACTTAGTACTATTTAAATTTCCAATTCTGAGTATTCCAATATTTTTCACAAGTGCTTACAAGTTCAGAAAGCAGAATTTTGTGGGATGAGTAGAAGCTTTGAATTCAGACAGAAATGGTTGTAGATCCCAACTAAGGATTATGGATTTTAGTAACTGCCAAACTACTATAATCTATAATAATACAGTATGTTACATGCAAAATATAGATAAAATATCTATTTAATTTTAAGAAATATATGATCTGTGACCATAGGACACATATACTTAGAAAACCTTGTGATTGTCATGTTAAGGAAGCTGGGTTATGCTGCAGAAACAAACAGCCAGGGCATTTTAGTTTTTTGAAACAACAGAGGGTGATTTCGTATTCATGTACCACACCCTCTGAAAATAACCAGGGTTCTCTGTTCTATGCTGTCTTTATTCTACAACCCAGGATCCTGGGGCAGTCCCTCTCTGGAACATTGCCTGTCTCCATGGAAAAAAGAGAGGGAAATGGTGATCCTTGTCAACAATTAGTGTTGAAATACTGTTGTCCTTCTGCTGACATTACATGGGCAAAACTTGGAAAGAATGTGGAAGTGCAATCTTATCTTGTGCTTCAGAAAGGCAGAACTGGAGTCCTTGAAGAGTTGTCAATATTTTTATATCTTTCCTAGCCATCTCCTATTTCAAGAATCACAGTAAGATAAACTCAGAGCCTTATAAGCACAAACTACAACTACCAGAAAGGAAGACTAAAATGTTATCACTACCATTTCCTTATCAGCAGCAATCCGACATTGTGTGAAGGTGCACTACTTTAAGTCAGTGTATAATTCATGTTAAAGATGAGACATTTGTTTTTGTGATTCAACATAATATGAACTAGCAATAAATGCTATTATTTACATGGCCCTGGTAGTGTACACTTTCTGCATCCATCTGAAGTTGTTTTTTGATTATCAAAATTAAAAACTTCTGTGCTCTTGGGAGCACAGCATTGAGGAAGTCAAAATTCAATTCACAGACCGAGAGAAAATATATAAAATTCATTTATGTGATAGGCAATTTAAATCCAGAATATATAAAGAACACTTACACTCCCAAAATATAAAAATGTATCACCTAATTTTAAAATGGTCATAGGATTGCCATACATAAACAACCAATAAGCACATGAAATGATTTTCAACAGGATCAGTCACTAACAAAGTACAAATCAAAACCACAATGAGATACTACTTTAGACCCAGTAAATGGCTACAATAATAAATAGAAAATAATGTGTTGACAAGATATGGAAAAATTGTAAGTCTTATCATTTTCTAGTGGATATGTAAAATGATATATCCACATTGGGAAATAGTTTGACATTTTTCTAAACTGTTCAACAGAGTTGCAATAAGACTCAGAAATTTCACTCCTAGGTATCTAACCAAGAGAGTGAAAACATAGGTTCACACAAAGATGTGTGAGTGAATTTCATAGCATTATTCAAAACTGACAAAATGTGGCTGGGCGTGGTGGCTCACAACTGTAATCCCAGCACTTTGGGAGGCTGAGGCAGACGGATCACAAGGTCAGGAGTTTGACCAGCATGGCCAACATGGCGAAACTCCATCTCTACTAAAAATACAAAAATTAGCCAGACGTCGTGGCAGGCACCTGTAATCCCAGCTACTTGGGAGGCTGAGGCAGGGAAATCACTTAAACCTGGGAGGCAGAGGTTGCAGTGGGCTGAGATCGTGCCACTGCACTCCAGCCTGGGTGACAGAGCGAGACTCCATCTCCAAAAATATAAATAAAAAAAGTAAAAAAAAAAAACAAAATAGAAAAAATGTGAAGACAACCCAAATGTCCGTTAACCAATAAATGTATAAACAAAATGTCATACGTTCAGACCTAGAATATGGTTAAGCCATAAACAAGAACCGATACATTTTATAACACGTATACACTTCAAAAACATGACAATAAGTGAAATAACTAGTCATAAGAGGTCATGTATTATGTGATTCAATTTTTATGAAATGTCCACAATAGACCAATCTATAGAGATGGAAAGTTATTTAGTGATTGCCTAAAGGTGGGGTTCAGAGTGGAGAATGGAGAGTAACTGCAAATGGGTGTGATACTACTTTTGTAGTGATGAAAATGTTCTAAAATTAGATTGTAGTGATGGTGGCATAAATCTATAAATATGCTATAATCCATTGAATTTTATACTTAAAATTTTAATAGGAAAATTATATATATACATATATACACACACACATATACATATACGTATATGTGTATATATATGTATATGTGTATATATATGTATATGTATACATATACGTATATGTGTGTGTGTGTGTATGTATGTGTGTATATATATATATATATATATATAATATCTCAATAAAGCTGTTAAATCCAAAGAGATTTGAGGGGGGATGTTGAGGGAGAATTTTTCTTCATTTGTTGTTGCTGTTGTTGTTGAGACAGGGTCTCACTCTGTCACCCAGGCTACAGTGCAGTGTCACAATCATGGCTCACTGCAAACTCTGCCTCCCGGGCTCAAGTGATTGTTTCACCTCACCCTCCTGAGCAGCTGGGACTACAGGTGTGCACCACCACATCCAGCTGATTATGTATATATATATATATATATATCAAAAATATATATATATATAAATGATATATAATGATATAAATATATATATATAAATGATATATATATATTTTTGTTGTTGTTGTTGTTGTTTGTTTGTTTTTGTAGAAACGGGGCCTTGCTATGTTGCCCAGGCTAGTCTTGAACTCCTGGGCTCAAGCAATCTGCCCGCCCAGGTGTGAGCCACCACACCCAACCACAGGTCTTTTTTTCTATCATTTATTAGAAAAACTATTCATTCAATTATCTATGTTACTGAGTTCCCAATACTATTATGCAGATCTTCTTTACTCTAATTATTTCTGTTTAAAAACTATAATTTAAAAGCCATAAATAAAACAACTTCTATCTGAATTTGGTGATCCAAAATAATCTGATAGAAAAGAAACAGCTTAAATGAAATCTGAATTTATCTACAGAATATTATTAGCTTGCTTTCTGAATGTTAACATATTACTATTGAATTAGTTCACTCTTCATTAGCATGTTAATCAGAAGCAATATAAAAGTGTGAATTGAAACCCCTGAGGAATTCAAGAATCTGCCTTCAATATTTATGGGCAACTGCTGTGAATTTCAGAATCCTAGAAATAAGAACAGAACTTAATTCTTCTTTCACCAGTCCACAGTCTTATTTTGAACCATCTTTGAGAAAATTAGTTTTAGTTTTTACCCTACCAATCAATGACAATATAAAATTCCCTGAAAACTGGTCAATTCTGATAAAAAAGTAAAGAGACAGTCCCTTTAAATGTAGACTATTTTGAGGATATAACACCTATTTTGACAGCCATCTAAACAGAAAACATACACTTGGGGTCACATAAGATAGGGAACATGGCTGTGCTTAAAACCATACTCTGGATGTTTCATTGTATTATCTTCATTTACCATTTTTTAAATCTCAAATTTAACCAAAAATCGTTAATGTTTTTCTTTGTCTTATATATGCTATTTACTCTGTCAAATAGTACTGGAAAATCACTTAAATTTACTTTGACCTATACCTTCTATATGTAGCTTTTATTTTTTTAATATTTATTTTTAAATTTTAGTTTTCAAATTGCCTTCCAGTAAAACTTTTTTGTAAATCAAAAAAGTAAGACTTTGATGAATTTCAACACACTCATAGATTCATGTAGCCCCATGACAATCACAAACCAAAACAGTACCATCGGTCTACAAAACTCCTTCTGATAATCCCTTAATAGTTATGTCTTCCACTCATAACTTTCAAAAAAATACTGATCTTTTTTCCATCACGCTAGTATTGTCTTTTTGAGAGAATCATATAACGGAAAGGATACAGCATGTAACTTTTGAAACTGACTCTCATTCATCATAATGTCCCTGAGGTTCGACTAAGTTGCTGTATATCTCAATACTGTAGTTCATTCTTATTCTTATTCTATTCCTTAGTATTCTATTGTATAGATGCAATCCAGTTTACCATTGAAAGGCATGTGGGTTATTTCTAGTTTCGTATGAGTATGAATAGAGTTACTATAAGCATTCATGTACAGGTTTTTGTGTGAATGTAAGCTGCCATTTCTCTTGGGTAAATACCCAAGAGTGGGTTTGTTGAGTTATATGGTAAATGTATGTCAAATATTACAAAAAACTTCACCCGTTTCTACATTGGCTGTAACATTTTGCATTCTTACCAGGAAACGACGGTTCCAATTAATTTTCATCATTTCTTCATCCTTTCCAGTGTTGGCACTATCAGTACTTTTCTTTTTCTCCTCCTCACTCTCTTCTACCTCCTTCACAATTATTATTATTATTATTATTTGAGATGGAGTCTTGCTCTGTCACCCAGGCTGGAGTGCAATAGTACGATCTCAGCTCACTGCAACCTCTGCCTCCCATGTTCAAGTGATCCTCCTCGCTCAGCCTCCCGAGTAGCTGGGATTACAGGTGCCTGCCAGCACGCCCAGCTAACTTTTGTATTTTTAGTAGAGACAGGGTTTCACCATGTTTGGCAGGCTGGTCTTGAACTCCTGACCTCAGGTGATTCACCTGCCTTGGCCTCCCAAAGTGCTGGGATTACAGGTGTGAGCCACAGTGCCTGGCCCTCCTTCACCATTCTAATAGATTGTATATAAGCTAATTGCCATACATTGAATTATATATCAGGATGTATTTTATTAGATTTACCACAAGCCTGGCTCCTTTTCTTAGCTTCAGTTTCTGTATGTATCAAATGGAAATTGAGATACTTTTTCTATTTCCTATAGAGTTGTTTTGTGGAGACGAATTTGTTACAAAATTTGTGGAAAAGGATAAAGTATACATATAAAATATTTGTTAACAATTTATAATAATCATTTTTTGATAACTGCTAGTTGTTATTTCAGGGTAGGTAGAATATTAATGATAAACTATTAAGTGCATCAAATGAGGTTATGTGCCCTCATGGGGATGGATAGAGAAAGTTTTAACAAGATTTATCATATTTTACCATGTTTTTATTTAATCCAGAATGAATAAATATTATTAACATGTTACAGACTCTAAATGTGGAAGTGTCAGATATAGCTGTGAAGGGTCTGCAAGTTTTAGAAATTGCAAATGAAACTAACAAATCTATTTAAACAGTAAACAGACAAGGAAGAATTGCATCTTAAGAGATCAGAGCTGTCTCATGTATGCATATTGCCAGCATTGTTTCATAAGCTTTAAAATAAATATGTACACATTTTTGCAAAAATATAACTGTGATTATTCTTTTTCTTTCCACAAGGAAAATTTTTAAGTAAAGGACTGATAGATATAATAATCATAAACTCCATAGTTTATTATCTTTTGAGGTGGTAATAAAGAGAAAAACTCAAGCACACAATGTTGCCATTTTGACCTGTATAGCAAGTTCCAAATTGTAATAGATGAAATAAGAGCATTAAAAATAGTATACTCTACAAATAAGCCTTTAAGAGTCAACTAGGAAAGCTTGTTCTGCATATAAATATTTCATGGAGGGCAATGGACTATGTCTACTAAATATTTTACTTTGTTTTACTTACATACTGCCTTTCTTTTATGTTTCTGTAGCTTTGTCATTTACAGAAAAAAAAAAGTTGTTACAATAAGTTTTTCACTTTCCAAAGAAGCTTACAAAATCTACTGCCACTTTAAATTGGATACATATTGTTATCTATCTTGCCATTTATCTCATTAAAAAGCTCATTTTCATATTCCATCACAAATGATGGCCATCTTAATTATAAAATTTCTAAATTTTGATTAAAATATTAAAGTTTATTTCTTTATCTTATTCATACCACTGTCCTTTAATATTTATGTATTTATTATTTTCTTATGGTCAAAATCTTTTATACTCAAAACCCAGTAAATGATAACAGGGGCATAGAATGGCATTTCTTATAGAAGTTATTAATTACTGCAGATACAGTTACTGCCAGTATTCTGTGAGCAAGATTTCCATCTCAGATTGTCTATCTAATATCATCTATCAGGTACCTATGCTGCTTTTTTCTTTAAAAATATCGACTTAGAGTTAGAAGATATGGTTTGAGGACTGGCTCTGAAACTTATGACCTGCTAAACACTGGTCCAACACAGGAATTCACTAACCTTAGCCATGCATAATAATTATAATTAAAAACATTAGCAGCATCTACTACACAGAGCTGTTATGGGGATGAAAATTATGTAATGCACATCAAAATCTGTTATGAAATACAAATTTTTTGAAAATGTGGATGTTAACTATTAATATAACATTATTGAAGAAAAGTCTATTATAATTTTCAGTTTCCCATTAGTTCCTACCTATCTTTACTTAAATTCAAAATTAATATTTGTGAAACATGTATTAGGAGTCTAGTATTTTGTCATGTCTTCAGTAAGTGACATGAGACTCTTTTGTTGGATTTGTTCAAAGTCTAGGTTTTTAGGATTTGATGTTGGTGGTAGAAAAAGACAAGCTGCTGAAGGAGAGGGAAAGCCAGTAAGAGACACATGAAACAAATAAGAATAAATCATCAAACACGTATGTTATTTAGATAATTATAAGAATCATACCGTGAGAAAATTTGTTTCTGATCAGACGTATACTCTATGTCTCCATCCCTGAAACCCTTGGTTTGTACAGGCTGTGGCTCTGACTACCGCTAACATGTTAAAAGCATTCATTTCTTTGTTCTTCCTTTTTTCCAAATTTGTCTGATCCAGGAAATTTTTTAAATTGTTAATAATGTCAAACTCCTCAAGGTCTCCAAAACATCCTCTTTGTTTATACAACTGGCAGGGAATATAAACACTGTGGAAAGTTAATATAAAATTGAATGAGCAACATCTTAATGAGTGAAAAGATTGGGATTGCAAGATTTAAAATCTCCTAACTCAGGATATCAGAAAAAGTGATACAATTGGGAGGTCAGTAAGCTAGGCAGCAAATCTTGCCCAGTGCTACTGAGCAATATGATTTATCAACCTCGGCAATAGCCTATGCTGCTTGCCTAAAAATAATCCA